>NC_000013.11:98127979-98752979 GCF_000001405.40 Homo sapiens | reverse complement strand
CTGGATCCAGCAGCATCAACCTCCCCTTAGACTTCTTAGAAATGCACATTCTGGGGCCCCAGCCCCGACCTCCTGAGTCAGCTGGCCGGGGGGTGGGGCCTGGGAATCCGCGTTTAGACTGGCTCTCCCCCGGCCTGCCACGCGCTCCCGTCGGGGCCCACCCGCACCTGGGCCGGGGCTGGTGTCCACGCGCGACGGCTCGGGAGCACGGACCTCTGCTCCCCGCAGCACCGCCCCCCGGGTGGAGCCGGCGGCCCCGCCTCGCAGAGCTGGGGCTGTACCTGGGGCAACGGGGCCGGGCCTGGACGTCAGGTCGGAGGAGTAGCACCTGCCAGGAGCACGTCCCGCCGGCAGGTCGCAGGAGCCCTGGGAGCCGCCGCCATGGGTACGCTCGGCGGGTGGGGGGCCGGCCGGGCTAAAGACTCGGAGCTACGCGGGGCGGGGGCCGGCACCGAGGGCCGGGAGGCGCGAAGGGTACGCGGCGGCGGGAAGCGGGGCGACCCGAAGGCCCACGGGGGCCGGGAGGTTGCGGGGCGCCCGGGATCCCCTCCCGGGTGGTCACCGTGCGGCCGGGGCGCGGAAGCCAGAGGTGCCCAGAGGCGCCGACTCCGCCGAGGTTGCGATCCTGGCCCGCCCGCCCGTGGGGCACTGTAATCCTCGTATTCCCACCCTGCGGGCCGGGAGTGCGCTTGGAGCGGGACGGGACCCAGCGGGTGACGGCAGGGGCGGCAGAAACACCGTCTAACTGGCGGAAGCCTTGTGGCTGCCTTTGCACTTGTCTTGCCTCTGGCTGGCGAGGTGACCCTGGAGTTCCGCAGGGAACCCTGGCCCAAGAGGAGATGGGGCCTCTCTTTGTGGCCCCCTCTTAACCCTCTGCACTGTCCCCTGGCTTAATTTGAGGCACCTTCTGTGCCTTACAGAAGGTGAGGAGCTGGCTCTTGATGGGGCTGGAGCGTCAGCAAAACAGCTAGGAGGCAACTTGACTCCTGCCCCGCTTCCGAATTAATCACCCTGGAACTAAGGCAGACCCAGAGAGAATGAACGGAAGCAGAGCCAGAGCTGCTGGGAGCAGCCCAGCCCGCTGCTTTCTTAAAGATGAGGAAGCCCAGTCAGCTTCCCAAAGTTGTGCCATGGATGCCCCCGGCCAGCATTTTGCAGAAGATGTGGCCACGTTGTTGAGGGGGATCTGAGCCTGTAGACAGGAATGTCGGTCGGTGGCTGCCTCAGTGGTCCTGGTGGAGTGATGTGTGTCAGTGCCCAGCCCCAGGGTGCAGCCGTCCTCTGGCTCTCAGAATGCCTGCCGGACACAGCATGTGGTGGTTCCTAAGGAGAAGCAGTGAGTGGTTCACACTTTGGACTTCTAATTGTAGCCAGTTGTGCCTGTTCCAGAAAGACCTGCAACTTCCCTCTCTGGCGGAGACTGTGGCCGAGCTCAGCTCTGCAGGCAGATTCCTGGGCTGCAGTTCTGGGTCCCGCCCTCAAACAAGTCCCACCTGTCACTCTATGCAACTTTGCTGGGAGGTGCTCTGAACTATTTCTGTTGATCATCAAATACCAAATACCTGAGCAGCATCCTTGTTGAGTTGGAATTTATGACCCGTGTTTAGCATTTCCAGCAGATCCAATCCCGAGAGCTGTTAGAGGCAGCTGCCTGGTTATTGGTGAAGGAATACAGAGTTAGATTTGAAGCCTCCTTTCCAAATGAATTGATGCGTTCTAGTCTGCAACTGGTCCTCTCTGTTTGCAACTGAGATTGACATAGCATGTGAATAGCAACAAAAAAGTTGATATGCAAAAACCGATTTGATTTTTACTGAAGTCCTAACTTTTCAATATCAAGGGTTAGTTAGTAAATGAAAAAAAAATTGTTTAATGGTTGTTATGGGGAAAAAAAGTAGTAGTAACTTCTCTTAAGAACAGATCTTGGCCGGGCGCAGTGGCTCACGCTTGTAATCCCAGCACTTTGGGAGGCCAGGGCAGGTGGATCACCTGAGGTCAGGAGTTCGAGACCAACCTGGCCAACATGGTAAGACCCCCGTCTCTACTAAAAATATATAAAAACTAGCTGGGCATAGTGGCGGGTGCCTGTAATCCCAGCTACTCGGAAGGCTGAGGCAGGAGAATTGCTTGAACCCAGGAGACGAAGGTTGCAGTGAGCCAACGTGGTGCCACCGCACTCCAGCCTCCGCGACAGAGTAAGACTCCGTCTCAAAAAAAAAAAAAAAGAACAGATCTTTGGTACTTAGGTCATGCCAGAATTGCTTCAGATCCCTCAGTGACTGAGGGGACACTTGAAGCAGTTGGCGAACGAGGCAGGGGACAAAAAGGACGTGGTCCTTAGAGAAGCCTGTACCTCCTGCCTCTGACTTTGTCCCACTGTAATTGGAGCAAATTTTCACGGCAGGTGCTTTTTCATTCCTTGAGAATCCAGGAGCAGAAGTTCTGAATGAATAGGAAAGTGAGGGATTGGATGAGACTCAGAATCATACCATTAAGGCATTTATTAGACTTAGTAACAGAGGCAAGGAGAATCCACAACAGTTAACAGAATAAATAGAAGTTGCTTTGGGGCTGGGCGCGGTGGCTCACACCTGTAATCCCAGAACTTTGGGAGGCCGAGGCGGGCGGATCATAAGTTCAAGAGATCAAGATCATCCTGGCCAACATGGTGAAACCCCGTCTCTACTAAAAATACAAAAATTAGCTGGGCATGGTGGCATGTGCCTGTTGTCCCAGCTACTAGGGAGGCTGAGGCAGGAGAATCACTTGAACCCGGGAGGCAGAGGTTGCAGTGAGCCAAGATCGTGCCATTGCACTCCAGCCTGGACGACAAGAGTGAAACTCCGTCTCAAAAAAAAAAAAATGTTGCTTTGGGTGTGGCAATGCACAGCCAAACCTGGCTGAGTGTCTTGTTGGGCTCATGAACGGCACCTCCTTTGTTTTAAAGCAGTGGTCGACAGTCTCTTCTGGAAAGCCCCAGGTAGGAAATGCTTCGGGTCCTGGGGGCCAGGTGGTCTCTGTGGCAACTTCTCAACTCTGCAGTTCTAGAGCAGCCGTACACAATCAACAAATGAGCAGAGCAGTTTCTATAAAACTTCATTATGTACTGAGACATTTGAATTTTATGTAATTTTCATGTGCCACAAAATCTTAAAAAACTTTTTACAATCACTTAAAAATGTAAGCTTACATTCTTCTTAGCTTGTGAGCCACACAAAAACAGGCAGTGGGCCAGATGTAGCCCATGAGCCATAGTTTGGGGATCCTAGCCAAGGTATCTGTGTGGTTCTCAGAGCCTGGGGTGGAGAGATGTTCTTTTCCCAAGGGCTGTCAGGTTGAATTCAGTCTCTGAATAGCAGAAAACTTCTTATATGCTGGGAAGAAGCGTCAGTAAGAAAAAGCAGCCTCCGAAGCCTTCGTAGGATCATAGGGCTGGGGGTGCTTTTGCTGAAGGTTTTGACTATTTGATCTCTTTCCTCCCACCCCACCTCACTCCCTTATCCAAAGCTTAGCAAGACTATGCTAAATGGACTCTGAAAATTAGGTACAAGGCTTCAGGTTCAATGCAGCAAGCACCTGCCTCTATCTGCCAAGACCTCCAGGTTGATTGGAGATACTCACTCACTTAAAGTAGGATACTTTATTCTCTTCCTGCCCCACCAGATCTCAGCCTCCTGGCTGGCCTTGTTTGTGATTCTGATAGGTTTTTCCAAGTCAGCTGCCTGAGCTTAAAATGATGGATGGGCTGTGAAGGTCCCTCACACCTGGTGCGTCCCTCCACATTCTCTCCTCCTCCTGTCAACTCTTGAGTCAACCGAAGAACAATATTGAAGTACCAGGGCAGCTGGTGTCCCTGCTGCAAGCTATAGAGGTGGTCCCACACTGAAGGAAGCCTTTGGCATATGACCTTCGGGGGAACTCACCTCCTCCTAGCCAGCAGCAAGAAAAGAGAACTTCTAACATTGGGTTCTTTTGGGCTAATATTGCTCTAAGTCAGCGTTTTTCAAACTTGAACATGCATCAGGCTTATCTGAGTGAGGGCTTGTTCCAGCAGTGGGGCTCGCTGGGCCTCTTGCCTAGAGTCTCAGGTGCAGGGTAGAGCTCATGCACTGACATTTGACCACGTTCCCACGTGGTGTGATGCTGCTGCTCCCAGGCCCACGCTTTGAGAACCACGACTCTAAAGATCCCCTGGGTTCTTTTTTTTGACCCCTGCCCATGTGAACATGTTGCCACTGTGCCCTAAAATTAGGCTGTGGGAAGGTCTAGTACAGTCTGGGCCCTGGCTTGTCCATGTGGGTACATGTCCGTGATGATGAAGCATTGGGTAAATTAGCAGGTAGAACTTGAGAATTAGTCTGCCGGTGCCGTCTTAACGTAGGGATAGCTGGGCACTGCGGCTTACGCCTGTAATCTCAGCGTTTGGAGAGGCTGAGACAGGCGGATCATTTGAGCTCAGGAGTTTGAAATCAGTCTGCGCAACATGGCAAAACCCCGTCTCCACAAAAAAAATACAAAAATATTAGCTGGGCATGGCGGTGCGCACCTCTAGTCCCAGCTACTCGGGAGGCTGAGGCCAGAGGATCACTTGAGCCCAGGAGGTGGAGGTTGCAGTGAGCTAAGATTGCTCCACTGTGCTCCAGCCTGGGCAACAGAGAAACTGTGTCTGAAGCAACAACAAGACAAAAACAAAGAAGTAAAGAGAGTAGAAATGAATAGGAGTGAGAAATGAATGTGGTTCAGCTGGGCTGGCCAGGATGCACCTGAATTGCATATCTATGCAGGTATTTACTTAACCATGTGAGGATAAAAATAATCCTGCCTGAAGAAATTATATCCTCAGGGGGCAGGAACATAAGCCCGTAAACAACACTCTTCCACTCCGAGTTAGAGTTGAGGAAAATGAGGTACTATGAGACCAGTGAAAGCAGCAACTAGGAGTGTTTGTCTGAGCAGGAGGGTTTGCCTACTTTAGGTTTGCCCAGTTTGGATGGAATGCTAAATGTTTGCATGGTCTTTCACGTCTCTTACAAAATGTCCTGAGTAAGATTATTCCATTTTCGATTCCCTTGGGTTTTTTTGTTTGTTCATTTGTTTTTTGAGATGCAGTCTGCTCTGTCAACCAGGCTGGAGTGCAGTGGCACAATCTCGGCTCACAGCAACTTCTGCCTCCTGAGTTCAAGCAATTCTCCTGTCTCAGCCTCCAGAGTAGCTGGGATCACAGGTGCGCACCATCACACCTGGCTAACTTTTGTATTTTTAGTAGAGACGGGGTTTCACCACGTTGGCCAGGATGGTCTCAAACTCCTTACCTCAGGTGACCCGCCTGCCTTGGCCTCCCAAAGTGCTGGGATTACAGGCCTGAGCCACTGTGCCAGGCTGGGTTTTTTTGATTAATAATTTTTTTCTACTGCCCTTTGAGTTACTGAACCATTCCATGAAGAACAAACAGGGCTTACTCAATGGGCTAGTTGAGCTACCAGGAATCCTCCCTAGAAAATGGGACTGCTACTCTATTCCCCATGGTGGAGCTGCTGATGACTGGGGGCCTGGTGTAGAACTTTGGAGCTAAGACTTCCCAGCCAGGTGTGTTCCCATGGTGGAGGCAGAAGCTCTCAGACACAGTTGCGTCTTGATTCTATGCTTTGCAGGATGAGAAAGTGGGTAGGTGTCCCAGGTGAGCCGATAAGGAAATAAAAACAAGGGTCAGGCCTGAGGAACCTTTCCACATTCTTCCTTGAGGACAGTGAGAGAAAGAGCAGTATTCTCAGCTGAGCGAGCACGGTTGACTCATCATCCCGGGGTTGCAACACCAAGAACCAGGGAGTCACTCTTTTGTACCTTTGTCCCTTGGTTTCAGAAGCTGGAAGTCTATTGCGGAGGACACTGGACCCTGGGTTCACCTCATGGATGTGATACAAAGGAGGCTGTGTCAGCCGGGGTGGGGGGGGCCACACCTCTTCTCTCGGCCCCTCTGGTTTTTGGGGTTTAGGATGAGGGCAGCTATGAGAACACAGTTAAAGCACAGGCTCAGCCGTTGGGAAGTGCCACAGCCACGGGGCACAGGGACAGGGTCTTCCACAGAGGCTTAAGAAGGAGGAAGGTCTAGTTCCTCTCCTGGTTCCTAGACTGGAAACTGCTCAAAGCTCCTCACCGGGCTGCGGAAAGGGGTCTCTCATTGGAGAGAGGGTTTAGAGTCCTCCAGGTATGATGTGGGGATATGGAACAACAGGTCCATGTCCAGAGGGAATTTTGGTTCAGAGATCAGATTAACAAATAGAAAATTCACAAAATGTACTTCCATAAGAAGGCTCGTTAAAAGTTCTCAAACTAGGCATTTAGAACTTCTACAATCTGCCCCTAGTGACAAGATTTTATTATAAGCTCTATTAGGACATGGCAGATGTTTATACATTTGAGATGTTCTTGAGGAAATAAACGTTTTTCCTTTTTTTCCATTAAATCAAAACACCTTGCAGAGAAAAGGGAATGCTTATACACTGCTGGTGGGAGTGTAAATTAGTCTAACTATTGTGAAAAGCATTGTGACAACTCCTCCAAGAACTACCATTTGACCCAGCAGTCCCATTACGGGGTATATACCCAAAAAAATATAAATCATTCTACCATAAAGACACATGCACACATATGTTCACTGAAGCACTATTCACAATAGCAAAGACATAGAAGCAACCTAGATACCTGTCAATGATAGACTAAAGAAAATGTGGTACATATACACCACGGAATACTACGCAGCAATAAAAAAACAACAAGATCATGTCCTTTATAGGAACATGGATGGAGCCGGAGGCCATTATCCTCAGCAAACTAACAGGAACAGAAAATCAAACACTGCATTTTCCCACGTATAAGCAGCAGCGAAATGATGAGAACACAAAGACACAGAGGGGAACAACACATACTGGGGCCTACTTGAGGGTAGAGGGTAGGAGGAGAGAGCTGTTTGGAAAAAACCAACTATTAGGTATTAGGCTTAGTACCTAGGTGGAAAAATAATCTGAGCATCAAAACCCTGAGTCACGAGTTACCTATATAACAAACCTGCACATGTACCCCTAAAATCGAAGTTAAAATGGTAAATAAATAATGTTACAAGTTAAAAAAAAAACAAAAATACATCAAGACACCTAAACTCACATGGTGTACTTGTTTGCTATGGTGTCTGTAACAAAAGCACCACAAACTGGGGAATTTGAAACAACAGAAAAGTCTTCTCTCACAGTCCTGGAGGCTGGGAGCCCAGAGTCAAGGGGTCAGCAGGGCCACACTCCCTCCGAAGGCTCTGGGGGTGAAGCCGATCCAGGCCTTTCTCTTGCTTCTGGTGTGGCTGGTGGTCTTTGGCATTCCTTGGCTTGCGGACACACCCCTGCCGTCTCTGCCAGCCCATCTGTCTCTGTGTCACTTTTCCTCTTCTTAGGAGCACTCTACTCACATTGGATGAGGGACCGCCTTGTCCCAGTATGACCTGGTCTTAGCTAATTACAGCTGTAATGATCCTATTTCCAAATAAGGTCAAGTTCTGAGATTGAGAAGGATGTGAATTTGTGGGGGGATGGGCAGGACACTATTCGACACCCCGACATGGTAACAGAAAGTATTCTCTCTGAACTATGTCCATGGCTTATAGATGACTTTAGGTAGAAAACATTTGTAGTGTAAAGATAACTCCACCATGGTCCTCAGCTCGGATGCTATGTCTGGTGACCAGTTCCTTCCCCCAGCAAGACAGATGGGTTTTCTGGTCATAGTTTCTGGTCAACTGTAAACGGTCCACTTAGTAAGAGAGTTGGTACGTAGAAAACAGGCCCCAAAGTGATCTAGGAGACACAGGCGATTTACCTCTAGTTCTAAAAACGACGTTCCCATTCTGTTGATGCGGTACTGTGGACCTGCAGATAAAGTTTCCAGGCAGTCTTCATGTGCAGTGTTTCACTTTTCTGGTTTTTGAAAAATATAGCTGTTTCTGCTATGCATGCTAATTCTAAAATTAGAAGACTGAAAAAAATAAGTCACCTGACATTTTTATGGAGAATTGTTAGAGAATATCTAATGAAATTTAAAATACACACAATATTTTAACAGCATTCTATGTCTAGAACTTTCTTACAGATATTCTTATGATAGGAAAGAGCCATGTGCAACCCAAATATTAGGTTGGTGCAAAAGTAATTGCGGTTTTTGCCTTTTTTTTTTTTTTTTTTTTTTTTGAGATGGAATCTTGCTCTGTCGCCCAGGCTGGAGTGCAGTGGCGCGATCTCGGCTCACTGCAACCTCTGCCTCCCAGGTTCAAATGATTCTCCTGCCTCAGCCTCCCGAGTAGCTGGGATTACAGGCACATGCCACCACGCCCGGCTAATTTTTGTATCTTGTGTAGAGAGGGGGTTTTGCTACCTTGGCCAGGCTGATCTTGATTTCCTAACCTCATGATCTGCCCGCCTCGGCCTCCCAAAGTGCTGGGATTACAGGCGTGAGCCACCGCACCCGGCTTTGCCATTACTTTTAATCTATCATGTGGGCAGAAAACTTGCATTCTGTTTTATACCCTAACGTCATACTTAACCATGATTGTAAAGCATTTTTTTCTAGTCATGATTTACCATTAAAAAAAAAAAAAGTCTGTGTGTGTATAAGTTAGGGTCTTCAACCTCATTGCCTTGAAAAACAACCCTCCAAAAGACCAAGAGATTGGTTCTTTTTTTTTTTTTTTTTTTTTTTGAGACAGAGTCTCACTCTGTCACCTAGGCTGGAGTGCAGTGACACAATCACAGGTCACTGCAGCCTTGACCTCCCTGGCTTAAGCAATCCTCCTGCCTGAGCCTCCCAAGTAGCTGGGACTACAGGCACGTGCCACTATGCCTGGCTAATTTTTGTTATTTTTTGTAGAGGTGGGGTCTTGCCACATTGCCCAGGCTTGTTTCCTTTTAATTTAGCGACATTTATGTATCTTTAGAGTCATTTTCTCCTGTGACAATATACAATATTATTAGGGCCACCGTTTCTGTTGCCTGCTGGGTGTGGGGAGCTGATGCTGTCCCGGAGGCTGGTATCTGCTTCCCTTTGTGTTCTCTCCTCTTTTCTCCTTCTAGAGTCTGCTCTGAGGAAGGGTCTCTCTTCTCTTTAACCTGAGCATATATTTGTTTATTTACCCTCGGCAGTCTGGCATTTAAAGAGAGTCTCACTCTTAGTTCTGAAGGAAAGGTGTTCTTCTAGACTAAAAATATCCAGGTGTAGATCAGGAAGCTAACTTGGAGAGCAAGGGTTGCTGTACTAACAGCCAGGAAAATCATCTCACCTGACTACCCGGCCTCTACCTGAGGCAGGACTTAGGACTGTCCTGAGATCTTTCCTGTTTTGCCAAACAGCTTTGCTGCATGTGAACCCTGGAGCACTCTGTGGTCTGGCTCACCTTTCCCTGAAGCTGAGAGCAGGTTGGAAATCAACTGTCTGTCAGCATGTCCAAAGGTGGCTGGATCCTGGGTCCCAGAGAGATCATTTCTTCCTGAAGGAGGACAGGAATGGCGTTCAAAGATTCATGCCTGTAGTTACAGGAACAAGATGCTGAAAGTTGTAGGTAATTTATAAAACCACGAGAGGTTGGTCATTTCAGGCCTCTTCAGCCTATGATTTTAGATAGTTGTGTGTGGAAACCTTTTTAAAAGCTAGGAGGATATCTGAACCTAAATCAGTAAGTTGTGACTATTGTGGGCAAATTATTTATCCCCCAAAATGCATATGTTGAAGCCCAAAGCCCCAATACCTTGGAGCGTGACCTTATTTGGGAATAGAGTCGTTGCAGATGTAATTCACTATGATGACGTCATACCAGGGTAGGGTGGCCCCTAATTCAATATGAGCAGTGTCCTCACAAAAAGAGGAAATCTGGACTGGACATGGTGGCTCGTGCCCGTAATCTCAGCACTTTGGGAGGCCCAGGTGGGAGGATCACTTGAGACAAGAAGTTTGAGACCAGCCTGGGTAACATAGCAGACCTTGTCTCTACAAAAATTTTAAAACTTAGCCGACATGGCTGCACACGCCTGTGGTCCCAGCTGCCCAAGAGGCTCAGGCGGGAGGATCCCTTGAGCCCAGGAGTTCAAGGCTGCAGTGAGCTATGATCGTGCCACTGCACTGCAGCCTGGGCAACAGAGTGAGACCTTATCTCAAAAATAGCAACAATAATAAAAATGAGTAAAAAGAGGAGATTTGGACATAGACTCATACACAGGGCAAGCGCCACGTGAGTATGGTGGCAGAGGTGGAGGTGATGTTCTTACAAGACGGGGAACACCAAAGCTGGGCCTCAAAGCACCAGGAGACAGGCCCAGGACAGATTCTCCCTTGCGTCCTCTGAAGGACCCAACCCTGCCGACCTCCATCTCAGACTTCCGGCCTCCAGAACTGTGAAAGGCCACATTTCCATGTTGTAAGCCACGCGGTTTGAGGCACTCTGTAAGACAGCCCTGGCAAACTCCTACACTGACCAGGAGCTGTCCCCAGGCTGGAGCCATGGACACCCAAGCTGAGGGAGGAACTGTCTTAAAGGAAGGTGAAGGCAGGCTGTCCAGCACACGACAGATGGCGACAGACTTTGCATGGAAGAGGTACAGGCAAGGCAGCTCATGACCCATGTAGGCGGGAAAAGCAGCCCTGTAGCAGCAGGGGCTGGCGACAGGTAGGAGGTGGCTCATTGCCAAGGAGCCGGGGCCAGGCTGCGGCTGAGTGGTTTTGTGTTCCATGTCTCTCTTGTGAGGGTGCTGGGCAGAAAGCTCCCCCACCGCCTCACCAGAATCCTCGGGGGTCCTGAGGGAGGTGGAGCCCCTCACGGCCTTCCCATTCTCTTGTGTTCTGGGAGGACCACCAGGCGTCTGCTGAGACTCAGGTCAGCTGCAGTCAAGCCTTGGCCCAGTGGCCCACGTGCAAGGTCCGCAGGGCTAGGCTGCTGTCCACATGGCAACACACCCAGTCACTTGATAAACCCACAGTCTCCCTTCAGCACCAGTTTCCCCACATGGTTTCTAAGTTAGTTTCCTGCCGTTAGGGGTTAGTGAGATTTCTTCATTCTTGGAGTCTGATACCTCATTTGCTTTGAGCAAATGGCATTCAAAAACCACACATCAGCATGTTCTGTGTTTATGGCCCTGTTTGTTTATGGATTAGAGGAACTGCAGCAGCTTCCTAGTGGGGAAGAAAGTAGCCGTGGAAAAGGAGGCCTTTTTTTTTTTTTTTTTTTTTGAGACGGAGTCTCCCTCTGTCACCCAGGCTGGAGTGCGGTAGTATGATCTCAGCTCACTGCAACCTCCACCTCCTGGGTTCAAGCAATTCTCGGGCCTCAGCCTCTTGAGTAGCTGGGATTACAGGCATGTGGCTACATTTTGTATATTTAGTAGAGACGGGCTCTCACCATGTTGGCCAGGCTGGTCTGAAATTCCTGGCCTCAAGTGATCCACCTGCCTCGACCTCCCAAAGTACTGGGATTGCAGGAGTGTAGCTAATTTTTGTATGTTTAGTAGAGATGGGGTTTCACCATGCTGGCCAGGCTGGTCTCAAGCTCCTGGACTCAAGTGATCCCTCCGCCTTGGCCTCCCAAAATGCTGGGATTACAGGTGTGAGCCACCGTGCCTGCTCCTGAAAAGGAGGCTATTTCTATGAAGAGCAGTTGAGGATGGGCACAGCCTGGGTGCCGGCTATGCCTTCATGGCGGTCCCAGCAGGAGGACCCCTGGTATGGAATGCAGCCCATGCTCCAGTCACCAGCAGTGCAGCCATCAGGGACACTTTTTCTGATTGGATTGAGTGGCCCTCGCTCACTTGTCAGGCCAGGCCCCACTGGGCTGCATCCGGCCTAGAAGCCCACACTTTTCTAATCCACACCAGAATGCTGGGTGGACAAGCAGAGTCCCCGAGGGTGGGAAAGGTGGCAAAACATTCAAATCCAAGAAGAAAAAAAAGCATCAAGCTGGGCAAGAAACAGCCTCAACAAGAGCCACTCCAGAAACAAGGGCTTTGGGTTATAGGCGCTGAATTTCTTCTAAAGCTAACCTGACTCTGATGCTAGAAGAGCCCATTTAAGGAAAGAAAAACACTTTTCATTGCTCGATCAAAGTTCATCCATTTTGGAAAAGACATCAAACCAAGTGTGTGACACCAGGCACCCATATCCTTCCTCTTTCCCACCACCCCACCCCTGTCCTCAGGGCAGTGACAGTGAAGCCTGGTGCAGGTCCCACTGCTGCTTTTTGAAGTGGCACATGCTTTATTTTCTTAAAAAGAAGTGAGAGACAACCTATGCTACAGGAGGCTCTGTGACGTTTTTCTGAAGTACAACCCCTTGCTCTGCCAGGGCAGCTGTAAAGGGTCTAAAGAGCCCTGAGAAAGGAGAGAGGATTTGGGAAGCCGAGGAGGCAGAGGGAGACCACATAGCACATGGAGTTCTGAAAGGGCCCAAGTGGAGACAGAAAACGAGTCATGTGGATGGACAGCTGGGGTGGAGGAGGATGGAGCCACAGTCAGACCCTGGGGGGCCTTGAATGCCGGGCCTAGGAGTAGGGCTTCACCTGCAGGAAGGAGAGAGCACGCAAGGTTTGGGAGCAAGGTTCTCCACTGGGGGAAGCTCAGGTTGCTGGTGTGGACGGTGGACAGTCCAGGTGGAGTGCGGAGCACAGCGGGTGACCCTGGACAGGGGCCGTGCCTAGCAAGCACCTCCCTGCCCCAGGCATGTTTCTGCATCAGCTCACTAGCATGGCTTCGGAGTGACAGGACCTTCACTCTCCCTAGCTCCTGCCTGGTGCACACTATAGCAACCTCCACCCAAAAAGCAGTTTGAAAGACAATATAAGGCTTGTCATGATGGCTTGTATTTGAGAAGACCGCTTTGCTCTGGTCCACACCATCCTCATCCCCATGGTCTGACTTCCAGCGTGACATCATCGGCACTTCTACTTTGGGTCAATGTAATTGACCCTGGAGGGGGCTCTTTCTTCTTTGATGGCTACCTCCTCACCTCTGCCAGGGGTCCCCCATGGTAAATTCTTGTCGTATTTTAAGTCAGTCCATTCTAAATGTCCATCCATACTCAATTAAGAATCTGCCAAGTTGTCTTCCTGAGATGAAGTGAATAAAAAACCTTATTTTATTCATTGTAGATTCAATCTTATTAACTAACTTTCAGAGAAAGTGGTAGATTGTGTCAGTTTGTTCTTGCAGTAGTATAAAGAAATACATGAAACCGGGTAATTTATAAAGAAAGAAGGTTTAATTGGCTTATGGCTCTGCAGGCTGTACAGGAAGCATGGTGCTGGCATCTGCTCACTTCTGGGGAGGGCTCAATCATGTTGGAAGGTGAAGGGGGAGCAGGCATGTCACATGGCTGGAGTAGGAGCAAGGAGTGAGCAGGGAGGTGCTACATACTTTTAAACAACCAGATCTCATGAGAACTCACTATTGTGAGGACAGTATCAAGGGAGAGGGTGCTAAACCATTCATGAGAAACTGTCCCCATGATCCAGTGTCCTCCCCCAGGTCCCACCTCCAACAATTGAGCATTATATTTCAATATGAGATTTGGGCAGGGACATGCATTCAAACTGTATCATTCCCCCTGGCCTCCCCAAATTTCTTGTCCCTCTCACATTTCAAAATACAAGCATGCCTTCCCAATAATCCCCCAAAGTCTTAACTCATTCCAGCGATAATGCAGAAGTCCAAGTCCAAAGTCTCATCTGAGGCAAGGCAAGTCCTTTCCACCTATGAGCCTGCACAATCAAAAACAAGTTACTCTAAGATACAATGGGAGTATAGGCATTGGGTAAACATTCCCATTCCAAAGGGAGAAATCATCCACAAGCAAGGGGCTACAGGCCCCACCCAGGTCCAAAATCCAGCAGGGCAGGCACTAAATCTTAAAGCTCCCAAATAGTTTCCTGTAATTCTATGTCCCACATCCAGGGCACATTGATCCAAGAAGTGGGGTGCCAGGGCTTTGGGCAGCTCTGCCCCTGTGGCTTTGCAGTGTTCAGCTCCAGAGGTTGCTCTCACATGTTGTTGAGTGCCTGTGGCTTTTATATGCTGAGAGTGCAAGATGTTGGTGGATCTACCATCCTAGGGTCTGGAGGATGATGGCCTTCTTCTCACAGCTCCACTAGGCAATGCCTCAATGGGGACTCTGTGTGGGGGCTCCAACCCCACCTTTCCCCTCCATACTGCCCTAGCAGAGGTTCTCTGTGAGTGCTCCGCCCCTGCAGCAGGCTTCTGCCTGGACATCCAGGCTTTTCCATATATCCTCTGAAATCTATGCAGAGACTCCCAAGCCTCCCTCACTTTTGCAGTCTGTGCGCCTGCAGGCTTAACACCATGTGGAAACCACCAAGTCTTATGGCTTGCACCCTCTGAAGCAGCAGCCTGGGCTGTATCTTGGGCCCTTTGAGCCAAGGCTGGAGCCTAAGTGGCTGGGATGTAAGAAGCAGTGTCCTGAGGCTGCATAGGGCTGTGGGGCCCTGGGCTGGCCCATGAAACCATTCTTCCCTTCTAGGCCTCTGGGCCCTGTGATGGGAGGAGATGCCAGGAAGGTCTCTGAAATTCCTTAGAGGCCTTTACCCCATTGTCTTGAGTGTTAGCACTTGACTCCTTCTTAGTTATGCAAATATCTCTGGCAAGTGGTTGCTCCACAGCCTGCTTGAATTCCTCTGCTGAAAAAGCATTTTCTTTCTCTGCCACATAGCCAGGCTATAAATTTTCCCAACTTTTACACTCTACTTCCCCTTTAAATATAAGTTCTAGCTTTAAGTCATTTTATTTGCTCCCACCTATGAGCATAGGTTGTTAGAAGCAGCCAGGTCACATCTTGAATCCTTTGCTGCTTAGAAATTTCTTCTACCAGATATCCTAGGTCATTGCTCTTAAATTCAAACTTCCACAAATTCCTAGGGCATGGACACAATGCAGCCAAGTTCTTTGCTAAGACATAACAAAAGTGACCTTTGCTCTAGTTCCCAATAAGTTCCTCATTTCCACCTGAGACCTCTTCAGCCTGACCTTCACAGTCCATGTCACTATTTGCATTTTGATCACAACCATTTAGACAGTTTCTAAGAAGTTCCAAACTTTCCCTCATCTTCCTGTCTTCTTCTGAGCCCTCCACATTCTTCTGACCTATGCCCGTTCCAAAGCTCTTCTACATTTTCAGGTATCTTTATAGCAATGACCCATTCCTCAGTACCATTTTTCTGTGTTAGGCCATTCTTGTATTGCTATAAGGAAACACCTGGGTAATTTATAATGAAAAGAGATATAATTGGCTCACGGTTCTGCAGGCTGTACAGGAAGCATGGCAGCATCTGATTCTGGTGAGGCCTCTGGAAGCTTCAAATCATGGCAGAAGGTGAAGAGGGAGCAGGCATGTCACATGGCAAAAGCAGGCGTGAGGGGAGGGGGAGGCTGCTACATATTTTATTTCCTTTTTTTATTATTATACTTTAAGTTCTAGTGTTCACATATTCACAATGTGCAGGTTTGTTACATATGTATACATGTGCCATGTTGGTTTGCTGCACCCATTAACCCGTCATTTACATTAGGTATTTCTCCTAATGCTATACCTCCCCAAACTCCCCACTCCATGACAGGCCCCAGTGTGTGATGTTCCCCACCCTGTGTCCAAGTGTTCTCATTGTTCAATTCCCACCTATGAGTGAGAACATGAGGTGTTTGGTTTTCTGTCCTTGCGACAGATGCTTCAGAATGATGGCTTCCAGCTTCAACCATGTCCCTACAAAGAACATGAACTCATCCTTTTTCATGGCTGAATAGTATTCCATGGTGTATATATGCCACATTTTCTTAATCCAGTCTATCATTGATGGACATTTGGGTTGGTTCCAAGTCTTTGCTATTGTGAATAGTGCCACAATAAACATACGTGTGCATGTGTCTTTATAGTAGCATGATTTATAATCCTTTGGGTATATACCCAGTAATGGGATGGCTGGGTCAAATGGTATTTCTAGTTCTAGATCCTTGAGGAATTGCCACACTGTCTTCCACAATGGTTGAACTAGTTTACACTCCCACCAACAGTGTAAAAGTGTTCCTATTTCTCCACATCCTCTCCAGCACCTGTGGTTTCCTGACTTTTTAATGATCGCCATTCTAACTGGTGTGAGGTGGTATCTCATTGTGGTTTTGATTTGCATTTCTCTGATGACCAGTGATGATGAGCGTTTTTTTATGTGTGTGTTGGCTGCATAAATGTCTTCTTTTGAGAAGTGTCTGTTCATATCCTTTGCCCACTTTTTGATGGGGTTGTTTGATTTTTTTCTTATAAATTTATTTAAGTTCTTTGTATATTCTAGATATTAGCCCTTTGTCAGACGAGTAGATTGCAAACATTTTCTCCCATTCTGTTGGTTACCTGTTCACTCCGATGGCAGTTTCTTTTGCTGTGCAGGAGCTCTTTAGTTTAATTAGATCCCATTTGTCTATTTTGGCTTTTTTTGTCATTGCTTTTGGTGTTTTACTCGTGAAGTTCTTGCCCATGCCTATGTCCTGAATGGTATTGCCTAGGTTTTCTTCTGGAGCTTTTATGGTTTTAGGTCTAACATTTAAGTCTTTAATCCATCTTGAATTAATTTTTGTATAAGGTGTAAGGAAGGGATCCAGTTTCAGCTTTCTACATATGGCTAGCCAGTTTTCCCAGCACCACTTATTAAATAGGGAATCCTTTCCCCTTTCTTGTTTTTGTCAGGTTTGTCAAAGATCAGATGATTGCAGATGTGTGGTGTTATTACTGAGGGCTCTGTTCTGTTCCATTGATCTATATATCTGTTTTGGTACCAGTACCATGCTGTTTTGGTTACTGTAGCCTTCTAGTATAGTTTGAAGTCAGGTAGCGTGATGCCTCCAGCTTTGTTCTTTTTGCTTGGGATTGTCTTGGCAAAGAGGGCTCTTTTTTGGTTTCATATGAACTTTAAAGTAGTTTTTTCCAATTCTGTGAAGAAAGTCATTGGTAGCTTGATGGGGATGGCATTGAATCTATAAATTACCTTGGGCAGTATGTCCATTTTCATGATATTAATTCTTCCTGTGCATGAGCATAGAATGTTCTTCCATTTGTGTGTGTCCTCCTTTATTTCATTGAGCAGTGGTTTGTGGTTCTCCTTAAAGAGGTCCTTTACATCCCTTGTAAGTTGGATTCCTAGGTATTTTATTCTCTTTGAAGCAATTGTGAATGGGAGTTCACTTATGATTTGGCTCTCTGTTTGTCTGTTATTGGTGTATAGGAATGCTTGTGATTTTTGCACATTGATTTTGTATCCTGAGACTTTGCTGAAGTTGCTTATCAGCTTAAGGAGATTTTGGGCTGAGACTTTGGGTTTTTCTAAATATAAAGTCATGTCATCTGCAAACAGGGACAATTTGACTATTCAATTCTTTTCCTAATTGAATACCCTTTATTTCTTTCTCTTGCCTGATTGCCCTGGCCAGAACTTCCAACTCTATGTTGAATAGGAGTGGTGAGAGAGGGCATCCCTGTCTTGTGCAAGTTTTCAAAGGGACTGCTTCCAGTTGTTGCCCATTCAGTATGATATTGGCTGTGGGTTTGTCATAAATAGCTCTTATTATTTTGAGATACGTCCCATCAATACCTAGTTTATTGAGAGTTTTTAGCATGAAGGCTGTTGAATTTCGTCAAAGTCTTTTCTTCATCTATTGAGATAGTCATGTGGTTTTTGTCTTTGGTTCTGTTTATGTGATGGATTACGTTTATTGATTTGCATATGTTGAACCAGCCTTGCAACCCATGGATGAAGCCAACTTGATCATGGTGGATAAGCTTTTTGATGTGCTGCTGGATTCGGTTTGCCAGTATTTTATTTTATTGAGGATTTTTGCAGTGATGTTCATCAGGGATATTGGTCTAAAATTCTCTTTATTTGTTGTGTCTCTGCCAGACTTTGGTATCAGGATGATGCTGGCCTCATAAAATGAGTTATGGAGGATTCCCTCTTTTTCTATTGATTGGAATAGTTTCAGAAGGAATGGTACCAGCTCCTCTTTGTACCTTTAAATTCGGCTGTGAATCCATCTGGTCCTGGACTTTTTTTGGTTTGTAGGCTATTAATTATTGCCTCAATTTCAGAGCCTGTTATTGGTCTATTCAGGGATTCAATGTCTTCCTGGTTTAGTCTTGGGAGGGTGTATGTGTCCAGGAATTTATGCATTTCTTCTAGATTTTCTAGTTTATTTGCATAGAGGTGTTTATAGTATTCTCTGATGGTAGTTTGTATTTCTGTGGGATCAGTGGTGATATACCCTTTATCATTTTTTATTGCGTCTATTTAATCTCCTGGTGTGCCATTTGCTAAGACCGTTGGAAAAGTGCAGTATTAAGGCAGGAGTGTCCCACTTTTCCTGGTACAGTCTTCCCTTGGCTAGGAAAGGGAAATCCCCTGACCCGACCCCTTGTGCTTACCAGGTAAGGCGATGCTCCACTCTGCTTCAGCTTGCCCTCCGTGGCTGCACCCACTGTCCAACCAGTCCCAGTGAGATGAACCAGGTTCATCTCAGTTGGAAATGCAGAAATCAGCCATCTTCTGTGTTGATCACGCTGAGACCTGCAGACCAGAGCTGTTCCTATTTGGCCATCTTGGAAAGGGGAGCTATATCGATGATACATACTTTCAAATAACCAGATCTAAGGCTGGGTGCAGTGGCTCATGCCTATAATCCCAGCACTTTGGGAAGTTGAAGTGAGTGGATCACTTGAGGCCAGAGTTCAAGACCAGCCTGGCCAACATGGTGAAACCCCGTCTCTACTAAAAATACAAAAATTAGCCAGGCATGGTGGCACACACCTGTAATCCCAGCTACTCAGGAGGCCGATGCAGGAGAATTGCTTGAACCCGGGAGGCGGAGGTTGCAGTGAGCTGAGATTGCACCACTGCTCTCCAGCCTGGGTAACAGCGTGAGACTCCATCTCAAAAAATAAAATAAAATAAAACGACCAGATCTCACAAGAACTCACTCACTGTGGTGAGGACAGTACCAAGAGGGATGGTGCTAGACCCCTGTGATTCAATCACCTCCCACCAGGCCCCACCTCCAGCTTTGGGGATTACATTTCAATATGAGATTTTGGTGGGGACATACATGCAAACTATATCGCAGATGAAGAAATGGAAGCCCAGAGGGTAAGCACCTTGATCAAGGCCACATGGCTAGGAGGAATATCTCTACACTGAGGTTCGATCTCCTGATTCCCAAAAGCCCATGTCTTTCCACTGGCTAGATGCAGGGGCAATACTGAGAAAATTCTCTCCTTAACTGAAAAACCACTTTTGCCATTAGCAAGGCCAAGCTGTGTTCTTGCAGGGACCATTGGCTTCCTGGGGCTTTTGTGGGACCAACTTTGTCTACTTTACTCCTTTACCCTTGGCTTAGGAAACCATTTTCAGAGGAAGCACCAGAGCTTAGATTCTGCCAAATCCAGTTTAAAAGCCAGGTGCCAGGTATGCACTTCTAAGCTCCAAGTAGAAAAATATAGTTTAGGAAAAAATTAATAAAGAGAGCATTTTACCAACAAATAAAATGTGGCAGGAATTTGAGTCTTACTTATATGTAAGTAGTGATTATAAAGACCTGTATTTACAGAGTTTGGGGCAAACCTATGTGTATTAGTTTCTAATTACTGCTGTAACAAAAAAACCACAAGCTTAGTGGCTTCACACAGGTGTCTTCTTGTAGTTCTGGAGGTCAGAAGTCCAAAATGAATTTTACCGGGCTAAAATCAAGGTGTCGGCAGTGCTACCTTGAAAGGCTCTCGGGGAGAACCCTACTTGTCTTTTCCAGCTTCTCCAGGCCACCACATTCCCTGACTTGGGGACCCCTCCCCCAACAATTGCAGTCACTCCCCTGCTTTTCACCTTTTCTGACTGATTTTAGGACTCTTGTGATTATATTGGGTCTGTCTGGATAATCTAAGATAAACTCTTTATCTCAAGGCCCCTAACTTAATCACATCTGCAAGACCCTTTTGCCATGGGAGGGAACGTATCCCTGAATCCCAGAGATTACGACATGGACATCTCTAGGGGACCACCATTCTGACCACCACACCTTGAAAGTTCAGAAACACGTCCTCAAAGCAGTATGTGAAACTTACAGTATTCCTTCAGTTTCACTCTTGGTAATGGTAGGAAACAGTTATCTCTCTGCCTGAAAGGGAGGCCTTCTCTCTTAGACCTCAGCAAAATGCCTCATTCCTTCCAACTTCCGAAGTCCAACTCCTAGAGATGCACTCTCGGCAGCCTTCAGTTGCTGAGGGAGTTATTAATTTTTAGGTAATAAGACTTCAAAGTTAGAGTTTCCATCCTGAAATGGTTCAAAATATGGAGCATGCTTTATATAAATAGTAGGAAATATTCATATGGATGGGAGATTTTATTGAGTCGTGCGGAAGAGGGGAGTCTCTTGTTTTCTCCTGTGTTCCCTGTCCCCCCCAACCCCCAAGTCAGTAATCATATAAATGTATAATATACACTTATTTCATCAAATTATTTAGCAAAAAGAAAGCAAAACCACTTCTGGGCCTAGAATAGCAAGAAGAGCCTGTGTTTATTCAGTGATTGCAATGTGTTGGGTGCTAAGGAACAGTCCTATGGGAAGTCCAGATTCTAAGCTGGGTTTGGCTCTGATCATAGTTCAACACAAGGGACCCCAGAGTAATACTAGAAACATTAGGCTACTCAAATATGCCTCTGAGGTTTACTAGCAGGGAACCAACGTAAACAGGACTGCACCAAAGTAAACAGAATCTTGTGAGAGTTGATACTTGAGTTCGGTCTGAAGTCTCGATGTAAACACCACTTCTGCATTTGAGCTTTCTAAGATAGCAATCCTGTTGACACAGGTACATTAAGATAAGAAATGCTGACTGCAGTGTTACACCCAGTAGATAGCTCTGGATTCTGTCAAAGAGTTTAGCAACCTCTGCCCTGTAATAATAAAAGCAGTTCTTGGAATACACACTTTCAGAAAACAAAATGCCTTCTTGGTAATGGCTGGGTACTGAGTCTCAGATTTACACTTCAAGGGATTGCCTTTCCCATAATTTAGTTAGGTGTATAATGATTGTTAAGACCTAAGCTTTCTGAATGACCTCTTTTCTGTAACTGTAGTGGGTTGGAGTAGAGAAAAACTTTACCACTATTAAGCAAATAACAGGTACAAAATATTGAGCAAAGACAAAAGGACGACTCTGGAAAGATGAAGTCTTTCCCTGCAAATAAAAATCCGGGGAACACAGGAAAGGAAGGTTTGTGATGAAGCCCTGGGAACACAGGGAAGGAAGGTTTGTGATGAAGCCCCGGGCTCTCTCTGCTGGATTTGGGTGATTTGGGTTTTCAGAGCTCGCTCCTGCTTCCCTGAAGAGGGCCAAGGATAACAGGGACCTTTCTGTGACTTCACCTCTCTCGTTGGCTTTGGGAGGCAATGGTAAGGCCATATTACCCAAAGTCTAAGTAGGCGAAGCATAACGTGCTGTTGCCGTGTCCTCAAGAACGCACGGCACTACAGCAATGACGCTTTGCACCTTCAGGCTGGTTTGCACCGAGCTTGCAAAACACACGCTTGCCCGACCAGCCCTTCCTATTCGCCGGACACTGGCGCTTTCCCTGCCTGGTGTGAAAGACAGCCCAAGTCCACAGCAGGTGCGCTGCCTCACCACGGACCTCCCAGGACACAGAGGCCATGCTCAGCACAGGAGGGCTTGGTCACAGAAAGATGCCGCTGTGGACGGGCACAACAAATGGTAGTGTGGCACCTGGGCCTGCAGCAGCCTCCCTGTTGCCCCCTGGCCTGCAAGATGAGGGGAAGGAACCGCTACTGAAACCTGGAAGGAAAGAGTTGTGTGGGAAGGGCTGACGTCAGAGAAGCCGTGACTGTCACTTGAAGTGACGGTCCGAGGTGACCTTGCAGGGAGGGCACCAGAAAAACAAATACCCCAACGTTTCTTCCCTCCCTCTGATCTTCCCAGGGCTCCCTGTTGGCCAAAGGACCTGGGAGCTAGGTCGAGACCCGGGACATGGATGAGCTCCTTGCAGGTCAGCCTGGGAGCTGAAGAAGAAGGACGGTCCTGGAAGGGCCCACGGGACCCACCATGCAGAGCTGGATCTGAGCACTGTGCTCTGTGACTGATAAACGGGGCCTTAGGAAACGTGTCCCACAAACACTGAATTTCCCCTCTGTGGGAAGCGGCGCGGAGGCGCTGAGGACCCTGAGGCAGTCGCGTCTCCCCCGTAACGATGCACTGAGGGCTGTGGGGTTCGCAGGACTCTTCCAGCAACCCCGCAGGGCGGAGGTCATCCTCATTTGGTTGTTCGGCTGGCCCGAAACAGATGGGCTCACCCGCCATGCAGCTGGCAGGTCCCAGCATGAAACTCGGCCGCAGGGCTGACTCCATGGCCCTCGCTCTTGGTGTATTGCCCTGGAAGCAGCCCCATCCCACGACAGGTCTCACTCGGCAGGAAACCAGGTTATTCGTGCGGAGGAATCTCTGTCCAGAACTCTAATAGGCAGG
The DNA here is from genome assembly GCF_000001405.40 of Homo sapiens. Lineage (NCBI taxonomy): Eukaryota > Metazoa > Chordata > Mammalia > Primates > Hominidae > Homo > Homo sapiens. The sequence continues at coordinate 98,730,386 of NC_000013.11, read as the reverse complement.
AAGAGTTGGGAACTGGGGTCCTGTGAAACCAGTACAGTGTATTTCCCCCTTAGGACAAGGACTAAAAAGAGCATCTAAAATGCCCCTTCCCCTCCCCTTCCCCTCCCCTTCCCCTCCCCTTCCCCTCCCCTTCCCCTCCCCTTCCCCTTCCCTTCCCCTTCCCTTCCCCTCCCTTCCTTTTTTTCTTTTTTGAGACGGAGTCTCGCTCAGTTGCCCAGGCTGGAGTGCAGTGGTGCGATTTCAGCTCACTGCATCCTCCGCCTCCCAAGCTCAAGCGATTCTTCTGCCTCAGCCTCCTGAGTAGCTGGCATGCACCACCACGCCCAGCTAATTTTTGTATTTTTAGTAGAGACAGGGTTTCACCATGTTGGCCAGGCTGGTCTCCAACTCCTGACCTCAAGTGATCTGCCCACCTCGGATGGAGGTGTGAGCTACCACGCCCGGCCCTAAAATGCTCTTAAGTGGGCAAAAATGCAAGACCATCTGGTAGGAGGCCCCTGGGGCCACGCCGAGCTGCAGGAGTGGAAATAACACCAGCACAGGCTGACAGATCAGGAGGGAAGGCGCCTGCCCAGGAAGAGGTGGTGAAGCCTGGAGGGCCCCGTGGTCAGGGTCGGGAAGGGAGTTCCTCTGCCAGGGTTGTGGCTTTGTTTATTGTGGGATAGGGCTTTGAACTTGCACATAATGAAAATATAAGGCAGTAAATCTGCAAGGAAGGGCCCCAGAGGGAAACGATGTGGGAGATGGAGGAGGGTGCTGTGGTGGAGGCTTCCGCATGCTGTATGGCTCCTGTATTCGGTGTCTGCTCTGGATAGCTGGCGTGGTCTTTCTGGCGTTTGGAACCAGGGAAGTGATAAAACTCTCTTATGTAGAGCCATTAGGCAGCAGGACATCACAGCCTGCATGTGGTCCTCCAAGTGTAGTCCCCAGACCAGCATCATTGACATCACCTTGACTCTTGTTAGAGATGCAAATCTCAGGTGCAGAGAGAAGTCAGTCTTCTCAAATACCAGCCACAGAGGCAGGCCTTGCCTTCCAGTTGAGCTGCTTTTCATATGGGCAGCTCTGCTGCTGCTCGAAACACTGGGGTTGCCATAGGGCTTTAAGGATTTAAAAAGTTGTTATGGATACATAATAATTATATATATTTATGGGGTACATATGATTTTTAATAGAGGTACACAATATTAATATTAATACAATATTTTACAGTTAATATCAAATCTGGATTTAATATTAATATTAATACAATATTTTACAGTTAATATCAAATCTGGGTATTTGGAATATCCGTCACCTCAAACCTTGATCATTTCTTTGTGTTGAGAACATTCCAGATCTGCTATCTATTCTGTTTGTTTTTTGTTTTGGGGCTTGTTGTTTTTTTTTTTTTTTTTTTTTTTTTTTTTACAGAGCCTTACTCTGTGGCCTAGGCTGGAGTGCAGTGGTGTGATCTTGACTCATTGCAACCTCCACCTCCCAGGTCCTAGCAATTCTCCTGCCTCAGCCTCCCAAGTAACTGGGATTACAGGCGTGTGCCACCATGCCCAGCTAATTTTTGTGTTTTTAGTAGAGATGGGGGTTCACCATGTTGGCCAGGCTGGTCTTGAACTCCTGACCTGAAGCGATCCGCCTACCTCAGCCTCCCAAAGTGCTGGGATTACAGGTGTGAGCCACCGCGCCCAGCCTCTATTTTGAAATATACAATAAATTTTTGTTAACTGTAGTCACCGTGTTGTGCTACCAAACACCAGCTCTTATTCCTTCTACAGAACTGTGTTTTTGTATCCACTAACCTTGCTTCATCCTCCCACCTTCACCTACCCTTCCCATCCTCTGGTAACCACCATTCTACCCACTACTACCTCCATGAGATCAATTTTTTAGCTCCTACATATGAGTGAGAATATGTGATATCTATCTTTCTGTGCCTGGCTTATTTCACTTAACCTGATGTCCTCCAGTTTCATCTGTATTGCTGCAAATGACAAGATCCAACGACAACTTTCATAGAAATAGAAAAAAATCCTAAAATTCATATACAACAACAAAAGGCCTCGAAAAGCCAAAGTCATCCTGAGCAAAAAGAATAGGGCCAGAGGTACCACCTGATGTCAAAATATACTACAAAGCTGTAGTAACCAAATCAGCATGGAAACAGACACATAGACCAATGGAACAGAAAAGAGAACCCAGGAATAAATGCATCCATTTATAGCCAACTCATTTTTGACAAAGCTGCCAAGAACAAACACTGGGAAAAGAACAGTCTAAAGAATAATTTTCCAGTGTAGTGATTCCCAAAGCACACTGCCTGGACCAGTGGCAGCACCCACACCTGGGAGCTTGTTAGAAATGCAAGCTCAAGTGTCCATCTCAGGCCTACAGAATCAACAACTCCAGGAATGGGGCCCAGCCATCTGTTCTTGCAAGCCCTCTGGTGATTCTGAGGCACACTCCAGTGTGAGACCCACTGCTATGGGGTCACCGATTCCTAGATTCCTAATGGAGGTGGAGCATGTTCAGGGAGCCCTGGCAACAAAGAACTCTAATATAAGGAAATCGGGGTGAGTGAGGGGGAAGGGGATGGATGTCCTGTGGGAAACAGGGTAGTATGTGATAGACACGGATGAACACAGGGCAATGTGTTTGTGTAGGAGCAGAGTGAGGAGGTGTAAAGACTAGAGACAAGGGCACAGCTCAGCTCTTGCCAAAATTCCGGGGAGACAGAAGAGCAGGTGCTGACGGGATGGGGATGAGGCGCTCCTAGGATGCACATGGGAGAGTCCACTGGACTTGACGTGCACCAGCTCCCTTGTATTCTCAGGCTGTTTCTTCCTGCTCTTCTCATTCATTCTTGTGACATAACCCCCTACCAGTGGTAGGTATTGTACAGGACGTTGAAAGTGGGGATGTTGGTGTGATGGATGGCACATGATTCTTCTGCTTTCAGAACCTGGTCCAGAAGGGAAGCAAAAATATAAACTGCCCATCATTACAGTATGGTGATGTAGGCACATCAGAGATGATTTGGGAAGGGAATATCGGTGGCAAGACTTAAATCATGGGGTGAGCCTGGCAGGCAGGGCCCAAGCCATAGGAGGTGGCGGTTGAGTGTGCACAGTGTGTCAGGCACTCAGAAGCATTTTATATTACAGAAATTTCATCCCCACCAAAACACTTGTCAGATATTGAAGAACATGCTAGAATGTGTGGATTTTATCCCGATGGGCGGCCTTTGAAGTGTTTCAGGAGGAAATGGTTTAGGCCTGATTCTCTGAGCTGCTGCTTCTCAATTTTGACTGCATACGAGAATTGCCTGAGGAGCTTCTTAAAAGAAAATACAGATGCCAGGCCCCACCTCAGATAAGAAGCATGAGTCTGGGGCCGGGATCCCAGGGAGGGCTGGAGCTGTTTGGTGAATGGCCCCTCTGACCACCCTAAAAAGTCAGAGGCTCTGAGTTTAGACACAGCAAAAACTATTGTAATGGCTTGACTTTAATATTGGGATTCTGTTTTTCTTTTAGGAATGTCCAAATCACACGTGAGTACCCTTTTTCCTTCTCTACATATCTTCATCTTGTAAATTTTATCATCTGTTTTACCCCTAAGGGTTCATTCACCTAACAGATCTGTACATCTGGAACCAGTGAGGGTATGATCCCGGATTTCCATGTGAGATGTCCTCTCCTGAGGAAATGCTGTGGATAATCCTCCTCAGACTAACAATACCACTGGATGCTTTATTTCATTGCTGTCTCTATGTGGAAGGATTAGTGTAGGGAATAAAATGATTAAATGCTAGTTTCCTGCTCTAGACAGTCACCGGTAAGTTACTGAATCTGCGTTGGCTGCCTTTCATGCCACTGGTGCTCCTTTGTGGCTATGGACCAGTGGGGGGTGTATTTCAATCCTGTGCTTGTTTCTTTTTTGTCAGAGTTTCTTTGGTTATCCCCTGAGCATCTTCTTCATCGTGGTCAATGAGTTTTGCGAAAGATTTTCCTACTATGGAATGCGAGGTAACTGTATTGGCCGTTTCTCACCCTTCAGGGAAGAGCGGGAGTGGCCATAACCAGTCCTAACTTTGTTTCCCCCTCCTCTTCCACCTGCCCTCTGCAAAAGCAATCCTGATTCTGTACTTCACAAATTTCATCAGCTGGGATGATAACCTGTCCACCGCCATCTACCATACGTTTGTGGCTCTGTGCTACCTGACGCCAATTCTCGGAGCTCTTATCGCCGACTCGTGGCTGGGAAAGTTCAAGTGAGTGGCTGGAAATTTCTTGTTCACAAACAAGCGAAAAAGTAAATGTAGGTTTTGTAGTTGGGAATGGTGGAATCTGGGAATGATGAATCAAAGAACAGAAACTCTTAGGAGAGGCCAGGTGTGGTATGGTTCATACCTGTAATCCCAGCACTTTGAGAGGCTGAGGCAGGAGTTTGAAACCAGCCTGGGCAACATAGTGAGACCCATCTCTACCAAAAATAAAGAAATTAGCAAGGCATAGTGGCATACACCTGTGGCCCCAGCTAGCTGGGAGGCTGAGGTGGGAGGATCCGCTTGAGCCCCAGAGGTCAAGGCTGCAGTGAGCTGTGATCACATCACTGCACCCCAGCCTGGATGACAGAACAAGACCCTGTCTCAAAAACAAATTAAAAACAGAAACAAACCCTTAGGAGAGCATTTACAGCGCTGTTTCTGCTCAGTATCCTGTCCCTAGAGCCTGAAACAGTGCCTGACATTTAGTGACTGCAAGCAGCATCTATAGGTTTTTGTTTTTCCCTAATGCAAACAAATGTAGCATCTTTGTCACATCTTGACACAGTAGCAGGGATACTGTCTATTATTAGTGATGTGTGAGGCATGGAGTTAAGGTCTGGGGATATGAAGAAACTCTCTAAAATACCCCCTTGGCTGCTGAGGGGCTCACGCTGCTTGAGGTCACATGGTGTGAGGTCACTAAAGAGAGAAGTCACCCAGCCCTCCAGGAAGGGCTCCACGAGCACACCCAGTGGGATGTTGTCAGGAAAGTTTTCCTGGGACTTAATGAAGAAGGAAGTAGAGGCTCTTCCAGGCCAAAGGAATGACGTGGGCTGTCTTAGTCCACTTGTGTTGCTATAAAGGAATACCTGAGGCTGGGGAATTTATAAAGGAAAAAGGTATATTTGGTTGATGATTCTGCTGGCTGGAAGACCAAGCATCTGATGAAAGTCTCAGGCTGCTTCCATTCATGGAGGAAGGTGAAGGAGAGCTGGCATGTGCAGAGATCACATAGCCAGAGGGGAAGCGAGAGAGAGAGAGGAGGGAAGTGTCAGGCTCTTTTCAACAACTAGCTCTTGCAGGAACTCACTCATGACCATGAGGACAGCACCAAGCCATTCATGAGGGATCTGCCCCAGTGTCCCACACACCTCCCACCAGGCCCCACTTCCAACACTGGGATCACATTTCAGCTTGAGGTTTGCAGGAGACAGATAACCAAACTGTAGCATGGACAGAAGAAAGAAGAATCACTACCTCTAAAGAATTCTACAAAAATTACCAAAGGTCTACTTCCTGTCCAAATATCATTACCAATCAGAATATAAGTAATTCTTACTGTTTAAAAATATAGGCTGGGTGCGGTGGCTCACACCTGTAATCCCAGCACTTTGGGAGGCCAAGGCAGGTGGATCACAAGGTCAGGAGATCGAGACCATCCTGGCTAACGTGGTGAAACCCCCGTCTCTACTAAAAAATACAAAAAATTAGCCGGGCATGGTGGCGGGCCCCTGTAGTCCTAGCTACTCGGGAGGCCAAGGCAGGAGAATGGTGTTAACCCAGGAGGCGGATCTTTCCCCTCTCCTGGCCCTCTGGCCAAAATTTTGTTAATTTTTTTTTAAGAGACAGGGTCTCGCTCTGTCACTCAGTCTGGAGTGCAGTAGTGCAATCCTGGCTCACTGCAGCTTCAACCTCCTGGACTCAAGTGATCCTCCCACCTCAGCCTCCTGAGCAGCTAGGACCACAGGCATGCACCACCACACCTGACTAATTTTTTATTTTTTTGTTGAGATGGGGTCTTGCTATGTTGCCCAGGCTGGTGTCGAACTCCTGAGCTCAAGCAGTCCTCCTGCTTTGGCCTCCCAAAGTGCTGGGATTACAGGCATGAGCCACCATGCCTAGCCCAAAACTTTGTTCTATTCTTTTTGCCCATGTGAGTTCCTGAGAGTTAACAGTGTTACTCAAGTTTGAGAAATAAGTGTATTCAGGATTGGGCTCTTGAAAGCTTTCAAGGAGGGGGTCTTTTGTGGTGGAGTCAAAAGTGGATGGCTATTGTGCAATTAACTCGGATTCTCTTAATCTTTGGAAACACAGGACCATTGTGTCGCTCTCCATTGTCTACACAATTGGACAAGCAGTCACCTCAGTAAGCTCCATTAATGACCTCACAGACCACAACCATGATGGCACCCCCGACAGCCTTCCTGTGCACGTGTGAGTTGGTGCTCACTGCTGCCCCCATCACCCTCCCACCTTGTGCGCATTTGATGCCTTAAGTCTTCGTCTTTTTCCTTGAACTTCACTGAGAGCATAAGGAGGTTTTTCCTCCCCCTTGGGCAGCATGGAGAAGGCTGTCAAATAGATTGAGCTGGGTCTTCAGGATGTCACCACCCTAACAGTTGTCTAGAGGCATTGCTCACTCTGAGGCTCAGCTGTCATGCGCCATCATATCCCATGTGAAGTACAGTCAGTGCGCAGGGGATTCATGTTGGTCTTGACCTACCCTGGAGGGATATAAAGTCCCACAGACCTTGATCCTTCACACCGCCAGGTGTCCTCAGGACTCCAGGACCTTGGGTTTTCTGTCTTGTACCACACTTCTGCCTATTTTTCAATAATCCCGTTTCATAAATATTTGTTCCAGCCATTTGTGCTGGGCTCTGGATGGCAGGTGTTATTGATAAATGCTCATGTGCTGGATTAATCTTGCTTCACTGCAGTCTGGCCTAGTAGACTAGTTGTAGAGATTTATTTAGTTTCCTGTTTTTGTGCTTCAGTTCCTTGATCTATAAGTAAACTATCTAATGAGCTGGGAAAGAAGAATAGAAACTCAAATTAGTATCGGCAATCCCCACACTGCTGGCTTATCAGTTGATCAGACTGCTGTCCAGACTGGATCTCTTGATGCAACACTCTTGGTGCCCAGAGGGAACTGTGTCGGTGGAGGGAGTGGCTGTGAGCCCTCCCACAGAGCAGCTCTGTGGCCTTGGGGAGGTGTTCTTCTCTGAGCCTCAGTTTTCTAATCTGTAATATCAGTTAAGAACATGGACTTTGGAGCCAGATTCTGGCTGTGCCCTTTCCTAGTTGTGTGAGCTTGAGCAAGTTTCTTAACCTCTATGCCTCAGTTTCCTTGGTTGTAATAGTACCTACTTCGTGTAGGACTGTTGTGGGTTAATCCAAGTAAAGCACCTAGAACACTGCCTGACAAGTGATCAGTGCTCAAGAAATATTAGCTTTTCATTTTTCATTTCATGGAGTTCGTATTGGAGCACACCTAAAATTCTCACAAGAGTAAATTGTATATAATATTCAGTTGGCCGTGTTTTTGTTGTCTTTTAAAATGCTTAGATTGACAACATTAAATGCAAGTTGTATTAAGAGGCAGACAAGATTAAAGGGGTGATTTGGCCAGCCAATTCAGGAAGATTGGTTCAGGAAGCATGATTTTTAAAGAATTCTTTACCTGTGCAATATTTTCCTTGACTTTATCTGTCTCATAAAATTTTTTAAGTGTTTAAAAGCAACATTAGCAACCAAGAAGATATGGGATACATGCCTATAAAACCAGAAATTTGTAGTACCTACCTGTAAATTTAATAAAACTACAAAGTGAGGGTCAATAAATGCTATGAATTTTTTTTCAACTCAGGAGTTAAAATACTTAGCAATAACCTAGAAAATACAAGAGTAAATTAAATAACCCTTAATCCCACCATCTAGACATGACAATAAATCTTTTAGTCTATTTCCTTCCAGTTTTCTGTACCTTGTAAACAAACTGAGATCATACTACCTAACCTGATATTCCGCTTTGCAATGAAATCATGTTTTCCAATGTTACTTAATGACTATTATGAGTCGGTTATGACTGTACCAGGCACAATGCTTATATTTGTTCAATAACATTTCATTTATCCTCTCTTTTACTGGAAACAATAAAGCTACAAAAGAACCCCAAACCTAAGGCTTTGCTCAGCTCGCAAGCTACTGTTTTATGTTTTCCGGATGGTAAATTATTAGATGGGGGCAGGAGTTTGAAGGCCCATGAGTTCAAGTTTGCATTTGACTATCACGCTGCATTCCTGTGAGCTGGCTTCTCGCGAGATTGTCTTCTTCTCTATGTGTGTCACTATGCCAGGCCCACTGAGGGAAACTGGGGAAAAGAGAGGCCTTCTACTTGCGAGGATCTGCCATGTTGGCCCTAACACCCTGTCTTTCCCAGGGTGCTGTCCTTGATCGGCCTGGCCCTGATAGCTCTCGGGACTGGAGGAATCAAACCCTGTGTGTCTGCGTTTGGTGGAGATCAGTTTGAAGAGGGCCAGGTAAGGGTAGGGGCCTCCCCAGAGCCCACGTGAATGAACTACACATCCAGGAGTCAGAGGCCACGGGCACAAAGTCTGTTCTACATCGGATTCTTTTTAAGTACATTAGAAAGTAAGATACCAACCAAAACTAAGTTAGTAGTAAAATGAGATCATCAGCTCCCTGTGCTCAGTGGATTGATAGCCAAAGTCATCTTACTTTCTCCTTTTCATTGCAGGAGAAACAAAGAAACAGATTTTTTTCCATCTTTTACTTGGCTATTAATGCTGGAAGTTTGCTTTCCACAATCATCACACCCATGCTCAGAGGTAAGAGATACCTGAAAGGAACTTCTGTTGGTCTTTTTTTAGTAAGGCCAAGTCCGTGTCTTCTTCGTTTTGTTCTGTTCTTCCCTTCTGCCCTGTTTTCTAGCTGTCAGCTACATGCTGGGATGCACGTTGGAATCTGGAGTAAGTGCTTCCTTCCCTGTGAGTTTCACCTCCTTTTTGTCTTATTTAAATCCCTTATCCCAGTGACCACTGGAGAGTCTAAGCCATCCTTAGCATGGGCATCCATCTTCCTAAACTGTTATTCATGCAAAGTCATGCTCGTGGTAAGAGGTAAGAGGCAAGAGAGGTGCCTTGGAAGCCAAGCTGGTGGCCGTAGCTGCCATTTTAGCCTTCAAGCTTTGCTCCCCAGTGATATTTCTGTGACTTAGGAAGAGTTTACTGGGCAAAATTGTATTGATTTTTTGTTTGTTTTGTTTTGTTTTTAGAAGGAGTCTTGCTCTGTCACCCACGCTGGAGCGCAGTGGCGTGATCTTGGCTCACTGCAACCTCCACCTCCTGGGTTCAAGCAATTCTCCTGCCTCAGCCTCCTGAGTAGCTGGGACAACAGGCGCCTGCCACCATGCCCGGATAATATTTTTTGTATTTTTAGTAGAGATGGGATTTCACCATGTTAGCCAGGATGGTCTCGATCTCCTGCCCTCGTGATCTGCCTGCCTTGGCCTCCCAAAGTGCTGGGATTACAGGTGTGAGCCACCACGCCTGGCTAAGGCAAAGTTTTTTTCTTTGCTTTCCCATCATCTCAAGTATTTCCAAAAGAACTGCTCAGATAAAGAGAATGGGACAGTGTCAGTAACTATCAGAGGTTTGTGCTTGCTAATGCTCCATAGAGAGTTTGTGAATTTCCCATGTGGAAGGGAATATGTGGTGTTACTGGTGACAAACTAACAAGACCATCCTGTCCACATTTGAATCAGATTAGATTATGAAATAAAGATTTCAGGGGGATTTATGTATTCTTCCACAGCATAGTGGTTTGAAGATGACAGACAATTAAACCCCATTCCAACTTGTTTTATTTTTTGTTTTTTTCCAACTTGTTTTGTATAAAAATGTAACAGCTTTTATTCGTGTGTCCTGTTCGCTCACCTCTCCTACCTCTATGTTCTACTAGAGGGTGCATGTTTAAATTATAGAATCTGTTAAAGGATAATTTTTTAAAAGGAAGTTCATGACTCTCTTACAAATATAAAGTGAATATGTGACAAAAATTTTATGTAACTTGTTAATTAGTTGATAATTAATCAGTTCAAATAAAGATTTGACTAACAAATTTCTATTCTTTATAGGGGGAAAATTATTTTTTGCCATGAACAGGAAACATTTGCATGAGTGTCACTTCTGCTAGTTAACTTCTTTCTCTCCCGAATTGTGAGATAGCTGAACCAAAGCAAAACCCTGATAGCAGCAGATCATGCCTGGAGGCGCCAGCATTCCATAGAAAGGATTTCCAGGAATCTCCGTGACTTCTTACAAAGGCTTACTTTTAAAATAATTTTTATTTATTTATTATAAATATATATATAAATCCTGGGATTTCAAAGCTAAAATGGCTGTTGGTCAGAGGTTGCCAAACAGTGGCCCATGGGCCGAATCCAGAAATCTGGGCAAGACCATTCATTGATGTATTGTCTACAGTTGATTTCCCCTGCAAAGGTGGGGTTAAGTAGTTGACAGAGACCAATGGTTCACAAAGCCTGAAATATTTACTGCTGGGCCCTTCACAGAAAAGTGTGCCAACCCCTGCCCTAGGTCATCGAATTGCTACCTGATTGGCATGAATTCAGGAACAGATAGTATTGATTTTCCAGTGTACTTTTGATTTACTGAGTCCCATATAATCAAGTTAGTGTATCCAGGTCATCTTTATCTCCCCCGTAAAGAAAATCCACAGAACCAAGAGGGGGCCGCTGATTTTGGCCAAGCTGGGAACACCCATCTATTTAGGGGCTGAGATTAGAACTGGTTTCCATCTCCTGCTCCTCCTGCTTCACTGCTGCTTTACTTAGCTGGCAATTATGTCAGTGAGGCAAATGGATATGTCTAGAACAGTATGTGAAAGCAATACGTAATTATCAGTGAGGGATCTTTACAAATGGGAACTATATGCTCATTACCAATGCCATAACAATTTTAATCTTGTCATTTCTCCCCAGTTCAACAATGTGGAATTCACAGTAAACAAGCTTGTTACCCACTGGCCTTTGGGGTTCCTGCTGCTCTCATGGCTGTAGCCCTGAGTAAGTGGAAATCGGTTGAATTAATAGAAGCCTAGGACCAGGTCAGGCCCTACGTGAATGATTGTGACTAATTTTTTAAAGTGCATGTAACAAGTGGCAACAAAAAGTAGTGAGAAGAATTGGCATCAGATGTTAAACATGCTCTAAGTATTCAAAGAAAGTAGGATTGGCACATCAATTCCGAGGGAATAGGATCAAAAAAAGAATTACAGGAAAAGGAACCAACTGAGTTGGTCATTGAAAGGTGTAATACTATTTAGGCAGATTAAGATGAAGGTGAGAGAGGCCCAGCATGGTCACTCATGCCCGTAATCCCAGCACTTTGGGAGGCCAAGGCAGGGGGATCCCTTGAGTTTAAGACCAGCCTGGAGTTCAAGTCCAGCCTAGGCAACAGAGAGAGACCCTACCTCTAAAACAAACAAACAAAAAGACAGAGTCTTGCTCTTGTCGCCCAGGCTGGAGTGCAATGGTGTGATTTCAGCTCACTGCAACCTCCGCCTCCTGGGTTCAAGCGATTCTCCTGGCTCTGCCTCCCAAGTAGTTGAGATTACAGGCACCGGCCACCACATATTTTTTATTGTTAGTAGCAACAGGGTTTCACCATGCTGGCCAGGCTGGTCTCGAGCACCTGACCTCAGGTGATCCACCCACCTCAGCCTCCCAAAGTGCTGGGATTACAGGCATGAGACACAACACCTAGCTGGTTTTTTTGTTGTTGTTTTTGTTTATTTGTTTTGCTTGTTTTTTTAATTAGCTGGGTGCTGTGGCTTATACCTGTAGTCCCAGCTCCTCTGGAAGCTTAAGTGGAAGGATTGCTTGAGCCTGGGAGGTCGAGGCTGCAGTGAGCCATGATTGCACCATAACACTGCAACCTGGATGATAGAGCAAGACCCTGTCTCAAAAAAAAAAAAAAAAAAAAAAAAAAAAAAAAAAAAAGATGAAGGTGATAGAATCTGCTGGATTAGCTGAACCCAAGGCTAAAAGCTTTTGTTCTTGTCAACATGTACGTATCTATAACTTGCTTGAAGAAATGGCAACCTGGTTCAGTTGCCACTGAAACACTCCAATGAACATCTACATTTCCATAATTGATTAGGTTGGTGCCAAAGTAATTGCAGCTCTTGCCATTAAAAGTAATGGCAAAAACCGCAATAACTTTTGCACCAAACTAGTATCACCTCCCCCCGCCCCCCATATGTTTCTACTAGAATTCTTTCCCACTGGACAGAACATATATGTCTATTCGAGGCATTCATTGGCACATTAGTTCTTGGCATTGGCTTTTAGGAAAGGTGGCGTTTTCTACATGGGATGCTTGGATGTGAAAGGTGGCCAAGAACGGTGCAAAAAGAAAACAGCCCAGCGGCCACCTCAACTCTTCAGAGCCCCTTCTCCCACTCAAATGAGGTTGTCATCAGCTTTGCTCAGCTGACAATCACGTCTCTCTCTCCAATTTTTGTTTTCAGATCTTAGTAGTACATGGAATAGGACCGTTTTCAATCTCTTTTGCTCACAGTGTAGCAATTTAGCTTTCCCCTTTCATTTAGGTGAGAGCTCAGTATTCTCCTCTTTTTAATGTCTCTTTTCTTCCATGGTTCTTCCCATACTGCCACCGTCCCCTAGCAGGCTCATTGATACCTCCTCCTCTCTAATTCTTGGCAGGAGACAGAGAGCATTTCCAAAAGTCTTGCTTTACACCAGACACTGTATTAAGCACGTTAGGTACATTGTTATCTCATCTGTACAAGTCATTCCTCTATCAACGATTATGCTTTTTCTTCTGGAGGAATTGAGAACAGGCCAAATCCGATGTGTCAACACTGCCTCTAGAAATTCCTACGCTTGAATTAGGTTTCAGTTAATCAGAAGCTTAAAGATTAAATATTAGTGGTAAAAGAAAACATAGACTCAATCTCTTGGACATCTTTACCATCCATGTCTGCATTCAGAAATGTTGACATTGGGCAAGAATATAAGTAAACATCTCTTTTATCAGCTATAAAGAACATCTATATTATAGGCACATACTTGGAGCTAGCACCTGTCAAAAATCTCAGACCCTCTTAATTGAGAAAAATAAGTAGAATTCAAGCTATCGGTGTTTTTAAATTATTGAACTGTGGTATTGGATAATCAGAAATCCTAGTATATGGACTATGTTTTCAGATATACTTGCAACAATGCTTTAAATTTTTAAAAATTTTTTAATAAGATGATAGAGATAGGATCTCATTATGTTGCCCAGGCTGCTCTTGAACTACTGGTCTCAAGTGATCCTCCTGCCTTGGCCTCCCAAAATGCTGGGATTACAGACATGAGCTGCCACACTCAGCCCTAGAATGGTTTTTTTCTAAGTTATTTTCACAATATGACTTGCCAAAAAGGTCCGTGGAAGAATGACCTCATTGAAAAGGTGCTTCTAACTTTTGTAAAACTGTAGCTGCAGATGCAATTAATTTTAACTGCTTCTGTACAGTGACCACAGAAAAAATTTCTGCCACATATGATTAAGATTAATTCTTTTTTCCTGAATATTAAAAAGAGAAAGAAAAAGGTTTCTCTTCCCATTGCATTCAGAAGATTACAGCTCCATTTATTTTTATTTTTATTATTTTGATATGGAGTTTCACTCTGTCACCGAGACTGGAGTGCAGTGACACGATCTCATTTCACTGCAGCCTCCACCTCCTGGGTTCAAGCAATTCTCCTGCCTCAGCCTCCCGAGTAGCTGGGATTACAGGTGCCCATCACCACACCCAGCTAATTTTTGTGTTTTTAGTAGAGACGGGTTTTCACCATGTTGGTCAGGCTGGTCTCAAACTCCTGACCTCAAGTGATCCGCCCACCTCGGCCTCTCAAAGTACTGGGATTGCAGGCTTGAGCCACCGCGCCTGGCCCCATTTATTGTCTTAGTAGAATAGTACTTTAATGTGTTATATGAAAGTACTGATTCCTTTTGTCTCCCTTTAAATAGAGATAGAACTTGTGCTTAAATAGCTGTGTGAGTGTACGTGAGCTACCTTAAGCTATGGGAAGTAGATGATATTAGGCTTACAGGTTGCATATTAGAAGACAAACCTAACGTTACTCAGAGGTTTTTGTGGATTGTGAGAGTTAAAAGCACTTTCTAAACTGTGAGGTTGGAAGGTAAACCCATTCCATAAGTAATCCCATTATCCCAAAACAAAGTTATAATTCAAATAAAGGCGCATCTCTCTAGGCCACAGGGCGCTCGGTCACATGCTTTGCTGACATGTCTTCTTCTGCCCTATCTAGTTGTGTTTGTCCTTGGCAGTGGGATGTACAAGAAGTTCAAGCCACAGGGCAACATCATGGGTAAAGTGGCCAAGTGCATCGGTGTAAGTATCTCAGCTGCTCTTTCTCAAGGCTATTTAACCACCTCAGAACCTTCTACTTTCTTTAAATTAAAATTTAAGCTTTGACTTTCCTTTAAATATATTTTTAGTGTTCTTAACTGTTTCAGTAAATTGTAGCTTCTTCTAAATGCAAAAAGACACAAACAGAACTTAATAAGGGAAGAATAGAAATGGCTCTTGAGCTTATAAAATAAGATCAATGGTCAAAGAAAAGCAAATCAAAGTGACTCTTCATCTGTCGAAATGGCAGAACAGTGCTTGAGGTTTGTCAGGGAGCAGTGAATCAAAAATGGGGAGGCTCAATTTGGCAATGTGTAGCAAGAGTCTCAGGTGTTCAGTTGCTTCAAGTCAGTCATGCTGCTTTCAAGAATTAAGAGTAAGAAAATAGGCTAGGCACTGTGGCTCATGCCCGTAGTCCCAGCACTTTGGGAGGCCTAGGCGGGCGGATCACTTGATCAGGACTTCGAGGCCAGCCTGGCCAACATGGCAAAACCCTGTCTATACTAAAAATACAAAAATTAGCCAGGCATGGTGGCGGGTGCCTGTAATCCCAGCTACTCTGGAGGGTGAGGCAGGAGAATTGCTTGAACCTGGGAGGCAGAGGTTGCAGTGAGCCGAGATTGTGCCATTGCACTCCAGCCTGGGCGACAGAGGGAGACTCTGTCTCAAAACAAAACTAGAGTAAGAAAAAAATATTTAAAAAGTGAACACAGACTCATGTACAAAGATTATCATTGTAATACTTATAATAGCAAAAATGTAAGCCCACAAATTGCTGCAAATAGGAAGACAGTGCTGAACTTACAGTTCATCTCTGGCATAGCATGCAGCCGGGAGCAGTCTTGTTTTTAAGGAATATGTAGTAATAGGAATGTGCAGAATATGGTTTCTTCCATAAGTACCTCCATAGGATATGCATATACACATACATTTATGGGTGGGAAATAAATGTTGAGAGTAGAATCCTTAGATAATGGAATCAAATGATTTTTTTCCTTATACACTCCCCATTTTTTTAGTGAACATACTGTATATGTTGTATAACTGGAGGTAAATGTGTCATTTATTAAAAAAAAATCACATGTGTGAATCTTATGGATGAAAAGGCAGCCTTAAGATAATTTTAGATCACTTACTTTATCTTACCTGGCCTTATTGCGTTAGATTATTGTATTATATTTCATTTCTTTTTTTTTTTTTTTTTTTGAGATGGAGTCTTGCTCTGTCGCCCAGGCTGGAGGGCAGTGGTGCACTCTCAGCTCACTGCAACCTCTGCCTCCCAGTTCAAGCGATTCTCCTGCCTCGGCCTACCAAGTAGCTGGGACTATAAGCACACACCACCACACCTGGCTAAGTTTTCTATTTCTGTAGAGACAGGGTTTGCCATGTTGGCCAGGCTGGTCTCAAACCCCTGACCTCAGGTGATCCGCCCGCCTCAGCCTCCCAAAGTGCTGGGATTATTGTATTATATTTCAATTGTATTGTACTATTAGATTGTTGTATTGTGTTGTATTTCACTTTTTGAAATAAATGTGCCCTCTCCCTGTCAAAAAAATCCCTTCAAGGACAGCTGTACTGTTTTCTTCTCACATTAGAACTGTTCCCACCAAAAAGCTTTTTCCAAGCAAAGAGGGGACCTTACCAATTACCCATCCAAGTCCTTCCTTAACAAGTCATTGACAACTTAGTTCAAACTCCAGAAGAACAACTTCAAGCTATTTAGGGTCATGAGAACTATATTGCGAAGTATCCTAAAGTCAGCCTGTAGCTTTGACTTACTTTTCTTTTTTTTTTTTTTTTCCTTTTTGAGACAGAGTCTCACTCTGACACCCAGGCTAGAGTGTAGTAGCACGATCTCGGCTCACTGCAACCTCCGTCTCCCAGATTCAAGCAATTCTCCTGCCTCAGCCTCAGCCTCCCAAATAGCAGAGACTATAGACGTACACTACCACGCCCAGCTAATTTTTGTATTTTTAGTAGAGACAGGGTTTTGCTATGTTGGCTAGGATGGTCTTGAACTCCTGGTCTCAAGTGATCCGCCCACCTCAGCCTCCTGAAGTGCTGGGATTACAGGTGTGAGCCACTGCGCCTGGCCAACTTACTGCCTTTCGATCACGCTCATGCCTCCAGCCTCCACCAGCCTCACCTCTTGCTGTGTCTTTGCAAATGCACTTTGCTCTTCCCAAAGGCCTTTTTCCTAAACAACACTAACAAGGAATCTTAGTGGCCCCTAATTTTATGATGGGTGGGCCATCGTATTTTTCTGACCTGTGTTATTATATCTTAAAATATGTTTCCCTATAGCCTTAATTTTTTAATAAATGTATTTCTCTGTAGTGTGTTCTTACTCTTAAAAACTAATAGTTCAGTTATTGGAAGGATTTTAAGTATGTTTGAAACAACTTAGTGTGTAAATCTGGTTTTTCAAACACAAACTTTATAAAACCTAAATACAGATCAAGTATTTCTAATAAAAATCTAGCATCCAAATTGAGATATGCTGGCCAGGCATGGTGGCTAATGCCACTCCAGCACTTTGGGAGGCTGAGGCGAGTGGATCGCCTGAGCTCAGGAATTTGAGACCAGTCTGGACAAAATGGCAAAACCCTGTCTCCATTAAAAAAAAAATTAAAACATTAGCCAGGCATGGTGGTACATACCCGTGGTCCCAGCTACTTGGGAGGCCGAGCTGAGAGGATCATTTGAGTCTGGGAGGTCAAGGCTCCAGTGAGCCAAGACAGTGCCACTGTATTTCAGCCTAGGCGACAGAGCAAGACCTTGTCTCAAAAACAAACAAACAAATAAACTGAGATTATGTCATAAGTGTAAAATATTCTCTGGATTTTGAAGACAATATGGAAGAAGAAGGTAAAAATTCTTATTAATTTTTAAATATTGATTACCTATTAAAATCATAGTGGGGTTTATCATGTTATACAAATGTATGTACAATGAATTTCACCTGTTTCACTTTTTAAGCTGGCTACTAGAAAACTTAAATTGCAAACACGTGTTGTATTTCTATTGGGCGTGCTTCTCTAGAGGATCTGGAGAGTAAAGTGGACACAGCTTAATTCTGTTCACCCCAACTCAAACGCTCTTAGTTGGACAGAGACTATTAATAGAAATAAGTACTCATATACTAGTAGATACAATTGTATATTTTGCTTTTCTCACACGTATATTTTTCTCCTAAAGGTAGTTTAATTGAAATGTGCTTCCCTGACAAAGTTGTTGGTCCTGTTTTGAAATTCGATTTTTCTTCCTTCCTTCAGTTTGCCATCAAAAATAGATTTAGGCATCGGAGTAAGGCATTTCCCAAGAGGGAGCACTGGCTGGACTGGGCTAAAGAGAAATACGATGTAAGTAACGGTCATTGCTACAATGACCCTGATTCCCCCAGGAAGTGAACACTGAAAAATCTCAATTCAGATTAAGGTTACATGGACAAAATGGTCAGTGATACCTTCCTAACCTTTACAGCATATTAAATAAAACTATGCATGAGTGCATTTTTTTAATTGAAAGAACTTGATAAATAGATCTGGAAATAATATTACCTTTTCATAGTTTTTCATTTGGTATAATCTGGCATTAATTATATGTAATTGGGATCACATAACCTTAGTTTGAATATAGGAGAGTCAAGAGGTGGTGACGGCGGTGGTGGGATTTACATTTAGTAAATTCACGTAATTTACCTCCTAAATAGATGTTTTCACTCATATTTTAAATAGTTTAGACATTTTCGATTTTCTAAAGAAAACTGCGGCAGTATGTTTTGGATTAATCACCTCCCAGCTTGCCTCTAGATGCAAATATCTGTGTCTCCACTGAAATCAGCAGCACCTGTAAGCCGTGAGTGGCACAGGACACAGGGTGTGGCTGATTTGTCCCTTCCCCACTCCAACTACAGGAGCGGCTCATCTCCCAAATTAAGATGGTTACGAGGGTGATGTTCCTGTATATTCCACTCCCAATGTTCTGGGCCTTGTTTGACCAGCAGGTAATGTGAAACTCTGCTTGTGCTCTTCTTCACGGAGCAAGCGTACATCCCGCACTGCCAGGTACCAAGGCTCACTTCATATTTCACATCTAAAAAGTTCTCCTCCAGTTTCTTATTTATATTTCACTTGTTTAATTGTTAGATCACATTGAGTTTATTGTAAAAAACAAAACAAAACAAAACAAAACCAAAAGCAATTCTAGGTAGTTCTATCCACATTTCTGTTGCTAACAATGAAGACAATTACATGAGGTCAAGTCAAGTAGCCTTGGGAAAGATTTCATCCAGCACTCTTCCAATCAAAACTGAGAGTCAAGAGTTTGTTTTCCTACCAATACAGCGTGGTAACAAGTTACATTGCCTTTTATGGAGCCCATACATAAATGGAGAGGGACTTGATCTCTTCCACTGTAAGATGGAATGCTTGGGCTAGAAGTACCATCCTGGGGTGAAAAATGACTCCTCTCCAAGCAGGGACCTACAACCTGGCAGGTGACCTGTTGTCTCTTTCTACCACAGCCCTAAGACACATACCCAGGAATTTTTCACAATCGTGTTAGACAACTCAGTGCATGGGGCTCAGTAACCAAAGCAATTGGAAAGTGTTTGTTTTTAAAGATCAATCCTGGTTTACAGAATGAAAAAATAGCTATTGTTTCTCTTAGGAAATGGAGTTAAAAAAATATATATGAACACATGTGGTTTGAGCAGGGAGGATGGTGATAGGGATAAGCCATTGCTTGGGAGAAATGTGAGTGTACACATTCATCTCCTCATTTTAAGTAGGAGATTGAGATGTGTCAGACAGACCCGGGAGGCAGTGCTGCATGCGGACAGGAGCCGGTCACTGGAAACACACTCCTCACCTGGTAGCTGTGAGACTTGAGTCACTGTAATAACCCTTAACATTTTCCAAAGGGTGCTAATCACCCTCCGCAAGGCTGTGAGGGTCCAGTGTGAGAACATCCATAAGGTACTCAGTGACTGGCCTGTATGAAGAACTCAAACAGGGGTAGATTTCTTTTTTTTTTTTTTTTTTTTTTTTGAGTCAAGAGTCTCACTCTGTTGCCCAAGCTGGAGTACAGTGGCACTATCTTGGCTCACTGCCACCTCCACTTCCCAAGTTCAAGCGATTCTCCTGCCTCTGCCTCCTGAGCAGCTGAGATGACAGGCACCTGCCACCACATCTGGCTAATTTTTAGTAGAGACGGGGTTCTGCTGTGTTGACCAGGCCGGTCTCCAACTCCTAACCTCAGGTGATCCACGCGCCTCGGCCTCCCAAAGTGCTGGAATTATAGGTGTGAGCCACTGCACCTGGCCAATTTCCTGACTTTCTATGATGTCTTTCTAGTGGAGTTGATGGATTCATACGGAAGCATTTACATGTTTAGTCTTCCATAGACATAATCATATTTACCTGTACAGTCCTGTGTCCTCTTTCACTGTGAAATAGGTTGACTGTAAAGGGGCTGCCCAGGTATAAATCCACCACTCTCTTGATGGAGATCTAGGTGCAGCCAGCCTAGACTGTCAAAATGGCTGTTAACAATAATATTTGTGAATCTTGGATGGCAGTGAATATGGACCATCTGCAACACGCACAGCTACTTTTACCTTGCAGACGATGCCATGCTTTCCAACGAGCCTCAGAAATGCATTTTTGTATTTCCTAGGGATAGCTTCATCTCAGGGTACTGCTTTGTGCAGCTTCAGGAGGGGTTGGAGCACTCCGTATTGTGTTCACTCGTACGCTAGAAATGCAACTGGTTTCTTTTGACCTAGTATTATAATAGAGCTGGGAGATTAACTTGATGTTTAAAACAACTTTAAATCCCATAACATGTCAGACCTCATTCCTGATTTGGAAAAGACTCACCATTGACTTGTAAAATTTTAAAAACCCACATCCCCAAATAATACAGCAAATGTATTCATTTTTAAGGGCTCCAGGTGGACACTGCAGGCAACAACTATGTCCGGGAAAATCGTAAGTTTGACTCCTTTGTTTTAGTTTCTTTGTCCCCTTTCTTCTTCCCTTTCATGACATTTTTCACTGAGATTGTTTTCCTCTCTTTTTAGGGAGCTCTTGAAATTCAGCCCGATCAGATGCAGGTAGAAGACATGTAAGTTGCTTTCAGGGATCAGAGTCGTCTTTGAGACAAGCTTAACATTTCTCCTCCACTTCCTCTGCAGACCGTGAACGCCATCCTGATCGTGATCATGGTCCCGATCTTCGATGCTGTGCTGTACCCTCTCATTGCAAAATGTGGCTTCAATTTCACGTAGGTGACGGGTGGGTTGGGTTGGTTGAGGCTCCCTTGGTCCCAGGGCTTTGCAGATGGGCTGCGCTCAGCCTGCAGCCCTTCCCGCAACCTCGCCTAGAGGATAGGGTTTTGAAGAATGAAGAAAACAAATGTTCGTGTGCTGATGTTTCTGAAAATGTTCTTTAAAATAAAAATGCTGTGATTGACAGCCTGAAAAGGCCTTTAATCAAGGCTTTCTTCTCTACGCAGATGATAGGAATGGTCATTGTAATCTGGAGTATCACCTGAACCATAGTTTCTAGAAATTAATGTAAATATACAGGCCAGGCACAGTGGCTCACGCCTGTAATTCCAGCACTTTGGGAGGCCAAGGCAGGCAGACCATTTGAGGTCAGGAGTTCGAGACCAGCCTGGCCAACATGGCAAATTCCCATCTCTACTAAAAATACGAAAAATAAGCTGGGTGTGGTGGCACTCACCTGTAATCCCAGCTACTCTGGAGGCTGAGGCATGAGAATTGCTTGAAGCTAGGAGGCAGAGGTTGCAGTGAGCTGAGATTGTGCCACTGCACTCCAGCCGGGGTGACAGAAAGAGACTCTGTCTCAAAAAAAAAAAAAAAAAAGTAAATATGCAAACAAGAAGCTATATTCCACTTATCCTCCTTGAATCCTCATGAATCCATGACCAAGATGGGGAGAGGTGCTTTCAAGCCCATGTTTTTGGAAGGAATTTAGTTTTGTTGGGGGGATGGTGGGGGTGGGGGTTTAGCTTAGCTCATCTATGTGAAACTGGTTGAGAGTCACTCTTCTCTTGTGCCATCAGCTCCTTGAAGAAGATGGCAGTTGGCATGGTCCTGGCCTCCATGGCCTTTGTGGTGGCTGCCATCGTGCAGGTGGAAATCGATGTGAGTTGTCCCCTGGTTCTCCCATGTCCTTTCCTGGTGGATTTAGGTGGAGCGTTCAGAATCTTCTTTCTTCAGCATGAAGGGGATTAGGGGAGGCCAAGGTCTTTCTCTGTAAACTGAGCCCTGGAGCTGTGGGCAGTGGGAGGCACCATGGGTGTGAGGGTACAGTGGGTGGGCTTCAGCAGGGGAAAAAGGCTTACATAAGTAGCTTGCATTTATAATACAGTTTTTATAATGGAAAAGAAGTTTACAGAATGTGTTCCTTCACAATCTGAACTCCCAGGGAATCTGGTTAAAAGAAGTTCATCACTTACAAACAAGCATCACTTCAAATGTGTGTAAATGGTCTTTTTGATGTGAGAATGTATTTTGAATTCTAGTGTTTCTAAAAAGGATTGGTTTCTCAGTTAATCCACACATCTATTGGACTCGCAGTGGGCTAAACTAGACTAATGCTGGTAGTCTGAGATCAGTTCCTAGAAACAGGGTTATGTGGTGGGTAAGGGTCTCTTCCCTCTCCCCACCATTCCCCACCACTTCCTCCCTCTCTTTGCCTCTCTCTCTCTGTCTTTCTCTCGTTCCTTCCCTCCCCCACCCTTTTAATATCTTTGTTTATATTTTTAAGTGAAAGCAAGTTTATTAAGAAAGTAGAGGAATAAAGACTGGCTACTCCACAGGCAGAGCAGCTCTTTTAATATCTTTAAATTTAAAAAAAACTAATTGCAGTAAATATATATATATATAACATAACATTTACCGTATTCTTTTTTTTTTTTTTTTTTTTTTTTTTTTTTAAACAGGGTCTCACTCTGTCGCCTAGGCTGCTGGAGTGCAGTGGTGCGATCATGCTCACTGCAGCCACACCTGGGCTCAAGCGATCCTCCCACCTCAGCCTCCTGAGTAGCTAGGACTGTAGGCATGCACCACCACACTCGACTAATTTATTAAAATTTTTTTGTAAAGCCAGGGTCCCCCTGTGTTGCTCAGGCTGGTAATCAATCCTCCCACCTCAGCCTCCCAAAGTCCTGGCATTACAGGCATGAGCCCCCATGCCCGGTCACATATTAACCATTTTTAAGTGTACAGTTCAGTAGCGTTAAGTACCTTTCCATTGTTGTGCAGTCAACCTTCAGAACTCTTCATCTTACAAAACTGAAATTCTGTACCCATTAAACAACTCCCATTTCCCCTTTCCCTAGCCCCATCAACCCCCATTCTACTTTCTGAGTCTATGAATCTGACTACTCTAGCACTTCCTATGAGTGGCATTATATGGTATTTGTCCTTTTGTGACTGGCTAATTTCACTTAGTATATTGTCTTCAAGGTTCCTCCTGTTGTAGACTGTGTCAGAATTTCCTTCCTTTGTAAACTGAATACTAAACCCATTGTGTGTATACACCACATTGTTCATCCATTCACCCCCGACAGGCACTTGGGTTACCTGCACCTTTTGGCTATTGCAAACAGTGCCGCCATGAACATGGCTGTACTCACGCTCCTCTTGGACATAGCTAGCTTTGTGGAAGATGAATTGTGGGCTAAGGTGGACATGGCTTGCTTCAGTGACACTGGGTTTTGAAAGAGGGCATTGTAGAAAAAAGACAAAAACTCTGAACAAAGGTATGGAGGCAGGAGAGCATCAGGCATTTGTGAGATGTGTACACTGCTGCGTCTAGGGCTGGGGACTGGGCTTCCAGACTTACAGTAGAACACTGGAGTCGGGTGACGGTAGATCTCAGGTGTCATGACAAGAAGGATATTTGTTTAGGTTATAGTGACTCAGAGCCATCAGATATTTGGCTTCGTATCTTGGCAGCCCTTGACCTGGAAGTGGCTAGATAAGATAAGAGCAGCATCTTTCTGACTCGTTCACGTATTAGTCCATTCTCATGCTGCTGATAAAGACGTACCCAAGACTGGGTAATTTACAAAGAAAAAGAGATTTAATGGACTCACAGTTCCACATGGCTGGGGAAGCGTCACAGTCATGGCAGAAGGTGAAAGGCACATCTTGCATGGCTGCAGGCAAAAAGAGAAAGAGAGCCAAGCGAAAGGGGTTTTCCCTTATAAAACCATCTGATCTTGTGAGTCTTACTCACTACCACAAGAACAGTACGGGGGAAGCCACCCCCACGATTCAGTTATCTCCCACTGATTCCCTCCCACAACACCCGGGAATTATGGGATCTACAATTCAAGATGAGATTTGGGTGGGGACCCAGCCAAACCATATCACTTCAGTATTCCGTGCAAAAGTCATTTCTGTGGGTGCCACGAGGTCTGTGATTGGCAGCTTAGTGGGAGACACCTGGCGTGTTTCAGCCAGCGCAGCTTTTCCCAGCTGGAGGAAAGCACCCCCTTGTCAGGGTTAAGATGACTTTCCATGTTGTATTGAAGACCTCACTGCCAATTTTCTTTTATTTTGCTCAGAAAACTCTTCCAGTCTTCCCCAAAGGAAACGAAGTCCAAATTAAAGTTTTGAATATAGGAAACAATACCATGAATATATCTCTTCCTGGAGAGATGGTGACACTTGGCCCAATGTCTCAAGTAAGTAGAAGGAAATTGCTGCCTTCTTTTTCATCTTCTGACCCTGTTATAATAGGATTTAGAGAAGCTGTTTTTCTTGGTCCTTGTATAAATGCCAAGGCCAGCCCAGAAGTGAACTAAGGATCTTGATCTCATGTTGGCTATATTCTAAACCAGTGTGCTCCACACTATGTTGTTTGTTGTGTATGCAGATTGCCCAGGGAGCTGGTTAAAATGCAGAATTTTTTTTTTTTTTTTTTTAGATGGAGTCTTGCTCTGTCACCCAGGCTGGAGTGCAGTGGCAAAATCTTGGCTAACTGCAGCCTCTGCCTCCACAAACGTTCAAGCATTTCTTCTGCCTTAGCCTCCTGAGTAGCTGGGATTACAGGTGTGTGCCACCACACCCAGCTAATTTTTGTATTTTTAGTAGAGACAGGGTTTTGCCATGTTGGCCAGGCTGGTCTTGAACTCCTGACCTCAGGTGATTCACCCACCTCAGCCTCCCAAAGTGTTGGGATTACAGGTGTGAGCCACCATACCCAGCCAAAATGCAGATTTTTAATCAGCAGGCCTGAAATGCTGCATTTAACTAGCTCTCAGGAATGCTGCTGCTGCTGGAGCCTGGAACCACCAGATCAAGGATCTAAACTGGGGGAGATTTTGATGCTAGGGGACATTTAGCCATCTCTGGAGACATTTTTTGTTGTAGCAACTGGGAGTATGCTGCTGGCATCTCATGTAGAAGCCAGGGATGCTGACATACAGCTCTCCATAACAAAGATTACGTGACCCAAATGTTCACAGTGCCAAGGATGGAAAACCCTGCTCTAGATCACCCTTGTTCTGGATTCGTGGTACTCAACCTCCAGCCCATGTCAGAATCACCCGGAGAGCTTTGAAAATTTTGATACCTGGGTCCCAGCCCCAGAGATCCCTTTTTTTTTTTTTTTTTCTTAAATACAGAGCCTCACTCTGTCGCCCAGGCTTGAGTGCAGTGGCGCTATCTTGGCTCACTGTAACCTCTGCCTCCTGGGTTTAAGCGATTCTCATGCCTTAGCCACCTAAATAGCTGGGATTACAGGCATGAACCACCACACCCAACTAATTTTTGTATTTTTAATAGAGCCAGGATTTTGCCATGTTGGCCAGGCTGGTCTCAAACTCCCGTCCTCAAGAGATTGGCCTGCCTCAGCCTCCCAAAGTGCTGGGATTACAGGCATGAACCACCGCGCCCAGCCCTAGCCCCAGAGATGTTGAGATTTAGCCAGTCTCGTTCCTGTTTAGCCATGGTTGAGCACCACAACCTTAGACCTTGTGAAACTAATAATCTTGAAGGTAAAAACAAAAAGCCCGATTCCTAATGCTTGGAGCAGCCCAGTATTGATTTTTACCAGGGCTGTTGCTTTTGCTCTGGTGCTGTTCTTTGCCTAACAGTAGAAATTATTCTCATAGTATTTATTTTTGATAAAAGCAAAATAAAAGTAAGATGCTTGGTGAAAAGTATGGTTCCTGTGGTGGTACCAAAAACCTCATGACGGTGTCTGTAAGGGTGGGTGGGAAGCTGAGGCAAATAAAGGCCAACTCCCCACAGGCATTTTTTTGGTATCTATGAACATGAACCTGGAAATGCAGAATATCAGATAACTGCTCTTCCAGCGTTCAGTTGCATAGTGCCGAGACTCTGTGATATTAACTATGCCTCTTTCCCTCCCTCTATAGACAAATGCATTTATGACTTTTGATGTAAACAAACTGACAAGGATAAACATTTCTTCTCCTGGATCACCAGTCACTGCTGTAACTGACGACTTCAAGCAGGGCCAACGCCACACGCTTCTAGTGTGGGCCCCCAATCACTACCAGGTGGTAAGTGTGTGAAGACCTACAGCTGACTCTTTGCTATTTGTGATACTGGAGGCCAAAATTTTTATGGTGTGACTTTGTTTTACTCCCATATAGTGTTATATTAGATCATCCTCAATTTCTTCCTTCTTCTGGAACACAAGACTTCAAGAACACCTGTCAGACTTCCAATAAAAGTATGACTGGTGGATAGTAAAAGTTAATATTAATTGAAATTTCTAAAAAGACAACTTCTGGACATTGTATGGGGTCTGTGCACAGATGTGCATGCGTGTGTGTACAGAAGTCACACAGAGTACATATGTGAATTCTCAGGGACTTTTTCAGATAATTTAAAATATATAATTAATTGCACTGAATTTAAAAATTTGCACTAAATAGTCAGAAAATTAGAGCAGTCTCTGAAAAAGTATAATAAGCCTACCAGGTAAAAGCAATAAAATACTATGCATACAAAATATTTGATGAGAAAATACAGAGATCTAAATATGTCATTCGCACATAAAAAGCTGTGAAACCTAGCCTGGACAACGCAGTGAGACCCCTGTCTCTACAAAAATTTTAAAAATTAGCTGAGTGTGGTGGTGCATGCCTGTCGTCCCAGCTACTTGGGTGGCTGGGGTGCGAGGATTGCTTGAGCCCAGGAGGTAGAGGCTGCAGTGAGCCATGTTCATGCCAATGTGCTCCAGCCTGGGTGACAGAACAAGACCCTGTCTCAAAAAAAAAAAAAAAAAAAAAAAAAAAAAAAAAAAGCAGCAGCAGCAGCTACAAAGGTATAGTTGAGCTAAATGAAAGAGTTGTAGAGTTGTGGGCATTCTGTAAAGTGCATTTCAGTGAGCTTCTACGGAACTGCAATATGGAATTAAGACTCTTGGTCATTTGCTTAATTAGGGAGCTGCTGAGTGGCTTGTTCTAAAGTTTTGGACAGTAGTGTTCTGTGGAAGCACCGGCAACCAATGATCAAAAATTGTAGAGGCTCATGTTAGCTTTAAAGAAAATCAAGGCTGAAGAAATGGAGCCCTTCTTCTTTCTTCTTCCTTCCTTCCTTTTCTCTCTTCTCTTTTCTTCTCTTTTCTCCTTCCTTTCCTTCCTTCCCTCCCTCCCTCCCTCCCTTCCTTCCTTCCTTCTGTCCGTCCATCCATTCTTTCATTCTTTCTCTTTCTTCCTTTCACTTTCAACAGGATCTCACTATGCTGCCTGGCTGGTCTCAAACTCTTGGCCCCAAGAGATCCTTCCAAAGCTCTGGGATTTCAGGCATGAACCACCATGCCTGGCCCAGAAACCCTCTTTTTCTTTTCTTTTTTTTTTTTTTTTTTTTTTTTTTGAGACAGGATCTCCCCCTGTTGCACCATCTGGAGTGCAGTGGCATGGTCACAGCTCACTGCAGCCTCGACCTCCCAGACCCAAGAATAATTTTCAACAAATGATTCTCCCTCCCACGTCAGCTTCCTGAGCAGCTACAACTACAAGTGTGCATCACCACACCTGGCTAATTTCTAAGAGAGACAAGGTCTCACTGTGTCTCACAGGCTGGTCTCAAACTCCTAAGCTCAAGTGATCCTCCTGCCTTAGCCTCCCAAAGTGCTGGGATTACAGGTGTGAGCTACTGTGCCCGGCCTCCAGAGCCCTTCTAATGTAACCATGTCCTTAGGTCCTAGGATAAGTGTCAATACCACCTTCTCAAAGACTGAAATATTCATCTGAACTCATTCTAATGAATATTATTTTGAAAATATTTTTACATTACTGTTTTCTCTCTCAGGTAAAGGATGGTCTTAACCAGAAGCCAGAAAAAGGGGAAAATGGAATCAGGTATGTATATTTCTTTAAAATTTAAGTTTTATCAGATTCTTATGAAAGTAATGCATACCCATAGTAAAGTCCAAATGTAACAAGGATATAAAATGAGATTATAGGGTTTGTCCCAGCAATGTAAGGCTGGCTGAATATTCCCCAAAAAAATCAATCCATATAACCCATCATCTTAGTAAACTCAAGAGGAAATTGTACGTCATCTTATCAATTGATTAAAAAAAGCATTTGATAAAATTCAGCATCCATTCATGACAAAAACTCTCAACAAACTGGGAATAGAAGGGAACTTCCTTACCCTGAAAAAGGACATCTACAAAAGCTTGAGCTGATATTATGCTTCATGGCGAAAGTCTAAAAGCTCTCCACTAAGATCAGGAACAAGGTAAGATTTTTCCACTCTCCGCACTTCTATTAAACATCCTCTGGTTGCAAGAGCAAAGACACAAGAAAAAGAAGTAAAAGCATCTAGATTAGAAAGGAAGAAATAAAAATATTTCCAATTGGCCGGGTGTGGTGGCTCACACCTGTAATCCCAGCACTTTGGGAGACTGAGGCAGGTGGATCTCTTGAGCCCAGGAGTTCAAGACCAGCCTGGACAACATGGTGAAAC
The DNA here is from genome assembly GCF_000001405.40 of Homo sapiens. Lineage (NCBI taxonomy): Eukaryota > Metazoa > Chordata > Mammalia > Primates > Hominidae > Homo > Homo sapiens. Next base: position 98,701,866 of record NC_000013.11, on the reverse strand, counting down.
CCTGTATCTAATAAAAATTTTTAAAAAAAATAGCCAGATGTGGTGGCACATGCCTGTAATCCCAGCTACTCGGGAGGCTGAGGCAGGAGAATTGCTTGAACCTGGTAGACGGGGGTTGCAGTGAGCTGAGATCGTGCTGCTGCACTCCAGCCTAGCCCACAGAGCAAGACTCTGTCTCAAAAAAAAAAAAAAAAAAAAATTAGCTGAGTATGGTGGTGTGTGCCTGTAATCCCAGCCACTCAGGGGGCTGAGGTGGGAGGATCACCTGAGCTTGGGGAGGTTGAGGCTGCAGTGAGCCATGATCCTGCCACTGAACTCCAGCCTGGGTGACAGAATGAGACCTTGTCTCAAAATAAATCAATATATATATATAAATAAATAAATTTCTACTTTATAGATGACAATTGTTTATATAGAAAGTCCCCAGGACTGTACCAAAAGAAGCTCACAGAATCAATAAGTGAATTTAGAAAAGTCACAGGACACAGGACAAAAACAAAATCCATCACTGTTCAATGTACTAGCAATGAAGAGTTGGAATCTGAAATTTTACAACTATTTCATGTATACTATCTCCCCCCACAGAATATGAAATACTTAGATATAAATCTAACAAAATGTGCAGGATTTGAGTGGTGAAAACTACAAAATTGCTTATGAAAGAAATCAGTGAAAAGCTAACTAAATGGAGAGACAGCTGTATTCATTGATCAGAAGATTTAATATAGTAAAGATGTCATTTTTCCCCAAGCTGACCTGTAGGTTTATTGCCATTCCTATCAAAATCGTAGCATTATTTTTATTTGCTTTTATAAAAAAGCTGCTTCTAAAATGTATATGGAAAGGCAAAGGAACTAGAATAGCTCAAATAATTTTGAAAAAGAATTAAGTTGGAAGAGTCTTACTACCACTAGTTTTCAAACTTACTATAAAGTTACAGCAATCAAGACAAAATGGTATTGGCAAAGAAATAGACCCATACATGAATGAATAATCCAGACCCAACCAACTGATTTTTGTCAAAAGTGCAAAGACAGTTCAATGGATTAAGGGAAGTATTTTCAACAATCAGTGTTGAAACATTTGAACATTCATATGTAATAAATGAACTTGACCTAAACCTCAGATCTTATACACAATTCATACATAAAAATTATATTAAATTCTTACACATCTTATATGAAAACTCAAAATTGATTCTAGATCTACAAGTAAAATGTAAAACTATAAAATTTATACAAGAAACATAAACTCTTGTGACTTTGGGTTCTTAGATATGACATCAAAAACACAATCTATAGAAGAAAAACTTGATAGAGTTCACCAAAACTAAAAATGTTTGTTCTGTCGATGTCACCCTTTTTTTTTTTTTTTTTTTTTTTGAGACAGGGTCTTGCTCTATTGCCCAGGCTAGAATGCAGTGGTGTAGTCACAGCTCACTGCAGCCTCATCCTCCTGGGCTCAAGTGATCCTTCTGCCTCAGCCTCCCAAGTAGCTGGGACTACAGGCATGTACCACCACACCCAGCTAATTTTCACTTTTGGTAGAGATGGGGTCTCACTATGTTGCCCATGCTGGTCTCAAACTCCTGAGCTGAAGCAATCCTCCCACCCCAGACTCCCGAATTGCTGGGATTACAGGCATGAGCCACTGTGCGGGCCTACACTAAGATTTGAATACAAATTTGAATACATGTACCCAGCCAATATCACTCTGAAGAGAATAAAAAGATTCACTATAAACTGGGAGAAAATATTTAGAAATCATGTATTTGACAAAGAACTTGTATCCAAAATATGTAAAGTACTCTAAAAGCTCAATGTAAATAGAATTATACAGTGTGCAACTTTTTGAGGCTGGCTTCTTTCACAGCAAATCTGTATAATCTTAATTTAAATTTAATTTTATATAACCCAATTAAAAACGCAAAAGATTTGAACAGCTATGTCACCAAAGGAGATATACACACATGACAAATAAGCACATGAACAATAGCATTGGTCTTATTAAGGGAAATATAAATGAAGACCACAATGAGTTACAACACACCTATCAGGTGGCTGTAATAATTGTTTTAACCTTGACAATACCAAGTGTTGGTGAGGATATGGGGCACCTGGAACTCCCCTGCATCGCTGGTTGGAGGACAAGATGCTGTAGCCCCTCTGAAAAACAGTTTGGCAGTTTCTTATACAGGTAAACACTCACCATGTGACCCAGCCATCCCACTCCTAGATATTTACCCTAGAGAACTGGAAACTTGTGTTCACATAAAAGCCCACACATGAATGTTTATAGAAGCTCTGGTTATAATCACTGAAGATGGGAAATCACTCAAATGTCCTTCAATGGAGGATGCATAAACACCCACCACTCAGCAAAAAAGGGAACAAACTTGATACAACGATGTGAATGCATTTCAAATGCATTGTGCTGTGGAAGAAGCCAGCCTCAAAAAATTACACACTTTTATTTCTTAAACATTGAGGGTGTGGGGAGGGGCTGGTCCCACCCTGGGCTGGAGTTCCTTTTCTCACACCTGTGATTGGAGATGTGGAGAAGGGGAACAGAGGGACAGCTCACTGGTTCCTTCTGCCATAGCTCTGTGGTTAAAAATGGAAATTGTTCTCTTGCCCAGTCCCACTCCCCCAAAAGAGTGGCATTGACAGAATAATTGTATAATTCCATTTACATGACATTCGCAGAAAGCCAAAAACTCCAGGGACACAGAACACATTAGTGATTGGCGTGGGTTAGGAGTGGAGGAAAGGTTTGACTATGGGGTAGCACAATTTTGGGGTCTACGTATTCTGATCGTGACAGTATTTATAAATCAAGATAATGTTAAAATTTATATAGCACTGTGCACCCCAAAAGCCAATTTACTATAAATAAATATTTAATAAGAATAAACTGGGGGGAATGAGAGTAGGTATCCTGTTCACCTCAACGTTCAACCCCAGTCTCCAGTCCCCTGTAGCTACAACTTTGATAATTCCTGATTTTAGCTTTTACTAGTTGGCAATAAAACACACAGTAATAGTATATTTTGTATACTATTAATATACAAAAGTATACAAAAAATATATTAAGTATATTTTGGGACAATGTCTATTAACTTACGAATGTAGGCTGGGCATGGTGGCTCATGCCTGTAATCCCAGCACTTTGGGAGGCTGAGGTAGGTGGATCACCTGAGGTCAGGAGTTCAAGACCAGCCTGGTCAACATGGTGAAACCCTGTCTCTACTAAAAATACAAAAATTAGGCATGGTGCATGTGCCTGTAATCCCAGCTACTCGGGAGGCCGAGGCAGAAGAAATGCTTGAACATTTGTGGAGGCGGAGGCTGCAGTGAGCCAAGGTTTTGCCACTGCACTCCAGCCTGGACAACAGAGTGAGACCCTGTCTCCAAAAAAGCAAAACAAAACAAAACCAAAAAACAACTTACTAATACAAATGGTGGTGAAATGGACTTTTACTTTTCATCTCACCTCCTGTTTGCTTCACATTGTTAATATTTATTAGATTTATGTTTCTGTTTTCCCTGTGCTAGGCTGAGTCTAAATAATAGATCCATAAACAGGATTTACAATATGACCCTATAAATATTATTTACAACATAATAAAGTGTGATCAGTCTGCAAGAGAAAATGTTACTTTATATCCTTGAAAATGTATCCCTCAACTGAAAATGTCTTGACTATCCAGGTGCGTTGGACTCTCCTATTACATTGATGAATTGCTCAGCGGTGCCCATCTTGATTGCTTTCATTTCACCAAGGCTTTCTTGCACAGCTTCTATTTTTTTTCCCCGTAACCTAGTTGGCCTCTTGTTAACAAAAACATAAGCCTTTACCCAGTCTCCAAGGTTACCAGCTTCCTAATTATACTATTATTCTGGGAATCCACTTTTCCTCCTGAAAAACCAACTCTTCAGCACATTCTTTGAGCTAACAGGAGCACTGGCTCTGTCGTCCTGCTGAACCACTATCCTGGTAGAATTTTTCACTGTGTGCCAGGTTAATGCCTTTCTTTCTTGGATTTTATGTCATCTTTCTCAGCCTTCTTTCTACTTTTGCGGCAGCGTATGGCCAAATATCTTGTCAAGAGAAAACGAGGTCAATTCCAAGTTGTTGCTTGCCTGAAATTGCCTTTTTATATTCTCACACTTGGATCATTGGCTAGACACCATTTTCTTCCATAACTTTGGAGGCTTGACTAAAAGATTTAAAAAAAAAAAAAAAAAAAAAGCATCAGCCAGTCTTTGTGGTTGATTTCCATTTCTGCTCATCAAGCTTTCAGTGTCTTCTTTCTCTTTGGTGTTGCCAAATTTCTCTGCAGTGTAACTAAACATGGCTATAATTGTATTCATCTTGCCAGCAAGAGGGTCTTCCATTTTTTTTTTGTTCCTTCGTTCCTCTTCTTTGTTTCCTTCTCCATGAGGTCAGTAGGGCTGCCATGACAAAATAGTACAGGCTGAGTAGCTTATGTACATAGAAATTTATTTTCTCAGGCCAGGAGCAATGGCTCACACCTGTAATCGCAGCACTTTGGGAAGGCGAGGCAGGCAGATCAGGAGGTCGGGAGTTCAAGATCAGCCTGGCCAACATGGTGAAACTCCGTCTCTACTAAAAATACAAAAATTAGCCGGGCGTGGTGGTGCGTGCCTGTAATCCCAGCTACTGGGGAGACTGAGGCAGGAGCATCACTCGAACCCAGGAGGCAGAGGTTGCAGTGAGCCAAGATCGCGGCACTGCACTCCAGCCTGGGTGACAGAGCAAGACTCCCTCTCAAAAAGAAAAAAAAAGAAAAGAAATTAATTTTCTCACAGCTCCAGAGGCTGGAAGTGTAAGATCAGGATGCCAGAAGGGCTGGTTTCTCCTGAGGCCTGTCTCCTCGGCTTGTAAATGCCACCTTCCCTCTAGGTCCTCACATGGCCCTTTCTCTGTGTGTGGCTGTGTCCTAATCATCTCTTCATATGAGAACACTTGTCACATTGGATTAAGACCCATCCTAATCACCTTTAAAGGAGGAAACCCTTTAAAAATCTCTCCAAATACAGTCCCTCTCTGAGGTACTGGGGATTAGAGTTCCAGCCTGTGAATTTGAGAGCGACACCATTCAGCCCCTCACCCCTTCTCCCACCTCTCTGGGATCATTCCTGTCCCCCACACGTGCTCATACACAGCTGCCATGGCTGATCTGGAAGGAAACACACTGACAGTGGTCACCCGGTCCTGTCCTGGTCTTTGTATTTGATTCTGAGCTGGAAGCACCTCTGGAGTTTCCCTTTCGCCTCAGAATGTGGTTTCCGTTGCTTTACTTTCTTCAGGAATGTTTCCTAACCTTGGAAACTTTGAGCAATTGATATTGGGGGATCCTTTCTTGTTTTGGTGTTGTTAAAGCTTCTTTTTTTGTTGTTGGGTTTTTTTTTGTTGTTGTTGTTTTGTTTTGAGAGGGAATCTCACTCTGTCATCCAGGCTGGAGTGCACTGGTGCCATCTTGGCTCACTGCAGCCTCCGCCCCCGGGTTCAAGCAATTATCCTGCCTCAGCCTTCCGAGTAGCTGGGATTACAGGCACATGCCACCACGCCCAGCTAATTTTCATATTTTTAGTAGAGACGGGGTTTCACCATATTGGCCAGGCTGGTCTCGAACTCCTGACCTCAAGTGATCCGCCCACCTCAGCCTCCCAAAGTGCTGGGATTACAGTTGCGAGCCACCGTGCCCAGTCCCAAAGCTCCATTTAAAAAAATTGTCTTCAAAGAGATCTTAGAAAAGAAGACAGACCCACGAGATTAGCAACACTTGACTACCCCACCCATGTGGTAAAAGATGAACTGGAAGCTTTTTTCCTTTTAATTTTAATTGGTAACATCAAATCTTTAATGGATCAAAGGTTTTATTATTTCAGTGAGGCTCTAGGGAAAAAACACAAAAAAGGAGAAGTTCTAGAAAACTGGTGTCAGAAAATAACAGAGAAATAGAACAACGGAGAATCTCAGGAAGTCAGACTTCTGAGCAATATGTGAATTAAAGGAAGAGTATATACTATTTTAAGCAAAATGGAATCCTTTGACTATGTGGTATCAGTAAGCTGCAAGACTTAAGTGATTAACTTCAGGAGAACCTTTTGAATAAAGTGGCAATGCATCAGCCAAAAATTGGGCTTGGGCAGGGCTCGGTGGCTCAAGCCTGTAATCCCAGCATTTTGGGAGGCTGAGGTGGGCAGATCACCTGGGGTCAGGAGTTTGAGACCAGCCTGGCCAACATGGTGAAACCCCATCTCTACTAAAAAATATAAGAACATTAGCTGGGCATGGTGTGTGCCTGTAATCCCAACTACTCGGGAGGCTGAGGCAAGAGAATCACTTGAACCTGGGGCACGGAGGTTGCAGTGAGCCAAGATTGCACCATTGCACTCCAGCCTGGGCGACAGAGTGGGACTTCTGTCTTAAACAAACAAACAAAAAAAACTGGGTCTGGCATAGCAGTGCATGCTTGTGGTCCTAGCTACTCGGAAGGCTGAGGCGGGAGCATTACTTGAGCTCAGGAGTTCGAAGCCAGCCTGGACAAAATAGTGAGACCCTGTATCTAAAAAATAAAAAATAACTGGTTGAGAGTTTGATAGTGATCTTTCTCATGCACTTTTTAAATGTTATACATTGTTCCGTATGTATATGTCTATAAACAACACGTTGTTAAGCACATTTTTACACTAAATAGGAAAGTGAGTGTCCTGCATGCATGTCATTCTGCAATGTTATAAATAATGTTAGAAAATATTTTATTTTAGTATTTAGCCATATTGATATATGCATCTCTTTTTTTTTTTTTTTTTTTTTGAGACGGAGTCTCACTCTGTCACCCCGGTTGGAGTGCAGTGGTGTGATCTTGGCTCGCTGCACCTCCCAGGTTCAAGCGGTTCCCCTGCCTCAGCCTCCTGAGTAGCTGGGACTACAGGTGCATGCCACCACACCCAGCTAATCTTTTTTTGTATTTTAGTAGAGACAGGGTTTCACCATGTTGGCCCAGATGGTCTCAATCTCCTGATCTCGTGATCCACCCGCCTCAGCTTCCCAAAGTGCTGGGATTACAGGCATGAGCCACCATGCCCAGCCAATGCATCTTTTATCCATTCACTTAACCACTGTATAGTATTCTATTACATGGATATACTGCAATTTATTTATTCATTCCTTCTAGTCAAAGACATTTAGATGATTCTGATTTTGCCAAACAATGCCAAAATTCACATTCTTACCTGTTTCTTTGTCCACATGTATGAAGTTTCTCTAGGGCAGTGATTTCTTTAAAACTTTTTGTCACATGTAATGAAAATATTTTGAGCATGCACCCACTATGTATGAGTATGGTATCCTTTATAAATTATATATATAAACTGCATCAAATTAATGTACTTCATAAATAATGCAAAAAATAAATATAAAGGGGATGAGAAAAGTTTTCTTAAACCAATATTTTACAAATATTTTTATTCATTAGTGGTACAGAAATCATTAGTGTAGATAATGTGGTTGAAATATACTTTGTTCATTTCTAAAAATCTCAATGTAAGATTTGAAAACAGCTATGCAAAGGTCTGGCTTTAAGTTCAGTTCATTTCAATGCTTGTTTTTCATGACTGTCATACTGAAAAAGATACTTCAAGAAGGGAGTATCGGTGGGGCATAATTGACCATAATTTGATGCTTTAAAAAGATTTCATCTATATATTGTGAAGCTTTCAACCATGGGTGCTAGGACCACTGGATATCCACATGCAAAAGACTGAAGTTGATCCTCTCCACAGAAATTAACTCAATGGATCAAAGACTTAAATCCTGAAAGATTTAGGGGGTAAGCAATTGGTGAGGGAGGCCACCTGGGGAGATATGTGGCCTTCTATCATTGTGGAAGCTGGCTTACTGTGAGACTGTGACACAGGGTTGTAAAATTACAGCTATCTGAGAACAAAGGGAAGCCAGTATTGTGTGACTCTGTTCCCAAGCTTCGCTTTCCCTTTGGCATAGTGATTTTGGGGTCCTGAGGTTCTACTTCCTTTCACATAACCAAAACAATGAAATTTATAGAAGAAAACCAAAACCACAAGTGACAAAAAAAGGAAAAAGAATTTGGGCTTCATAAAAATTGAAAACTTTTGTGCTGCAAATGGTGTCATCAAGAATTGAAAGGACAACCCACAGAATGAGAGAAAATATTTACAAATCATATATCTGATAAGGGACTTATATCCAGAATACATAAAGAACTCTCACAACTCAGTACTAAAAAGACAACCCAATTTTTAAAATGGGCACAGTATTTAAATAGATATTTCTTCAAAGAAGATATCCAGTCAATAAGCATATGAATATATGCTCCAAGTTTTTAGGGAAATTTAAGTTAAAACCACAATGAGATACCACTGCCTACCTTCTAGGTTCTGATCAAAAAGATAGGCAATAGGCCAGTCGCAGTGGCTCACGCCTGTAATCCCAGCACTTTGGGAGGCCAATGTGAGCAGGTCACCTGAGGCCAGGAATTCGAGACCAGCCTAGCCAACATGGTGAAACCCCATCTCTACTAAAAATACAAAAATTAGCTGGGCATGGTGGCAGGTGCCTGTAATCCCAGCTACTTGGGAGGCTGAGGCAGGAGAATCGCTTGAACCCGGGAGGCGGAGGTTGCAGTGAGCTGAGACTGTGCCATGGCTCTCCAGCCTGGGCAACAAGATTGAAACTCCGTCTCAAAAAAAAAAAAAAAAAAAAAAAAAAACGTAGACAATAACAAGTGTTGTTAAGGATGCGGGTAAACTGGACCCCTTGGCTGGGCATGGTGGCTCATGCCTATAATCCCAGCACTTTGAGAGGTCAAGGTGGGCTGAGTGCTTGAACCCAGGATTTCAAGACCAGCCTGAGCAATATGGCAAAACCCTGTCCCTACAAAAAAAGACAAAAATTAGCCAGGCATGGTGGTGTGTCCCAGCTACTCGGGAAGCTGAGGTGGGAGGATCACCTGAGCCCCGGGAGGTCGAGGCTGCAATAAGCCATGTTGGTGCCACTGCACTGCAGCCTGGGTGACAAAGTGAGACTCCGTCTTCAAACAAACAAACAAATAAATAAAAATTAGTACCCTTATTCATTGCTGGTGGTAAATCTAAAATGGTACAGCCACTTTGAAAAACAGTTCTTTGAAATGTTAAACATAGAGTTTTACTACAAAACTCAGCAGTTTCACTCCTGGGTATATAACCATGTTGACCAAAATTACGGGTGTTGAGGCAGAAATAATTTGATTTATTGGAAGCCAAATGTGAGGATCAACCTGGAAAGAGACATCAGCAAAGTAGGGCATGTCCCAGAGTCTACTGCAAGTTGGAAGACTCTTATAAGAAAGTTTAGGAAGACCGGGTTTAGTGGCTCATGGCTGTAATCCCAGCACTTTGGGAGGTGGAGGCAGGAGAATTACTTGAGGCCAGGAGTTCAAGACCAACCTGGGCAATAAAGCAAAACTCCCTCTCTGCAAATATAAGAATTTAAAAATTAGCCAGGCATGGTGATGCACTCCTGCAGTCCTAGCTACTTAGGAGGCTGAGGTGAGAGGATTGTTTGAGCCCAGGAGTTCAAGGCTGCAGTGAGCCATGATTGCACCACTGCACTCCAGCCTGGGTGACAGAGTGAGGCCTTGTCTTAAAAAAAAAAAAAAAAAAAAAAAAAAAAAAAAAAAGTTTAGGAGAAGAGAGGGGGACTCCTCATATTAGAGCTTTCCATTTTCTTTTTTTTTCTTTTTGAGATGGAGTTTCGCTCTTGTTGCCTAGGCTGGAGTACAATGGTGCGATCTCGGCTCACCGCAACCTCCACCTCCTGGGTTCAAGCGATTCTCCTGCCTCAGCCTCCCGAGTAGCTGAGATTATAGGCATGCACCACCATGTCCAGCTAATTTTGTATTTTTAGTAGAGACGGGATTTCTCCATGTTGGTCAGGCTGGTCTCAAACTTCCGACCTCAGATGATCTGCCCACCTCGGCCTCCCAAAGTGCTGGGATTACAAGCGTGAGCCACCGTGCCCCGCTCAAGCTTTCCATTTTCATTGGAGGTTATAATACAGAGGTTATGATCACTGGCTACAGATGACAACATATGGGCTAAAATGTTTTACCACAAGAAAGTCAGTAAAACGTCATGATTCAGAAGCAAATCTGCATCCTTTTCAGTGTTAGTGGGCTACGTATTAATCAGATATCAACACAATAAGATTGGAGGGAGTCACTCTTTACTCACAGACAGGCTATACGCCATGTATTGTGAGACCTTCCTCAGGTGGTTGATTTGGAAGCCTGCCAAATGTGACATGTGAGGTGTCACCCAGAAGAGATGAAAACATGTCCACACAAAAACTTGTGCATGCATGTTCATTGCAGCATTATTCACAATAGAGAAAGCGTACAAATAAATCCAATGTCCATCAGCTGATAAAAGGTGGTATATCCATATGATGGAATGTTAGTCATAAAAAAGAATGAAGTGGCCGGGTGTGATGGCTCACGCCTGTAATCCCAACACTTTTTGGGAGGCCGAGGTGGGCAGGTCATGAGGTCAGGAGATTGAGACCATGCTGGCTAACACATCCCCTCTCTACTAAAAATACAAAAAATTAGCCAGGTGCGGTGGCGGGGGCCTGTAGTCCCAGCTATTTGGGAGTCTGAGGCAGGAGAATCACTTGAACCTGGGAGGCGGAGGTTGCAGTGAGCCGAGATCGCACCACTGCACTCCAGCCTGGGCAACAGGGTGAGAATCCATCTCAAAAAAAAACAAAAAAGGAATGGAGTACGGATACATGCCACGATATGAACGAATGTGAAAGACAATATGCTAAGAGGGATGAAGCTGGTCACAGAGACCTGCATAGAATGATTCCATTGACATCAAGTGGCAGGCAGAGCCATGGAGACAGAAAGCAGATGAATGGCTGCCAGGGGGCCAGGGAGGAACGAATGGGAGTATTTAGACATGTTTAGATGTGCAAATCCTTACCATTGTGTCACAGTTGCCTCCAGTATTCAGTGCAGCCAACGTTGCACAGGTTTGTAGCCTCGGAGCCAAAGGCCACACCCATGCAGCCTGGGTGTGTGGTGGGTGGCACCGTCTAGGTGTGGGTAAGTGCCCGCTGTGAGGTTCCCATCACCACTGAATCGCCTCCGGACGCATTTCCCAGACCCCATCCCCATCATTAAGTTACTCGGACTGTGTTTTCATTTCTTGTCGCACCAGCCCTAAGACATAGGCCAGGCAGCTCAGAATCCTCTAGCCTTAGGGATGGTTTCATTCAGAGTCTGATGGCTGATAAGTTATAAAGCCAGGCCTCAGGCCCAACGTTCTGCTTCCTCGGCTTCACTCTGCCCACATGCTCTCTTTTGTGTGGGTGATCTTCATCTTTGATAAAAGCAGCTCTTACAGTCTAGAGCAGTGGGAATTCTAGCTAAGGCCCGTGTGGATCTGTCTCAGGTTCCATTTTCCATATTAATCAGCTATCAAATGACACCAAGTAGAAGGCCTCGGGACTTCAGGACCTGAGTTTAATTCATAGCCATTTTCTCCCAGCACCTAAAATTTGATCAGTATTATTTGTTGCCACAAAACTGATGAAACTTGGCCCCACATTTTAGCCATGGAAAGGTTAAATTATTCTTTACACTGCTGAGGTGTACACTAGTAAGACTTATTGTTCTCTACCCTGGATAATCTGCTCTAGGCCTTCACTCATGTGTTTGGTAGGAAAAGTCAACTGGTCTTATTTTGAGCAACACCGTCCTGGTCACTAGGGTTGTATGAGAGTTTCAGGGTCGTCTATAGCCTGGAACAGCTATGAAAGGGGTCTGTAATCAGCCATCCGTGCTGTTCACCATCTGTATGGTCCTATGAAGGCAAACAATTCACCTGCTTCCATATGAAGCGTAGCCTCACGGGACTTTGTAGAGATAGGAAGCCTTGGACCTGGAAGTCGGTCTTATTGGGTATCCATTCAAAGCTGTATTCCAGCAGGATGCTGACCACTGTCACTCCAGGACCACACAGGCCTCCACCCTCTGAAGGGGATTCCTTAAAGCTGTCTCTCAGCCTGGTATAATGACTCATACCCATAATCCCAGTGCTTTGGGAGGCTGTGGAGGGAGGATCTCTTGAGGCCAGGAGTTTGAGACCAGCCTGGGCAACACAGCCAGACCCTTGTCTCTACAAAAATAAAAATAAAAATTAGCCAGGCATTGTGGCACACACCTGTAGTCCCAGCTACTCAGGAAGCTAAGGTGGGAGGATCACTTGAGGCCCACAGTTCGAGGCTGCATTGAACTGTGATTGTATCACTGCACTCTAGCCTGGGCAACAGAGCAAGACCTCATCTCTAAAAAAGACTGAAAAAACCGTCTCTTGTTACTGGGCTGGCCCACTTCTTCCTCTCCAGTCCCGGGTGCCCTTCCCCACCTGAGGCTCCTAGAGGTAGGAAGTAGGTGGGCTTTCCTCCTCAACCCCCTAAAGAAGGGGGTGTCGTTTAGGAACTGGGGTCTATCTTTTAGGAACTGGGCAGCATCTGGTTTTGGTCTTTCACTACTTGAGCGCTAAAGTTTCTGGCCAGGCGCAGTGGCTCCCACCTGCAATCCCAGCACTTTGGGAGGCCGAGGTGGGCAGATCGTCTGAGGTCATGAGTTCAAGACCAGCCTGGCCAACATGGCGAAACCCCACCTCTACTAAAAATACAAAAATGAGCCGGGTGTGGTGGTGCATGCCTGTAGTCCCAACTACGCGGGAGGCTGAGGCAGGAAAATCGCTTGAACCTGGGAGGCAGAGGTTGCAGTGAGCCGAGATTGCACCACTGCACTCCAGCCTGGGTGACAGAGCGAGACTCCATCTCTAAATAAATAAATAAAGTTTCTGAAACAAGGAACACAAAGGCACGGCTACCTTCTTGAAGGGAAGAGGCTCAGTATCTACTTCAGTCCCTGCTTAATATTCCTAATGTATTGAACTAGGTTAGATTTACAAAGTACTTAGAGCAGTAACCAGCACATATAAACACTGTTAAATACATTCTTTTAGGTGTGTTCTCATGAGTGGGTGAGCAGGGATAAACCCAGAGTTTTTCACTTTTTGTCTTTATTCTCTAGAAATATTCTGAAAACATCTTAAACTCCTTCAAAATAGGGAGTATTGCCCAACTTCAGGTGCATGTACTGTGACCTAGAATATATTATTCTCTAGTTCAGTTACAAGACAGATGGTTTTCTGTTTCAGATTTGTAAATACTTTTAACGAGCTCATCACCATCACAATGAGTGGGAAAGTTTATGCAAACATCAGCAGCTACAATGCCAGCACATACCAGTTTTTTCCTTCTGGCATGTAAGTACCGAGACTGAATGCTTCACTCAAAGGTTCAAGAATTTTTCTTTAAAAAATGCATTGAAATTTTTAATGCCAAGAATGTTAACCAATATTATTCTTTATTTTGATAGAAAAGGCTTCACAATAAGCTCAACAGAGATTCCGCCACAATGTCAACCTAATTTCAATACTTTCTACCTTGAATTTGGTAGTGCTTATACCTATATAGTCCAAAGGAAGGTTAGTAACTCGTTTCATTGTATCAGAAGATCTGCTCATACTCGATTGATATGAAGACTCACAAACACTTAGGACATAATATGATTTAACTAGAGTGATATTAGGATCTGTATTTTAAATGGGCTTAGAATTAATTTGCTTGGCTAATTCTTTAACTTATTGATGACTTAATCATTAGAATCTAAACAGACTGACTTCCCCTGGATAATAATTTATGTTAACCAATATCTGATGCCTCCTTCTAGACTATTAACATGGACTTAAAGAACTCATAGTTCAAAGAGAGGGCAGTGTTTTAAAATGACTTCCAACCTACTCTCTTATCTAAAAGAAAAATCCTCCTGAACGTGTCTTCAAATCCCATTGCAAGTGTAAAATGCAGTGTTGCCTTATGTTTAAAATGTGTACGTACTTGACAAATCATATGATGTAATCCTAGAAGGTCAAACTCAATTTACCTGTTCGAACAGTTTTTATTTTAGAAGCTATCTCAACTTCTTCTGCTTTTGCCTTACTGCTGCAGAATGACAGCTGCCCTGAAGTGAAGGTGTTTGAAGATATTTCAGCCAACACAGTTAACATGGCTCTGCAAATCCCGCAGTATTTTCTTCTCACCTGTGGCGAAGTGGTCTTCTCTGTCACGGGATTGGAATTCTCATATTCTCAGGTTTCTTGTTTGTTGTATTTACCACCCATCTGCAATACCCCTGCCTGCAGAAAATGCTGATGGGACTTAATTTAAATCTGGGATAACTATATTTTTTAAAAAGTCTAGAAAGCATTATGGTATCTTCCCTACAGCAAGGTCTCTGAGGTCACCAAGTGTTGTCCTTAGTGAATAAGAATTATTACTGTCTTGAACTTTGCAAGAGCACGTGTTCACATGTGTCCATAGCCCCACAGTCATACCCTAGACATTTAGCGCCCAGTATTTATTACTGACTGCTACCAGAGTGATGAAGGTCAGCAGATTCTCCTTTCTGAAACAACCAAATGTAACCAACCATTCATAAAACAGCTCAATTACAGGTCTATGTCCTCATGATAGGTTTGGTTGAGGTCTCTTTATAGCTCCCAGTAAACATAACAAATAAGGTCTAGCTTTAAAAATTAAAAAAAATTAAAAAAACACATTAGCTGAGCATGGTAGAGCACGCTTGTGGTCCCAGCTACTTGGGAGGCTGAGGCAGGAGGATTGCTTAAACCCAGGAGTCCGAGGCAGCAGTGAGCTGTGATCACACCACTGCACTCCAGCATGCGCAACAGAGCAAGACACCATCTCAAAAAAAAAAAAAAAAGAAGAAAAAGAAAAAGTTTAAAAGAATTATTGCTTTTAAGTGTGTTAGACTAATGAGCTAGGTTTTATTGATACCCAAATTAGAGCTTAATTATTGAACTGTGTTGTCAGAGCTATAGTTATAGGCATTATAGCCCACAATGCCTAGTACCATCAATTTTTATAGTAAAGAGGCCAAGATGAGTCAGAAAATCACTTTCTGTGATAACCTCACAGTCTAATAAAGGAGATAACTGTAATACAGGTGACAGGTGTTTGAAGAGATTTTGGAGATGTGGCAGGAAAGCCACAGAAGGGCAAGCTTGCAGCCCAGGGCAGCCTGCATTTGAGGGGAAGACTATGCCAGGCTGGGTGGCTTTGCTTGGAAGCTCTCCTGTAGAAATAGGATCAGCTCCTCCGTAGATGTGTCCATTTAACTAAGGGGACAGCTTTGCAAGGATGTGGAGCGTGAAACACAGGAATTCTTGTCTACTCGTCTGTGCATGTTTGGGTGTCTTGTTACTTAAGTGATGATCCTTTTTACATTGAGGCCACCTGACTTTTCGTGTGCATTGTTAGGGTGATCTGCTTCACGAAACGCCCATCGGTGAGCTGTGTTCTCCTGCTCGGAGGGTGAGACCTGGAGCAGGACTCACTTTGCTTTGCTTCCTCAGGCTCCTTCCAACATGAAGTCGGTGCTTCAGGCAGGATGGCTGCTGACCGTGGCTGTTGGCAACATCATTGTGCTCATCGTGGCAGGGGCAGGCCAGTTCAGCAAACAGGTATGGCGTGGGAGAGGAGATTGCACATACCTCTGTCTTTCCTGTTCATGGTCATCATGGTGGCCTTCCCTAGCCATCTGTGTGCTCTGTGTGGTCATCTAGGCTAATAGCTGGATTAAACTGCCAGACCAGCCAGGGCTGTTCCCAAATAGCCTTATGGCAAAGTGTCTGCTGTTTCTTCTTCTTCTTCTTTTTTTTTTTTTTTGAGACGGAGTCTCACTCTATTGCCCAGCTGGAGTGCAGTGGCGCAATCTTGGCTCACTGCAACCTCCGCCTCTCGGGTTCAAGTGATTCTTCTGCCTCAGCCTCCAGAGTAGCTGAGCCTACAGGCACCCACCACCACACCCGGCTAATGTTTGTATTTTTAGTAGAGACAGTGTTTCACCATGTTGGCCAGGATGGTCTCGATCTCTTGACCTCGCTATCTGCCCACCTTGGCCCCCCAAAGTGCTGGGAGGTGTGAGCCACTGCACCTGGCCTGATGATTCTTCTTATTCCCACTTGTTGTTAACGCAGCTGGAAATTGACAACCAAAATAGCTGGAATGGGTTAACTTGAAGTTGCCCTTATGTGTTTTACTATCAAGGGAAACATCTCTCCTAGCTTCAGTGAATGCAGCTTAGCAGCTGCAAAGCAGACACATGTTATCCTGGAACTTTCATAACACCTGAAGTTAAAGCCATCCTAGAGTTGGTTATAAATTTTCCAGCTAAAATTAAATGAGGGCTCTACTGATACTTACACTCTTTCCTTCTGCACTGTAGCATGTCTGCCTCATAAGGGAGCTGTTATCCCATCCGTTTCATGACTTCCTGCACCAGGTCCCAGCAGCAGATGTGCTAATGCTGTGTGCTTATGAGCTCCAGGTGTTTCCAAGGAGGAACGTGGGGCTCTTAACTTGCTGGAGTTCAGCATATTCATTTTTCCCTTGTGGGGACTGCTTGCTGTTCTCTTGGTCCCCATCCTTCCAGGTCCAGCCACATGTCTTAAGGCTTCAGTATTTCAGAAATTTTCTCTCATCTTCCCAAAGTCTGTTGTTTCTGTACCTTAGTGCTGTTCAAAACATGTTGTCTATATTAGCATCTATCTATCTTGGGCATTCCAGAAAAGCTGGGCTTACTGTATCTGTATTGGTTGCTTACCAATTTTCCATAATTTAATTTCAAAGCACTCTCCATCTGCATGTAGCAAGAACATGTACGCACCATATATTCATCAGTATGACCTGTTTTATTTTTGTTCTTTTTCCTGCTCCAACTCTGATTTCTTCAAAGTGGGCCGAGTACATTCTATTTGCCGCGTTGCTTCTGGTCGTCTGTGTAATTTTTGCCATCATGGCTCGGTTCTATACTTACATCAACCCAGCGGAGATCGAAGCTCAATTTGATGAGGATGAAAAGAAAAACAGACTGGAAAAGAGTAACCCATATTTCATGTCAGGGGCCAATTCACAGAAACAGATGTGAAGGTCAGGAGGCAAGTGGAGGATGGACTGGGCCCGCAGATGCCCTGACCTCTGCCCCCAGGTAGCAGGACACTCCATTGGATGGCCCCTGATGAGGAAGACTTCAGAATTGGGAACTAAACCATGAATGCTATTTTCTTTTTTCTTTTTCTTTTCTTTTTTTTTTTTTTTTTTTTTTTGAGACAGAGTTTTGCTCTTGTTGTCCAGGCTGGAGTGCAATGGCACGATCTCAGCTCACTGCAACCTCCGCCTCCCAGGTTCAAGTAATTCTCCTGCCTCAGCCTCCCGAGTGGCTGGGATTAGCGGCATGCACCACCACGCCCAGCTATTTTTGTATTTTTAGTAGAGATGGGGTTTCACCATGTTGGCCAGGATGGTCTCGATCTCTTGACCTGGTGATCTGCCCACCTCGGCCTGCCAAAGTGCTGGGATTACAGGCTTGAGCTACCGCGCCCGGCCGTGAACGCTATTTTCTAAGCAGCCAGCAGTGAATCTAAAACTCTGGAAGAAGTCTTCTGTTTGAAAGGCTTATTTAAGCCACACGTACACACACTGTCTTAGAGTACTGTGAGCCCACCCCACATTGGTCATCTTCCCTATCACACAAATGATGTTATTTTGGACTAGCTTAATTTTGAAATGGTAACAAAGTTTCCTATTCCATACTGTTCATTTCTAATACTCTTACGAAAACTATTCTAAAGGAGGCAGGAGCCAAGGCCAAAAGTGAACGTACAGGTTTGAAATGGCTGTGATAAGGACCAGCTGGTATTAACTGATAACTTTACCTTTGGGTTTTTGTTATTTTGTTTTTCTAGTCCCTACCTGTGTTTAAATTATGGATAACTCGAAAGACAGCTCAGGTGAAGGCCAGTAATGATTTTTTTGAAGTTTCAATGGTGTGAAATAAATTTCTGTTCTTAAGCCTAAGTGTTCATGTATCTCTGGGTAGGGTAAGAAATCTTTAACATCCTATCTGATTATAAAAGCAGCACCTGCTCATTAAAATTTCTTCCTGGTCCTGTTTTCCCCAGGGATGATTGATTGATTGGTTGATTGATACATAGGCAGACAAACAGATAAAGAAAGGTAGATAGGCAGATAGATAGATGATAGATAGATAGATTAGATAGATAGATGAACAGATAAAGGTAGGTAGGTAGATGATCGATAGATAGATAGACAGACAAACAGATAAAGGTAGGTAGGTAGATAGAAGATAGATAGATAGGCCGGGCACAGTGGCTCACGCCTGTAATCCCAGCACTTTGGGAGGTAGAGGCGGGTGGATCATGAGGTCAGGAGATCAAGACCATCCTGGCTAACACGGTGAAACCCCATCTCTACTAAAAATATAAAAAATTAGCTGGGTGTGGTGGCAGACGCCTGTAGTCCCAGCTACTGGGGAGGCTGAGGCAGGAGAATGGCGTGAACCTGGGAGGCGGAGCTTGCAGTGAGCTGGAATCACACCACTGCACTCCAGCCTGGGCGACAGAGCAAGACTCCATCTCAAAAAAAAAAAAAAAGAAGAAGATAGATAGATCGATAGATGATGGATAGATACAGGTAGGTTGGTAGATAGATGATAGATAGATAGATAAATGTAGGTAGGTAGGTAGGCAGGTAGATGATAGATAGATTAGATAGATAGATAGGAGAGACTTATATTACTAGGACCGTCCTATGTGCACATTTGTGTACCATCTCCTAGTGTTTTTCTCGATACTCACAAACATTTCCTGCTGGCGTAAAAATTCTTCTAAAACATTTTAAACACCTAATGCCTAATTTATCCTAGAGATGTTTATCATTTAGCCATCCCAGGTATCAGGTCCAGAATGAGTCTACCTTGGCACTCCTACACAAACAAGCCACAGTTCTTAGACAAACTAGTGCGCAACTCTGATGATTGAAACTGGTTCCTGCATTAGAAGGAAGAGTTCGCATTTGGCCTCTAAAATGCTTATATACAAGCTCGCCATTGCACCATAGGGGCTGCATTGAAGGGGAGACTCAAAGTCCAGAGTGAGAAACATAATGTGATTATCAAATCTTAACACTTTTTCTAGCCTTGGGATCGAGTCCTAATTCCTTAACTAGGGGCCATGAGGCTCTTTTTCCCTCTGGACACACTTCCTTTCTCTCCATGCACTCTGATCCTGCCAGCATGGAGCTGCTGCTCCTTCCTGGAACACATCACATTCTCATTCCCAAGTCAAAAGGCAAGAAAAAGAATACCCCAAGATACTTAATTTCCACCACCCCCAACCCCTCCACCTGGCTAAGCCCTCTTCATTTTCATGCCATGTCCTCCAAGAGTTTTCCTGTCCTCCCTCCCTCCCATGCTAGGCTGTGGCCCTGCTCTGAGCTCCCATAACACAGCTTCACATTTTCAAGTTGCACAGACCTCAGTGGATCATCACTATCTAGCTTTTCCTAGACCAAAAGCTCTTCTGTATATCTTGTTCACTGTTCAGTCTCCAGAACATAGTAATCCTCTATTTGTTTTTTAATTTTTAATTTTTTTTTTAAGAGACAAGTTTTTACTCTGTTATCCAGGCTGGAGTGCAGTGGCACGATCATAACTCACTGCAACCTTGAACTCCTAGGTTCACGGGATCCTCTCACCTCAACCTCCCAAGTAGCTAGGACTACAGGCTTGTGCCACCACACCCAGCTAAGTTTTTAATTTTTTTTGTAAAGGCAGGGTCTCACTGGCTGGTCTCGAACTCCTGGGCTTAAGACTTCCAAAGTGCTGGGATTACAGGCATAAGCCACAGCACCCAGCCCTAGTGCTCCACTCTTATAGTTGCAGTATAAGTTTGGGCAGGTTTTGATCTTTTTAATCATTTCCTCTCCTGTGAAATAAAGAGAATACCAGGCAGACAATGTGAGGCCTTAAAAATCCTTTGTTTGGCTGGGTCCAGTGGCTCACGCCTGTAATCCCAGCACTTTGGGAGGCCGAGGCGGGTGGATCACTTGAGGTCAGGAATTTGAGACCAGACTGGCCAACATGGTGAAACCCCATCTCTACTAAAAATACGAAAATTAGCCAGGCATGTGGCACATACCTGTAATCCCAGCTACTCGGGAGGCTGAGGCAGCAGAATCACTTGAACCCGGGAGGCGGAGGTTGCAGTGAGCCGAGATCGCATCACTGCACTCCAGCCTGGGCAACAGAGTGAGACCCCGTCTCAAGAAAAATAAAAATAAAAATAAAAAAATAAATCCTTTGTTTAAGGGTGCCTGGCACACAACAGGCATTCATATATTTGAATGAAGGTCGTTGTCATGCCCCTCAACCAAGTCTGATATTAACACATAGTGTTCTTTGCGTGTGAGTAACTAACATGTAGTGTGCTCTGCATATGGGTGGAAATGATGCCTACAGGCTCTTCTTCAACCTTTGATGGACATGCAGAGAGCACAGAGGGGAGCTTGGGCATTTTGCCCATCAGGGTTGACTTTTCAGAGTAATCCTCCCTCTGGCTCTCATTTCACCACTTCCAAGCATAATCAAGATGGACAGAGGCCAACATGGGTGCCCTCTTTGCAAGACCTCATGCAATTGCAAATGTCATGGATGGGGGTGGTGGAGGGGAATGCAGAGGCCACATCACTAACCTCTGCTCTTCTGTACTTTTCCTGCAACTCATTTTTTTTCGTGTTTTGTGCCTTTCTCTAAATTCCATGATGACCAATGTATAACCAAAATAGTACACTGACTTGATCATTGTCTGACTATTAAAATACAATTCAGCATGGGTTGGGAGGAGCTAAAGAAGCCCCTGGGATGGAAATGCTTTAATTGGACATAGCAGGACTTCGTTTCTTACTCCTAAAAGCCAGCATACCTTGAGAAGTATTTACAATGCATATATGAATATTTTTCATGTTGCACTATTCTTGTTGTTTCCATGTGTTCCATAATTTTTTTTTTTTTTTTGAGACAGAGTCTCACTCTGTTGCCCAGGCTAGAGGGCAGTGGCACGATCTTGGCTCACTGCAACCTCCACCTCCTGGCTTCAAGCGATTCTGCTGCCTCAGCCTCCTGAGTAGCTGGGATTATAGGTGTGTGCCACCACGCCTGACTAATTTGTGTATTTTTAGTAGAGATGGGGTTTCACCATGTTAGCCAGGCTGTTCTCAAACTCCTGACCTCAAGTGATCTGCCTGCCTCAGCCTCCCAAAGTGCTAGGATTACAGGTTTGAGCCACCATGCCCAGCCAATTATGTTTTTCGTTTTGTGAATGTTCTTTCTTTTTTTCAGGGCACTAAAATATTTATTTTGATATCTCTTTTAGATGTTATAAAATTACTTTAGTTAATGTATGTCCAGGTTTGATTTTTGTTGACTATTTTAGACATTGATTTTTGTCATGCATTCTGGAATATTTTTGGTAGTTTTTTTTTTTTTTTTTTTAAAGACCAGGTCTAGCTCTATCATGCAGGCTGGAGTGCAGTGGCACCATCTTGGCTCACTGCAACCTCTGCTTCCTGGGCTCAAGCTATCCTCCCGCCTCAGCCCTGCAAGTAGCTGGGACTATAGGTGCAAACCACCATGCCCTGCCAATTTTTGTAGAGACAGAGTTTCACCATGTTGCCCCAGATGGTCTCGAACTGCTTAGCTCAAGCAATCCACCTGCCTTGGCCTCTCAAAGTGCTGGAATTATAGGCGTGAGCCACCGAGTCTGGCCTGGTAGCTTCTTTGTTTTTTTGAGTCGGAGTTTCGCTCTTGTTGCCCAGGCTGGAGTGCAATGGCATGATCTCGGCTCACTGCAACCTCCGCCTCCCAGGTTCAAGCGATTCTCCAGCATCAGCCTCCCAAGTAGCTGGAATTACAGTCACCTACCACCATGCCTGGCTAATTTTGGTATTTTTAGTAGAGACGGGGGTTTCACTATGTTGGCCAGGCTGGTCTCAAACTCCTGACTCAGGTGGTCTGCCTGCCTCAGGTGATCTGCCTGCCTCGACCTCCCAAAGTGCTGGGATTACAGGTGTGAGTCACTGTGCCTGGCCACCTCGTTTCTAAATGGCCACCTCACTTGCTAACAAAAGTGGTGAGTATTTACTGAACACTGAGTATGTGCAGACAGCATGCCAAGCACTCTATTGAATGAAATTTACAAACATGCAATCCTTGCCACAGCCTTGTAATGTAGATTACCGTTACCCATTCCCATTCCACAGAGGAGAAAATAGGCACAGTGAAACCAAGTACCCTGCCCCAGGCCATCCCAGTCCTGCTCCAGAGCCCAGCTGCCAGTCATTGCACAGAGCCGCCTCTCACTGCCAATGTTCAATGGGCAGTATGGATTAATTCTGTTTTTATCCTTATAACAAAACTAAGGAAGGTTTTGTTATTCCTATTTTGGATACAAGGAAACTGGAGAACGTGAAATTTAAGTAACTGGTCCAAGGCCATATATCTGGCTGCTTGCTGAGCCAGGATTTGAACCCAGGCATGTCTGGGCAAAGAGAAAGCCCTGTTAACCACAACACTATGTTCATATAACAGAAAGCAAACTTGTGATGGCTGAGGCCATGTAAAGGGGGCAAGGGAAGGCAAAGTGGGCACTGAAGGGCTTCGGAGAGTGAACTGTCCGCTTGAAGGGAAGGATGAACCCCTAGGCCTGGCCTCGGTGGTTAAGAGGGGCTTAAGTGTGTAGAAAGGAGAGGCTGAAAAACCCTGCTCTCAAACGGCTAAACAGAAAAGATTCAGCACATTTATCCTCTTAGTGGAGTCTCAGCACATTTATCCTCTTAGTGGAGTCAGGGCCTCCTGTAAGGATGTTGGAACCCCCTCCCCCATGGGCCCGGTTTGTGAGTGCCCTATTGCCTATGGGTGTCCCGGTGGGTGACCCCCCCAACAAGGCGGTGGTGATTAGCTCTGAAACTCACCACACAGTAGGCCAGCATCTCACCTGGAGGGGCAGCCGGCTTAGGGGCAGAGGGAGTAAAAGCCACAGAAAAAGGAGTGGCCAGAAACAGCGAAGGAGAGGAAAGGCGAGCATGGAAGTCCATGGGCCTACAGCACAGGGCAGCAAGAAGGGGCAGGCTCCTCCATTTATTTATTTTAAAATTATGGCAAAATACAGACCAGGTGTGGTGGCTCACGCCTGTAATCCCAGCACTTTGGGAGGCTGAGGCGGGCAGATCACCTGAGGTCAGGAGTTCGAGACCAGCCTGCCCAACATGGTGAAACCCCGTCTCTACTAAAAATACAAAAAATGAGCCAAGCCTGGTGGTGGGCGCCTGTAATCCCAGCTACTCAGGAGGCTGAGGCAGGAGAATCGCTTGAACCCGAGAGACGAAGGTTGTAGTGAGCCAGGATTGTGTCACTGTGCTGCAGCCTGGGCAACAAAGTGAGAATGTCTCAAAAAATAAAATTATGACAAAATAAAGATAAGGTAACATTACCATTTGAACCAGTTTTTAAGTCTGCAGTTGAGTGGCATGAAGAACATCCTCATTGCTGGAGGACCATGGCCACCATCCATCTCCAGAACTTTTTCATCATGGCCACCATCCATCTCCAGAACTTTTTCATCATGGCCACCATCCATCTCCAGAACTTTTTTCATTTTGCAAAACAGGAACTCTGTCCGCATTCCACACTAACTCCCCACTCCCCCTCACCCCAGAGGCCACCAGAGTGTGAGAAACGAAAAAGCCATTCTCCTTCCACTTGCCTGTGTCCTGTGATGTTGAGGGCTCCTGGGCTTTCTCAAGAGGGTCCTGTGTGTCCGGGTTTCTGTCTCCAGCCCTGATCTGAGGCAGTGAGCAGGGAGTGAGCCTGGGTCTCCAGGTATCTCGGGTCTATCAGCAAGGATACAGCCACCTCCAGGTCCATCAGCAAGGACACAGCCACCTCCAGGTCCATCAGCAAGGACACAGCCACCTCCAGCAGCTGCTGCGAGAGGACTGTGGCTTTTCATCTCGCCTCCTGCTAACATCTGGTGATTCAGAACCACTGGGGTTTTCATTTGATGTAATGTCTGGTTTGTTCTAATGAGGCTCCTAGACGCCGTAGATATGTTTAAGACTCAAAAGCCACGGGAAGCGAATCTGGTGGGGTGCTGTTCTGGCGCGCCTGGAACAAAAAGCCATGCATTTCTAAGGGCTGAATGTTCTGGAGGCCAGCGTGGGGCCCTGTATTATTCATAGTCCGCTTTTGTGTTATTATAAAGGAATACTTGAGACTGAGTAATTTATAAAGAAAAGAGTTTTATTTGGCTCACCGTTCAGCAGGCTGTACAGGCATGGCACCAACCTCTGCTTGGCTTCTAGCGAGGCCCCTGGAAGCTTACAACCACGGCGGAAGGCAGAGCCGAAGCAGGCCCATCACATGGCAAGAGTGGGAATGAGAGAGAGTGGGGGGATCCCAGACTTTTAAACAACCCGGTCTTATGTGAACTAACGGAGCGACAACTCATCACCAAGGGGATGGCACAAAATCATTCAGGAGGGACCCACCCCCATGACCCAAACACCTCCCACTGGGCCCCACCTCCAGCACTGGGGATCACAGTTAACCTGAGATTTGGAGGGGACACACATCCAAACCATGTCAGGCTCTAAGAGCTTTGTACCTTCTGGCAGTCAGAGGATTGACTAAGCAGCCCTTTGTGCTTGGGGCCATCCTACTCCTAGCACTGAGTCAAGGAAAGCATTTCCCAGCTGGACACGGTGGCCCATGCCTGTAGTCCCAGCGCTTTGGGAGGCCAAGGTGGGCTGATCACCCAAGGCCAGGAGTTCGAGACCAGCCTGGCCAACATGGCAAAACCCCATCTCTACTAAAAATACAAAAATTAGCCAGGCATGGTGGCAGGCACCTGTAATCCCAGATACTCAGGAGGCTGGGGCAAGAGAATCACTTGAACCCAGGAGGTGGAGGTTACAGTGAGCCGAGATCGCCCCACTGCCCTCCAGGCTGGTCAACAAGAGTGAAACTCCATCTCATTAAAAAAAAAAAAAAAAAAAAAGCATTTCCCTTCACAGTTTCCATTTCGTAGGTTTCTCCTACAAAGTTCCCTGTCCCCATCACCACAGGGAAGAGAGGGGAGGCCCAGACCACCTGTCCCAGGGCCCGGTTGACACACATGTCCCTGCTTTGCAGTGGCTGGTAGATGGAACCGAGATCCTGTCCGCCAGCTGGTGCCTTGGGGCAGAGACGGCCTTGCCATCCATGCTGCTCAGCCTGTTTTCGTCTTCAGGAAGGTTGAACTTCAGTAAGTCCGGAGTCTGACTCAGGTCCTTGATTTGATTTACAAACCTGGAAAGGATCTGGAATAAGTCCCACCCAGCTACTAACAGGCACAACTAGTCGTTAGTTGCTAAGGACCTACAGCAGGAGCGAGAGAGTGTGCGTGCGTGCGTGCGTGCGTGGGTGCTTGTGTGTGTGTGCCCATCTTCCCTAATGAGTGTACAGAAAGATGAAACAGATGAGCCCACTAGGGAGGTCCAGGAAGGCACCAAGTCAGTAGCAGAGGGCGGTGGCTCCCAAACCACAGCAGTGACCAACACGGGACATGGAGGTAAATCGGAGTGTGCAGGCTTTCTGTGGTGTGGCCTGGGAGGTGCCTCTGGCAAGTGGAGACGGGCAAATTGCCTGCAGGCGGGAGGGGTCGGGCAGCAGGCAGGTGCTGGCAAGAAGCGGACACAGGGAGAGACCCTGCAGCCTGGGTGAACGCGTGCTTTCGGGAGGGTGGGGCTGCAGCGAGACTGCAGGGCGAGGGTGGAAACACATCATGCTCCTGGTTCTTCCCTTCCTTGAGCTGTGAGCTTGGGCAGGCCGCTGGAGGCGTCAACGTCACCATTTGTAAAATAAAGACAGTGCCCGCTTCCCAGGGTTGGGGTAAGGCCCTTGTGGTGCCAAGAAAGGCCCCTGGGTGAGCCCTTGCCCTGTGCTAGTTGTTCTACCCATGCTTACCGAGCATGCACCAAGGGCAGACACATGCCAGGCAGGTGGGATACCTCCCAGAACAAAAAGAAGCCAGACCCCTGCCTCTGTGCACACTCGCATTCTCGCAGCAGCCGATGAACCATAAGCAACAAATGGGCTGAATAAGGAAATTATGGAAAATGATGTGGTATAGTAGGAGGTGTTGGGTGCCATGGATCTAAAAAAAAAAAAATAGAGCAGAGGGACAGAGGTTGTGACTGAAAAGGATGGTCAGAGGGCGCTTCCTGGGATGGTGGCATGTGAGCAGCCACTTCAACAAGGTGAGGGCAGAGAGTGCCTGGCAGAGGGGCAGCCGTGCAAAGGCCGGAGGCGGGGCATGCCTGGTGTCTTTGAGAGGCCAGCACACAGGATCAGGGGGAGTGAGGGAGAGCCAGAGCCCAGCACACAGGATCAGGGGAGTGAGGGGAGCGAGAGGCCGGCATACAGGATGTGGGGAGGGGGAAGGAGGGAGAGCGAGAGGTCAGCACACAGGATCAGGGGAGTGAGGGGAGCGAGTTGCTGAGGGCGGAGAGAAAGGGTGTGTCTTTCATGTTGGGCAGGCCAGGGTGAAAGCCTGGGCTTTTGAGATGTCTACAGAGGGTTTTGAGCCTAGAAGTCACGTGACTGCTGTGTGGCAGGACCCCTCTAGCTACTGTCTTAAGAATAAAGTGATCTGGGCGTGGTGGCGCGTCTGTAGTCCCAGCCACTTGGGTACTTGGGAGGCTGAGGCAGGTGGATTACTTGGAGCCTAGAAGTTGGAGACCAGCCTGGGAAACATAGGGAGACCGCATCTCTACAAAAAATTTAAACATTAGCCAGGTATGGTGGCACACATCTGTGATCCCAGCTCCTCAGGAAGCTGAGGTAGGAGGATTCCTTGAGCCAAGGAGTTCGGAGCAGTGGTGAGCCACGATCGCACCACTGCACTCCAGCCTGGGCGACAGAGCGAGACTCCGTCTCAAAAAAAAAAAAAAAAAAAAAAAGAATAAACTGAAAGGGGCCAAGTGTCCATGCAGGTTCCCAAGTGACCTTCCAGGAGGGTGGCTCTGGCTAGGTAGGTGGCAGTGTGGTGGTGAGAAGTGGTGGGATTCTGGATATACTTTGGAGGTTGATGGAGCCAACAGGATTCTCTGACAGATGAAATGTGGGAGACAAGAGAAAGATATTTGCTACTTTCAGCATGGCCTGTTCTAAGGGCTTTGAGCATTTTATTCATTTAATACCCTGAGCAGCCCTTGGAGGTAAGCATATCAGCATCCTCATGCCACAGATGAGGAAACTGAGGCACACTGTGGTTCAATAACTTGCTCGAGATCCTACAACTCTGTAAGTGACAGAGACAAACCCAAGCTTGATGATGGCTTTCCTGTGCCTCTGTTCTCTCGAATTCTGAGAGTGCCTGCACCTTGGGAGGAAGCAGAGAGTCAATGTTTGTTTCCAACAGAGAGGTGACTGCAGTAGTCTGTGATTGAAACAGAAACCACAGTTGGGAAGTAGGAAATCCAAGTTCCCATCTGCCTTCCTGGTTAACTAGTCTAGGTATAGACTTCCAGTCTGTAATCATATCAAGGTGGAATTGCTAAGAAGAGCATGTTTTCTGTCTCTCCCTCTCTCTCTCCCCACCGCCCCTCAGCTCACCTTTATAAATCTGTTATTTGCCTGATGTGTTTCTTCAGAAAGAACTCGAGGACACTTCCAATCCCCTTCACACCTCCACTGTCATAGGAGCAGGGAAGGCCTTGGAGACAGGCAGCCCCATCTGCGACGCAAGGACCTGCGCTGCCTCTCAGGGAATAGCACAGAACGGTGGTGAGAACGGAGGTCGCAGAGTCCAAGATTTGGATTTAAGTCCCTAAGTAGGGAGCTCTTAGGACCTGTGTGATAATGGGCAAGTTCTTAGAATTCTGAGCCTCAGTCCTCTCTCTGAAATATGGGGATAATGGTAGTGTCAATGTCAGAGAGGTGTTGCCAGAATTTGCATTAAGGGGACCGAACAACTGCCCTCGTTGGTCCAGGACTGAGAGGATTCTCAGGACAGTCCTTGGCCAAACAGGATGAGTTGGTCACTTTAATTTAATAAGACAATCTATGTAAAGTGCTTGGACTTGGCTCATTGAAGTGCTCTTAGATGCTCCAATGATAGTATCTCTTCAACAACATTTATTTAGTAAGCACCTACTATGTGTTCAATGCTGTATGATACACTGGGGGTAAAACATAGATAAAGCCCTGCCCTCAAGGAGTTTGCAGGTGTTCACGGAATGCTCAGAGCAAATCCTTGGGGTCCAACCATGACAGGGTTAATAGTGGGGCTGTGTCTAAATGGGAGGACAAAGGTCAGGCACTTCTCTCAGCTGTCCCCAGCAGAAGCCACCAAACAGAGCAGTGACCTCAGTGGCTTCCTGTTTCGAAAACATGGGCGTCTGAGAAGCCGGATGGCCCCAGGGTGTGGTCAAATGACCACAGGTGCTTTGCCAAATGGCTCTGGGCAAGCCCAGCTCCCGGAGCTTTTCTTTAGACTGAGTGAGGTCCGGGCAAACTGTTTGCAAGTTCCCCAGATTGGCCACAAGATGGCAGGAAAGCACATTTGTAGGAAAACATGGCAACAAAAGGCTTTTCTCAATGTCAGAAATTAGGAATTTTTTGTGCGTACACATCAGAAGGCCTGTCCGAAACTGAGTATTTGTATTTCTAGAAGTTTCAATCTTGGGACTGGCCATAGCGGACTTACAGTCTGTCTGGACTCAGGTAGGGATTCCAGCAGGGATCGCAATTCCTCCAGATGGCACCAGACATCTTGTGGAAGCAACGGGCTTTACCTGAATTAGGAGAAATTCAGGAAAGAAATTCACATTGACAAAGCACTTCCTACATGCCAGGGTTTGCATTATTTTACATATGTCCTCATCTATTCATTCATTCAACAAATATTTAGTAAGCATTACTATTTTCTAGGCACGGATGTAGGCCAGATAAACTGACAGAGAGTCTAACGTCAGGTGTGGATAAGTGTCACAAAGCAGAAACAAAGAGAGTAGGGAGGCAGAGAGTAATGAAGGCTGATATTTTAGTCAACTCTGATGAGTATTCTATTAATTTCAGTATTTGAAGAACCTTTTGAAGGACTCCAACCTGGAGGCCCATTGTACAGCAGAATTCAGAGAAATCCTTCTAAAACTATGTTGGGTATTGACCATTTTTGGTTTGGGTTAAAAAACAAAAAACAAAACAAAACAAAAAACTATGTTGGGGTCCCCTTCATCTCACCACTTTGTCACCTCCTGTACCCCATATCATCTTCTTTCTTGACTTAGAAAGAAGACCCTTTTTTTGGTGGGGTACTTTTCTGTAGTGACTTCCTGAGAAAGGTAATAGGGGAGGTAAACTTTTTCTAGGGTCTTGCAGGTCTGAAAATGTTTGAATTCTCCCTTCTCTTTTGCTTGACATTTGACTGTGTATAGAATTCCAGCTGGAGACCATTTTTCCTGGTAATTTTTTTTAAAGAGATGGACCCTCACCATGTTGCCCAGGCTGGCATGCAGTGGCTATGCCCAAGTACGATCCCACTATTGATCAGCATAGGAGTTTTGACCTGCTCCAGTTCCAATCTGGGCCAATTCACCCTTTCCTAGACAATCTGGTGGTCCCCCACCCCCAGGAGGTCACTATATTGATGCTGAACTTAGCGTGGACACCCGATTGGCATAGCACACTACAGCCCAGAACTCCTGAGCTCAAGCGATCCTCCCCCATCAGCCTCCTGAATAGCTGGGACTACAGGCATACACCACCATGCCCAGTGTTCCCCGGCAATTTTGAAAGTATCACTCCACTGTTCCAGCTTTCAATGCTTCAGCTATTGAAAAGCCCAAGGCATTCTGATTGTTATGGATCTTGTGTGTAAGAATGTTTTTCTCTCCAGAAGCTTGTAGAATCATCTGTTGGGTTCTAGAAATTTGAAATTTCATGATGATATATCTGGCATGGGCCCATTTTTAACCATTGTGCTGATGCTCCAGTGGCCCTTTCAAACTGGAAACTCATGTCCTTTGATTGTGGGACATTTTTATGAATTTTTCATTTTTAATTTTCTCCCTTCCACTTCCTCTGTTCTCTCTGGACTCCTGTTATTTAGAGGTTAGTCCTCCTTGACCAGCTCTCTAATTTTCTTATCCTTTCTCTCCTACTTCTTTTTCTCACTTTTTTTTTTTTTTTTTTTTGAGACAGTCTAACTCTATCTTCCAGGCTGGAGTACAGTGGCATGATCTCGGCTCACTGCAAGCTCCACCTCCCAGGTTCAAGCCATTCTCCTGCCTCAGCCTCCCGAGTAGCTGGGATTACAGGTGCTTGCCAACGCACCCAGCTAATTTTTTGTATTTTTAGTAGAGACAGGGTTTCACCATGTTGGCCAAGCTGGTCTCGAACTCCTGACCTTAAGAGATCCACCTGCCTTGGCCTCCCAAAGTGCTGGGATTACAGGTGTGAGCCACCGTGCCCAGCCTCTACTTTGAGATTGCTTCAGCTATGCTCTAAGCTCTCTCATGTATTTTTTACTTCCTTCATCAAGTCTTCAATCCAAAGGGCTTTTTAATTACCTGAATTGTTATTGATTATAGTATCCAGCTTGTACTTCTTGATTACAGTGTCTTCTCTTAGAAGTTTCAGACAGTTGACATACGGATTTTGAAGTTTTTTTACCCTACGTAATCTCTATTTTCCCCAAGTTGCCTTTTTTTCTGATGTGCTTGTTTTTTGGTATGTTTTTCAAATAGCAGATCTCATTCGATGTCTTATGACCCTTGGCTGTCTGCTCTATGTTTAAGAGTAGGGGTAGACAAAGGAATATAAATCATTCTATTATAAGGACACCTGCACACATATGTTCATCGCAGCACTATTCACAATAGCAAAGACAGGGAATCAACCCAAATGCCCATGAATGATACACTGGATAAAGAAAATGTGGTCCATACTGTGAACCCAGAACATCTGAGACAGGCCTCAATTAATTTAGAAAGTTTATTTTGCCAAGGTTGAGGACGCGCCTGTGACGCAGCCTCAGGAGGTCCTGATAACATGCGCCCAAGACGGTCAAGGCACAGCTTGGTTTTATACATTTAGGGAGACATGAGGCATCAATGATATAGGTAAGAAGTACATTGGTTCCATCTGGAAAGGCGGGACAACTTGAAGCGAAGGCAGGAAGACTCGAAGCAGGGAGGGAGCGTCCAGGTCACAGATAAGAGAGGGCATTGTCTTTGGACTAGGGCGCTGTGTCTTAAGTCCCACCGGCTTCTCCATGAGACCCACACAGGCTTTGCCTGAGTTTCGCTCCTGCCTCTGGACGAGGTTACTGTGCTCAGTGGTTTGCCCTTAACAACTCAGGCGTCCCCTTGCGCTTTTAGATTTAGGCCTTAAAAATTAGCATGTAATTATGGAAATCACTCAGTCACTTGATTATGACCTCAAAGGCAGGGCTCTTAGTATCCAAATGAAATATTGGGAATTGAAAAATATATCTTAGAATGAAGCAAATTGCCAAATTCCAGTAAAACTCTGAAGATTGCAGTGCCTTCTATCGGTTTTAATCTATGAACCAAACATTTCCAAGGATGGATGACCCAGATTTAGCATAATAGTTCTGCTAGGGAACACAGCCATCAATTACTACCCCTCTCTGAATAAGCAGGGCTCTCATTCTCATTACACTGTAAAAATGATTAAGTAGTGGCCTCCATGAGAAATGTGAAATGTTTTTCAATTAAAAGATAAATTTGAGGGAAATGATTTTATTTATAGATGATAATAACCATATTAGTCAAATTAATGAATTTGTGTTCAACAGGAGTCCAATAAATCATATTTCCATATTGCAAGAATTATTCTGACTTTCCTCACTGTACAGATTTGCACATATTACAATGGTTAGAACTGGGACTTTTAGGACCAAATGAGATGAAAGATCACTATTACAACAAAGAACCAGTTATAAGAATAACAGTTGCTGCCATTTATCCAGCCCTCCTCACGCCTGACCCATATGCCTTCATGCACGTGGTCTCCCCAGTAGCCCTACAGGATTGCCTCTGTTATTGCCTCACTTTTCAGATGGAGCCCAGGTTCTGCTAAATGACAGGCCACATTTTGGCCATTATGCTCTTCATCCTAAGGTTTCACTTATTTAAAACTAAATCCAAGATTTGATTCTTAGAAGGGCTATAATTCAGTTGTAATTAATAAGGACCCAGATTACAAAGTCGAGCATGAGACTGGAAAAGAAGAATATTCGACAACGAAGACAGATTTTCCCTCAATCAACTTGTAAAGTTAACACACTCCATATAAAAATACTGGAAGCTTTTGTTTCTTCAATTGATTGATTTCATTTTGGAACTAGATAATTCTAAGTTTACAGGGACAAGTAGACATGGAAAAATGTCAGGAAAACTAAAAAGAAGAGCGTCGAGGAGAGACGACTGTATGAGGCATCAAGGATGGTGGAGAGTGTGATGTTTCGTCCTCTCTCAAGCTAACAAGTTACCCTGCACAGTTTCATGATGCCAGTAGAAGACATGAGATTCCTGGGGAAAGCCACGTGTCCGCATTATCAACATTTTCTTGTGTGGGTTTCCCAGCCCCTGATTCCCATAAGGTGACATAGAATGGGCCAGGGGACACCGGCATGTACTGTGTATTACACTAAGGGAAGGAGCTCTGAGCCTAGGAAAGCCAAATCTTTTACGGTGGGCATAGGCGTGCCTGTCCTTCACTTCAGGGAGCCACCATCTCTATCTTTCAAGGCTGTTTGCCATCTAAATATCCTCATAAAGACAGTCTGGACCAAAGGCATCTTCAGCTCACAAGATGTGGAAAACTGCAAGAGACCCAAAGACAATGGTCTACATCCTCTTTACTTAAAACAGGAAATACAGGTGTATGAAAAGACAAGTAAGCAAATGGAATGGAAGATAAAGATCCAAATGAACTGCAATCATATGGGAATTTAGAATTCGATAAAGCTGTCATATCAAATTGGTGGGAGAAAACATGGACTTTTCAACAAACGATGATAGGAAAGTAGGATAGTTAACCTGGAGCAAAATGAAGTTAGATCCATAGGTCACACTGCACTCAGAATAAGTTCCAAATGAAGCAAAGATTTAAATATTTAAAAAATGAAATACTTTGGAATTATATACGTCAAAGTAATAATTGTGTATACCATACCACTGGGAAACAGTGAAAGTTTGACAGGGGTAATGCTTAGTTTTATGTGTCAACTTGGCTGGGTTAAATATTTGCTGAAACACCAGAATGTGGCCGTGAAGGTCTTTTTTATATGAGCTAAACATTTAAATCAGCAGACTTTGAGCAAAGTAGATTATCCTTCCTAATGGGGGAGGGGGGCCATCCAATCAGCAGAAGGCCTGAAGAGAAAGACTAAGGTCCGCTGAGGAAAAAGGAAATCCTACCTTCAGACTGTCTTCAGACACAAGCTGCAACATCTCCTCTTCCCTGGGCCACCAACCTGCCAGCTCTGCAAATCTTGGACTCAACAGCTTCCACAGTTGCAGGAGCCACTTAAACTAAATCAGTCTCTGTCTCTGTGCACGCGCACACACACACGCACATGGACACACACACGCACACATGCACACATCCTATTGGTTCTGTTTCTCTGGAGAACCTTGACTAATACAATGGGGCACAGGATGTATCTCAAAGCCTATCCCTACAATTAATTTATTAATTGCAATGGGAAAAAAGGGAACTTTGTAGTGGAGAGACCGGGAGGGTACTGTCTTACCTGAGTGATCAGCAGTAATGGGACACGCTGACATCACATGCCTCCTAATGCATTGCACTGAGAAGGATCCAACATCATTTATGTAGAAACCCTGCCACAAATGAACAACCTGATTCTAATCAAGAAAGCTGATCATAATCACTAGGAAACAAAGATAAAATGGGGAAATAATCTACAAAGCACATGGCCTGTACCCCTACAAAATGCCAATGTCGTGAAAGACAAATATATATATATATATATAATTGGAGACCAAAACGAAAAGGCTGAGGAACTGGTCTTGATAAAGGAAAGGAAAGACACATGACAACCAAATACAAGTCACAATCCTGGGCTAGATCCTGGATCAGAAAGAAATGTTCTAAAGGACATTACTGGACAGTTGGTTAGATAATAGAAGAGTGTTGTTTTTTGTTTTTTTGTTTTGAGACAAAGTCTCGCTTTGTCACCCAGGCCGGAGTGCAACGGTGCGATCTCGGCTCACTGCAACCTCCGCTTCCCGAGTTCAAGCAGTTCTCCTGCCTCAGCCTCCCAAGTAGTTGGGATTACAGGCATGCGCCACCACACCGGGCTAATTTTTGTATTTTTAGTAGCGACAGGGTTTCATCATGTTGTCCAGGCTGGCCTGGAACTCCTGACCTTGTGATCTGCCCGCCTCAGCCTCCCAAAGTGCTGGGATTATAGGCATGAGCCACTGCGCCTGGGCTAGTAGAAGAGTGTTATTATTCAATCTCCTGACTCTGACTAATTGTACTCTAGTTAGGTAACAGAATGCCTTTGTTCTTATGAGATACTATACTATGAGAGAGAGAGAAAGAGAAAGAAAGAATGAGAGCAAGAAAGCAAACATGTAACAATGGCTAGAATTGGTGTATTCAGGTAAAGATTGTATGAAATTTGTTGAATTCGTTGTACTATGTTTTAGTAGAACAGGCTGGAGTGCAGTGGCACGATCTCGGCTCCCTGCAACCTCCGCCTCTGGGTTCAAGCAATCCTCCCTGCCTCAGCCTCCTGAGTAGCTGGGATTACAGGTGTCCACCACCATGTCTGGCTAATTTTTGTATTTTTTAGTAGAGACGAGGTTTCGCCATGTTGACCAGGCTGATCTTGAACTCCTGACCTCAGGGGATTGCCTGGCTCGGCCTCCCAAAATGCTGGGATTACAGGCATGAGCCACTGAGCCCAGCCTCATTATTCTAGTCTTGTAATTTTTCTGATGCCTGAGATTTTCTTCAGGGTAAAAATTTTGAATGAAAAATGAAAACGTCATCGTAAATTGTTAAATCAAATATTAACAGCATGCTTTGGAAAGACAGACGTAAAAGGATTTCCAATTCATTTAATTCTATGGCAAATATTTCTGAGCATCTCTTCCAGGCATATAATCAAGATGAAGTAAGATATTGTAGCAGTGAGCTTGCCCCCTCCCCATTACCTGCTCTGGCATCTCATGGGGTCCTCAGTCCCATTAACTGATGTCATCAGTGTCAGTTCCAAACCAGGTGTTATCTGGCTTGCTACAAGAGCTATTTTTTAAAATGCCTGTACCTATGATGTATGTTTCTTCCTTTATCTGTTTATTCCAAAGATTTCTTGAATTCCAGTGTATTTTGCGTTAACAGTCTGACCAAGCCTGCTTCTACACTTAATCAATATGGCAGCTGTGCCCTTGCCACAGGGTTTTCAGAGAAAGCCAATACAGGAGCAGAACCTTCTCAATCTAGAGAGTGGGGCTCAGCCAGCCAACAGCCACAGGAAGGGGCCATGCAGTGAGACCAAGGCTTAGACTCTGAGAGATGGAAAGTTCTTTCAGAGAACCTGACAATGGACAGTAGGGGCAGAGCCATGAGCGCAAAGCTTCAAAGGTAGACTTAGGGCATGAGACGAGATCCCAGTGCTAGAGGGACCAAGGCCTCTGGACCAAAGAACTCAGACCAGGAGCAGGACAAGAGGAGGTCCAGGTGCTAAAATGCTAGTACCAACCAGGGCCCTGGGCTCAAAAGAGAAATGCAGCTGTCCCTACCTTTAGAAGAAAAGGAGATTAGTGGAGGGTAAGCTGTAAGACTAATGTCACAAGCTTTTGAGCTCACAACTTCTCCAGCTATTTTGTTTACCCCTTGACCTTTGCCCTCATTGTTCTTCATTGTCCCCACCCCAACCCCTCCACAGACCAGTCATGGAGAGTGAGGGAGAGTCAGCCTGAAGGTCTTTGTGACCACAGGTGCATCAAATGTTTATTTTGGCCAAATGGGAATGGTTGAGTGTTAAATTCAATATTCAGCTGATGCTGAAGCCAAAAATAATCATCAAAGACTAAACCTCTGGGCTACAAAAATAAACCTGAAATTTCATCAAAAATTATTTATTATTTCAATGTTATCAAGAATTTAAGAAGTCAGTTTTTAAATTTTGACGTTTCAACACAAAAGCAATTTCTTTCGTGGCCACAAAACCACATTTTTGTGAGATTTGTCACTCACTTTCCAATAAAGTCAGTGGGGGAGCAAGATTTCTGGGGGATTACCTTTGCCAGGGCAGGCATTGGGGTTGATCATGTTTACCAAGTTATTAAGCTTCCTTTCTTCTCCAAGTGGCAAGCAACAAAGGCAAAGATGTATTTGTTCTTTAACTCCTGAGCTTACTGATTTGATCAATGGCAAAAATACAAGCTCATCAAAGCAATCCCATAAACTAAGACCTGTGCATTGCTTAAAGAATGTGTTTTCTGGGTGTTTTCATTACACATTAATCTGGAATATTTACTCATATCTGCAAGCAAGTATTCAGGTATAATAATTAACCTGAACAGCATTCATCACTACATTGATTAGACTTAATGGTAACCTAGGTACATGAGGTCAGGATGTCCAAAAAAGCAATGAAGTTTGCTGTCAGACACTCTAAAGGCAATCCTAACCACAAAGCTGAATGACAGACTTTGGCCAAATGCACAGGCTAAATGAAAC
Source organism: Homo sapiens (assembly GCF_000001405.40). Lineage (NCBI taxonomy): Eukaryota > Metazoa > Chordata > Mammalia > Primates > Hominidae > Homo > Homo sapiens. Next base: position 98,665,007 of record NC_000013.11, on the reverse strand, counting down.
TTCCTTGCTTCCTTATCTGCTACCAGATGCTTTTCAAGGTTTTCAAAGGTTTCCCGGTCTTTCCACTGAACAGTTTTCAGGAATATGAGAGATACAGAATTCAGACCACATGGCAAATGACTCCCAAGGGTCCCTGGTCACTGCCAGGAACACTTAAGCATCCCTGGGGATGCATGGCTCAAACCCCACAGGTTGCCACATTTGTTCAGTCTGTTGGGGCATACAGAGGCAGAATCTATCCTAAATCCATACCATCTAGAGTAGTGTCCAATGCAGAGTTGGCCATCAATACATTTTTGTTAAAAGGAATCAACAAGTGAATGAATGTATGGTCGGTAGAATGTGGCAATGTTGATATTTCATTTAAGAGAAGACCAGCAGTTATCCACCTTGAAAACATCAGGCAATGACCTGTCTGGAGGCAGAGGATTTGAATTTGTGATTTATTTGCCTTTTTTTTTTGACATTTGATTGTTTTGTTAGAAACCCACCAAATAGATGCCTGAGGCTTTGAGGGAATGTTTTAGAAACAGTAGAACACCCACTCCACTCAGAGCTCCAGAAGCCATAGGGAGGACAGGGGCTGCAGTTCCAGAAAGGACTAGATTGGGAAAAGATGACTTGGAAGGGAAACAAAAGAACATCAACGTGTAGCAGCCGCGACTCCCTGGCAGGTTCCTCCTCTGCGTAGGTGTCAGTGCCCGAGCCACCCGTGGAGCAGGCTTCTTTAGTCACAGTTGAACATCTCTGACTCACCACCTGACATGGGTTGTGCTCGTATTTTCCATTATAGAAACTGTATCTGGTGAGTCAGGACCAGAGAGAAACGTGAGACTTGTGGAGGTGTCAGAGGCATTCGAACCACAGCGACTCCATCTTGAGTGAGGGCTGGAAAATGAGGCTGGGGCTTGCTGGGCTGTTTTCCCAGAGAGTCAGGCATTCTGAGCCTCTAGAGTTTACGGTTAAGGGAACAGATTGATAATACTTACTAGACAGACCCAGACTTGGGAATGTCCAGATATCCAATATCTGGAAAACAAAGGCATTCCTAATTTTGTTTTAAAGTTAATAATATTGATTCTTACAAAATATAGTAATTAAATGAAATTAATCCTTTATCACAAACCCTTGTAGAAGAGCACATCTTCCCATCATCTTTTTTTAGTCATATATATACACACACACGTATACATATATACACACACATATACATATGTGTGTGTATATATATACATACAATGTGTGTATATATATATACATACAATGTGTATATGTATACACATACAATGTGTGTATATATACATTGTATATATATGCATATATAATGTATATATACATAGTATATATATGCATATATATACAATGTATATATACGCATATATATACAATGTATATATATACGTATATATAAACAACGTATATATACATGCTTGTACCTAGGGCAGACGCGCTCTTCCTCTTACTTTCCGGAATGCCCTACTCTGTCTATGGAGTAGCCTGTTCTTTCACCACTTTACTTTCTTATTTATTTAATTATTTATTTATTTTGAGATGGAGTCTCACTCTGTCACCAGGCTGGAGTGCAGTGGCACGATTTTTGCTGTGCACTGCAGACTCACCCATCATTCTTTCTTTCGAGAGATAAAAGAACCCTCTCTTGGGATCTGGATCAGGACCCCTTTTCTGTAACAGAGGGTAGGCGTTTAGGCTCTGTGGGGAGAAGGAAAGGTGATGTAAGCCCTCACAGGTCCCCACCTTGGCCAGAGAAGTGTTCCCTAGCATGAATGAGGACCCCCAGCCCAGGTCTCGCGCTGGGCTGCAGGGAGCATTTGAAGGGGGAAACTGCGCCACTCCTGCTAGTTTTCGTGGGTGATGTCAGTGCCAGGCTTGATCACTGGCAGGTTCCGGGGTCAGCCCTCTGAACCAGTCCCTGATTCCTGAAATCTGGCAAATACAAATTAAAAACAAAGGTGTAATTCTCCCAGCTGAAAAGAAAGGGATGCCCCACCTTTCCCTTTTCTTCCAGAAGTTATTTCTCCATCCTTTTCAAATGTATGTGAATCTTTTTTTTTTCTTTTTTTTTTTTGAAATGGGATCTTGCTCTGTCACCCAAGCTGGAGTGCAGTGGCATGATCTTGGCTCACTGCAACCTCTGCCTCCTGGGTTCAAGCGATTCTTCTGCCTCAGCCTCCCGAGTAGCTGGGATTACAGGCACGCACCACCATACCCGGCTAATTTTTGTATTTTTAGTAGAGACAGGGTTTCACCATGTTAGCCAGGCTGGTCTTGAACTTCTAACCTCAAGTGATCCGCCTGCCCCTCGGCCTCCCAAAGTGCTAGGAGTACAGGCGTGAGCCACCGTGCCTGGCCTATGTGAGTCTTTTTAATGGTTAAATAAGCCAGTCTTACAACTCAGAAATGTTTCCTCGGGGACCCAGGGGGAGCCCCCTCTTTGCAATGGAATCATCCAGGACAGGAGCGTCCCTCCTGTCTCCCACTTTCCTGGGAGGAGAAGAACCTAGAGCATCACCTGACTCCACATTGTAAAATCTGCCTAATGTCAGAGCCATGACACCTTTAGCTGTCACCTGCAATGCTCATCTTGTTCTGGTTTAGATGCTTATTCAATGATAACAGTATCTTCTTCCTCTCTATCTTTCAGGAGAGGTTTTCTGGGCTGGGAGTGGATTTTTAAAAACTTTAATTCTATTTCGCCAACACTTTGTGCAGCACCAGGCATGCAGACTTCATGTCAGGGCCGAGGCCAGAGATGCAAATCTTCTCTGTTAATCAGACAAAGGGGGGCCAGACCCCACGCTCTGGCTTCTTCTCCAGATTCCAAGCCACCGATTTTTCACTCACAGACTTTGTGTTGTGGGCAGAACATGCTCTATCGGCATCAAAATATTGAGCCCAAATCTACAGGAACAGAGTTCCGTAAGTTACCCACGAAGGGCTGTTGCCAGCCCACGTGCTTTGATTGGGTCTCCAGGCTGAGAGGCCAGGTGGGTGGCGAGGTTCCTATGAATTGCACCACTCTGGGTGGCTTCAGATCTCCTGGCTCACTGTCCTCTCACTCCAGCAAGCCAGCTAAATTAAAGCGTCCCTCCCATTGCACAGGACACCAATCACCTGGGCATCTTTCCCTGAGACACACAGCCCGGAGCTATCATGAGCGAGCTGTGTTAGCTTCAACCAGCATCTTCTTCAGAGAGGCCGATCACCTGGGCACATTCACATGCCTGCTTGTTTGCAATGCCCACCAAGACCTCACACTCTGAGAACAGAGCGTTGGAGGCAGAAGAGGAGGACGGAGGAGAGGTGGAGAAGGAAAAAGTGTGCTGGAGCTGGGCACGTAGGTGAGGGCAGCCTGGGGAGAGGCCCTCTCCGGCCTTTATGGGCCAAGCATTGTGAGAGGGCTGGGTAGGGCAGCAAGGATACCAGCATGCAGGGCCAGCGCCCGCCAAGGAAAGTGAGAGAGGGCCGTGCTCTGTCTACACCCACCTGGCGTTCCTTCCCTTTCCAGAGGTGAGACCATTAGATGGGCGTGCCAGCTGCCTTCAGCAGGGCCTTTGGGATTGGGGAATAAGAAGCCCTTCTCCCTGGCCCACTCCCCATTCATGGTCCACAGTCTCTGTTATCGTTCTTCCTTTTTTTTTTTTTTTGATGGAGTTTTGCTCTCGTCACCCAGGCTGGAGTGCAGTGGCACAATCTCTGCTCATTGCAACCTCCGCCTCCCAGGTTCAAGCAATTCTCCTACCCCAGCCTCCTGAGTAGCTGGGACTACAGGCGCCTGCCACCATGCCCGGCTAATTTTTTGTAATTTTTAGTAGAGACGGGGTTTCACCGTATTAGCCAAGATGATCACGATCTCATGACCTCGTGATCCACCCTCCTCAGCCTCCCAAAATGTTGGGATTACAGGCGTAAGCCACCACGCCCGGCCCTGTTATCCTTCTTTAGGACCCCTGTGCAGTAAGATGAAGGTGAGAGGCTGAATATACAGATGGCTCGTGGCCAGATCATACATGAAAATAGAACTCTGACCCCAAAGCTGTAGCAGCCAGCCCAGGACGTGGCCTGATATCTATGAATCAGACCAGTGGGACCCAGGCCACCACATCCAGCCACCAGCCCAGGAAGCCAAACAGTAACCCCTCCAATAGTGGGCCCCAAATGGCCAGGACTCGATTAGTAACTGACCACTTCCCTGATGTTTGTGCCCATTTCTAGCTTAGGATCAGCCAGCTTGCCCCCGACCAATCACGTGGCTGCCCCACTGCTATTCAGCTGCCCCTGGCTTCCCCAGGCAACAGCCTCCAACAGGGCACACCTGAAGCCATCCCTCATGTCAGCGGTAAAGCTCCCCCATTCCCATGCCTGTCTTTGAGTCTCTGCCAAATGCCAGTGATGGTGGCCAGCTCCCCTGCTATGGCAAGCTCTGGATAAATTGCTTTTCCTTGTGCTCCTTTGAGTGGTCTTTGTTGATTCCTTCCGATGCAAGAAACAGCCTCTCTTGCCTAGGAAGAGAGAAGACCCTTCCAGGGTCAAGGCTGGGTGAGAGCAATGTCCTCCCTGCTGCCGAGGTAAATCCGTGTGCCAAGGGTGGCATGGAGCCCTCTCACCTCTAGAACCCTCCACTGCCCGCCCAACCCTCCTGCCACCTCTTCCTGGCCCCTCCTTCCAGCCTGCTCTTCCCAGAGCCAATAATGAGACAGAGGCCTGAGGTGGTTTTCCGATGTTCGGGAGGCACTGCCCAACGTGAATGCTCCAGGCCTTCAGGCATCAGCCTTGTGGGCATCTGGTTGGAGTTTCACAGGAAGTGACCCTCGGGAAATCAAATTAAAGTCTCCAGCAGAACTGACCATGGTGGAGCAGCAGGCAGCATGGCTGGGGCAGTAAGGAGACACTAGGGACCCCACAGAATTAGTAGCACCCTTGGCAACCCCTGGACGGATCAGATGACTGGTAGTAGCAATGATTAGGTACAAAACACGAAGCCTCTCCTCCATGCCAACCACCACCTGTAGGCAAAGACTGAATTGGGGCCCCAGTAGAAACAGTGGGCCCGGCTCACGCCTATAATCCCAACACTTTGTGAGGCTGAGGCAGGAGGATCGTTTGAGCCCAAGGGTTCAAGACCAGCCTGGCAACATGGTGAGACCCTGTCTCTACTAAAAATACAAAAAATTAGCAGGGCATGTTGGTACATGCCTGTAGTCCCAGTTACCCAGGAGGCTGAGGTGGGAGGATCACCTGGGTCCCAGAGGTTGAGGTTGCAATGAGCCAAGATCCTGCCACTATGCTCCAGCCTGGGTGACAGAGCCAGATCCTATCTCAAGAAAAAACAAACAAACAAAGGCAACAGTGAATCAGACCTCAGCGTAGAGTTCTCTATGCCTTCTCAGCTCTTCCTTCAAGGAACGGAGTAACTTTAATATTCAGAGATGTCCCTTGCTTTTGTCCTTGAAGAGCAGCGAGTTGAAAATATTTTTTTATTATGATGAGCCAGTGTACAGTTTTTTCCTTATAAAAAATAACTCCTAGATGAGGTCAAATTCTTTTCTCATTTGAAGCCGTGTGCCCTCATTTGATGTGGAAGTGTTGGAGAGAGCTAGGGAAAGGCTAAACACTAAAGTCTTAGAGAAAAGGCTCCTATCTCACCAAAATGGTTTATCCCGTATTTTGAGAAGGTGTAAATTCAGCCATGTGGGATGTTCTAGGGCAGGGGTCCCCAACGCCCGGGCTGCAGATTGGTACAGGTTGGTGGCCTGTTAGGAACCGGGCAGCACGGCAGGAGGTGAGTGGTGGGCCAGTGAGTGTTCCTGCCTGAGCTCCGCCTCCTGTCAGATCAGCCACCACACTAGATTCTCATAGGAGCTCGGACCCTGTTATGAACTGCGCCTGCAAGGGATCTAGGTTGAGCGCTCCTTATGAGAATCTAATGCCTGATGATCTGAGGTGGAACAGTTTCATCCCAAAACCATCCCCGCCATGGAAAAATTGTCTTCCACGAAACCAGTCCCTGGTGCCAAAAAGGTTGGGGACTGCTGTTCTAGGGTTGTAAAAAAACAACCAGGCCCCAAATGTCCATACCATCAGAGACTGGATTAGACACTGAATGTCCTTGGCAACGCCAGTATTCTTTGTTTTTGTTTGTTTGTTTTAGTTTTTGTTTTAAGACAGAGTCTCACTCTGTCACCCAGGCTGGAGTGCAGTGGTGCAATCTAGGCTTACTGCAACCTCCGCCTCCCGGGTTCAAGTGATTCTCATGCCTCAGTGTCCTGAGTAGCTGGGACTACAGGCACCCACCGCCACACCTGGCTAATTTTTGTATTTTGTTTTTTTTAGTAGAGATGGGGTTTCACCATGTTGGCCAGGCTGGCCTCGAACTCCTGAACTTAGTTAACCTGCCCGCCTCATCCTCCCAAAGTGCTGGGATTACAGGCATGAGCCACCGCGCCTGGACCTTTGTTTGTTTTTGTGTTTGTTGTTATCGTTCACAAAAATTTTGTAGGCCTGACAGAATTAAGGGACTGGGATGAAGAGAAAGGAATCACATGCCAACATGGGGGTTGAGATGTGATCTTGTCGTTAAAACCTGGCTGACAATGGACAAAGAGCCACTCCCTTGCATGGTGACTGGCTGACAATGGACAAAGAGCCACTCCCTTGCATGGTGACGACAGTCATGTGGGCTTAGTCCAAGAAAGTTCTCAAAACAACGCCCGTGTGAATACTTAACCCAATGAACACACTGAGTTTCACTTTCTGGATCTTTTTTGAATTAGGAAAAATGCTCTCAAAAATCTCTCTGAGGAGTACTGCAGAGAGTATTTGCAAACTCCCTCTGTGTTCCAAAGACCTTTCAATATAATTCCGAGGCCCTCTCAGCCGTTCTCAGGTTCGTGGGCAGCCTCACATTTGCGCATTTCACTTTCTCTTCCATTTGTGCGCTTACTCACCTTACGACTTCATATGCATTCCTGAGCCTTATTTTAGCCAACACAGTTTTCAGTGCAATTAAAATTCCATTAAGAAGAAAACACATGCAAGACAGAACTAAAACATGCTTGTCAATGGAGAATGCTAACCATTCAGATCCTGGTGTCCTTTTCATCCCAGGCTCCAAGCAAAAGAAGTGAACCTCCTTTGACCTGGATACCAGCGAATTTCAGAGCACATGTGTTAGCCTAATGATGTTAAGATGCTCCGATAAAAATAATTTACCGGTTGAAGAACAGCAAGTTGAAAATGTTTTTTATTGTGATGAGTCAGAGTACAGTTTTTTTTCCTAACAAAAAATAACTCCTAGACAAAAAATAACTCCTATTCTCATTTAAAGCAGTGTGCCCTCATTTGATCTGGAAATGTCCAAGCGAGCCTGAATGAGTAATGAAGAGCTTGGGGGAAGCACAGGACTCTTCGAGGGCTTCACTGCTTCCTGCAGGGAAAGCAGTTACCTGTCCCAACCCCAGCCTTGCATCTCACTTGCTCTTTTTTTTTTGTTGTTGTTGTTTTTGAGACAGAGTCTCACTCTGTCGTCCAGGCTGGAGTGCAGGGGCGCAATCTCGGCTCACTGCAACCTCCGCCTCTCGGGTTCAAGCGATTCTTCTGGCTCAGCCTCCTGAGTAGCTGGGACTACAGCTGCTTGCCACCATGCCCAGCTAATTTTTTGTTTTTTGTTTTTGTTTTTGTTTTTGAGATTGAGTTTCACTCTTGTCACCCAGGCTAGAGTGCAATGACGCAATCTCGGCTCACTGCAACCTCCACCTCCGGGGTTCAAGCGATTCTCCTGCCTCAGCCTTCCAAGCACCTGGAATTACAGGCACCCGCCACAACCCATTGCTAATTTTTGTATTTTTAGTAGAGACGGGGTTTCACCATGTTGGCCAGGCTGGTCTTGAACTTCTGACCTTAGGTGATCCACCCGCCTCAGCCTCACGAAGTGCTGGGATTACAGGCATAAGCCACTGTGCCCAGCCTAATTTTTGTATTTTTAGTAAAGACGGGGTTTCACCATATTGGCCAGCTGGTCTCAAACTCCTGACCTCGTGATCCACCCGCCTCAACCTCCCAAAGTGCTAGGATTACAGGTGTGAGCCACCGAGCCCAGCCCTCACTTGCTCTTAACCATACTGCAGAAGAATACAATGCGATTTCCAAATGAATGAAGTTGACACTTAAGAGAACCAGCAGATTCACAGCAATGGCTGGCTTAGACCAGCCTGGGGACTCACTATCTAAACGTGCAAAAACCATTGACATCAGATATTTTTTACCAAAGCAGTTTCTCAAGGTCAATTACCTGCCTCAGTTAGCATCATACAAAAACTTATTTTTAAGTTTCCTGTGGCAAAAAGCATACGCCTATCACACTGATATTTCCACATGGCTTGGCCAGAGTTGCTTCCTAGGGCTCTGGGCTCCTCTGCCCCAGGCCCAATCAGAATGCATCTATGGTCTTTCACCTCTGCCTTTGGCTTTAGCTATTACCCTATGAGCTCAGGATCCCACCTCCCTTTTCACCACCTTTGCACACAGAATTTCAGGTCCTTCTCTGCCTGAGGATTCATCATGGCAGTGATTCCCATTTGGCATCACCATCCCACATTTTGCTGCCTCTGAACCTTGTCTGCTGTGAAGACTTTCTTGGCATTCAAGGCTTGCATTTATCCCTGGACTTTGATGTTCAATCCTAGCGTGTACGACTTCTGTAACTAAGCCAACATGGCGGCAAATGCCTGTAGTCCCAGATACTTGGGAGGCTGAAGCTGGAGCATGGCTCGAGGTCAGGAGTTCAAGACCAGCCTGGGCAACATAGACAGACTCCCGCCTCTTTAAAAAAAAAAAAAAAAAAAAAAAAAAAGCCGGCACAGGGGCCCACGCTTGTAATCCCAGCACTTTGGGAGGCTGAGGCGGGTGGATCACTAGGTCAGAAGTTCAAGACCAGCCTGGCCAACACAGTGAAACCCCATCTCTACTAAAAACACAAAAATTAACTGGGCCTGGTGGCGGATGCCTGTAATTCCAGCTACTCGGGAGGCTGAGGCAGGAGAATCACTTGAAAGGTGGAGGTTGCAGTGAGCCGAGATCACACCACTGCACTCCAGCCTGGGCAACAGAGCTAGACTCCAACTCAAAAAAAAAAAAAAACACCCAAGACTCCTACCTCTTTAAAACAACAACAACAACAACAACAACAACAGACTCTGTACTCTAGACTTCCCTGTCCAGCCTCAAGTGTGAGTTCCTACACTCCTGGTCGTGGATCTGCCCAAACTTCCTCCTCCTACTTCTCCCCGTGGTCTTCTATCCTCCAACGTGAACAAAGAGTTCATGGACCAGGTCAGGCCTAGAGGCCTCAAAGTCACTGTTAGAATCCCCAAGAGGCAGCCTCACAAGACTCAGGTGATGATGCCAGCTCTCTCCCTAGTCTAGTGGTTTTCAAAGTGTGGTCCCTGGACCAGCAGCATCAGCAGCCTCTGAGAACAACTTAGAAATGCGCCTTCTCAGGCACTGCCACAGCTGTATTGAATCAAACACTCTGCTTTAACCCTCCACACTTGTGCTTTAACGAGTCTCCAGATGATTCTGATATGGAGAGGGGAAGTGCGCAGGGATTTCAAGGAAGGCTTTCCTGACGTCTGTGTGGTTCAGGCTGTCACCCTGAGAATGCACAGCCCTCAGTTGGCCCCCTGGAGCCACAGCCCTGGAATTTGGGGACTATATCAGGAAGTCACTCAAATACCCCAAAACAAGAGTCAAAGATTTCCTGAAACGGGACCTTCAGGGAGACAAACGGGATATGGCTCAAGCCATCCTGCATCCACACCACTTCCAAGCCCGCATGCTCCACTGGAAGCCATCATCTTCCTCCACTCCAGCAAACAGACCACATTGTAATGATCCCAAGGACCACCTGACGCAGACCTGGATGAGAAAAGTTGATCCAGGAAATCCAGGACTAGGGGTAAGGGCCCTAATTTTATTTGTTTATTTTTTTCAAGATGGAGTCTCACTCTGTCGCCCAGGCTGGAATGCCGTGGCTCGATCTTTGCTCACTGCAACCTCTGCCTCCTGGGTTCAAGCAATTCTTGTGCCTCAGCCTCCAGAGTAGCTGGGATTATAGGCGCCCACCACCACGCCTGGCTAATTTTTGTATTTTTAGTGGAGATGGGGTTTCACCATGTTGGCCAGGCTAGTCTCGAAATCCTGACCTCAGGTAATCCGCCTGCCTTAGCCTCCCAAAGTGCTGGGATTATAGGTGTGAGCCACCGCGCCCGGCTATATGTATTTTAATTTCTGTTTGTCTTTATTTTTTCATATATACGTGTGTGTGTGTGTGTGTGTGTGTGTGTGTGTGTGTGTAGTATGTAGGTATGTATGTACTGAGCTCCAAGATACCTGGAAAGATGTAAATTAGAATTAGTTCTAATGTTCTAATCTCAAGTTAATTAAGTATATTACTGCTACTGACTCATGCTCCAGGCACTGTACTTGGAGTTTCGTGGTTGATCCTCAGAACAACCATGTGTGGAAAATATCTATTGATGGAGGGCTGTGGAATGGTGGAAGAGCTGGCCGGCAGTCGGATCAGCTGGGATATCTGTTGATGGAGGGCTGTGGAATGGGGGGAAGAGCTGGCCGGCAGTCGGATCAGCTGGGATATCTGTTGATGGAGGGCTGTGGAATGGGGGGAAGAGCTGGCCGGCAGTCGGATCAGCTGGGATATCTGTTGATGGAGGGCTGTGGAATGGTGGGAAGAGCTGGCCGGCAGTCGGATCAGTGGGGTATCTGTTGATGGAGGGCTGTGGAATGGTGGAAGAGCTGGCCGGCAGTCGGATCAGTGGGGTGTCTGTTGATGGAGGGCTGTGGAATGGTGGGAAGAGCTGGCCGGCAGTCGGATCAGCTGGGATATCTGTTGATGGAGGGCTGTGGAATGGGGGGAAGAGCTGGCCGGCAGTCGGATCAGCTGGGATATCTGTTGATGGAGGGCTGTGGAATGGGGGGAAGAGCTGGCCGGCAGTCGGATCAGCTGGGATAGCTGTTGATGGAGGGCTGTGGAATGGGGGGAAGAACTGGCCAGCAGTCGGATCAGCTAGGTTTGGGTCTAGTTTGCGGCTAATCACAAACTGTTACATGGGAGATATGTAGTACTGAAATTGGGGGCTTTTGCTGATGGCCAAAAAAACAAAGGTGCTCAATGAATAAATCTTGGTGAAGAGTGGATCCCTCCATTTTACACATAAGGAACAAAAAGCTTTGGAGAGGTCAGCCAGAGGTTCTCAGCACCGGCTGTGCACGAGAGTCACCTGGAGGGTTTTAAATGCCCAATCCCTGGTAATCCCCAGACAGGGCAGCCTGGTTGAAAACCCCTGCGTTAAATATGTTGCAGGCAATCCCATGGCCAGTAGGTGGCAGGGCTGTGACTTGAGCCCAGATCTATTGACGGGAACCCAAGCTCTGGCTTAAGGAGCCAGTTCCTGGAGCTGGAAGTGCAGGTAACACCTCCAGGTCACAGAGCAGATGTACCGTGAGAAGCCTGACAGTAGAGACTGGGCTTCCCTCAACAATACTTGCCACGGAGGGATGGTATTTTCCCACTTGAGAGCCTCCATTTCAGGTTGTGCTGATCACAGGGAGAGAGAGAAAGACTCTTTAGAAACAGAGCAATATGTGAAGCCACTAAGAAGAATCTAAAGGTTTCCTTCTAATTAAAGGGATTACTCTGCCACGTTTAGGAGACAGAAAAATGCTGCCCCCTAACATTCTATGGAGCTGTACACATCACAGTGTACGTCCATACCTACTTCCCAGCTCTGCCACTTCCTAGCTGAGTGTCATTGGGCAAGTTACTTACCCTCTCTGTTTCTCAATTTTCTCATCTGAAAAAGTGGGATAATGATAGTATCTACACCAAAGAGCTTCTGTGATGATCACATGATATGTGAAGCACTCAGAACAGGGACTGGCCCATGGAAAGTGCTCAAGAACATCAATTATTACATTTGGACTTCACAACAACATCCTACAGCTCAATGTCTCACCCCAAGTTAACAGCCAGCAACCCAGAGCTGGCATCAAACCTTCCTAAGTCTGGGTCGAAAGGACCTGTCTGTCTACACCTGCACTGCAAAGGTCCTGTCTTCATCCTCTCTCACCTGGGCCAATCAGTGGCTGCCTACCTTTGTCCCTGTCTCCAGGCCCTTCTTCATCTAATTTATCTATCCTTTTTATTGATATGTTTTTAACTTTTTATTTATTTTTGTTTTTATTTTCATGTATTTTGTTTTATTATAAAAGTAAAATACTTTATTTGTACAGATAAAATTTGAAAATTGTGGGTTAAGAAAAATCCATCAGTAGTCCCACTGAATCTGGCCACAATTCTTTGCTGCAATATGATGCCTTGAGCACACAGTTCTTTACATAGCTGACCTCATTCTATAGAGTGCAGAAGAACCACCTGGAAAACTCATTTAAAGTTCAGATTCCTGGACTCTAGCCCCAAAAGCTCTGATCCAGCAGCCCTATGACTGGAGACCTAGATACTTCTGAGAGCATTGCCTTTGAGAAATCTTCTTGTACAGGGCTGTAATCTCGGCATCATATACATTCTAGTCCTATTTCACTGAACCATTTCACCATAAGCATCTTTCCTTGTTGCCACATGGGCTCCACACTGTAATTTGGCCTTTACAGAGCTTCCGTACATCTTAATAATGTCACAGTGCAGGTGGTATTTTCCTAGCTGACCCAGCTCAAACTCTTCCTCTGGTTTTGTTGATCTCAGATGAAGGGTATGGGATCTGGCAGAAGAAATACAACATTGCATCAAGGGGACGCATAGTCATTTCCCTCCATTGGAACCTTTACATTGAATCTGTTTAAGCTCTCCAGGCAAGTCTGAGTGTGATTAAGCCAAGTAGGGGCTCCGGGGTGGAAAATGGGACCAAGATCTGAGCAGGTACAGTCCACCGAGCAAAGTCAAAGTCTGGAGCGGGAGACTGAAGATTGAAAACATTCCAGAAGCCAGTGGTTGGAGCAGCTGGAAGAAGAAGGCCCAAACCACCAGGGAAGGGACTTGAGTGAGGCGGGTGCCAAGGGCACGGGAGTTGAGGAGACACAGCCTCCTTTGTTTCACAGGGGTCTGCCCCACCCTGCTTACCACATGAGCCTTGACAATCGCTCCAGAGAGTCTGCTTTTGAGAATCTCTTGTAATCTGTTTTACCCTGGAAAAAACTTTTATGTCTACTGATCTGCTGGGGCCCATCTACCTGACCCATTCCTATGACTTAAAAGGCCCTCCCTTTTTCCTAACCAGGTACCCTACTGTCTTGCTTAACTAATATGATTATGTCCTCAGCTGGACTAATGGGGGGGACCAAATCCTTCTAGGGGAGAGGGAGAGACAAACAATCAGGTGTTTCTGAAACCTTATCTCCTCTCTCCATCAGCGATGTCGACCATGAAGGATTGGACAAGACTATATATTTCAGGAGCACCGCTCTGGTATGCAAATCTGTGCACAGAGACCCATGACTGCTGAAAACCAGTTTTAATACCTGGTTTCTGAAAGACTCTTCCAGAAGCAATGTGGGTCTTCATCTTGTTGCTATGGAGGTTGCCAAAGGCCTCCAGCTCAGTTTCCAGAATTCGCAGCGTTAGAGATCCCACCATTCAGACTTATTCAAGTCCTTTCCCATGGGCAAGACTCAACAAAACCAACATGCTCACTCACACATTTACAGTGAAAACAGTCACATCTTCATTTTAGCAGGTCAATAACCTTGGAAAAAAAAATACATTCGGATTGGAGTTGTGCTGTGAATATGAAATTAAAATAGAAGAAGCCAGCTGTTGGAAGAAATATTTTTACCAAGCCATGGTCAGCTAATAAGTTCCCATTCTCCACTATCGAGAGACAGATACTGTTTATCCTGCTTGTGAACCCCTTTCCTTTCTGATTTCTGTGTTTCTGACCAATTCCTTTCTCTTCACCTTTCCCTTCTCAATGCTCCAAGCCAACTCTCAGAACTCAACTCACAAAAACATTGCACCATCATCATCCTTTGCATGGAGTTCGTGCCAATCCTAGTTGCACTTCCTCATCAGAACCTGACTATTTTATGATCATTTCTCAAAGCTTCTCTTCTCAGTCCTTGCTGCTGTCAGTTTCCCCTTCACCAAGTGCTTGGCCTCCTTGTCTAGAACATCCTTGCATGTCTTGGAATTCATGTAATCAAGGAAGAGGAGGCTCGGAAGCATCCGAGCTATGCCACCACACCCCTCGGGATGGCAAGCTTGAGAAACTGGCTTTGCAGGAAGCTTGCTGCAGTGAGAAACAGGCTTTATAGACAGGGCGATTGGCATGAAGGAGCCTTGTGAAGGTAGGAATGTATGTCACAGGCACAGTTTTGGGACAAAGTCCAACTCCGTACGTCCACAGGTGGAGCCGATTCCTGTCAGGTCAGTCTCCATCTAGGCGAAGCCCTTCCAGGAAGGGCACCGAGTTCCAGGGCTCGATGACATCACTGGGGCAGAGCTGCAGGACCAGCCCCTGCCCCTGCTCACTCTCTGTGCCCTTTGCAAACAATGGCCTGCCCCAGGGGACCAGGGTAGAAGCCTCCACCCTGTCTTTGCTTCTCTTATCTCTGAAGTATGGTTTCTCAACCTTGGCACTATTGACACTTGGGGCTGCATAATTCTTGGCTATGTGGGCTACCCTGTGCATTGGAGGCTGTTTAGTAGCACCCCTGGCCTTGACACTAGACGCTTCGTTTATGTCAAGGAAAAATGTCTTCAGACATTGATAAATATCCCTTCTGCGGGGCAAAACCACCCATGGATGAAAACTACGGATACCAAGCTGCCCTCCACTTTCAGAGCAATAAGAAGAGGACACAGGGCCTCTGCTTTCAAGTGGGTGCAGAAAGTAAGACTGGAGCGAGGGGAGGGTTGGAGCCAGCAGGTAAATGCTGTAACAGAGGCTTAGGCAATCCCCTGCCGCTGCATCTCAAACACTTGTTTGTGCAACAAATAATTAAATATGCTATGTGCACAAATCTGCCCATTTGTAGATTCTGGACAATTTCAGAGATACCCTCCTGTCCCCTACCACGAGGCTACTTGCATCTATTATGTTTACCCATGCCAAGTCAAACAGAAGACTCCTCTTTTAAAGTCCTCAAAGCAAAGTTCTCAAAGTCCAAGTTCACCACCAGCATCTTAAGAAGTGTGATTGTTGGCTGGGCGCGGTGGCTCATGCCTATAATCCCAGCACTTTGGGAGGCCGAGGCAGGCAGATCACGAGGTCAGGAGTTCAAGACCAGCCTGGCCAACATGGTGAAACCCTGTCTCTACTAAAAATACAAAAATTAGCTGGGCATGGTGATGCTCACCTGTAATCCCAGCTACTCAGGAGGCTGAGACAGGAGAATCGCTTGAATCCGGGAGGCGGAAGTTGCAATGAGCTGAGATTGCGCCACTGCACTCCAGCCTGGCGACAAAACGAAACTCCATCTCGAAGAAAAAAAAAGAAGAAGAAGTATGATTGTTGTTGTCAATGATGATGTTATTACTGCATAAACAACATTAAGGAAAATTTAAAAAACAAACTGGGCTAGGTATGATGGCTCACACGTGTGATTACAGCCCTTTAGGGGTCTGAGATGGAAGGACTGCTTGAGGCCAGGAGTTTGAGACCAGCCTGGGAAACACAGCAAGACCCTGTCTCTACAAAAAATAAAACAAATTAGCCAAGTGTGGTGGTGTGCTCCTATATTCCCAGCTTCCTGGGAGGCTGAGGCAGGAGAATCCCTTCAGCCCAGGAGTTTGAGGCTGCAGTGAGCTATGATGGTGCCACTGCACTCCAGCCTGGGTGACAGAGCAAGACTCTATCCCTTTAACAAAAACATGACAAATTCTACTGTTATATTATCTCTCCAAATCAAGTGGTTCTCCTTTCTTCATTTCCCTCCAGCCCTTTACCATACGAATACATGCTTTTCTTACACATAAAACTCTTGAGTAGACCCATCTTCAATTTTCAACACAACTTCTCCTGAACATTTATGGGATGATGCATACATGAGGAGTCCTTCTGATGTAGAAAGATATCTTGAGCCAGGCACGGTGACTCACACCTATAATCCCAGCACTTTGGGAGGCTGAGGCAGGAGGATTGCTTGAGCTCCAGGGTTCAAGACCAACCTGGGCCACATACTGAGACCTTGTCTCTACAAAACATCAAAAAAATCAACCAACTGTGGTAGTGCACACGCATAGTCCCAGCTACTCAGGAGGCTGAGATGGAAGGATGGCTTGAGCCCAGGAGGTTGAGGCTGCAGTGAGCTGTAATTGTGCTTCTGCACTCCAGCCTGAGCAAAAGAGTGAGACCTTGTCCCCAAAAAAAAAAAAAAAATTGAATGAAAATCTACGAACAAATGTACATACCTTTTGCAACAATTCATTCCGCTGTGACCTAATATTTACTATAGGGCATGGAGGAAGTCAGTTTCAGTCTGGATTCCTCAGAATTGTCTACCTCACTCTGCTCAATGATTGAACTTTAAACAAGAAGTGACCTTAGGTATCACCCAGAGTTCTCTCACTTTACAGATAAGTTACCTGTGGCCCAGATAAGTTGACTTTTCTGCCAAGAGAATATGAATAGTAGATAACAAGACTGGGAAGAAATCCCAGCCCTCCTGACTCCCTGAAGCTGGTGGCTTCTCTCCACACCCTTCCTTACTGAACACCCATAAAGTTCACTGAAGGAAGCAGAGATCAGAATGTAGCAACGGTATTAGACACCCATAAAGTTCACTGAAGGAAGCAGAGGTCAGAATGTAACAACAGTATTAGAAAGAAGCTGATACAAACACAGTTGATTTTCACAAAATGTTTTTTATTGTTTGTTTGTTTATGAGAGACAAGGTCTCACTTTCTTGCCCAAGCTGAAGTGGAAGACAGATTATAGCTCACTGCAACCTCAAGTGATCCTCTTGCCTCAGTAGCTAGGACTATAGGTGTGAGCTATTGTACCCAGCTAATACACACACACACACACACACACACACACACACACATTTTAATTATTATTTGTAGAGACAAGATGTTGCCCAGGCTGGTCTCAAACTCCTAGCCTCAAGCGATCTTTCCATTTCAGCCCCCCAAAATACTGGGATTACAGATGTGAGCCATCACGCCTATCTGATTTTCACAAAGGGTTTTAATTCAGTTTCCTGTACTGTAAGGGTTCTGGTTCTGGGTGTGTGACATACAGTAGAAACTGCCCTAGATTAAAAGTTAGAAAATATGGGTTAAATCTGATCTCTACTATTAATGAGCCCTAAAACCCAAGATGAATGGCTTAACTTCTCCGATCCTTGGTTTCTTCATCTGAAAAAATGTCAGAAATAATTCCTATCAAGTGTGTATTAAGAATCTGAACAAGTTATATTGTTTGAACCAGTAATCTCCTGCTTCAGGAGTTTTATCAATAAAAAACTCTGGTACCTAGAAATAGTATTATGTACAAAAGCACGTAACTACTCCTCTGCTGGTAATTACCATGTATTGAGCCTCCTATATGATTGCTACTGTGCTAGCTGAGTTATGTAATGGTCTCTAATCTCCATAACAAATCAGAGAGATGAGTATTATAGTGTTTATTTTACAAAGGAGAAAACTGAAGGCCAGGGAGGAAAAATGCCTTGTCCCAAATCACCCAGATGGTGAGTGGTCGGAGCAGAGGTCAAACTCCCATCTGCCTCTCTCAGCCAATTTTCCTCCCATTATGCCTTGTTATTTTTTTTGTAATGGCAAATATTTGGAAACAAACCTAAATAACCAATAATAGGGTTTGATTTAAAAATTCTAGAATGGAATATTTTCAGCTATCAAAACATTGTTTCTTTAAGGTTTATTAATCACTTGGGTTTTTTGTTTGTTTGTTTGTTTGTTTGTTTGTTTGTTTTGAGACAGAGTCTCACTCTGTCACCCAGGCTGGAGTGCAGTGACTCGATCATGGCTCACTACAACCTCCACCTCCTGGGCTCAAGTGATCCTCCCACCTCAGCCTCCCAAGTAA
Source organism: Homo sapiens (assembly GCF_000001405.40). Taxonomy (NCBI): domain Eukaryota; kingdom Metazoa; phylum Chordata; class Mammalia; order Primates; family Hominidae; genus Homo; species Homo sapiens. The sequence goes on along the minus strand of NC_000013.11, from coordinate 98,646,909 downwards.
CTGGGACTATAGGCATGCGCCACCACACTTGGATAATTTTTAATTTTTTTTTTAGAGACACAGTTTCACCATGTTGTCCAGGCTGGTCTTGAACTCCTGGGCCACCTGGCCTCCTAAAGTGCCAGGATTACAGGCGTGAGCCACCGCGCCTGGCCTTAATTACTTTCAACAAGATGCTTCATGGGCTCTTCTGCCTGATGGAGCTAGAGGGGCACTAAGATAGAAGGGAAGGGTCTCCATGCCCAGGCCTGGGCGGGGAAGGGTGGTGGCAGGAATGGATCACCCACCTGTGTGATGAGGCATTCGCAAAGATACCAGACCAGGGGATCAAAGACCTGAGCAAGTGCAAAGCCAATGAGAACTGAGTGTAAACTCACATGTGAAGGTGTATTAGTTAGAATGTAGGTTTGGTTGCTCTGACAGGGAAACTTCTATTTAACAAGGTGGAAGTTTAATTATCTTGCAGAGACATCCAGGCAGGTTGTCTGGGAATCCTAACATCATCAGAGACCCAGTTTCTTTTCCTTCTGTGACTTACCATTCTCAGCACAGCCTCCATCTCATAGCGCAAGATGACTGCTCCAGTCCCCACATTCTAAAGGAGGAGAAAAGGGGAAGAAAAAAGAACACCCCTTCCCTGCAGGACCACAGCCTGGAAGTTACACGCGTCAGTTCTAGGCACACCCTGTTGGCTAGAATTTGGTCACGATGATGCATTCATGCAAAAGGGTCTTGGAAATATAGTCAGTAGAGCTACCATATGCCAAACCCAGAATCCCAGTTATAGCAAATAAAGGGAGAATGGATGTCAGGGACAACTAGAACAGAGGGCTAAGGCAAGGCAAGCAAGACACGGGTCATTGTCCCGTAACCATCTCTGGGGACTCTGAAGGGGGTGTTAACCACGAAAACACAGCAAAACATCCCCAAGTCCATTTTACATTGCTCTAATTTTCTAGGAATTCTCCTTGTTACATCTGCTTCAATCTCCCCCAACACCACCTTCATAAGAGATATTGGGTAAAGTTTTACATGATTTCTCCTGGCCTTTTTTTTTTTTTTTTTTTTTCTGAGACCAAGTCTTGCTCTGTTGCCCAGGCTGGAGTGCAATGGTGTGATCTCAGCTCATTGCAACCTCTGCCTCCTGGGTTCAAGCAATTCTCCTGCCTCAGCCTCCCGAGTAGCTGGGATTACTGGCATGTTACTACCACACCCGGCTAATTTTTCTGTATTTTTAGTAGAGACAGGATTTCACCATGTTGGCCAGGCTGGTCTCAAACTCCTGACCTCGTGATCCCCCCGCCTTGGCCTCCCAAAATGTTGGGATTACAGGCATGAGCCACCGCACCCAGACTTCTCCTGGCTTTTTAAGGTCATGTATGTTTTTGTTGGATAAGACACTGTGCTGAGATTGGTGGCTCAAGCTAACAAGTTATTATTTGCATTATATTGGGTTTAAGAACCAGGACAAAAGATTGTATGTAAAAGAGAATCACAACTTTGATTTTTAAATGCACAGGAAGAAAATTTGAGGGTAAACCTACCATTTTGTGAGTGTATTTTTTGGGTGTTAAGGTAAGTTTTTTCTTTAAAAATATTATTTTCCAGTTTCCAAAGTTTCTGCAATGAACATCTATTAATTTTATATTCGGACATTTTAAATGCTTATTTAAAAACTACTGCCTACTTGTCAATTCTTATGTAAAACCAATGAATGTAATGTAGGTGAAATGCCTTAAACTATAAAGGAAAAATTGAAAAAGCAAAATTTTTAGTATGTGTTATACTGGTGATTATCCAAGGAAAGGGTATTACTACAAGGCAGTGGATTTAAGTGTAATTGATTCTTCTAATGCTAAGAAGATCAATGGTGTTCTGAAAGAATCTTTTTTGGTATTAAGGTTCTCTGTCATACTGGCTAATATTTAATATTCACTTACTATTTGCAAGACACAGAGTCAAGGGTTTTGCGCATATGATGATGTTTAATTTTCACAACATTCTTGTGAAAGAGGGTCTCTCATTATTCCCTTTTTCAGACAGAAATGGAGGCTTCCATTTCTGATTAAGTAATTAGCCCAAGATGCACAGTTAGTGATCTAAGAAAGAAAAACCTCCTGAAAGAAAGACAACCGGAACGTCCTACTAAAAGATCACGCTACCTGTCATACCTAGGGAAACTGACCCAGAACAGCCAGCACCAAGTCATATTTTAGCAAAACAATTGGACAATAGAGGAAGAAAAGGGATTTTTTTTTTTTTAAGACAGGGTCTTGCTCTGTCCTCCAGGCTTGAGTGCAGTGGTGTGATCTCAGCTCACTGCAACCTCCACCCCCTAGAGTTCAAGTGAGTCTCGTTTCTCAACCTCCCAAGTAGCTAGGATTACAGGCATGCACCACCACACCCGGCTAATCTTTGTATTTTTATTAGAGATGGGATTTCACCATATTGGCCAGGCTGGTCTCGAACTCCTGACCTCAGGTGATCTGCCACCTCGGCCTCCCAAAGTGCTAGGATTACAGGCATGAGCCACTGCATGCAGCCAAAAAAAAAGGGGATATTGAAGCAAAAAAAAAAAAAAATCAAGTCGCTTTTTAAAAAAGGGCATCACAGTGTCATCAGACTTGTCGGCTGCCACTGGTTGCCAAGAAACAATAGATTTTCAAACTTGTTTAAAAGAGCGAACTCTACCACTCTGCTATATACAAGAGACACATCTCAAAAAAGATTCAGAAAAATTAATATGTTTTAAAAGTTAAAAGTTAAAAAAAAACTTAAAACTTAAAAAAATTAAAAGTTAAAACTTTCATAAAGCAGAACTTTTAGGACGTGTGAGAAACCAACAAACACACCGATAAGGGTGGACCTGAGCACTCTCAGTAGAAGCCTGATCAAGCAGACAAAAGGAAGAAGGAATACAAAACTAAAAACCTATTTAATACGTAGGCTGAACAGAACTTACTCCAAATCCTAACGTTGGAGAATATACTTTTTCAAGTGCATATGCATGAATAACCACATTTTAGGGCACAAGGATAATATCTCAAGAAATGTCAAGAAATAGAAAGAAAGTACACAGTGGTCTCTGACCACAGAGCAATATAACTAGAAATAATGAAAGCAAAATATTCTTCCACCTGCAAATTTCAAAGTATACTATTAGATAATTCTTGGGTCAAAATGAAATTGAAATGGAAACTTCTTGAAAATATAGATAATGAAAATATGATGTATCAGAATCTGTGTCATACTACTAAAGCAGTGATTAGGGGAACATTTATTGCATTAAGTATATATAAGTACCATTAAGTACCTAGGGGATATGGAAATTAATTGATTAAACCTCCTTTCTAGAAAGCTAAAGAAAAAACAAAATAAGCCAAACCAAAGCAGAAGGGAAAAAAAACCACAATAAATATAAAAACGGAAATTAATGAGTTGGAAAATAAACAGAACTAATAAATCTAAAAGTTGGTTTCTGAAAATGTAAACTAAACAGTTAAACCACTAGGATAAATATACAAAATTAGAAATAACCATAACACAGAGGAAATAAAAAATTGGGCATTACCATATACAATTCCTTGTAAATAAATTTGAAAACTTAGGTAAAATACATAATTTTTAAGAAAAACACTACTTAAAAAAATTAACCTGTTGAAACAGGCTAACTACCGTTGAAGAAATAGAAGAAGTAGCTAAAGAGCTCTCCTCAAAAATATGCCAAGCCTGGCGGGGCGCAGTGGCTCACACCTGTAATCCCAGCACTTTGGGAGGCCAAGGCGGGCGGATCATGAGGTCAGGAGATCGAGACCATCCTGGCTAACATGGTGAAACCCCACCTCTACTAAAAATATAAAAAATTAGCCGGGCGTGGTGGCGGGCGCCTGTAGTCCCAGCTACTCGGGAGGCTGAGCCGGGAGAATGGCGAGAACCCAGGAGGTGGAGCTTGCAGTGAGCGGAGATCAAGCCACTGCACTCCAGCCTGGGCGACAGAGTGAGACTCTGTCTCAAAAAAATAAATAATTAAGTACGCCAAGCCCAGATTTCACAGGGGAATTCTACCTTCCATCTACTTTATTATTATGATTTTATTGTAACTTTGTATTAGAAAACAAATATACAACTTGGAATGAATTTGAGGCAAATTGTATCATAAGTGGATTTTCTTTAAGTGGCTAAACAAAGTTTAAAAAGCAAGTAACAATTAAAATGTTTCTGGTACAGAACCAGTAGTACAAAAAAAGAGTATAGGCCCAGTGGGGTGGTGGCTCATGCCTGTAATCCCAGCACTTTGGGAGGCCAAGGCGGGCAGATCAGGAGGTCAGGAGTTCAAGACCAGCCTGGCCAGTATGGTGAAACCCCGTCTCTACTGAAAATATAAAAATTAGCCAAGTGTGGTGGCTCAAACCTGTAGTCCCAGCTAGTCGGGAGGCTGAAGCAGGAGAATTGCTTGAACCCAGGAGGCGGAGATTGCAGTGAGCTGAGATCATGCCACTGCACTCCAGCCTAGGCAACAGAACGAGACTCCATTTCAAAAAAAGTATGAGAGTACCTGAATAATATGCCCATTTTGCAATAGTGCTACTTTTAAGTATACATATATATATATATATAGTGGTGTTTGTTTGTTTTTGAGACGGAGTCTCAATCTATTGCCCAGGCTGGAGTGCAATGGCGCTATCTCAACACTGTAACCTCCACCTCCTGGGTTCAAGTGATTCTCCTGCCTCAGCCTCCCGAGTAGCTGGGATTACAGGCGTGTCCCACCACGCCCGGCTAATTTTTGTATTTTTAGTAGAGACAGGGTTTCACCATGTTGACCAGGCTGGTCTCGAACTCCTGACCTCAGTTAAAACGCCTGCCTCGGCTTCCTAAAGTGCTGGAATTATAGGCGTGAGCCACCACGCCCGGCCTCAATTTTCTAAAATAAAGTTTCAGGACAATGACAGTGAGACAGGGGAAGAAAACATGAAGGAATTAAGTCCTAATTACTATGTATGCATTTTTTTTTTTTTTGACAGTAGGGAGAAACCTTTTACAGATAAGTTACAAACAAAGAAAAGGCAAATAAATAATTTTGTAAAAGAAATTTAACACATTTCGAGCAAGGTCTTTGCTATCATCATCTGTACAAACTTTTTTTTTTTTTTTTTTTTTTGAGATGGAATCTCTCTCTGTCGCCCAGGCTGGAGTGCAGTGGCACGATCTCGGCTCACTGCAACCTCCGCCTCCCAGGTTCAAGCGATTCTCGTGCCTCAGTCTCCCAAGTAGCTGGGACTACAGGCACCTGCCACCATGCCTGGCTAATTTTTGTATTTTTAATAGAAATGGGGTTTCGCCATTTTGGCCAGGCTGGTCTCGAGCTCCTGACCTCAGGTGATCCGCCCGCCTCAGCCTCCCAAAGTGCTGGGATTACAGGTATGAGCCACTGCGCCTGGCCAATGTATTATTTTTTAATGCGCTGTTGGATTCTGCTTGCTACAGTTATATTTAAGAGTTTTGCATTGATATTCATAAGTGAAATTGATCTATAGTTTTCTTTTTTTCTATGGTCTGGAATTAAGAGCATTGAAATTATCTGATCTTTAAAGTAGAAGGGAGTCCGAGTGGAGCGAGCGAGCCGAGTGGTCGTGCAGTCGCGTCTCGGAAACCGGTAGCGCTTTCAGCATGGCTGACCAACTGACTGGAGAGCAGATTGTAGAATTCAAATAAGCTTATTTACTATTTGACAAAGACGGTGATGGAACTATAACAACAAAGGAACTGGGAACAGAAATGAGGTCTCTTAGGCGGCATCCCACAGAAGCAGAGTTACAGGACATGATTTATGAAGTAGATGCTGATAGTAATGGCAGAGTTGGCTTCCCTGAATTTGTGACAATGAGGGCAAGAAAAATGAAAGACGCAGGCAGTGAAGAAGAAATGAGAGAAGCATTCCGTGTGTTTGATAAGGATGGCAATGGTTATATTAGTGCAGCAGAACTTCACCATGCGATGACAAACCTTGGAGAGAAGTTAACAGATGAAGAGGTTGACGAAATGATCAGGGAAGCAGATATTGATGGTGACGGTCAAGTAAACTGTGAAGAGTTTGCACAGGCTGGGCACGGTGGCTCACGCCTGTAATCCCAGCACTTTGGGATGCCAAGGTGGGCAGATCATTTGAGGTCAGGAGTTCGAGACCAGTCTGGCTAACATGGTGAAATGCCATCTCTACTAAAAATACAGAAATTATCCGGGCATGGTGGCACATGCCTGTGGTCCCAGCTACTTGGGAGGCTGAGGCAGGGGAATCGCTTGAACCCAGGAGGTGGAGGTTGCAGTGAGCCGAGATTGCACCACTGCACTCCAGCCTGGGTGACAGAGTGATACTCTGTCTCAAATAATAATAATAATAATAATAATGCATTATGTGACTGAATTTTGAGACCAGTTGTGTCTTATTCCACCAATTAACAATCATGATTACTAAATAAAAACATGTTTGTTTTTAAAACTTGTGTAAAATATACACAGAAAAGTACACAAATAATAATAGTAAAATTGGTAAATTTTCACAAATTGAACACACTCATGTAATGGGGCTCATATCAACAGACCAAGTGTTATCAGAAGCTCTCTCATGCCTCCTTTTGCTCTTATACCCCTTAGGGTATCTGCTGTCTTATATTCCTAACCCCATAGAGCAGTTTTGCTTATTTTTGAACTTTATATAAATGGACTCACACAGTATGCATTATTCTGTGTCTAGATTCTTTCACTTGACGTTATGCTTGTATGCTTGTGAGATTCATCCACAGTATTGTATGTAGTTACAGGTTGTTCATTCGTGTTTGTTGTTGTTGTTGTTGTTGTTATTGTTTTGAGATAGTGTCTTGCTCTGTTGCCCAGGCTGGAGTACAGTGGTGTGATCATGGCTCACTGCAACCTCAAACTCCTGAGCTCAAGCAATCCTCCTTCCTCAGCCTCCCAAGTAGCTGGGGCTACAGGCATGTGCCATTGCACTCACCTAATTTTTTTTTTTTTTTTGAGATGGAGTCTTGCTCTGTTGCCCAGGCTGGAGTGCAGTGGCATGATCTCGGCTCACTGAAACCTCTGTCTCCCGGATTCATGCCTCAGCCTCTCTAGTAGCTGGGATTACAGGCGCCCACCACTGCATCTAGCTAACATTTTTTTTTTTAGTAGAAACGGAGTTTAACCATGTTGGCTAGGCTGCTCTCGAACTCTCAACTTCAGGTGATTTGCCCGCCTTGGTCTCCCAAAGTGCTGGGATTACAGGCATGAGCCATTGCGCCTGGCCTAATTTTTTTTTTAACTTATCCAGAGTCGGGGTCTCACTGTGTTAAGCAAGCTAGTTCAAACACCTGGCCTCAAGCCATCCTTCCCCCTTGGCCTCCCAAAGTGCTGGGATTCAAGGTGCACCTGGCCTTTATTCTTAGTGGATATAGTTTTGTATACAGCAATGTGACTATACCATAATTTTTTTGTGTATTCTACTGGTGTGTGTGTGTGTGTGTGTGTGTGTGTGTGTGTGTGTGTGTGTGTGTGTGTTTGGTGTTTTTTTGAGATAGGGTCTTGCTCTGTTGCCCTGGCTTGAGTGCAGTGGTGTGACCACAGCTCACTGTAACCTCACACTGGGCTTATGCAGTCCTCTTGCCTTAGCCTCCTGAGCAGCTGGGACCACAGGAACACGTCGCCATGCCTGGCCAATTCTTTAAATGTTTTTGTAGAGACCAGGGCTCCCTATGTTGCCCAGGCTGGTATCAAACTTCTGGGCTCAAGCAACCCTCCAGCCTCAGCCTCCCAAAGTGCTGGGATTACGAGCATGGGCCACCACACCTGGCCCATTCCACTGTTGATGGAGAGTTAAGTAGCTTCCAATTCGGACTAGTCTCATAGTGCTGCTATGAATATTCTTGTGTATATCTTTTGTCAAACATAGCTGTGCATTTATCTTGAACATCTACTTAAGTATGTAATTGGCAGGTCATGGGATATGTACGGTAGCATTAGGTAGATATCACTAATTTTTCACATTGATTGTACCAATTTATATTCACAACAGCAGGGCGTAAACATTCTGTTTTTTTCATATCCTAACTAATACTCAGTATTTGTCCTTTTCCATTTAGCCATTGTGTTGAGTATGCAATAGTGTCACACTGGAACTTTAATTTGATTTTTATGATGTCTCATAAGATTGAGCATGTTTTTATATGTTTATTAGTTGTTCTTGAAATCGTACTTAAAATTTGCAGGACACTTGAACTTTAAGCCTCACTTCACATTAGTAAACACACTCTTTTTAAAACTGAATGTGGGCCAGGTGCAGTGGCTCACGCCTGTAATCCCAGCACTTTGGGACGCCAAGGCGGGTGGATCACTCGAGGTCCAGAGTGCAAGATTAGCTTGGCCAACATGGCGAAACCCCGTCTCTACTAAAAATACAAAAATTAGCTGGGTGTAGTGGCGGGTGCCTGTAATCCCAGCTACTTGGGAGGATGAGGCAGGAGAATCCCTTGAACCTGGGAAATGGAGATTGCAGTGAACTGAGATCGTACCACTGCACTCCAGCCTGGGAGACAGAGCAAGACTCCATCTCAAGAAAAAAAAATGAGTGTGGATACCTTTTGTATCCTTGAGGTAATATGACCCCCGTAGAGCCCTCACTCACATCATCCAGTGTGAGTGGAGTGCGATTAAAGAATGGAGTTCAATAATTAAAAAATTAATTTCAAAATAACTCAAGTTCTCATATAGCATTTCTCAGACACTATGAAAAGAAATACATAAACTACCATAATACATGGCTAAGTCTCTCCTTCTCACTCATCCAGGCCTCACAAATGTAGCTGCCCTAATATCTTTTTTTTTTTTTCTTTTTTGGGATGGAGTCTTGCTCTGTCTCCAGGCTGGAGTACAGTGGTGCAATCTCGGTTCACTGCAACTTCTGCCTCCTGGGTTCAAATGATTCTCCTCCCTCAGCCTCCCAAGTAGCTGGGACTACAGGCATGCGGCACCACACCCAGCTTATTTTTGTATTTTTATTAGAGATGGTGTTTCACCATGTTGGCCAGGATGGTCTCGATCTCCTGACCTCATGATCTGCCTGCCTCAGCCTCCCAAATGCCTCAGCTGGGATTACAAGCATGAGCCACCGTGCCCGGCCCATCATTTTTCCAAAAAACATAGGAAGGAAAGTTATAAAATAACTTTCAGTGGGAAAGCAATTTTTATCATTACTCAAAATAAAAAATGTAAGGATAATGCATCAATCATTTCTTAATGATACATTATCATTCATTAAGAAATGATTGATAGATTATCTTTAACAGGAACACCGCATGTTCTCACTTGTAAGTGAGAGCTAAATGGTGAGAACACATAGAAAAAAGAAGGGAACAACACACACTGGGTCCTCCTTGAGGGTGGAGGGTGAGAGGAGGGAGACGATCAGAAAAAATAACTATTGGATACTAGACTTAGGGCCTGGGTGATGAAACAATCTACATCAAACCCCATAACACAAGTTTACCTAGGTAACAAACCTGCACGTGTACCCCCAAAGCTAAAATAAAAGTTGAAAAGATTGGCCAGGCGTGGTGTCTCACACCTGTAATCCCAGCACTTTGGGAGGCCGAGGCGGCTGGATCACTTGAGGTCAAGAGTTTGAGACCAGCCTGAACAACATGGTGAAACCTCATCTCTACTAAAAATACAAAAATTAGCCAGTCATGATGGCACGCACCTGTAATCCTGGCTACTCGAGAGGCTGAGGCAGGAGAATTGCTTGAACCCAGGAGGCAGAGGTTGCAGTGAGCTGAGATCACACCACTGCATTCCAGCCTGGGTGACAGAGTGAGACTCCATTTCAACAACAACAAAAAAAAAAAAAAAAAAAAAGAGAAAAGGTTGATAAATGCAACCTTTAAAAGTAAAAACAAAAACTACAAAAGTTTTGGCATCTTCTTTGCCATCATGCTGGAAGTCCTAGCCAGTACAATAAGGCAAGATCTAGAAATAAGCACATACACATTAGGAAGGGATCCAAATGGTTTTCTTGCACAGACAAAATGATTGACTACATAGAAAATCCTAAAGAATCAACAAAAAGCCTCCGAGATATGATAAATGTGCTTAGTAGGTTGCAGAATACGAGGTCAACATGAAAATCAATTGTATTTCTATGTACTAATAGTACAAAGTGTATTGAAGAATTTAAACATATATACACACACATTATTTACAATCGCTCACTCAAAAATAAATGATTAGGTATGAATCTAACAAAATATGTATAGAATCTGAATACTGAAAGCTATAAAACTTGAACACTGAAGAGACAAAAATTAATAAGAGATATACTGTGTTCATAGATTAAGAGATTCAAGCTATTCAGGGGGACCACCTGAGCCTGGGAGGTTGCAGCTGCAGAGCCGTGATTGTGCCACTGCATTCCAGCCTGGGCAACAGAGTGAGCTCCTGTCTCAAAAACATAGATTAGTAAACTCAACATATTAAATATGGCAATTCTCCCAAAATGAATGCACGGATATAAGGCAATCTAAAAAAAAAAAAAAATCCCAGTAGGGATTTTTGTAGATATAGATGAGCTGATTCTAAAGTTTATTTGATAAGGCAAAGGAACTAGAGTAGTCAAAACTATTTTGAAAGAAATAAATATATTCAGAGGGATCATACTACTAAATTTTTAAATTTTTATAAAGCTAAAGTAAGCAAGACAGTGTGGTACGGCAAGGGCTAGGCATATTGATCAGTGCAACAGGAAAGAGAGCCTAAATATTGGACCAGACAAATATGACCAATTTTGAGTAAAATGCAAAGGCAATTCAGTGGAGAAAGCATTATCTTTTTTAATAAATGGTGTTTGAGCAACTGAACATATGCACACATACAAAAATGAGCCCCAAATCTCACAGCTTATGCAAAAATTAACTCAAAATATATCTTAGATCTCAATGTAAAATGAAAGGCTATCTTTCAGATGAAATCATAAAAGAAAGTATTCATGAACTTGAGTTAAGCAAAGAGTTCTCAGGCAGAATGCCAAATGCATAATCAATAAAAGAAAAAAATGATTAGACATCATCAAAATTATATGATTTTGTATCATGTGGATACAAATTTTTATCTACAAAGACCCAAGAGAATGGAAAGATAAACTACACACTGGAACAAAATGTTTTCAAATCATGTATCCCACAAAGGACTTGTGTTTAGAATATACAAAGAACTCTAAACTGAACAGCAAAAAAACACAAGTAGCCCAATTTAAAAATGGGCGAGACTTGAGCAGATATTTCACCAAAGAGAACATAAGGAAATAATCACATGAAAATATGTTCAATATCACAGCCATTTTTAGAGAAATGCAAATTGAAGCCACAATGAGACACTGTTACACATCTATTAAAATGGCTGAAATAAAAATACTGTCACCAGTTGCTGGTGAAGATGAGAAGCAACTGGAATGCTCATACTTTCATGGTGGGAATGCAAAATGAGACAGCCACTCTGGAGAACAACTTGTCACTTCTTATAGAGTCAAACATACAACACAGAAATTCCGCTCCCAGGTATTCACCTCATGTTTATTCAAAAACCTGTACGCAGATGCTTTTTTTTTTTTTTTTTTTTTTTGAGACAGAGTCTTGTTCTGCTGCCCAGGCTGGAGCGCGGTGGCACAATCTCGGCTCACTGCAAACTTCACCTCCTGGGTTCAAGTGATTCTCCTTCCTCAGCCTCTGAGTAGCTGGGATTACAGGTGCACACCACGCCAGGCTAATTTTTTGTGTGTGTTTTTATTAGAGATGGGGTTTCACTACGTTGGCCAGGCTGGTCTCGAACTCCTGACCTCAAGGGATCCGCCTGCCTCGGCCTCCCAAAGTGCCGGGATTACAGGCATGAGCCACTGTGCCCAGCCAACACAGATGCTTATATATCTCTATCCATAATTGCCAAGAACTGGAAACTATCGAACTGTCCTTCAACAGGTAAATGGACAAACAGCTGTGGTACATCCATATAATGGTGTACTACCCAGTAATCAAAAGGAACACGTAATCAATGCGGCAACACATCAGGCCAATCTCAAGACATTATGCTTGCTAAGTGGGCCAAGCCAGTCTCAAAGGCTCCATATTTATAATTCCATTTATAAGATATTCTGGAGAAAACTAGAGTGAATGAGAACATATCGGTGGTCTCTGGAAGGGTGGAGGGAAAGATAATACCGAGAATTTTTTGGGGAAGATGGAACAGTTCTGTCTGCTGATTGCAGTGGTGGTTACACAGTCTATACGTGTGTTCAAATTCCTAGAATTCCACACCAAACAATTCAATTTTACTGTATGTTAGTTTAAAAAAACGAAGTCACTTTTTGCATAGCACAAAGCATTATAAGCAAAGTCAGAAAACAAATGACAAAGTTAAAAAAAGTATTTATGTGATTTATATCACAAGCAAACTACTACTCTCCGAAATATACAAAAATCTTTAAGTGTCAACAAGGCCAGAACACCATCCCGGAAAGAGCAGAACATGAACAGCTATCAAAAAAAAATACAAACAGCTTTAAAATATGAAAAGACGGTTCCCATTACACATAAACAAAATGCATGTTAAAACTACAGTAAAATACCAATGTTTATAAGATTGGTAAAAATTCCCAACTTTGACAATGCAAACTGTTGGCCAGGCACTCTCATTCAGGGAATGGGTATTAGACAATATATAATATTAGACAAATAATGACAGATATTTGGCACTATCAAGTATTTCCTTTGACAAGGCATACTTATTCTATGTGTGCAAAATGAAGTATCTTCAAGGTTATTCCTTGCAGCATTTTCTATAATAGCCAAAGAATTGAAACTAGTCAAATTCCATCACTAGGGAACTAACTAAATAAATCATGGAATACATCCATTCATTGAACTGTTCTGCAGCTATAATAAAGAATGAGATAACTTTCTATGCCCTGATAAAAGACAGGTTCTTATATATATTATTGTTAAATGAAAAAAGGAAAGTGTAGAAGAGTGTATAGTATGCAAAATTCTGTATAAAAGGTAAGGGGTGGCCAGGCGTGGTAGCTCACACCTGTAATCCCAGCACTTTGGGAGGCCAAGGTGGGCACGTGGTTCACCTGAGGTCAGGAGTTTGAGACCAGCCTGGCCAACATGGTGAAATCTCATCTCTACTAAAATACAAAATTAGCCAGGTGTGGTGGTGTGCACCTGTAATCCCAGCTACTTGGGAGACTGAGGCAGGAGAATGGCCTGAACCCGGGAGGCAGGGGTTGCAGTGACCCTAGATGGTGTCACTGCACTCCAGCCTGGGCAACAGAGCGAGACTCTGTCTTAATTAATAAATAAATAAGTAAATAAATAAATAAATAAAAAAGGTAAGGGGTAACAGAATAGATATTGGTACTTGTACCACATGGAGAAGCTCTGAACAAATAAGAAAATAATGGAAGTGATGATCGATGGGAAACAAAAAGATGGGAGATAGTAGAAATAGTTTCCCTCTATATCTTTCTGTGTGTTTAATTTTTGAGCCATTGATACAAATTACTTGTTCTAAAAATTAAATTAATAATTATATTTTCAAATAAGAAGATCCATTTTCAGTGATAGCTCATTCATCAGCTCTGTGGAATGCAATAGAACAGGCAGAAGGGCTCCGTGGGAGAGCTGAGACAGGAAGCCAGAAGAAACACTTCCCTTGCACAAAAGAAGTGAAAATGCAGAAGGAAGTGGCATTGGAGAAATCTAGTGCAAAAGGAGCAGAAAGGGTATGAGAAACGGCATGAGAGAGTGGAAGACATTCGTTGTTTTGGATGTGGACTTGAATTTAGGTCTGCTTCCTGCTGACTACGGAATTTGGGCAAGTCTTTTAAGTTCTCTGAGCCTGTTTTCTCAACTGCAAAATGGCAATAAGAACAAAACCTACCTCACAAGGTGATTGTAAGTGTTAAAGAAAACATGGAAACACCTTGCAGCAGAGAACGGGCCTGTGCGCTGACAATGTTGTATTAAGAAACAGAAAAAGGAGGCCGGGCGCAGTGGCTCACGCCTATAATCCCAGCACTTTGGGAGGCCAAGACAGGCGGATCACGAGGTCAGGAGATCAAGATCATCCTGGCTAACATGGTGAAACCCCGTCTCTACTAAAAATACAAAAAAAAAAAAAAAATTAGCCGGGCGTGGTGGCGGGCGCCTGTAGTCCCAGCTACTCGGGAGGCTGAGGCAGGAGAATGGCATGAACCTGGGAGGTACAGCTTGCAGGGAGCCGAGATCACACCACTGCACTCCAGCCTGGGTGACAGAGTGAGACTCCGTCTCAAAAGAAATAGACAAAGGAGGCTGAACGTGGTGGCTCATGCTGTAATCCCAACACTTTGGGTGGCTGAGGCAGGAGCATCACTTGAGGCCAGGAGTTCAAGACCAGCCTGGGCAACATAGCGAAACCTGGTCTCTACAAAACATATTTTAAAAAATTAGCCAGGCATGGTGGCACAAGCCTGTAGTCTTAGCTACTTGGGAGGCTGAGGCAGGAGGATTGAGGCTGCAGTGAGCTTTGATCCCAACACTGCACTGTATTCCAGCCTGGGCAACAAAATGAGATGCTCTCTCTAAGTTTTAAAAAAAAATTGAAAAAGAAGAAATAGACAAATGAAAAAAGCAAAGCCTCTCAGAGCTTCCTACTGCCTCCTTTCCTGCTGGGCTTCTGTACCACTGAGCCCCAAAGCTTGGACTTGCCTGGGAGGATGGAGAGATGGGAAGCTACTGAGAGACAAAGGCAAAATCCCACTGGGCACACAGGAGGAGGAGGACTGGAAATCCAGTCTTAAAGGATTCTCTTCCGAACAAACTCCAGTTTGCTAATTTGGTCATGAACAGGCCACCTTACTGTGGGGCATTTTAGGAAGTTTGAACGTTATTCTGAGGGCTTTGAGGGTTTTGAGTGGAGGTAGGGGTGGGATGCTGATCAAATTTGCATCCTAGAAAGATCACTGTGAATACAGTGTAGAAAGTGGGTTGGAAGAAGACAAGATGGGGGGCAGGGACCTCATTAGGAGGTGGCTGCAGGAATCTGGGGGGGAGTCGGAGGTGGCCCTAACTCAGGTGAAGGGATGGAGGAGAGACTGGGAGGAGCCTCAGGGGGCTTGGTGAATGCCTGATGGAACGCTGAGGCATGGGAGGAAGAAGAGGCAAGGACGACTCCCAAATTTCAGGTGGAGCAGTCCAGTGGGTGTCATGAGCACCATTCACTGAGACAACAACAACAAAATGGCAAGAAGCGGCTGGGTGCGGTGGCTCACGCCTGTAATCCCAGCACTTTGGGAGGCCGAGGAGGGTGGATCACGAGGTCAGGAGATCAAGACCATCCTAGCAATGGCAAAACCCTGTCTCTACTAAAAATACAAAAAATTAGCCAGGCATGGTGGCAGGTGCCTGCCGTCCCAGCTACTAGGGAGGCTGAGGCAGGAGAATCGCTTGAACCCGGGAGGCAGAGGTTGCAGTGAGCTGAGATCGTGCCACTGCACTCCAGCCTGGGCGACAGAGCGAGACTCCATCTCAAAAAAAAAAAAAAAAAAAAAGAAGCCACAATCGTGGGAAAGATGAAGAGTTCAGCCATGGCCACAGAGCGTCTGAGTGGCTGTCAGACTCGGGGGAAAGTGGGTCATGGGTAGTAGGATGTTATGGTCCGGACTCACACAGAGGTCAGTGAGAGACATCTACCTACAAATAGCAGGCATGTGAGCCTAGCAGCGCATAGAGAACCAGAAAGAGAAGCCTGAGACACAGCCCTCAAGAATGTCACTTAGGGCCAGGCATGGTGGCCCACGTCTGTAATCCCAGCACTTTGGGAGGTCAAGGTGGGTGCATCACTTGAGGTCAGGAGTTCGAGACCAGCCTGGCCAACGTGGCAAAAACCCATCTCTACTAAAAATACAAAAATTAGCCAGGCATGGTGGCATGTGCCTGTAATCCCAGCTACTCGGGAGGCTGAAGTAGGAGGATTAGTAGAACCCAGGAGGCAGAGGTTGCAGTGAGCCGAGATTGCGCCACTGCACTCCAGCGAGACTCTGTCTCAAAAAAAAGAAAAAAAGGCTGGGCACAGTGGTTCATACCTGTAATCCCAGCACTTTGGGAGGCCGAGGTGGGTGGATCACCTGAAGCCAGGAGTTTGAGACCATCCTGGCCAAAATGGTGAAACCCCATCTCTACTAAAAATACAAAAATTAGCCGGGTGTGGTGTCAGGCACCTGTAATCTCAGCTACTTGGGAGGCTGAGGCATGAGAATCACTTGAACCCAGGAGGCGGAGGTTGCAGTGAGCGGAGATTGCGCCACTGCACTCCAGCCTGGGCAACAGAGCAAGACGCTGTCTCAAAAAAAAAAAAAAAAATTATACAATGGAATCCTCTACTTTAGATGTTTAATCTATGAGAAGGGATTTAGAAAATATACTACATCTGAAGAAAAGGTTACAAAGAAACCTGATCTAAAACTTGAAAATGTGGACACGAAGTGAGAGGGACATCTGGCTTCTAAGCAGGAACCTTTGTAATGGGAGCAACAAAAAAGACTATTAAATAGGGGTGGTGTGGAGAACAGTAAGAAGACTTTGTAATCCCAGCACTTTGGGAGGCCGAGGCAAACGGATCACCTGAGGTCAGGAGTTCGAGATCAGCCTGGCCAACATGGTAAAACCCTGTCTTTACTAAAAATACAAAAATTAGCTGGGTGTGGTGACATGTGCCTATAATCCTAGCTACTCAGGAGGCTGAGGCAGGAGAATTGCTTGAACCTGGGAGGCGGAGGTTGCAGTGAACCGAGATCACACATTGCACTCTAGCCTGCGCGACAAGAGAGACTCCATCTCAAAAAAAAAAAAAAAACAAACAAACAAAAAACGGTGCACCCCTTGCCACACCATGGAAAATGGAGGCAAGCACATAACTGGGCCAAATCCCCATGGTCTCTTTGGGCAGAAGACAAGTCAGGCAGCTGGATCCTCTCACACAGAGGCCAGTAAGAACAAAGGCATCACCTGGGGAGAGGAGACACCGATGGGGTCTTAGGAGAATCCCAAGAAGTACATCCCTGGAACAGAAATCATCTTTGCTGACATTGAGAGGTCAGAAAGGGCAGACTTGATAGCTTATCTCAAAAAAGCTGCTAATGGATAATAATTGGCCACTGCCTTGTTTATTACAAAACAGAAATGTCTCATGACTTTTCAAATGTGTTACCATAATTTGATCTCATACACCAGAATTCAGATCATGAATGACAGGATATTTTGGTTGAACAGTCCTGATTTAAATAAGACTGGCTTATAGCTAAATGAATATGATCAGCTTTTTTGAATTTTGATAGTAATTCAAAGTACTATTACCATTTTCCCCTTCTAAAGATATGATTGGACTTCACTAGTAATGTCCAACTTCTCACAGAGATGGCAAATGTTGTCTCAAAACATATTGGAGGTCAGTTTTATATTTACATTTATACAACTGGTTATATGACTATATTTAAATACTGGGGAAATATCTTCACTGTCTCAGAACCAAGTAACACTCACCTGTGGTTTAATTTGTGTTCATTGGCGTATTAAGGGCAAGGGTTGAAGATAAGATAGCAATGTCTACTTTATATTTTTGGTCCTGACTATGCTAATCTAATCAGAATTCCCTGTATCTAAAATGCAGGCTTTTTGGCCAGGTGCAGTGGCTCACACCTGTAATCCCAACACTTCGGGAGGCCAAGGCAGGTAGATCACTTGAGATCAGGAGATCGAGGCCATCCTGGCTAACACGGTGAAACCATGTCTCTACTAAAAATACAAAAACTTAGCCAGGTGTGGTGGCATGCACCTATAGTCCCAGCTACTCGGGAGGCTGGGGCAGGAGAATCTCTTGAACCCGGGAGGCGGAGCTTGCAGTGAGCCAAGATCGTGCCATTGCACTCCAGCCTGGGTGACAGAGAGGGACTCCATCTCAAAAAAAAAAAAAAAAAAAGCAGGCTTTTTACTTACTGAAAGGCATTTTAGTGTGGTTTCTGTGTAATACCAAAAAATATTTAATACTTTTCACATTTTATAGATGATCTATAAGGTCAGGTGCTTTTTTTTTAGATGGTCAAAATCTCGCCTGTCACCCAGACTGGAGTGCAGTGGCGCACTCTCACTCCCACCGATCTCCCTACTCAATCTCCCCAGCGCCTGGCCTGGAGAGAGCAAATTATAATTAGGATTGTCTTGAAACAGCTATTCAAAAACACATAAAACTACAGAACTATTGTGTATGTGTGCTTTGGCAACTCATTAGAAGGATTAAAGTAGAAGAGACATACACGAGTTTATAAATTATCTGTGATCATAAGATTTAAGATAATCAAAATAAAATCAGGCGGGGCATGGTGGCTCACACCTGTAATCTCAGCATTCTGGGAGGCCAAGGCAGAGGGATCGCTTGAGCCCAGGATTTCAAGATCAGCATCGGCAACATAGTGGTACCTCATCTATATAAAAAATAAAAGATAGCCAGGCATGGTGGTGCGTGCCTATAGTCCCAGCTACTTGGAAGGCTGCGGTAGGAGGATCACTTGAGCCCAGGAGTTCAAGGTTGCAGTGAGTCAAGGTTGTGCCACTGCACTCCAGCCTGGGCAACAGTGCAGTGTCTCAAAAAAAAAAAAGAAAGAAAGAAAAAAGAAAAATAAAAAAACGAAAAAACCCTGTCTCCAACAAAAAAAGAAAAAAAAGAAAAAAAAAACCCACAATCACAGATTACGAAAAAATAAGTGTATATGCCAGGACATGAACAGTGATTACATTTTCTTATGTATTTTCCATATTTTTTTTTGCATAAGTTACTTTAGGAATCAGAAAAAATAGTTAACATAATAAAATATTTAAGTTTCAAAATCAGAGATAATTCAGTTGATGGGCTGAAGTTAGCCTCTTGGGGGCCAGCTCTTACAAATTCCAAGCTGGCCAGGAGCGGTGGCTCATGCTTGTAATCCTGGCACTTTGGGAGGCCAAGACGGGCAAATCACTTGAGGTCAGGAGTTAAAGACCAGCCTGGCCAACATAGTGAAAACGTGTCTCTACCAAAAATACAAAAATTGGTCAGACGCAGTGGCTCACGCCTATAATCCCAGCACTTTGGGAGGCCAAGGCAGGTGGATCATGAGGTCAGGAGTTTGAGAGCAGCCTGGCCAACATAGTGAAACCCTATCTCTACTACAAATACAAAAATTAGCCAGGTGTGGTGGCAGGTGCCTGTAGTCCCAGCTACTTGGGAGAGTGAGGCAGGAGAATCACTTGAACCCAAGAGGTGGAGGTTGCAGTGAGCTGAGATTGCGCCACTGCATTCCAGCCTGGGCAACAAAGCAAGACTCCGTCTCAGAAAAAAAAAAAAAAAAAATTAACCACGTGTGATGGCAGGCACTTGTAATCCCAGCTACTTGGGAGCTGAGGCAGGAGAATCACTTGAACCCAGGAGGCAGGGGTTGCAGTGAGCTGAGATCGTGCCACTGCACCCTAGCCTGGGCAACAGAGTGAGACTCTGTCTTAAAAAAAGAAAAAAAAAAATTCCAAGCCAGAGGCCCAAGAGTATGACCCTTGGCCCCCATCCCTGGTGTCTGCAGGGGTCTGGACTAGAGACTATAGGTGAAAATGCAGTCCTCTGGCTTTCCAGTTTATTCCTGGGCTCAGAGCTTCGGAAGCAACTGTGCGCTGAGTTCTTCTCCTACCAGAATGATGTTTCCATGTTTAGAAAAGTTCTCCATGTATTTGATTATTTCTCACCAGGAATACATCTTCTTTAGACAGTTTAGTTTGCATTGACAAATATTTATTTTACCAGGCACCATGCTAAGTGCAGTGAGGGGCAGTTTTGCAATTATGACTGTGAGATCTAGAATCAGACTGGCTGGGATTTGACTCTTGGTTCTATAACTTACTGACATTGTGAAATGGGCAAATTCATTTCTTTAATCTTCAATTTTTTAACCTGCAAAATGGAGGAATATATTTAATCAAATATAAGATGCCTTTCCTTAAAGGCATACATTATTTCTTTACTTCTAAGAAAGACAAGTGCTGCTAATTAAACTTTGGCATGTTGCCTGAAACCATAGCCCTATGTAATGTATGAATTGGCCACACTAGCCTCTCCTTGCCTTGAAATTTCTTTCATCTGCACCAGAGATCTGGCAGTTTCTCCTTGCTCCTATTGCACTGTTTGGTATGTAATGGGCAGTTTTTTTGCACATATGTCAGTAACTAAAGGTGATATAGCTTCATCTACCTTTGGGGGGAATCTTCATTTTCTGGGTGCATAAAGCCCTTGGTGGTTGTTTCACAAGAAAATGTACAAATGCAATCATTTCTCCAATGACAAGTTTCCAGCTTCCTTCCCTCTCCTCTCCTTGCCTCCCTTTCCCTCCTTTCCCTCCCCCTCCCCTCCCCTCCTCCCCCTCCCCTCCCCTCATCTCCCCTCCTCTCTCCTCCCCCCTCCCCTCCTCTCCCCTCCCCACTCCCATCCCCGTCCCCCTCCTCTCCTCTCCTTTCCACTTTCTTTTCCTTCTTTCAATAAAGTCTCACTCTGTCACTCAGGCTGGGGTGCAGCACAGTGGCACAATCACATCTCACTGTAGCCTCTATGTTTTGGCTTAAGTGGTTTTCTAGCCTCAACCTCCTGAGTAGCTAGAACTACAGGCATGTACCACCATAACTGGCTAATTGTAAAATTTTTTGTTGAGATAAGGTTTCACTGTGATGCCCAGGCTGGTCTCAAACTCCTGGCCTCAGGCGATCCTCCTGCCTCAGCCTCCCAAAGCACTGGGATTATAAGTGTGAGCCACTGTGCCCGGCCTCCGGCTCTATTTGTATGTTTTTCTGCATTGACTGTATTTTCATTACAAGGCTGAATAATAGTGCAATATTTTTTGAAAACATAAAATGTCAAGCTCGACACATGTGGTCCCAACAATGCTCATCACTAAGTTGAAATGATAATATTAACAGTAATGACCAAATTTGTGCATGCACAGGCAAAAACGACCACTTACTGCCTGGCCAATGCCAATTGTAAAATGCCAAAAATAGTAAGAAGCGCCAGCATTCTGAGATGTTAGTGAAAAAAGATGTCTATTTTTGGTTAGGCATGGTAGCTTACACCTGTAGTCCAGCTACTCAGGAGGCTGAGGCAGGAGGATCCCACTGAGCCCAGGCATTAAAGGCTGCAGTGAGCTGTGACTGGGTCACTGTACTCCAGCCTGGGAGACAGAGTAGAACTCTGTCTCCAAGAAAAAAAAAAGTGTACTTCCCACTAGAGTTACTGAAATCAGTACTGTGCTGTAGCACCTCCATTTTGGAATTGTCATGATGACTGAATTACAAATGACATATATATGTATAAATTTTATTTGTATATGTATAAATTTTTATATATATAAATTTTATTTATATATACATTGTATTTATATATAAATATGTCATATAATAAAATTTATATATAAATAAAATGTATATATAAATTATTTTTGAGACAGAGTCTTGCTTTGTTGCCCAGGCTGTAATGCATTGGCACGATCTCAGCTCATTGTAACCTCTGCCTCCTGGGTTCAAGTGATTCTCCTGCCTCAGCCGTGCAAGTAGCTGGGATTACAGGCACACCAGCATGCCTGGCTAATTTAAATATATATATATTTAGTAGAGATGGTTTCGCCATGTTGGCCAGGTTGATCTCGAACTCCTGACCTCAAGTGATCCATCTGCCTTGGCCTCCCAAAGTGCTGGGATTGCAGGCATGAGCCATCGCACCCGGTCAACTTCTGTATATTTTCTCTGCTTTTGATTATCCAGCCACTTAGCAAGCATGTACTGATACCTTATTACATGCAGGTGCTACGCAAAGGGCCCTCTGGACCTGTGGTCAGCATGTGACAAAATAAAGTCCAGTGATCTGGGAGTGCTGGATGAACATGTTTGGAACCCCTAAGCATTGTGTCAAAAGATGATCAGGGAATCAAAATAACAGCTGGAGGCTGGGTGTGGTAGCTCACACCTATAATCCCAGCACTTTGGCAGGCTGAGACGGAGGGATCACTTGAGGTCAGGAGTTCGAGAAAAGCCTGGCCAACATGGTGAAACCCTGTTTCTACTAAACATACAAAAACTAGCCGGGTGTGGTGGCAGGCACCTGTAATCCCAGCTACTCAGAAAGCTGAGGCAGGAGAACTGCTTGAACCTAGGAGGCAGAGGTTGCAGTGAGCCGAGATCATGCCATTGTACTCCAGCCTGGGTGACAGAATGAAACTCTTTCAAAAAAAAAAACAAAAACAAAAAAACAGGAACAGCTGGAAACAAAAGAGACAGTTGGGGAGAACGTGGAAAAGAAGAAAGCCCTACAGAAAAAGGAAAAGGACTGGATGAGGAATGAGAACTGGTTTCTAGTCCTGTGCTTCTCCAAGTCAACACGTGGCCAATGTTTCCTTCCAGGATCTTTTTTTTTTTTTTTTTTGAGACAGAATCTCGCTCTGTCACCAGGCTGGAGTGCAGTGGCGTGTAATCTCGGCTCACTGCAACCTCTGCCTCCCAGGTTCAAGCAACTCTGCTGCCTCAGCCTCCTGAGTAGCTGGGGACTACAGGCATGTACCACCATACCCAGGTAATTTTTTTTTTTTGTATTTTTAGTAGAGAGGGGGTTTCACCATGTTGGCCCAGATGGTCTCGATCTCTTGACCTTGTGATCCGCCCACCTCGGCCTCCCAAAGTGCTGGGATTACAGGCGTGAGCCACCGCACCCAGCCCCAGTATGTTCTTTTTGAGTATTTTGAAGAATCACTGGGGTCTTTTGGGTCAACTCCCTTATTTCATTAAGAAGGATGCTGAAGCCTGGGAAGTGAGGTACTTATTTGGAAATATGGCTTCTGGCAGGTCTAAGGGTGATTTCCCTCATTTCTTTCTGATTTTCTATATTGATAATTGTTGTATAATGTATTCTCTTTATAATGGAAACAGCTACTCTATAGACAGAAAAGTCTATTAAGCAATATTACTTTTCATCACAGCCAGGGAGGAACCTGATAATTAATATCTAATGAAGTCCATGGCTTTTAGGAAAGAACAACAACAAAAAAAACCCCTTCATATCAGCAACAAAAATATCTTTCAGGCAGGCTAGAGTAGAAGAAGGAAGAAGCACAGATACCAAATAAGGAACGTGGGCTTGTTTTTTTTCTATAAATAGACTTTTGGATAAGTGGGCAAAAGACATGAACTTTCCGTTAAAAGAATATTTTTAAAGCCATTAATTATAGTAAAAATTTTGTTCTAGGACAAGAATAATACACACCTATGTAATACAGATTTACTTATAAAATATTTATATTAAATTTCTATTTATTTTATGTAAATAAATGTATATTTCATCTTTAAATGTCTAGAAATAAATGCAAAAGCATACACAGGGCCAAAAATAGCCGTGATGAGTGATTTAAAGGTCTAGAAATCCTACTGGAAACCACCTTCCAGGAAAAGCATCTGATAAATTCTAAACGTGCCTTGCTGATAATTTCATCTCCCAGATGCTGGGCAATTGGAAATCAGTGGTTGCGGTGAAAGACCGAGACCTCTGGGAGATGAGATGATGCTGGCCCTGGGGGAATGCTGGGTGCCTGCAGCAAGGTTTTTAGAAATGGGCTGGTTGAAATTTAACCCACATAGGAAGCTGGTTGAAGATTGAGGAGTATGTCATAGAAGCCACAAACTGGAAGAGCTTTGGGTCTCCCAAGGGACCTGGACGAGAACTAGCAATCTTCAGGCCCAGGGCACTGCCTCCATTCCTCTGGGCCGCCTGGTTTCACATCTGTTCTCCTAAATGCCAGGGATTCGGGTGGAAGTGAGATGCTCCAGGGAGGTGCTCCCAGGGGAAACTGGTGAAGGAGTGTGGGAATGGGGAGCTCAGGAGTGTCAATGAGACCTCAGGGTATGTGCTGCCTCAAGCAATGGAGCTGGACCTTTTCACTTGCACACCAGCCAGCTGAGGGTCACAGCCATGGGTAGGGGTGGGGCTGGAGGTAATGGGGAGAAGAGAAAACTCCTGGGGGAATCTAGCTCTCCATGTGGGTGGGATGCCTGCAACACCCAAAGGCAATCCTCAGAAAGTCGCTGGCGAGGGCCATGAATGACAGAGTTTGCAGGAACTGGGCTGTGAGCATGCACGAAGCTGGTGAATGAGAGCCGAGGGGATCTGGGCAAGGCGGCAGCTCTGTCTGCTAGGGCAACACTGCCTCCTTTTCTGCATCTGCTTTGTTCTCCTCTGTCTCTGAAAAGCAGCTTCCTCTGCTACCTGCATGCATCTGGGCTCGCTTGCCAATTTTTTTTTTTTTTTTTTTTTTTTGAGACAGAGTCTCACTCTGTCACCCAGGCTGGAGTGCACTAGTGCAATCTTGGCTCATTGCAAACTTCACTACCATGCCCAGCTACTTTTTGTATTTTTAGTAGAGATGAGGTTTCTCATGTAAATTCCTTGAAGAGACAGACTGATAGACTCTGAGTCAAGGTACCATATTCCCAGGAGAGAAAATCTATTGGCTTGATTTGAACCAGATGTCTTTGCCCCAGTTCAACTGCCTGCTGTGACCAAGAAGCCAACGATAGTCGCTAGGGCAACCATTGAGCCATTGACTGTAGGGTCTCAGTGTGTGTGTGTGTGTGTGTGTGTGTGTGTGTGTGTGTGTGTGTTGCTATATCTGGGCAGAGGAATGGGCAAAACAACAGATTATCAGAAAGCGCCAGGATAGGCCTGGCCTGGCCCACTTGGAGTTGGATCCCCTGCTCTGGGTTCAGCCAAGCAGATGTCAAAAATGTCCAGGGGAGGCTGGGCACGGTGGCTCACGCCTGTAATCCCAGCACTTTGAGAGGCTAAGGCGGGCGGATCACCTGAGGTTGAGAGGTCAAGATCAGCCTGACCAACGTGGAGAAACCCCGTCTCTATTAAAAATACAAAAAATTAGCCGGGCGCGGTGGTGCATGCCTGTAATCCCAGCTACTCGGGAGGCTGAGGTAGGAGAATCACTTGAACCCAGGAGGTAGAGGTTGCGGTGAGCCGAGATCACACCATTGCACTCCAGGCTGGGCAACAAAGTCAAACTCTGTCTCAAAAAAAAAATGTCCAGGGGAAAGAAATAGATCTCACTCCAAAGATTAGTTGGCTCAAGAGGAACGAAGTCTTCACAAAAGCAAAATTCTGAAGAAGCAATGACAAGCGATGCTCTTTTTTGAGAAAGAAATGGGAAAATATCTAAAGACAGCAGGATCATGCATGGGTGACAACACCAAGGACAGATGATAAAGAATGTGTACACAGACAGAAGGAGGCACACAGAATCAAATAAACGATGGTTATGGGACTGAACAAATAGTCCCAAAAACCCAAAGAACAAACTATTCAAGAGCTTATAAAAATAGATGTATTTGAATAGGAAGAATAATGAAGAGGTTACTTGCTGCTTATGCCTGGGGATCATGTTCAGTGGTGAGCGTGGGAAAGCTGGCCTTACCAGGCATATTGTTAAGAGGAAAAGGCAGGTTCTTTTTTTTTTTGAGATGGAGTTTCACTCTTTGTTGCCCAGGCTGGAGTGCAGTGGTGCAATCTCAGCTCACTGCAACCTCCACCTCCCTGATTCAAGTGATCCTCCTGCCTCAGCCTCCTGAGTACCTGGGATTACAGGCGCTCAACACCATGCCCAGCTAATTTTTGTATTTTTAGTGGAGACAGGGTTTCGCCACATTGGCCAGGCTGGTCTCAAACTCCTGACTTCAGGTGATCTGCCCACCTTGGCCTCCCAAAGTGTTGGGATTACAGGCATGAGCTGCCACGCCCAGCCCGCCAGTGGAATGTTTGGTATACATGATTATACTTCTGTTTATCCATTATAAATGAAGGGGTCTGGGTGCTAGGTTTATTGGCTTTTTCTTCTCTTGGCCATCTTTTCTCTATTTTTGTAAAAGACGTCCAAGCTTTAAAGCAAGCCAATAGATTCTCCCTCTTGGGAATATGGAACTGGTACCCAGAGTCTAACAATCTATCTCGTCCAGGAATTTACATGAGTAGAAACTTCCACTGTTTGTGTAAGGCAATGAGAGAAAAAAGTAGAACTATTTCATTTCCATTTAGCATTTTTTTTTTTTTTAGACGGAGTCTCTCTCCGTCGCCTAGGCTGGAGTGCAGTGGCATGATCTCAGCTCACTGCAACCTCCGCCTCCCGGGTTCATGCCATTCTCCTGCCTCAGCCTCCCGAGTAGCTGAGGCTACAGGTGCCCGCCACCACGCCCGGCTAATTTTTTTGTATTTTTAGTAGAGATGGGGTTTCACCATGTTAGCTAGGATGGTCTCGATCTCCTGACCTCGTGATCAACCCATCTCTGCCTCCCAAAGTGCTGGGATTACAGGCGTGAGCCACCACGCCCAACCCCATTTAGTTTTTTTAAATAAAAATTTTCCAACTAGAATGAAGAGAACACACATCCCTAAGAGGGCATAAAGTCCTAGATAGAGTTCACAAGAGATGATCTGGATGTTTTAAATGAAGCCAGTCACGGTGGCTCATGCCTGTAATCCCAACACTTTGGGAGGCTGAGGTGGACAGATCACTTGAGATCGAGACAAGCCTGGCCAACATGGTGAAACCCTGTCTCTACAGAAAATACAAAAATAAGCTGGGCGTGGTGGCACGCGTCTATAATCCCAGCTACTTGGGAGGCTGAGACACGAGAATCACTTGAACCTGGGAGGCGGAGGTTTCGGTGAACCGAGATCATGCCACTGCACTCCAGCCTGAGAAAGACCTTGTCTCAAAAAAAAATAAATAAATAAATAAAAATAAAAATAGATGTTTTAAATGAGTTTAAGACTCAAGCAGATGATACCCCAGAGTCCTGCAAAAACTTTAAAATCATGTCTCTGGAACCACTGCTAGTAAACTAGACAAACTCAGGAACGCTCCAAAGGGTGAAAGCTGGATCAGTGAATAGACGTTAAAGAGGCAGAAGCTGCCTTCAATGGGAGCTGTTTAGAAAGGCCTGGGAGGCAGCTGCTTCTGTGCCCAGACATGTTCAAGCAGGAGCTGGGTGACTGCCGTGTGAGGGATGTCATGATGTGTGTCTTCCATGAATAGAAGAAGGGACCAGATAAGGATTCTCAAAGAAAGATCAGGGCTCATCAGTGGACCACAAAGTTCCCCTAATGGACCTAAAACTGATTTAAAAACTCATACCCTCTCTTTTATTATTATTATTATTGTTATGAGAGACAGGGTCTCAATCTGTCACCCAGGCTGCAGTGCAGTGGCATGATCATAGTTCACAGAAATCTTGAACTGCTGAGCTCAAGCAATCCTCCCATCTCAGCCTCCTGAGTAGCTGAGACTACAGTTGGGAGCCACCATGCTAGGCCGGTTTTTATTTTATTTTTTATGGAGGCAGGGACTCACTATGTTGCCCAGGCTGGTCTTGAACTCTGGGCCTCAATCGATCCTCCCCCACCGCGGCCTTCCAAAGCACTGGGATTATAGGCATGACCCACTGCACCCAGCCCTCTCTCGATTCTTCTACGTGATTAATACACAAGCCATACGTTTTCACTTTACAAACAGCTAGGATCACCTATGATCTACGTGACAGGGCCGTTTCTTGGAATATTTTTTCCAACACTTCTCCTCTCTATCCCAAAATAGGCAGGACCTGTGTGCTCCCCCATGTCCCCCACTAACCCTGTGCCTCAGAGGAAGTTGGGGGCTACTCTGATAAGGTGAAATTACTTTTAAAATGCTTTTTTCCTGGGCTTTATTTTTCTAAAATTGGAGTTTACGAAGGAGATAATGTGCTCCTCTTTTGAGGACACCAATGAGAGAGAAGCATTTTGCCTTTAAGGCAAGAAAAGGCAGCAGGAGGGATTCCTTCCAGCCAGTGGGCTTTGCCCTCTGCTTCTCCCAGAGGGAGTGTGAAGATTTCAGAGGGGCTGACTTGGTGAGTGGGGCCCCAACCATAGGGCTCCCAGCCTCAAGGAAGCAGAGAACAGCCAGACTGAAAGAAACATTGGTGGGTATAAAAAATGAAGATAAGGCTGGGTATAATGGCTCACGCCTGTAATCCCAACACTTTGGGAGGCCGAAGCAGGAGGTCAGGAGTTCGAGACCAGCCTGGCCAACATGGTGAAACCCCATCTCTACTAAAAATACAAAAATTAGCCAAGCAGGGTGGTGCGTGCCTGTCATCCCAGCTCCTTGGGAGGCTGAGGTAAGAGAATCGCTTGAATCCGGGAGGGAGAAGTTGCAGTGAGCCGAGATTGTACCACTGCACTCCAGCCTGGGCAACAGACTGAGACTCCGTGTCAAAATAAAAATAAAATAAAATTAGCCAGACATGGTGGCATGCACCTCTAGTCCCAGCTACTCAAGAGGCTGAGGTGGGAGGATTGCCTAAGCCCAGGAGGTCAAGGCTGCGGTGGGCCATGATTGTACCACTTTACTCCAGCCTGGGTGACAAAAAGGGACCCCATCTAAAAATAAAAAGAGAGAAAGAGTGAAGATAAAGAGAACACAAAACATAGGATGGTGTCTTGCCTGTTTTAGGCACCACAGAGAATGTCCAACTTCCATTGAGAGCCAGGAAGAGAAGAGACCTCAACGCCAATGACAATGTAATTTTCTCCCAGCCTAGGAGGCTGAGGAGTTGAAAGATTTAGTTTGATATAATGAAAACAAAGAAATTGATACTTTATGTACACTCTGAGTTTGTGAGTCAAGATTCATACCTCCTACAGCTACTAAGTATGCTGTAGTTACTGGTACTAGGGTTAGAAGCGACTAGAATTAACACGGAGGATTCTTTTTTTTTTTGAGATGAAATCTTGCACTGTTGCCCAGGCTGGAGTGCAATGGTGTGATCTTGGCTCACTGCAACCTCCACCTCCCAGGTTCAAGCAATTCTCCTGCCTCAGCCTCTCAAGTAGCTGGGACTACAGGCGTGCGCCACCATGCCCAGCTGATTTTTCGTATTTTTAGTAGAGACGGGCTTTCACGGTGTTGGCCAGGCTGGTCTCAAACTTCCGTCCTCATGATCTGTCCGCTTCAGCCTCCCAAAGTGCTGGGATTACAGGTGTGAGCCACCGCGCCTGGCGGATTCTAAGCCAGGGTACTTTGCAGAAGTCTAACTGGCGGCTTCAAGTTCTTGGTGACTTGGCTGCCCTTGTGCATACTTGGATTGTTGGGATCCTGCAGTTCAGGGAAAGGATGCTGTTTATCTGGATATTAATGATGCTGTCTCCAATTGCTGCTACTCCAGTCATGCTTCATTTTATTGATGAATGCTCTTAGTTTAGCATCATTTCAATTTAGTTCATCATGGGTTCCGCGACTACTAATTTCCATTACTATCACTGTTTATTTTTATGCTCAAGCTGCCCCAACGTTTGACCACTGGGGACTCCTTCAAGTTGGCTCCACTGTCTTTTTGATACTCTCCATCAGCCTTGGAGCTACTGTCTTATCTAATATGTTTCAGGGTCATTTTGTACTTCCCCTGCCCCAGCCCTAGAGCCAGCCATTTCTAAAAAGAGCTCTGGTTTCTTTTGGTAGAGAATGGTATCTAGAAACCAAGATTCCGATTCTTAGCAAGCTCATTCTTCCTGGTGTGTCATTGCTTCTAGGCTCTTTCAGCAGATAGAGCTAGGAAATGGTGTGTGTGTGTGTGTGTGTGCATGTGTGTGCATCACACATAAACATATATACATAGGTCTGTCTCTGTCTCTATTAATCCACAGAAAACCATGTGTTCATATGGATACATCCAACACCACAGGTACATTCTAGTCTTCACTCTGTCCATATTTATAATGCCCTTTTACAAGAGCAAGAAGCCTAGTTCTCATTATCCTAAATATACACTATTCATCTGCTAGAGACTTGAGGACACAGAAAATACTTTCAGAGTTAAGTTTTACCACTGCGAGAAGTGAGTCTACTACCTAGAGTTAACTATTTCTTTATAGCTCTTTTTCTAAGGTAAAATGTACATATATATAGAGAGAGAGACAGAGAGCGCACATACAATTTTTTATATATATACTCTCTCTCTTTTTATATATATAAAGAAATAAAGAGAGCATACAATTCAATGAGTTTTGATGACTGCATAAACCATATAATCCACATACTTATTAAAATATGAACAATTTCTATCATCTCAGGAAGTTCTCTCACACTTCTTTGCAGTTAATCCCTATACTCTACCAGAGACAGCCACTGCTCTAATCACCTCCCCTTCGATGGATTAGTTTTGCCTGCTCTTTTTTTTTTTTTTTTTTTTGTGATGGAGTCTTGCTCTATTGCCCAGGCTGGAATGCCTGCAGTGGTACAATCTCGTCTCACTGCAACCTCTGCCTCCCGGGTTCAAGCAATTCTCCTGCCTCGGTCTCCTGAGTAGCTGGGACTACAGGTGCACACCACCATGCCCAGATAATTTTTGTATTTTTAGTAGAGATGGGGTTTCGCCATGTTGGCCAGGCTGGTCTTGAACTCCTGACCTCAGGTGATTCACCCAACTTGGCATCCCAGAGTGCTGGGATTACAAGCATTAGCCGGGCGTGGTGGCTCATTCCTATAATCCCAAGACTTTGGGAGGCCGAGGCAGGCAGATCACCTGTGGTTGGGAGTTTGAGACCAGCCTGACCAACATGGAGAAACCCCGTCTCTACTAAAAATACAAAATTAGCCGGGTGTGGTGGTGCATGCCTGTAATCCCAGCTACTTGGGAGGCTGAGGCAGGAGAATCGCTTGAACCTGGGAGGCGGAGGTTGCAGTGAGCCTGAGATGGCGCCATTGCACTCCAGCCTGGGCAACAAGAGCAAAACTCTGTCTCAAAAAAAAAAAAAAAAGAAAAGAAAACAAATACAAGCATACAAATACAAGCATTAGCTACCATGCCTGGCCTGCCTTTTTTTTTTTTTTTTTTTGAAACAGTGTTTGCTCTGTTACCCAGGCTGGAGTGCAGTGATGCAATCTTGGCTCACTGCAGCCTCAACCTCCTGTGCTCAAGCAATCCCCCAACCTCAGCCTCCCAAGTAGCTGGGACTACAGGTGCGTGCCACCATGCCCAGCTAATTTTCATATTAGAGATGGGGTTTTGCCATGTTGCCCAGGCTGGTCTTGAACTCCTGAGCTCAAGTGACCTGCCCAACTCAGCCTCCCAAAGTGCTGGGATTACAGGTATGAGCCACCATGGCCGGCCTGCCTGTTCTTTAACTTATGTAAGTGGAATCTTATAGGCCGGGTACAGTGGCTCATGCCTGTAATCTCAGCACTTTGGGAGGCTGAAGCTGGAGGATCACTTGAGGCCAGGACTTTGAGACCAGCTTGGGCAACATAGCAAGACCCTATCTCTATTTTTGTAAAAAAAATTATCCAGGTGAGGTGGTGTGTGGCTGTAGTCCCAGCTACTTATGAAGTCGAGGTGGGAGGATCACATGAGCCTAGGAGTTCAAGGCTGCAGTGAGCCATGATTGCACCACTGCACTCTAGTCTGGGTGACAGAGTGAGACCCTGTCTCTTAAAAAAAAAAAAAAAGTAGAACCTTACAGTATGTACTCTTTTGTTTCCACCTTCTTTTGTTTAGCATAATGTCTGTAAGAGTCACTCATGTTGTTGCATGTATCAGTGGTCCATTCTCTTTGTGGCTCAGCAGGATTTCAATGGACAAATATACCACAATTTGTTTATGCATTCTCCTGTTGATGGACTTCAGGATTGTTTCCAGATTGGGGCTATTGTGAAGAAAGTTCCTATGAACATTCTTAGCAAATAGGAGAAAAGAATAGCGATCGTATTGAACTTTTTTTTTTTTTTTTTTTTTTTTTTGAGGCAGGGTCTCGCTCTGTCACACAGGCTGGAGTGCAGAGGTGTGGTCTCAGCTCACTACAACCTCTGCCTCCCAGGTTCAAGCAATTCTCCTGCCTCAGCCTCCCTAGTAGCTGGGACTACAGGCACATGCCACCATGCCCAGCTAATTTTTGTACTTTAGTAGAGATGGGGTTTTACCATGTTGGGCAGGCTGGTTTTGAACTCCTGACCTCAGATGATCTGCCCACCTTGGCTTTCCAAAGTGCTGGGATTACAGGTATGAGCCACCACGCCTGGCCTGTATCAAACATTTGTTCTGCTGCATCTCCTCTTCTCAGCCCACCACTGTCTCCAAGCATTGCCCCAGCAGCAGGTGTAATCTGAACACACCTCACCGCAGCTGCCTCACATAGCTAGACTTCTCCAGCTCTGCAGTGCGGTACCCATGCATGTGGAAACGTAAAGCTGGTGGATAAATGCTTCCCCTTCTACCTCTAGGGTGGACAATTCTCGAGCCTGTTCTACATCGCCCATCAGAAGGCTCCAGAAGGATTGAACCCCACTTGCCCATGTGCCAACTGACTCATCAAGCACCTGACATTGGCTTTCCCTCCTCCACATTGCACAGTCCCTTACTCCTGTTCTCTAGGATCACTAGTCCAAATAAACCACCCATATGCAAGCCCTTGTCCCAAGCTCTGCCTCTGGGAGGAAAGAAACATAAGACAGCAGCTTCAGCAAATTATTTAGACGCATTCAGTCAAATGGCAGAGGTAAAACCTAAAAGTGTTAAAGAATAACTATATTACACTGCTCTCCTCTAACTTGGAGGTTCTCCTCTCTCTGTCTCTGTCTCTCTCTCTCATTATCATCACCTATAAGATGCATTTCAATTTCAGAAATGTTAAAATGTAATAATACCGTTCAAGTACATATTGTTGTCTGCTCGTTTAATATCTGTCTGCCTCACTCTTGTCATTTTCACCAGGACAGAGATGGAGTCTGACTCAAACATTGAGAAACACATCATAGGTGTTCAGTAAATATTTGTGAATAAGAGAATGAAGGAGAGCAAGGAGAAGAGAAACTGTCACATTCTTTCCCACTTTGCAATTGGTTTTGGAAGAAGAACTTTAAGGGGTAATTAATAAAAGATGTGAAGGGGAAAGGAAATCAGATGGAATCCCCAGGGAACTGAATGAATAAAGAGAAGATTCATGAAGAGTAAGGCTGGTACCAAGAAATAGCTTAACCAGCAAGATACCCAGGGCAGAGGCTTCCCTTGGAGGCCCTCCTTCGCTGGCCAGTGAGGGAGGACAGCTAACAACTTCAGCAGAAGGCAATACTGGCCCCAATCCCCTTCCCAGTATTTAAGAGAAAAAATAGGCTCAAATGATTATTCAAATAACCACATTTCCTAAACTGTAACCACAGCAGCTTACAGCAACTTTTCTATAAATCCTCTTCATGCTGCTTTTGTGATCCAAAAAAATCTATTTCTCAGTTCCCAGTGATACTACTTCCTACATAACATGTTTGGATTTCACACATTAAGATGATTACTGTGGATTAATAGAACAATAGCAGGATCACGAATGCCATGATAGTTAGACACAGGGTCATTTGCAAACAGAAAGAAACAGATTTTGAAGCATCCGAAGAGTGGCCCCGACGATATGCCTCTGTCTCTTTCTGGAGCATCCTGTCAGTTCCCCAAGTCAGGACCTCGGATAGACTGTAAGTGCTTCGTGTGAGGGACCAAGGAGGGATTGTGTAGACAGAGTAGTTTAGGAAAATGGACAGGTTTTCCCCCTCTTGTCCTCCTTAAGAAATCATAGCCAGGCCATGCCCGGTGGCTCACACCTGTAATCCCAGCACTTTGGGAGGCCGAAGCAGGTGGATGACCAAAGGTCAGGAGTTCGAGACCAGCATGGCTAACATGGTGAAACTCCGTTTCTACTAAAAATACAAAAAAATTAGCCAGGCATGGTGGTGGGTGCCTGTAATCCCAGCTACTTGGGTGGCTGAGGCAGCAGAATCACTTCAACCAGGGAGGCGGAGGTTGCAGTGAGCTGAGATTGCAACATTGCACTCCAGCTTGGACAAGAGCAGAAACTCTGGCAAGAGAAAGAAAGAAAGAAAGAGAGAGAGAGAGAGAGAGAAAGAAAGAAAGAGAAAGAAAGAAGGAAGGAAGGAAGGAATGAAAGAAAGGGAGGAAGGGAGGAAGGAAAAGGAAAGAAATCATAGCTGGATTTGCATTAGAGAGTTTAGACTGGATTTTAAAAAGTAGTCTAGTGTCCTTGTCCCATCTCAGAGCAATAGCAAGGACTTCTGTTTACCAGGATGAAAAAATGTGTTCTTTGGAAAATGGTGTAAGCTTAATAGACAAAGGCGGAGTTGTTTCATGCTTGATTTTTTTTTTTTTTTCTGAGACAGAGTCTCACTCTGTCACCCAAGCTGGAGTATAGTGTCACAGTCTCAGCTCACTGCAACTTCTGTCTCCCAGGTTCAAGCGATTCTCCTGTCTCAGCCTCCCAAGTAGCTGGGACTATAGGCGTGCGCCACCATGCCCGGCTAATTTTTGTATTTTTAATAGAAATGGGGTTTCACTATGTTGGCCAGGCTGGTCTCAAACTCCTGACCTCAGGTGATCCGCCCGCGTCAGTCTCCCAAAGTGCTGGGGTTACAGGTGTGAGCCACTGCACCCGGCCTATGCTTGATGTTTTAAGTAGAGTTTTAACCTTTCTATTCCATCCAGAAAACTACTAGGCATTAGGCTTGTATACCTCAGTAACAGACCAGCCAGGGGCCAGTTGGATTTACTGGTTCAGAAATCTCACCATCCCTGATGTCCGTGCTTTGTGGGGTGGTGACAGTGGGGCTCCCACTTAACCAGCAAATGAGCAGCTCGTGAGTTGCAGATGCCTCTCTTCTCCTGTGCAGAGATTCAGTGAAACAGAAATGTGAACCTAGCCAAAGAGCAGGGAGGGGAGGCTGGCTGTGTCCTGACTTGGGTGTGAGCTGGTTATACAAAAGATGGCCCCAAAATGCCAGTCAAGGGAGCACTGGATTAATTCCCCAGGATTGGCCAGTGTTAAATACTGGAGCTAGACCCTGTCCTACCTTTGAAGATGCATCTCTCAGAAATGCTCATCTTTCTGTGTAATCCCAATCAAAATTCCAGCAGACTTTTTCACAGAACTTGACAAGCCACTTTTTTTTTTTTTTTTTGAGATGGAGTCTCAGTCACCCAATCTGGAGTGCGGTGGTGCAATCTCTGCCACTGCAACCTCCACCTCCCAGATTCGAGCGATTCTCCTGCCTCAGCCTCCTGAGTAGCTGGGATTACAGGCGTGCACCACCACACCAGGATAATTTTTGTATTTTTAGTAGAGATGGGGTTTCACCATGTTTCCCAGGCTGCTCTTGAACTCCTGGCCTCATGTGATCCTCCTGCCTTGGCAGTTTACAAAGTGATGTTTACAAAGCGCTGGGATTACCGGCATGAGCCACCACCCCCAGCCGACAAGCCACTTTTAAAATTCATATAGAAATGTAAAGGACCAGCCGGGCGCGGTGGCTCACGCCTGTAATCCTAGCACTCTGGGAGGCTGAGGTGGGTGGATCACGAGGTCAGGAGATGGAGATCATCCTGGCTAACATGGTGTAATCCCATCTCTACTAAAAATACAAAAAATTAGCCGGGCATGGTGGCGGGCGCCTGTAGTCCCAGCTACTCGGGAGGCTGAGGCAGGAGAATGGCGTGAACCCGGGAGGCGGAGCTTGCAGTGAGCCGAGATCTCGCCACTGCACTCCAGCCTGGGCGACAGAGCGAGACTCCGTCTCAAAAAAAAAAAAAAAGAAAGACATGTAAAGGATCTTGAATAGCCAAAGCAACTCTGAAGAAGGACAAAGTTGGAAGGCTACTACGACTTGATTTCAAGACTTATTAAATCCTGCAGTCATCAAGACAATGTGGGATTGGTATAAATATGACAAATAGACCAATGGAACAGAATGGAGTGCACAGAAATAGACCACACCTATATGAACAACTGATTTTCAACAACGATTCAGAAAACAATTTAGATGTACACATGGGCCTGGTGATGCCACGGTGAAACGAGAGCCGAGTTTCTCGGACATCACACGCCTCGTGCTGTGGTGTATGGCCGTGGCCGTCTCCTACATTCACGTTTACGGCCACCAATCTTTTCAAAAGAAATATTTCCATATTGATGGATGAAATTTTAAAACAGCAGCAAGAACTTCTGGGCCTAGATTGTTCAAAATACTCACCAGAGTTTGCAAATAGGAACGACAAAGGTGATCAAGTTCTAAATTGCCGTTTGGCAGTGAAGGTGCTGTCCCCGGTAGATGGAAAAGCAGATATTCTGAGAGCTGCTCAGGACTTTTGCCAGTTAGTAGCCCAGAAGCAAAAGTGACCCACAGATTTGGAAGGAGCTATGTTAGGCAGTTTACTTAGTTCAAATGGTTCTCCTGATCCTGATTTAGTATTGAAGTTTGGTCCTGTGGACAGCACATTAGGCTTTCTTCCCCGGCACATCAGATTTACTGAGATTGTCTCTTTGCCTGCCCACTTAAACATCAGTTATGACGACTTTTTCTCTGCCCTACATCAGTATGCAGCCTGTGGCCAGCGTGAGGAAAAGCAGTAGTTATTGGTTGCATAATTGGATTTTAGGCTTTTAGAGAAAAGGACTCAAGTGACTCTGATGTTCACAAAGCACCTATGAAACCCTGTACACACCTAGTCCATAATCCTCATAATTTATCAACAAACACAAGTGTCTGATGTCTGACTTGAGAGAATGTGTGTATGTGTGTCTGTGTGTGCATGCGTGAGTGCACATATGTGCACCTTTGTATGTATGGAAATAAACTTATACATGGGGACGTACTGGAGAGGGAAATACATAGACATAGAACTTGGAGCAAATAGCAGCGATGTTGTAGGAACTGAAATGTCACACTTAAAGTCTTCAGCCCCGCCAACTTTCCTGTTTTTGTGGGGAGAAGGGGGCCTGATTAGAGCTGCTCTGGTTGTGTCTGGCGGGAGGTGAATAATTTTTGTTCAGTCCTTCTTAGTGACCAAACTTTAATTTTTAAGAATAGGATATTGACTTGTTGAATTGAAGGATTCTGTGAGGTTTTTGTTTGTTTGGTTGGTTGGCTGGTTGGTTGGTTGTTGTTGTTGTTTTTGAGACGGAGTCTGGCTCTGTCGCCCAGGCTGGAGTGCAGTGGCACGATCTCGGCTCACTGTAACCTCCGTCTCTCAGGTTCAAGTGATTCTCCTGCCTCAGCCTCCCGAGTAGCTGGGATTACAGGCGCCCGCCACCAGGCCCGGCTAATTTTTGTATTTTTAGTAGAGACGGGGTTTCACCACGTTGGTCAGGCTGGTCTCGAACTCCTGACCTTGTGATCTGCCCGCCTCGGCCTCCCAAAGTGCTGGGATTACAGGCGTGAGCCACCACGCCCGGCCGCATTCTGTGTTGAAAGGAGCTCCAGAGGAATGAAGTTCTGTGTTTCTCCCATGTTAAAAACTTTCTCACCTTCAGAACAGAAGGAATACAGATCTTCAGATATCAGTCCATTTTCTTCTCTTCGTTATGGTCAAACAGTGTGATTTGAGAGTGTCGTTCTGGTGTCTGGGTTCCAGACTGTGAGGATCATTTGAAAAATAACTCTCACTACATTGAAATGCAGAATTTTAAAAAGTTAAATGTTAGATTAGGCAGTCAGAAAAACAAACAAGCATAAAAGGTGAATGAATATGTTGTAATCTTCAGAGTAAAGGTGGGCACTGCTAAAAAGGAAGAAGATTTAGATTTTCTTTTTTGTTTGGTGGGCAGTATGCCATGTTATACCCGAAGTTGATTTAAAAAATATTTTCATCTGGCTGGTATGGTGGCTCATACCTGTAATCCCAGCACTTTGGGGGCCAAGGCAGGTGGATCACTAGAGGTCAGGAGTTCGAGACCAGCCTGGCCAATGTGGTGAAACCCTGTCACTACTAAAAATACAAAAATTAGCCAGGCTTGGTGGCAAGTGCCTGTAGTCCCAGCTATTTGGGAGGCTGAGAGGGGAGAATCACTTGAACCAGGGAGGTGGAGGTTGCAGTGAGCTGAGATGGTGCCACTGCACTCCAGCCTGGGCAACAGAGCAAGACTCCATCTCAAAAAAAAAAAAATTCCATCAGCTAACCTCTTCCTCTTTGGAATAGCACATTTTAGGGCCATGGTTAATACCTGGGATTTTACTCAGTAAATCCTGATGGTTACTGTGCATCAAAGATCTTTAAGTAGGATTGAAGGTCTGTGTGGGGAATAAAATATTACCAAAGTCTATAAAAATAATTTAATTTTACATGTTCTCTTCTATGACAGAGAACAGCACTGGTTCTGTTATTTTTGAAATGAATAATTGATTTATTAGTAGGTGTTTAATATTTCTTAAGTCACTACTGATTCTTAGAAACCATTCTTTATATTTGATAGACTGTTTTCAGAAAACTCTTATCAACAAGTGTAGAAGAGTTATCTGAAATCATACATTTAGAATAAAGCAGTTTAATACTAGATCTCAGAAGTTTGAAAAATAGCAAAGAAGACTGGTTTGGAAAGCATGGTCTAGAATCGCTTATCAAATTCTGAAGCTATGAAGAATAAATGTGTCACCTTTGGGTTACAAAACCCCATTTATGATTTTATGAAATAAAAATGATTTTAAAAAAAAACAAAGACAATTTAGAGGAAAAACAATAGGGTTTTCGAGAAATAGTGTTGGGAAAAAATGGGTATTAATATGCAAGTAAAATGAAACTTGATACAATGATTCATTGAACCATTTACAAAAATTAACTCAAAATGGATCATAGATCTATATGAAACCTATTAATTAAACTTAAAACTTATAGAAAAAAATCTTCATGAATGTAGGTAAAGATTTTTAAGGTATGATACTAAATACATGATCTATAAGAGAAAAAAATATACATTGGATTTTGCCAAAATTAGAAACTTCTGCTCTTTGAAAGACTGTATTAAGTAAATGAGAACACCAGCCATAGACCAAGAAGAAATATTTGCAAACAATATGTTTGACATAGGACTTGTATCCAGGAGACAAAAGCACTTTCAAAATACTATAGTAAGAAAGTTACAAAACCAATTTTAAAACAGACAAAAGATTTGAAAAGACATCTTATCTTATATTCAAAGAAGATATATGAATGGCAAGTAAACACATGAAAAGATGCTATTTTTAGTCATCAGGGAAATATAAAACAAAACCACAATGCAATACCATTACACATATATTAGAATTGCTAAAATTAAAAATACTTGGCCGTGCTCGGTGGCTCATGCCTGTAATCCCAGTACTTTGGGAGGCTGAGGTGGGTGGATCACTTGAAATCAGGAGTTTCAGACCAGCCTGGCCAACATGGCAAAACCCCATCTCTACTAAAAATACAAAAATTAGCTGGACGTGACACGCACCTCTAATCCCAGCTACTTGGGAGGCTGAGGCAAGAGAATCGCTTGAGCCTGGGAGGCTGAGGTTGCAGTGAGCCAAGATCGCGCCACTGCACTCCAGCCTGGGTGACAGAGCGAGACTCCATCTCAAAAAAATAGAAATAAATGACCATAGCAAATTTTGGTGAGAATATGGAGCAAATGGAAATCTCATACACTGCTGGTGGGATTGTAAAAAATTACAGCCATTTGGAAAACAAATTTTCTATGTTTTGAAATGTTAAACACACATACAGCATATGATCCAGCTATTTTACTCCTAGATGTTTACCCAAAACAAATGAGAGCCTGTGTCCATACACAGACTTGTAATGAATATTTACACCAGCTTTATTTGTAATAGCCAAAACTGGAAACAACCCTGAAATCCATCAACAGTAAATTAATTATCAAATTTTCAGGCCGGGTGCAGTGGCTCACACCTATCATCCCAGCACTTTGGGAGGCTGAGGCTGGCGGATCACCTGAGATCGGGAGTTCGAGACCAGCCTGATCAACATGAAGAAACCTCGTCTCTACTAAAAATAAAAATTTAGCCGGGCATGGTGGCACATGCCTGTAATCCCAGCTACTCAGGAAGCTAAGGCAGGGGAATTGCTTGAACCCAGGAGGCAGAGGTTGCGGTGAGCCGAGATCGCGCCATTGCACTCCAGCCTAGGCAACAAGAGCAAAACTCTGTCTCAAAAAAAAAAAAACATATATTCATAAAATGAAATACTACTTGCATTAAAAAAGGATGAACTATTGCTACATACAACAACATGGGTGAATCCTAAAATAGTGATGCTGAGCAAAGGAAGCCAGGAAGAGAGAGTACATACTATCTGACACCTAAGCGGAATTAGGAAACCAAACGATAAGGAATCCAAGATACTGCTGAGCCAGTTTGACTACATCTGTTGCCACAGCATTCCAAGGGCAATAATCTTCCCATCTGTACTGCATGTCTCCCCCAATTGCTGCCAGCCCGTGCAGCCAACGCCATGCACTCCTGGCTTGGTTTACCGCACCCTCTCCCAAGTACCTCCTCCTCTGCATTAGTTAGAAATCTAGATGCAGATAGACACTTAGGAATCTAAAACTTAAATTGGTTTGTGTTAGAAAATACACACTAATATTCTACATATATATTTACATAAATATATACTTATATTTATATAGAAATATAAATATATACTTATATTTATATAGAAATATAAATATATACTTATATTTATATAGAAATATAAATATATACTTATATTTATATAGAAATATAAATATATACTTATATTTATATAGAAATATAAATATATACTTATATTTATATAGAAATATAAATATATACTTATATTTATATAGAAATATAAATATATACTTATATTTATATAGAAATATAAATATATACTTATATTTATATAGAAATATAAATATATACTTATATTTATATAGAAATATAAATATATACTTATATTTATATAGAAATATAAATATATATAAATATAAATATATAAATATATACTTATATTTATTTATAAATATAAATATATACTTATATTTATATTTATTTATAAATATAAATATATACTTATATTTATATTTATTTATAAACATAAATATATACTTATATTTATATTTATTTATAAATATAAATATATAAATATAAATATATAAATATATATTTACATATATAAATATATTTATACACATAAATTATGTATATACTTATATTTATATACATTTATATTTATATATTTATATACATAAATTATGTATATATATTTATGTATATAAATATATATAAATATATATATTTATATATTTAATATTTATATATTTAAAAATATATAAATATATATATTTTTATATATACTTATATACATTTATATATAAATTTATATATATAAGTATATACTTATACATAAATTTATATATAAGTATATATATTTGTATATTTATATATAATTTATACATAAGTATATATATTTATATATATTTATATATAAATTTATACATAAATATATATACTTATATATTTATGTATAAATTTATATATGTATATATATTTACATATATTTATATATATTTACATATATTTATATATTATATTTATATATATATTTATATGTATATATATATTTGAGATGGAGTCTTGCTCTGTTGCCCAGGATGGAGTGCAATAGCATGATCTCGGCTCACTGCCACCTCCGCCTCCCGGGTTCAAGCGATTCCCCTGCCTCAGCCTC
The DNA here is from genome assembly GCF_000001405.40 of Homo sapiens. Taxonomy (NCBI): domain Eukaryota; kingdom Metazoa; phylum Chordata; class Mammalia; order Primates; family Hominidae; genus Homo; species Homo sapiens. The sequence goes on along the minus strand of NC_000013.11, from coordinate 98,605,183 downwards.
CTGAGTAGCTGGGATTACAGGCACCTGCTACCATGGCCAGCTAATTTTTGTATTCTTAGTAAAGACAGGGTTTCACCATGTTGGCCAGGCTGGTCTCGAACTCCTGACCTCAGCTGGTCCACCTGCCTCGGCCTCCCAAAGTGCTAGGATTACAGATGTGAGCCACCATGCCCACCCCTGGCTCCCATTTTCTTCTGTATTTTCACTTATTTGATCAATTTCCCTGTTTATAACTATTATAGACTGAATGTTTGTGTTCCCCATCTCCCCAATTAATATGTAAATTAATTATATCCAGTGTGATTTATTTGGAAACAGGGCTTTGGGAGGTAATTAGGATTAGATGAGGTAATGAGAATGAGCCCCTCATTGGCAAAATCCAACGTATATTTTTTTCTCTTATAGATCATGTATTTGGTGTCATACCTTAAAAATCTTTACCTACATTCGTGAAGATTTTTTTCTATAAGCTTTAAGTTTAATTAATAGGTTTCATATAGATCTATGATCCATTTTGAGTTAATTTTTGTAAATGGTTCAATGAATCATTGTATCAAGGTTGATTTTACTTGCATATTAATACCCATTTTTTTCAACACTATTTCTTGAAAACCTATCGTTTTCCTCCAAATTGTATTTGTTTTTTTAAATCATTTTTACTTCATAAATAAATATATATACATATGTGTGTGTGTATATATATATATATATATATATATATATATGAAGGGGAAAACTAGAATGGACCCTGTATTGTTGGTTTGGAATTGGAGATACTGATTGGTGTGGACTCATGATTTTTAATATATGTAGTTAGATACATAAAAAAGTATAAATGAGCCAGGTGCAGTGGCTCACGCCTGTAATCCCAGCACTCTGGGAGGCCAAGGTGGGTGGATCATTTGAGGTCAGGAGTTCGAGACCAGCCTGGCCCACATGATGAAACCCTGTCTCCACTGAAAATACAAAAATTAGCCAGGCAGTAGTGTCACATGCCTGTAATCCCAGCTACTCTGGAGGCTGAGGAAGGAGAATTCCTTCAACCCAAGAGGCGGAGGTTGTGGTGAGCCACAGTCGCACCACTGCACTCCAGCCTAGGCACCAGAGTGAGACTCTGTCTCAAAACAAACAAAAGTATAAATGTGAATGAGTGAATGTGAACATTTACACACACACACACAAGCACACGCGCACACATGCAGGCACACACACACTCCCAGGTTCTGTTGCTGAAAGCTCCTGGGATCAGTGACATCCAGTAATAATGAACACACCTAGTGCCGGCATTCTTACTCCCGAATACAACCCTCCATGTAAAGAATCAGAGCTCTTTAGAGAAATGGCTGATTCCAGAGCTGGAGCAGAGAAAATACTGCATGAGCCGAACCATCTTGTACCAGAAAATATGGAAATAGCAAAGAATAATGGAAACAGGTCAAAAGAACATAGAAACCAGCTTGAATGGGCTTCCACTGACAAATCTGGGTTAATTCTAAAATTGAAACAAATAATGGTAGTAAAGGATTATCACTATTGAATAAAACAGGGATCCATAAGTCCATACTGATGTAAAGAAATGAATAAATGGAAAGTTGAGATGTCTATGATGTTGGCTATTGTTTCTACTGTTAATCATCAGTCCTCTTCAATTAGGACACAAGTTTTTTTTGTTTGTTTTTGTTTTTGTTTTTGTTTTGAGACGGAGTCTTGCTCTGTCATCCAGGCTAAAGTGCAGTGTCATGTTCTGGACTCACTGCAAGGTCTGCCTCCTGGGTTCACTCCATTCTCCTGCCTCAGCCTCCCAAACAGCTGGCACTACAGGTGCCCACCACCGTGCCCGGCTAATTTTTTTGTATTTTAGTAGAAATGGGGTTTCACCGTGTTAGCCAGGATGGTCTCGATCTCCTGACCTCGTGATCCACCCGCCTCGGCCTCCCAAAGTGCTGGGATTACGGGTGTGAGCCACTGCACCTGTCCAAGATGACTTTTTTCCCCCTCAAAAATGAATTTGGATAGTCTGTCACTGCAGGCTTCATCTTCAAGATCTTCTCATCCCTTCTTAAAATGAGTTATTCATTTGTAAACTGGAGATTTCTTTGGGGGCATTGTCCCCATAAACTTTTCATAAAACATCACCCTTCTTCCACCTGTCACCATAAAATTTTATGTTTGTTCTTGCTTCAATTGTAGCAGAATTCATGTTGCTCTGATAGGGGCTCTTTTCTTTTCTTTCTTTTTTTAAATTTTTATTATTATTATTATGATTTTTATTTTTATTATACTTCAAGTTCTAGGGTCCATGTGCAGAACATGCAGGTTTGTTACATATGTATACATGTGCCACGTTGGTGTGCTGCATCCTTAACTCGTCACTTACATTAGGTATAACTCCTAATGCTATCCCTCCCCCCTCCCCCCACCCCATGACAGGCCCTGGTGTGTGCTGTTCCTCATCCTGTGTCCAAGTTTCTCATTGTTCAATTCCCACCTATGAGTGAGAACATGCAGTGTTTGGTTTTCTGTCCTTGCAATAGTTTGCTCAGAATTATGGTTTCCAGCTTCACCCATGTCCCTACAAAGGACATGAACTCATCCTTTTTTATGGCTGCATAGTATTCCATGGTGTATATGTGCCACATTTTCTTAATCCAGTCTGATAGGGGCTCTTTTCAAACTGATGTCTTATCTTTAGTGCTTTAAACTAGATCTTGTTTAACCAGGTTATACCAAGTTAGTATGAGTTTTATTTTGGTGCAAAAAAAAATGTTGAAATCCATGCATGGTTTTTTCACAATATGTATTTTCCATGAACTTTTTGAAGACTCTTTGCATACATAATAAATACAAATAAAAACATATAAAATATGTTTATACTATATGAGATGATGATGAGTTTTTTCAAAGTAAGATAAAGCAGGGAAGGGGCATTGAGAGTGTCAGGAATGGGGGAGGTTGCAAGTTTTAGTTATGGTGGCCAGTGAAAGCCTCACTAAGAAGGTAACAATTGAGTCAGAAGGTGCCAGAACAGACTGGGCATGGTGGATCACACCTGTAATCCCAGCACTTTGGGAGGCCGAGGCGGGCGTATCACCTGAAGTCAGGAGTTTGAGACCAGTCTAGCCAACATGGTGAAACCCCGTCTCTACCAAAAATACAAAAATTAGCCAGGCGTGGTCGTGGGCGCCTGTAATCCCAGCTACACGGGAGGCTGAGGCAGAAGAATCACTTGAACCCAGGAGGTGGAGATTGCAGTGAGATGAGATCCCACCACTGTACTCTAGCCTGGGCGACAGAGCAAGACTCCATCTCAAAAAAAAAAAAAAAAAGTGTGAGAACTAAACCCGTGGATATCAAAGGAGGATGTTAGGTAAGCTTCACTCCTAGGCTTGGAGGCAGCAGCACGCCTGGTGCATTGAGCGTTTGAGAAACAGCAATGAGGCAGATGTGGCTAGAGCAGGGTGAGCCAGAGAACAAATCAGCCAGAGAAGAGGTCAGAGAGTTGACTGAGGCTGGATCATGCAGGACCTTCCTTGCAAGCTTTTGTGAGGCTCTGGCCTGTGCTCTTCTAGAGCAATGGGGAGACACTGGAGGCTTTGGAGCAGAGGAGTGGCATGGTCTGACCTTTACTCTAACTGGATCACTCTGTTGAAACTAGACTCAACGGGACCAAGGATAGAAGCAAGAAAACTAACTGGAAGGCCATGGCAGTCTCTATTCAGGAGAGAGACAATGGTGTCTTTGACCAAGGGGTTATCATAGAGGTGGTGAGAAGGTGTCAGATTCTGGATATATGTTAAATGTAGAGCCAAATGGATTTGCTCTCAGATCAGATATAGATGGGAGAATAAGAGCGAAGTCAAAGATAGCCCTAGGGATTTTGACTTGAGCCACTGGGAAGATGGCCTTGCCATTTACTGAGATGGAAAAGGCAATGGGAGGAACAGGAGTTGGAGGGAGGATTGAGAGCCCTGTTTTGGAAAATGAAGGTTGAGATGCTTATTAGTATTAAAGTATAGATGTTTAGTAAGCACCTGGATATGGTTCAGAGTCCAGAAAGAATCCTGCTGGAGATATGAATGTGAGAGTCATCAACGCTGAATATTGATCTCACCAAAAATTACAATACAGCTATAATGGGAGGATGGTAGGAGGAGAAAGTATATGTGTGCATGGGTGCTCTGGGGGGGATTGTGTGTAAGAAGTTAACTCTTCATGTCATATAGCAGGAAGCCAGTGGTTGATAACTGATTTGGGGAAAAAAATTTGAGAAACAGCTGTATATGCATCACAAGAAATAACTGTTCAAAATCTTTAAAACCTTCTTTCTTGCCTTTTTTGAGGGGGGTATTTTTAAATTTTTCTTATTTATTTTTACTTTTTAACAGGTTTATTGAGACATAATTTGCATCCCATACAATTCATCAACTTCAAATGTACAATTCATTACCTTTCAGTATATTCACAGAGTTGTGCAACCATCGCTATTATAAAACTTAGGATATTTTCATTATGCCAAAAAGAAACCCTGTACCCTTTAGCTATCAACCCTCAACTCCCCCATTCTTTCCCCCTAGCCCTAGGCAACCACAAATCTCTTTTCTGTCTTTATGGCTTTGTCTATTCTGGATTTTTCCTATGGATGGGAATTACATAATATGTGGTCCTTCTGACTGGCTTCCTTCTCTGTGTTGTTTGAGTGTTTTTTATTCTTCTCCTCCTCTCCCCTCAAGTTCTGTCCCTTCAAACCCATCACACATTTCAGATTATTTGATTCCTACTTTGCAGAAGCCACTGTCATCTCTCCTGAATTTGTCCCTAGAAAATCTTGCCTTTGGGTGGGTGTGGTGGCTCACACTTATAACTCCAGCACTATGAGAGGCCGAAGTGGGAAGATCACTTGAGGCCAGGAGTTCAAGACCAGCCTGGGTAACATAGTGAGACCCCATCTCTAAAAAAAATAAAAATCAGCAGGGTGTGGTGGTACATGCCTATAGTTCCAGCTACCTGGGAGGCTGAGGTGGGAGGATCACTTGAGGCCAGGAGTTTGAGACTGCAGTGAGCTATGATTACACCACTGCATCCAGCCTGAGTGACAGGCTGAGATGCTGTTTCTGAGAAGAAAAACAATTGAAAATCTTGCCTTTGCTTGTGGCCCTCTCTGGCAAGAAGACACTGCCCTATGAGGGCACTAATGATGGCCACCCAGTGATGTGGAGGGGTTAATGCCATCCTGGAGATGCTCTTTTGCAGCCTGCTGGCAGTAACTTGGGCTCTGCTGCCTGAAAGCAGCAGTGCCTGAGGATTTCAGTCAACATTCCAGACATACTTTGTGAAGATCTACCAGCAGTCCCCACAACCCCACTGCAAATTACAAGGTATAGAAAGCTTTTGAAGAGAATCCACATTGAATTTTATATTTGGGATGGAATCCTGTAGCTTTATAAAATATTTCTATTCCCAAATATTTCTTTTCCTTTGCATTTGAACTAATGAAATAGACGTTTTTTTAAATTGAGTTTTGGACTTTGAACAGAGTGCCTTTGTTTTCTTGGAACATAGGTTACCTATGACAACAAAACCTTTTTGCACACTGGCTTTTGACCTGGGAATTGAAACAGAAGGCTGAGCCTGTTTTTAACATATTTGGGCACATCAGATGATGTTCTTTTAAAGAAGTGGCCATCATGTCCAGGGCACTGTCTTCCTGATACAAAAATAAAATTAGAAAGAGTTTTATTTTCCATGCATTAAAACATTCAGATTTTAATCCCATCTATCCAAGGGGTTTCTCTAGAGCTTTCAGAGCATAATGTATTGGGTTTTCCAAAGAAGACAACTTCTTTAATAATTAAGGGCTTTTTGTATGCATTTCTTATATGAAATAATGGCACGAACTGAGAAATAGTCCTTTTGCAAAGCAAATGTAACATTTGTACAAAAAAGAACAAAATTAAAAGATTTCTTGATTTAAGGTCCTTTTTAAAAATTAAAGCTGTCAATTTTTTTGTCTCAAAAGAGATTTAGTAAAGATGAAAGACAAAAGACAACAGTATCTTCAATCACTAGCTTATTAAAGGAAGACTAGGTAGAATAGACTTTATTCTAAGAAAAATAGGAGGCCATTGAAGGGCTTTTAGTATGTGAGAAACATGATTTGGTTTGCTGGTGGAGAATCTACTGGAAGGGGCAAGAGTGAAGCAGGGAGACCAGGGGAGAGATAAGAGTGGTTTAGAGAGATGCTCTCAAACATGCAAATGACTTGCAGTTGCATGAAATGTAAATTCTGATTAATAGAATCAGTGTTTGGGTTGCACCTGAGACACTGCATTTTGTTTGTTTGCTTGTTTGTTTGATTGTTTTGAGATGGAGTCTTACTCTGTTGCCCAGGCTGGAGTGCAGTGGCATGATCTCGGCTCATTACAACCTCCACTTCTCAGGTTCAGTCGACTCTCCTGCCTCAGCCTTCCAAGTAGCTGGGATTACAGGCATGTGTCATCATGCCCGGCTAATTTTTGTATTTTTAGTAGAGACAGGGTTTCACCATGTTGGCCACGCTAGTCTTAAACTCCTGACCTCAAGCGATCCTCCCACCTTGGCCTCCCAAAGTGCTGGGATTACAGGCGTGAGCCACCATGCCCAGCCTGAGCCACCGCATTTCTAACAAGCCCCCAGGTAAATAATGATGTTCCTAATGCTGAACCACACCGAGTAGCAAGGGTTTCGGGTAGGATGATAACAGCACAGAAGGAGGAAATGGATGGATTTGAGAACTATTTAGAAAGCTCTGAAATTTAGGATCCTATATTTAGGATAATAGGACTCCCTGACTGACCAGGAGGAGGGGACCCAAGGATCACCAAGGATGGGTCCCATGTTTTTGAGCAGGAGGGATTGTGTGGTCTGATTAGTCGACGTTGGGAACAAGAGAAGGGAGTTTCTAGGGGGAGCTCCTGAGCTTAGGAAACATCCGAATGAAGTGGGCAGGGAGATGGATTTCTAAGTCTTGAGCTCAGGAGAGAAGGCTAGAGATGTGCACTGGAAATCATTAGGTAAAGCAAATGGTATAGTAGACCCAAGGGAGTAAAGAGGAGCGAGAGGATGAGAGAGCCTGGAACTGGCCCTTTAGGGCTTCTAGTATTTAAAGGATGGGTAAGACTGGACGTGATGGCTCACGCCTGTAATCCCAGCACTTTGGGAAGCTGAAGCAGGAAGATAACTTGAGGTCAAGAGTTTGAGACCAGCCTGGCCAACGTGGTGAAACCCCCGTCTCTACTAAAAATATGAAAAATTAGCTGGGTGTGGTGGTGCACGCCTGTAGACCCAGCTACTTGGGAGGCTGAGGCAGGAGAATTGCTTGAAGCCGGGAGGCAGAGGTTGCTGTGAGCCGAGCTAGTGCTACCACACTCTAGCCTGGGTGACAGGTGAGACTCTGTCTCAAAAAATAAATTAAAATAACATAAAATAAAATAAAATAGCCGGGCGTGGTGGCTTACGCCTGTAATCCCAGCACTTTGCAAGGCCGAGGCGGGCAGATCACAAGGTCAGGACATCGAGACCATCCTGGATAACACATTGAAACCCCGTCTGTACTAAAAATACAAAAATTAGCCAGGCATGGTGGCGGGTGCCTGTAGTCCCAGCTACTTGGGAGGCTGAGGCAGGAGAATGGCGTGAACCCAGGAGGTGGAGCTTGCAGTGAGCCGAGATTGCGCCACTGCACTCCAGCCTGGGCGACAGAGCGAGACTCCATCTCAAAAAATAAAAAAAATAAAAAAATACAATACAATACAATAAAGGATGGGTAATACTTATTAAGCCCACTGGGGATACTAAGAAGGAGAAACCTCAAAGGTCAGAGGCAACCAGAAGAACATTATAATACAAATGTCAATGGAAGAGATTGCTTCCAGAAGCCAGCATAGCCAACTATGTCAGGTGCCATGGTGAAAAGACAGAGGGCTGCAAATTGCCCATGAACTATATCTGCCTAGGTTATGGTGAATTGAATATGGCTACATGGTTTCTGAGGACTGGTGGGGGTGTGCACCAGGTTGGAGGGGTCTGAGAAGGGAGGATAAGGTAAAGGAATGGAACACACTTCCAAGAAGTTTGTCCGTGGAGGGAAAGAGGTACTGCAATGGTAGCTGGAGAGGTATGTGAGGTGGAAGGAAGGTTGTTTTTCTTTTTTCTCTTTTTTGAGATGGAGTCTCGCTCTGTCGCCCAGGCTGGAGTGCAGTGGCGCGATCTCAGCTCACTGCAACCTCCACCTCCTGGGTTCAAGCAATTCTCTTCCTCAGCCTCCCGAGTAGCTGGGATTACAGGCGCCCGCCACCAGGCCCAGCTAATTTTTGTATTTTTAGTAGAGATGGGATTTCGCCATCTTGGCCGGGCTGGTCTTGAACTCCTGACCTTGTGATCCACCCACCTCATCCTCCCAAAGTGTTGGGATTACAGGCTGAGCCACCACACCTGGCCTGTTTTTGTTTCTTTTAAAATGGAAGAGGCATGAGCATGTTTAAATGCTGATTGGAAAGACTGAGTCAAAATGAGAAACTTAAGATACAGAAGTGATAGGGAACCAGAGATAGCATGAGGTCACTGAGAAGGGGGCGGTGGAGGAAGTGGACTCAGATGTGAGAAAGGGCACATCCCCTTTATAACAACAAGAGAGGATTTGGACCAATGTCAATAGGTTTACAGACGTGGTGGTGAGATTCAGAACCATCTCTCTTCTGATGGATTCTGTTCTTGGGAAAGCAGGAGTGAAGGTCATGGCTAAGAGAGATGGATGGAAGTGGGAGTGCTGGGTGGTAAAGGGCACAGGAAGAATGACCACCTAGAGCAGCAGAGGTGTCTGCAGGCAGAGTTAGGGCCCATTTGAGACTGGTGACCCTGGCCGGGTGTGGCTGCTCATGCCTATAATCCCAGGACTGTGGAAGGCCAAGGGGGGTGGATAGCTTGAGGCCAAGTGTTTGAGACCAGCCTGGGCAACATAGCAAGACCCCATCTCTAAAGAGAGATAGGGAGACAGACAGACAGACAGACAGACAGACAGACAGACAGACAGACTAGTGACCTGAAGCCTATAGCCAGCAGGCTGTACAGAGAGATTTACGCTAGCTACTCAGCTGCCCAAGGGCAGGATGCAACAGGTGAACGTTTGGTCCATCTAGTGTTGGAGATTTGTTGGGTGAACATGCAAGAAAAGTACAAAGAGAAATAGAGCTTAGTCTAAGCTATTGAAAAGAAGGTTCTCTAGGCTATGGGACCTGGTACACAGCAGGTTCACAAGAGTTGTGTTGATTATTATAGGAGAATGTCCTATCATCCCCTCAGCCCTCCACCATTCCTGCCTGACCACTGTCACCTAAGCATACAACTCCAGCCTCTTTGCCCCAACGCATAAGCTATACAGATGTGAAAGTGCTTTTGACCCCAGAAGTGACATTTACTCCACATAGTCATTTTTCGGTTATTTTATGTGTCCCCAGTTCATTATTCTCTAGAGGAGAAAGTAAAGTCTCAGAAATTGGGTTCTTTGTTCAGATGTTCACTTTACCACTAGAGTAAGGTTATGTGCAGCTAGTTCTGAGACTCAACAAACAATTCCACCTAAGAAAAATCATCATCAGATGAGACATAGTATATCATTTATTACAAACATCATAACTTTTAAGATTCTTTATTGAGAAAATCACATTTTTCTAAATATAGTTGCACTTACAGTCTTTTGTTAAGTGGCTTATGACTTACTAGTCTGTAAGGATTACATTTGGTCTGCTATCTGAAAATGCAAAATTTCTACAGAAGAGGATTTCAACATAAAGGTCACATTAGGAATGAGTAGTGACCAAATCGGGACATAGGAAGTTGGGCAAATAACACTGCTTCTTTCCTTTTTTTTTTAGACAGGGTCTCCCTCTGTCACCCAGGCTGGAATGCAGTGGCACGATCTCCCGTCTCCTCTCACTGCAACCTCCACCTCCCAGGCTCAAGGGATCCTCCCACCTCAGCCTCCTGAGTAGCTGGGACTACAGGTGTGTGCTGCCATACCTGGCTAATTTTTGTATTGTTTTGTAGAGATGGGGTTTCTCGAAGTTGCCCAGGTTGGTCTCGAACTCCTGGGCCCCCAGAGTGGTGCTGGGATTACAGGTGTGAGCCACTGTGCTCAGTCAACACTGCTTTTTTTTTTTTTTTTTTTTTTTTTTTTTTGAGATGGAGTTTCACTCTTGTTGCACAGGCTGGACTGCAGTGGTGCGATCTTGGCTCAGTGCAACCTCCGCCTCCTGGGTTCATGTGATTCTTCTGCCTCAGCCTCCCAAGAAGCTGAGATTACAGGCATGTGTCACCACACCCAGCTAATTTTGTATTTTTAGTAGAAACGGGGGTTTCACTATGTTGGTCAGGCTGGTCTCGAATTCCTGACCTCAAGCGATCCATCCATCTCAGCCTCCCAAAGTGCTGGGATTACAGGTGTGAGCCACCACGCCTGGCCTAACACTGCTTCTTTAAGACAGAGTTTCTTCATCTGTTAAGTGAGGAAATTAGAAAATATGACTTCCCATATTAAGAGTCCATAGCTGAGCTATCCAAATAGCCACTCATGGCTGGCAGCTACTCTACTGGCAGCACAGATACAGAACATTTCCATCATTTCAGAAAGTTCACTGGATAGCTATGGTCCATAATTCCAGACTTAATACAATTACAATAGTGGGAAGATATTAGGATGCTTCCAGAAGTTATCATTTAATGGTTTTCCATTTCATCACACTGAACAACTTTTCTGGAATACACCTACATCTCATCTGGCTTAATGGACCAGGAGTAAACCGAAGCAAGGTGGCCCTATTGCAGTCCCATAACCTTCAGGTAATGGGGAGACAATGTATTCTAGATCTTTCCTGGCTTCCTTTCCTCCCAGCCCACTGTCTTTCCTTTCACATTTTCTTGAGTGTCAAGTCCTAAGTCAGCTACTGGGTACACAAAGATAATTGAACTTGTCTATCTGATGAGCCAGAAAAAAAAAAGAGATGATCATAATATATTTGGTAAGAATATTTGGTAAGAAATATAATAGCAGGCCCCTTGAGGTGCTATGGAAACTGAAGGAGGAATACCTAATTGGAGGTGCAAGAGGTGAGGGGGAGCTTGCCAGAAGGAGTGAAAACATCCAGGAAGGTAAAGGTAAAGGAAGGTAAAGGAAAGGTCAGAGGTAAGGATGCGTATGACCTAAAATGGATTCCAGGTATGCAGATTATGGTTTGCCTTAACTGTAACCCTGTTAAAATGCAACAATTGCCAAAAGAAAAGTGATTTGAACAACATGAATAACGAATACCTTTTAAAATTCATAGGATTACGTGAGTACCCAGAGTGGTAGGATTCATAGAGAGAAAGTGGAATGGCGGTTATGGGGCTGGCAGGAGGAGGGTGGGAGTTAGGGTTTCATGGGCACAAAGTTTCAGTTTGGGAAGATGCAAAAGTTCTGGAGATGGAGGGTGGGGGCTGTAGCGCAACAAGGTGAGTGTACTGGTGCCCCTGAACTGTACGCTAAACATGGCAAACATGACAAATGTTATCTTTTATCTGTTTAGCCATAAAAAAAAAAAAAGCTTTGTAAGTTTACAAAGAAAACTGATAGGATTATAAGCCTCTCTGTGGTATGCTTAATTTGCAAAGGCACTATCAAAATGTGAGCTGGGCCAGGTGCAGTGGCTTACACCTTTAATCCCAGGACTTTGGGAGGCTGAGGTAGGTGGATCACCTGAGGTCAGGAATTGGAGACCAGCCTGGCCAACATGGTGAAACCCCATCTCTACTCAAAATACAAAAATTAGCCAGGCATGGTGGCACGCGTGTGTTATTTCCAGCTACTTGGGAGGGCGAGGCAGGAGAATCACTTGAACCCAGGAGGCAGAGGTTGCAGTGAGCCGAGATTACACCACTGCACTCCAGCCTGGGGGACGGAGCAAGAATCCATCTCAAAAAAAAAAAAAAAATGTGGGCCTGGTATTCCTCATCCATTCTGCTGCCCTATCTTTAGAGTTGCTTCCTCCTCTGTAATAACAGAAGTGAGTTGATTCTAATACAGCCCATACCCCCAAACTGCACATCTCAAGACTATCCCATTTCAATGAGCGCTGCATTTCCAATCTACTAGTTTCTCACCCCCAAAACCCTAGAATCATCCTCAAGTCTTCTCTTTCTCTTATACTCTACATCTACTCCAGCAACACATCCTATTGTCTTTGCCTTCAAAACAGATCCGGAATTATATTCCATTTCACTATTCCTATAATACCTTTGTGGTCCAGTCCCCCATCATGTCCTACCTAGAGAAGAGCAAGGGCCTCTCACTGGTCTTACCCCACAGTAGCCCTGGCACCATCAGTTCTCTACTGTGCAGCCAGCCAGATACATTTAAAACTTCAGCCAGATCATCTCCTGCCTCTGTTCCAAACTCCCCAACAGCTTCCCATCTCCCAAAGATCAGTTCAAAGTCCTTAGGGTGGATCACAGGTCCCTACGTGATCTGCTCTAGGAGACCCCATCTCTTACCATGCTCCCTTGCCTGCTCACACCGCCCCAGACACACCTTCTCGTGACTTCAGAAATGTTCCAGGCACACTCCCTCTTCCTGGACTGCTCAAGTATAGAAAGCCACTTGGATCACTCCTCTCTTAATCCAGGTGTCCACCCAAACGTCCTGAGACACAGAGGCCTTCCCTGTCTGTCCTGTCTAAACCAGCTCACCCTGTACAACCCTCCTCCCGCCATCCTTCTTTATCCTTATTCTGCTTTGGTTTTCTTCATCACACTTTATCGCATTTGATGTGCTGTGTATTTGTTTGTTTCAGAGTAGAATATATCCTCCATGAGAGCATGGATTTCATTTTGTTTACCATCATATCCTAGTTTTCTGATCAGTCTGACTCATGCCGGCACTCAGTTCATAATTGTTCATGAATGGCATTTATGCTAATTTGTCACAGTTTGTCTATAATTATGGGATGTCTATAGACTGTGAAGATATAATTACATATTTTTCCTGGCCCCTCCCTAGCTCACTGCTTTAAGATAAACCTACCATAAAAGAATGTCCTTGACTATATCTCTCTCATATCAAAAACTATAGGATCATAGATTCAAAATGAATCTTAAGAAGTTCTCTGGTTTACAGCCACAGCTTCAGTGAAGACCATACATAACAATTATGCTATTTTGAAAGGCCTCCAGGGAAGAAGAATCCATGATTTTATCTGTTTAACTACATTTAGATCTAGGAGGTTCTTTTTAAAACCAAATCTAAATCCCTTTTCCTTTTACTCTGGCATCAGAAGAATTTTAATAAGTAAATACTGGTCAGCATTTACTTTCTTTTTTTTCTTTTGTTTTCTTTTTTCTTTTTTTTTTCAGAGATGGAGTTTCACTCTGTCCCCCAGGCTGAAGTGCAGTGGTGTGATCTTGGCTCACTGCAACCTCCGCCTCCCCGGTTCCAGGGATTCTCCCTGCCTCAGCCTCCCAAGTAGCTGGGATTACAGGTGCCTGCCACCTTGCCCAGGTAATTTTTGTATTCTTAGTAGAGACGGGGTTTCACCATGTTGCATTCCAGGCTGGTCTCGAACTCCTGACCTCAGGTGGTCTGCCTGCCTTGGCCTCCCAAAGTGCTGGGATTATAGGCGTAAGCCACCGCACCTGGCCATCTTTTTCTTTTTTCAATTTCCTTTTTCAAAAAGAATCCATGACTACTGTAGAAAAAAACAAACAAAAAAGTTATCCATACTGCTCAAAGATAACCTCTATTAATAGCATTTCAGATTTATATGTGTGTATATACATTTTTTAATTTTACTTTTTTTTTTCAGACAGGGTCTCCTTCTGCTGCCCAGGCTGGAGTACTGCAGTGCCATCTTGGCTCATTACAGCCTCAACCTTCTGGGCTCAAGCCTCCTGAGTAGCTGGGACTACAGGTGTGCACCATCATGCCTGGATAAATGTTTTAATTTTTTGTAGAGATGGAGTCTCACCACCTTGCTCAGGCTGGTCTCAAACTCCTGGGCTCAAGTGATCCTCCTGCCTTGGCTTCCCAAGTTGCTGAAATTACGGGCATGAGCCACCACATCCCCAGCCCACATATATATTAGTAAGTATTTTATTGACATGTAACACACAGAGAGAAATACACAAATCATGAACAGCTTGATAAATAACTCAAAGTGGATTCAATAGTGTAACCAACCATACCTTAGGTCAAGACATAGACCCCCCACCCCTCCTTAATTCCCACACCTTGTTCTCTTTATCTTTCCTAAATGTAACTACTCTGTGGATGTCTGACACTATAGATTAGTTTTGTCTGATTTTGAATTTTATGTAAGTAGAACCATGCAGTACTCCTTGGTATTTATAGTATTCTTTTATACCTGCCTTCTTTTATTCAACATTATATATTGAGCATCAGTGCATCACTGCATACACACACATACACACAAACACACACACTGTTTTCCATTTATTAAATCTCTCTTCAGTTGTATCTAATTAGCTCTTTTTGTTTGTTTGTTTTTTGAGACAGAGTCTTGCTCCGTCGGCCAGGCTGGAGTGCAGTGGCGTGATCTCAGCTCACTGCAACCTCTGCCTCCCGGGTTCAAGTGATTCTCCTGCCTCAGCCTCCCGAGTAGTTGGGACTAGAGGCGTGTGCTACCACACCTGCCTAATTTTTGTATGCTTAGTAGAGATGTGGTTTCTCCATGTTGGCCAGGGTGGTCTCTGACTCCTGACCTCAGGTGATTCACCCGCCTTGGCCTCTCAAAGTGCTGGGATTACAGGCGTGAGCCACCGCACCTGGTCTAATCAGCTTTTAAACCCATTATTCTTTGTTTTTTTGTTTTGTTTTGTTTTTGTTTTTGTTTTTAACATTGAACTATTGTATTTTCATTTGTAGATTTTCTTTCTTTCTTTCTTTCTTTTTTTTTTTTGAGACGGAGTCTTGCTTTGTCACCCAGGCTGGAGTTCAGTGGCGTGATCTTGGCTCACTGCAAGGTTGGTGGCATGAGCCACCACACCTGGCCAGAATTTTAACTCTTTTTTATAGTTTCCAATTGTCTCAAAATTCTCCATCTTGTCATTTAATCTCTTGAATGTGTTAGTCATGTTGATTCTAATTTCATGCTCAGCACTTCCATGTCTCCTATGCGTGAGTTCACATTGTATGCTTCTTCTCCCGGCTTTTGTCAAGTGTTATCTTTTTGTATACCTGATTTTATTTTGTAAGTTCTATTCTACTTTTCTACTTTGCCTGGAGTATTTTTTATTGAGTACCACACATAGTGTATGAAAAAATGCAGAGATGGTTTGAGGCTTTAGATGATAGTATCTTCCTCCAGAGAGGATTCATGTTTACTTCCGGCATAAAGTGGGCTAGGGGAGGCCGGGCACGGCGGCTCACGCCTGTAATCCTAGCACTTTGCCGGGCCGAGGCGGGCGGATCACCTGTGATCAGGAGTTCGAGACCAGCCTGGCCAACATGGCGAAACCCCATCTCTACTAAAAATACAAAAAAATTAGCTGGGTATGGTGGTGCTCACCTATAGTCCCAGCTACTTGGGAGGCTAAGGCAGGAGAATCTCTTGAACCCGGGTGGCAGAGGGTGCAGTGAGCCAAGATTGCACCACTGCACTCCAGCCTGGGAGACAGAGTGAGACTCCGTCTCAATTTAAAAAATAAATAAATAAATAAAAATAAGTGGGCTAGGGGCATAAGATCTTAATCTAATTTTTTGAGCTGATTTGAAGCTGGACTTCATTCCTTGTGAGAGTTAGTCTATTTTCCATTCACCCTTACTCTAAGAATGGAGTGCTTTGTGGTCCCAATCAAAAGCCTGGATTGTTTGCCAGAACTTCTCTTCCATAAAGGGCACTGAAACCCAAACTGTGCCCACCTGGCCCTGTCAAAGTGCTAAACCTCTGTTTTCCCTTTTGCCACTCAGTTGTCTTCCAAATTAGCAACTGCCTCAAGGAGAGATGCAGTGCCCGGTGCCAGGCTTGCCTCTCTTAGCTTCCATCTCTTCTGGATCTTGGCTCTACAAATTGCCTTGCTAGTTCTCTGATAATTCCAAGCACATGGGTTTTGGATTTTCCCTTGTTAACTATTCTGTCTAGCTTTTCTAGTCATTCTTAATGGCAGGATTGCTCTGAAATAAACTAGTCAGCCATATCCAGAAGCAGAATTCTACATATACATGAGTGAAAAATGTTATCATAATATAAATACTTTCTAATAACTTGCTTTTCTCACTTATCCATATATGAACCATCCACATCTTTCATAAGTATGTCAATATTAATTTGTGCAATAATTTAATGCTAGATAGAATTTCTACCATTCTATGATTGTAGCATAATTTTTAGCCAAATGGTTATAATTGTGTATTTCAAGCATTTTTCAATTTTTTCTCTCTTATAAACAGCAATATGATCTCATCTTCATATATACATTTGTAAGTAGTTGTAATTATATCCTATGTATCATATCTCAAAGTAAAAATTTATTTAAAAAGTATGAATATTTGAAAGGTTTTCTTGTTTCACTAAAGGTCCCTCTAGGAAAATCATACTAATTTATATTTCTACCAGTGGTACATAAGTGCCAATTTCTCTTTCTTTATTTTTTTTTTTTTTTTTGAGATGGAATCTCGCTCTGTCACGCAGGCTGGAGTGCAGGGGGGCAATCTCAGCTCACTGCAACTTCTGCCTCCCAGGTTAAAGCGATTCTCCTGCCTCGGCCTCCAGTGTAGCTGGGACTACAGGCCTGTGCCACCACACCTGGCTAATTTTTTTGTATTTTTAGTAGTGACAGGTTTTGCCATGTTGGCCAGGCTGGTCTCGAACTCCTGGCCTCAACTGATCTGCCTGCCTTGGCCTCCCAAAGTGCTAGGATTACAGGCTTGAGCTGCCACGCCCAGCTGATTTCCCTATATTTTTAAGCTTTTTTTTTTTTTTTTAGAGACAGGGTCTCACTGTGTCACCCAGGCTGGAGTACAGTGGCGTGATCATGGCTAACTGTATCCTGGAACTCCTGGGCTCAAGGGATCCTCCTGTCTCAGCCTTCCAGGTAGTTGGGACTACAGGAACCTACCGCTACACACTATACCTGGCTTTTTTTTTTTTTTTTTGGTTGGGGGGTTTCACTCTGTCACTCAGGCTGGAGTGCAGTAGCGTGATCATGGCTCACTGCAGCCTTGACCTCCACAGGCTCATGTGATCTTTCCACCTCAGCCTCCCAAGTAGCTGGGACTACAGGTGCATGTCACCACACTTGGCTAATTTTTATATTTTTTTGTTTTTGTTTTTTTGAGACAGTGTCTCACTCTCATCCAGGCTGGAGTGCAGTGGTGTGATCTCAGCTCACTGCAACCACCGCCTCCTGGGTTCAAGTGATTCTCCTGCCTCAGCTTCCTGAGTAGCTGGGATTACAGGCATGCACCACCATGCCTGGCTAATTCTTGTATTTTCAGTAGAGACAGTTTTCACCATGTTGCCCAGGCTGGTCTCGAACTCCTGACCTCAAGTGATCCTCCCACCTCAGCCTCCCAAAGTGCTGGGATTACAGGTGTGAGCCGCCACCATGCTCGGCCTAAGTATTTTCTAAATAATTCTATTATTAAAACTCAGTATTCTCTATTAAAGCTTGCCTGCGTCTGACTTATGAACAAGTATTTTCTACACGATTCTTTTATATTCTTATGGTGGGAACACTGTTGGGGTCACAAAGAAAAAAAATAAACTTGCACCCTGACTTTCCAGAGCTCATGATTCCTCACAGATGGTCTTCCATGACCCCCTTTTCATGAAGGTCCATGGTGATGTTCCTGGAAGGCCTGAATCCTCTGTAGACAGGTTCACCTCCTTGAGCTCTTACCAGTTATAGATGTATTTTGGACCTTGCCTTTATCTTGAACTACAATTATGTATTACAGCTCACAGTCCAGGATGGCTCCTTTATCTCTTTCTGTCGACGCTACATATTCACATAAGATGGCTGTAGTTTCTTTTTATTCCTTTATGTTACTCTCTTAAACTTGTCCTGTTTGAACCCTATTCTATGGTTCTTACCACTCACCCAGTTTACCAAAATCACTCACTCAGGTCAGAGGTCAACAAACTATGGCTCCCAGGTACAAATCTGTCCTGCCACCTGTTTGTGTAAATAAAGTTTCATCACAATACAGTCATGTTCACTCTATAGGTATTGTCTATGGCTGCTTAGTGATATCACTGTGGAGTTGGGTAACTGGGGCAGAGACCACAAGGTTCATGAAGCCTAAAATATTTACTTTCTGGCCTTTATGGAAAAAGTTTGCCAGCCCCTGATCTAAAGGCTGGCTATCCTTCTAACTCTATAAGAAGATCTTGAACTTCATAAAGATTTCCTCACTGCCAGATTAAGCAGCTGCACAAACCAAACCCCCAGCTCCCCCACTCCAGTGGATACAGAGCTCTTATCTGCTCAGTATCACTTTATTTAGGGCTTTAGGGCGTACCACCCCCTCCTTCCTGAATAAATCATTCTCAGTTTCTGGATTCAGATGAGATTATCTTGTCCCCTCCCACCACCCCAGGCCACTCAGAGTCCTCCCTGCGACTCTTGGCAGATCTGTCATGAAAGACAGCTCCCTTTAATCTAGGCTCTCAACCTGTTAGCATGATGAAGGCCTAAGGCTGACAGCAACTGTCTTGCTCCCATATGGAAGGAGCCCACCTAATAGTTATGCCAGCAGAGGTCAGGGAGCCAAAATAGGAACCCACAGAGTCCTGATTCCCTTCTTTGAATCCCTAGATGGACTATTCAGAAGCCAGCTTCATGTTCTGCAATTTTCTTCTTAAAACTTGACTGTGACTGATTCATAAATACTAGAATTCCCTGTTACATGAGCCCATTAATTACTCTTTCTGCCTAAGTTAGTTTTCACAGGGTTTCTGTGAAACTGAAAGAGTCTGGACAAGCATAAAAACTGGGACCATGGCCAGGTGTGGTGGCAAACACCTGTAATCTCAGCCACCCAGGAGGCCGAGGCAGGAGAATGGCTTAAGCCCAGGAGTTCGAGGTCACAGTGTGCTATGATTGTTTCATTGCAGTCTAGCCTGGGTGATAGAGCAAGACCCTATCTCTATTAAATAAATACATAGAAACCGGGACCAGGAGTGAAAGGTGCCAGAAGAAAATTGATTAGGTAAATGGTATGCATGAGGCTGAGTGGAAGACAGCAGAAATCTCAGAGTTTGGGAAGTTGATGAGCCTTGGTGCCAGTGAACCTCGATTTGAAGCTGGCTTCATAGACCAAACCTCCAACTCCCCCATTCCAGTGGATACGGGACTGTTATCTGTTCAGTGTCACTTTTTTTAGGGTATACCATCCCCTCCTTCCTGAATAAATCATCCTCTGTCCCTAGATGCAGGAGGGATGATTTTATCCCCTCCCACCACCCCAGGCCAATCAGAGTCAGGTATCTCTTGTGCCTTTGGACTCAAATCACTTATAGACTTTGGATCTGGGAAGTGCAGAGAATGAAGTTTTACAATGGTGCTTCCTCATCGACATCAAGAAACACAGTCTGTGTCAGGCACCACTGATCTAAATAGATGAGGGTGCTCCCTGCCAGAGGCAATTGGCCTGGAGGCTTTCAATACCAGGCACTGCCCAGCTGTCTGGGACTCGGGGCACGGACGGCCACCGTAATGGTGTGCCACACAGCCCAGTGTTTAGGAAGTTCTTAGTCTAAAAAAACCAGGCTGAGTGTGCTGATTACTTTTGTGGCTTTCAGTAAGTTGCAAGAAGAAATAGACAGGCTTCAGCCGAATTGGCACATCAGGAGGCCATGCAGTCTTGGATAAAAGCCACGGAATCTTGCAGAAGGAGGACTTTCCAGCCTGCACCAACAATCCCAAATTGGAAGAGGCATGTTTCCTGCAGAATGCAAAAGCTGTATGAACGCTCCCAAGTTGGAGTAAGTGAGAGTTAGTCAGAGAGGCGGGTAAACACCTGGGAAGTAAGCCTGAGAGCAGGCTTACAGGCTGGGTGTGTGACCTGCATGGTCACACATCACCCCACACTTAGAAGGGCCCTATGCTTGGTTTACTGCTCTATTCTCATAGTCTTTAAACTATTAATATGCTTTGAACAAGGGCACACATTTTTATTTTGCAAATGTAGCTGGTCCTGCCTGGGACTCTGGAGAAGTCAGAGAATCAAGTGACCCTGATCCTCCAAGATCCTTGGATCTAGCACCAGGCTCCTCCCTCCTCCTGCTGAGTACTAATTACTGGCTGAGTAATAATTTCCCCCATTGCCAGGCCTGGGGTATATCCAGGGAAACAGGGGCAGATTAACCCTGCCTATCACCTCAATCAACTCACTCAGAGGCAGAGAACTACCCTGAAAGAATAAGACCTTGGGCCCTAAGGGGCAGAGGGCTGAGCTTCCAGTGATGAGGTTTAGATTCAAAAGCCTGGACTCAATAAGCTTCTGGCTGCGGTTTCTTCTCAGTTTTCAAGGGAGTTATATCACCAGGACAGTCCCAAACTTGATGACTGTTTAATTCCCTAAGCCCATGGCTCTCAAACTCTGTCCCAAGGTGCTCTTGGGTACTGCAGAAAATTCAGAGGTGCCCATATGCAATATTTTACTTTTTTTTTTTTTAGGAAATATAGTGAGATTCAACATCTGTCAGATGCCACACTGACGGGTAGCTCAGGTTAACATTAGATCATGCTATATTCTTTTCAGTGGTGTCATATTATTTGCAAAGTGGTTGCTTATATTTTTGGAAGTTATTGTGATTTAAAAACACACAAAAAATCAATGTGGAACAAAAAACGAAGGTGGCAATGTCCACTGTGATTCAAAGATTGGGAAGTTGTGCAGTGTCCAACAGGAACACATGTCCCATCAGTAATTGGGATTACTTAAGAATACAATGAAACTATTATTTTTAAATGTACAGTACTATTTCTTCAAATGGCTAAGTTACTAAGACAGGAGTCCATATTAATTTGTTTGTACCTATTTTCTTAAATTTTTTTTTTGAGACACAGTTTCATTCTGTCATCCAGGCTGGAGTGCAGTGGCACTATCTTGGCTCACTACAACCTCCGCTTCCTGGGTTCAAGCTATTCTCGTGCTTCAGTCTCCCAAGTAGATGAGATTACAGGCACCTGCCACCATGCCCAGCTAATTTTTGTATTATTAGTAGAGATGAGGTTTTGCCATGTTGGCCAGGCTGGTCTTGAACTCCTGACCTCACGTAATCCACGTGATCCACCTGCCTCGGCCTCCCAAAGTGCTGGGATTACAGGCATGAGTCACTGCACCCAGCCTCTATTTTCTTAACTAATTGGCCTGTTAGGTATTTCCTTTGGCCCAGAGATACTATAAAAAAAGTCACTGAGGCACTAAGGGTGCTATGAAGGAGAACATTGGGAACTCTGTTCCAGGATATTCCCCAGAACCCCACATCTTCACCAACAGGAGGTGGGCTGGTCAGTCTGTCCCAGAATTCTCTCCAAGGTGGCCATGGAGGACCACATAAAAGGGAGCATCTCCCAAAGAGCAGAGCCAAGTGCAGCCCAAGGGCTGACCCAGGCCCCCCGACCTTATCTTCCAGAAAGGTTTCATGTACATTACGGACTGATGGATGCCTGCTCCCTTCCTTTTCTTTTCCTTTCAAATGAGAGTTTTTAAGGTAGTTTTCAAACATATCCTCCTCCATAATATATTAAACACATGAAGGGTGATCACATTTACCAATTAGAGATTGCTGGCCTGTGAAGAGCCATATCTCAGCTTGAAAAAGAGAAAACCAGATTGTCCAGAGCCCCTGGACCAGGAAACAAATGGCCTCAGTAGAAGGCAGTAGGGTTGACTCGCTGTGGGGAAGAGGTGAGTGTATAAATGGTTACTCATGGACTGGCTGTATTATTTGGGGAGGGGAGTACACACAAGAAGTTCTACATATGGAAAAAGAGAACGTGTGTGTGCGTGCGTATGTGTGCATGCATGTCTGGGCAGCCAAGAAGTGGAATGTATTAGGCCAGGAATCTTCTTTGCGTGGGGGAACTGCCCCTTCCACATTCCATTGTTCCATTATGCCGTTCAGGTTGGACTCTCCCATTACTGTGCCTTCTTGCCCTTTGGTCCCAAGAATGGACATGCACAGATGTGAATTCCTCCACTACATTTGGCATATGGGCACTGGGTAAGAAAAGGTCACTCTCTTCTCTCTGGGATTACAAGGACCACATGGGGCAGCTCTTGACACCATACCTAGAGAACCTAGATGAGAGGTTCTCATCTAGGAGAGGCTGAGAAGAGGTGAGAGGCAGAGGAAGACAGAGTTGATTTTATCATTGAACTCATCTTCTTGGATTGATCCAAGCCTGATTTAGCCAAGTGTTGATTTTTGTTGCTGAACTAAAATGTCCCTTTTTTGCTTATGGAGGTCTGAGCTAAGTATTTGTCATTTGTTATTCAAAGACTTCTGACTAACAGTATCTCCAACGTAGCTTCTTTGGGAAACCAAATTTAAAAAATGGCAGGAAAATTAAGGTAAAAGACAACATG
Organism: Homo sapiens; assembly: GCF_000001405.40. NCBI lineage: Eukaryota > Metazoa > Chordata > Mammalia > Primates > Hominidae > Homo > Homo sapiens. The sequence goes on along the minus strand of NC_000013.11, from coordinate 98,582,562 downwards.
CTTGCCCTTTTTGCAGGTGAAGCTTTGATGATAGGGTAGTGTATAGGTCAACATTTTTGTGATGATTTTAAGCTGACTTAAGTTTTGTGCATTGTGGAATGAGTATCTGCAACTCATAGGCACATTTTACCTTTGTGTGCTTGTACAATGATCTTCAAGCACATAATCCCCTGGATCTGGTTGAAGTGAAAATTAAAATGATTTCTTACAATTTGTCTTCCTTGTCAGAAAACAGGGCCAAGAGCTTTTAAAAACTAGTGCTGCAGTTGTGTGACTGTAGGCTGGATGACATCATCCTTCTGGGGATGATTTCATGTATGCCCTTTCTGGGTATGTCTGAAAGCAAATCCAGCTTCAAGAGGAAGGGAAATCTACACACACAGCTCTTGATGAATCTTTGCATACTGAAGTCTTTATGAGCAGATTGGCAGGGTCAAGTGGCCACTGTTTAGAGGGTGACAAGCCCTGTTCATTGGTTCTTTGCCAAGCAAAATTGCACATGAGAATTTTTCTAGTGAGCTCGTTCAAGTGAGTCCTTCTAAACAGCCTGATGTTCCCTGGTGTGAGCCCCCAGAACTGCAGCAGAGAGCATGTGCAACAAAGAGCCCCCTTGGAGGCTCAACCCCCAACTCCCCTGGTAAATTGCACCTCCCAACACAGGGGAGGAGGCAGTGGGGGAGAAAGATGGATCTTGTTTAAATCTTTTGCCTGAACTGAGTATGGATAGGCCTGCAAAATATTCTGAACCCTTTTCTGGCAGATTTTTGTCACGTGTTCCAGATGATTTCTTTTAATCAGGAATATTTTATCAAGCAAACACCTATGCATTCTCTGTTTCTGCTCTCAGTTGTACAGTGATTGGAGACTAGTGTTCTGGTTTCTATGCAAGATAAAGTTTAAGGCCTACACCCAAGGAAATATGAAGCAATGCTTATTAGCAGAAGTGTGCAATGTGAAGTGCGCAGAAAGGTCCACAGGCCTTGGCAAGGGAGAAGGAAGCTCTCATTCCTGAAGCTGAGCCTGGAAGACCCAGCTAAAGGGGGGCTGACCAGACACACATTTGCAGAAAAGGAGGTGTGTTACGGGCTGACTTGTGTCCCTCCAAAATTCCTATGCTGAAGTCCTAATTCCTAGTACCTTAGAATGTGGCTGTATTTGGAGATAGGAACTTTAATAAGGTAACTAAGCAAAAATGAAGTAATTGGGATGAGCCTTAATCCAGTACGACTCCGGTATCTTTCTAAAAACAAAGAATTAGGGCCAGGCGTGGTGCCTCACACACTCTGGGAGGCCAAAGTGGGCAGATCACTTGAGGCCAGGAGTTCGAGACCAGCCTGGCCAACATGGTGAAACCCCGTCTCTACTAAAAATACAAAAATTAGCCGGGTGTGGTGGCGCTCGCCTGTAGTCCCAGCTACCAGGGAGGCTGAGGCAAGAAAAATGCTTGAACCTGGGAGACAGCGGTTGCAGGGAGCCGAGATCTCACCACTGCACTCCAACCTGGGCAACAGAGCGAGACTCCATCTCAAAATAAATAAATAAATAAATAAATAAATAAATAAATAAATAATAAAAACAGGAAATTAGGACACAGGAACACACAGTGAAGACCACGAGAACACAGAGGGAGAAGCTGGCCGCTACAAGCCCGAGAGAGGCCTCGGAAGAAACCAATCTTGCTGACACCTTCATCTTGGACTTCCAGCCTCCAGAATGGTGAGGAAATAAATTTCTGTCGTTTTGGCCATCCAGTTGGTGGTTCTTTGTTACGGCAGCCCTAGCAAACTAAGGCAGGGTGCAACTGAAAACCTACTTAGGGTGATATCCCTGCAAGAGCCTGCCCTCTGAGCTCTCCACGCACAGAATGAAACCTTATTGGTACCATTCCTCAATGTAGCTGGGATATTTTTCTGGGGCTTTGGCATACCTTTTCTTGCTATTGTGTCATCCAACAATGACTAGACATTCTTCTTTAAACTGATCTTGATAATTTGTCTTCACCTACTGAACATGTGTAGAAATTTGTCTAAGCCTTCTGTTAGTTACTTATCCAAGCTACTCCTATTTCTCCCTTTAAAGTTCACCATGTAAGTCCCTTTCTTTAATCTCTGAATTTAAATTGCTAATGCTCTACTTGTCTAGCTGTTCTTTATAAAGCAGCATTTGGGGGTGTTTATCTTTTCAACTTAGAAAGAAAAGTGAAGGGATTGATTGTGGAATTCTTGTTTTCTGTTCCTCTCTGAGCTCTGCTGAGAGTGCGTACAAACTAGCTTAGGGGCAGCAAATACATAGGGGCTTTATATTTGGAGGGGCTCCATATAGGGGTATGGAAATATTCTTTGTGGTCCAGAATATATTTCAGATCATAATTCATTGCCAGACTGATGTCCTTAAGTGAACACAAAAGACAAAGAGGACCAGGGAAGAAAAATAATTCAATGGATAAAGTAAATAACTCAATGGGTTAGTATCTCCATGGAGACCATAAAATGCATCATCTCTATGGAGACTCTCATAATCTCCTTCTGGACTTACGGTAGTGTATAACCTGTTGTAATCATACATTGGGGGTGGAGGGAAAGTGACAAGAGGAAGAGGGTGAGAGGATGATCCTTTTCTTTCCTTGGTGGAAATGATAGCTATTGCCACTCTAAGTTTAATCAATTATGGTATTGTATTCATCCAAAGTTAGGATTCTGGGAGACCAGGTCCCTAGGATGGGTTAAGAGGCACCTGAGGATCTAATGTTTATATGCCCAGTACTGAACTGGGTATCTGACATGTATTAATAGTTGGTATTCAAAAAAGGTGTGAATGAATGAACATAATAGGCAATTGCACCGGATCTGATCCCGGGCTCAGGCCCTGTGCATCATCTCTGTTGTGCAAAAACAAATAAGGTGGAGACCTACTTCTGCCATGGGGAATACTCGGTACTACCTGCATAGGGCCAAGGAGAACCAGTAACTCCCATGTTGCTTCCTTCCCTTCTTTCGATAAGAATGGTGCTCAACAGTATGAACATTGTCAAAGGATGAAACAATGGTCAGTGTGGAGAGAAGATAAACAGGGTTCGGGGCAACAGACCAGCTAATGGATGCAAGTCACTGTGTCCAGAGAAGTTACATCCTGCCGGAATCTCCCTGTTTTGAGCCTCACTAGCCTCAGGACACAAACTAGGATTCCGGTTATTTTTTTATACCCAGGGTACTATGGGCCTTTGTCCCCCATCTGCTGTGACTTATTTGCTGGCAATTAGCCCACTGCAAAGTGATTTCTGAGCATTTACCATGGTAATGTCTCAGATCAGCATCCAGACATTTCCATCCATTCATCTAGTTTCTTGCTCTTTATCTTGGTGCCAGGTTATTGCCCTGGCTCTGCTGACCCTAGAAGAATATTTTTACTGTCCCTTTTCTATGCTTAGACATGTTTAGATCCACAAATATTTACCATTGTGTTATAGTTGCCTCCAGTATTGAGTTCAGTCACATGCTGTTCAGGTTTGTGGTCCAGGTGCAATACGTCATACCATATAGCCTAGGTGTGTAGTAGGCTATGCCATCTAGGTTTCTGGAAGTACACTCTATGATGCTCACGTGACAAAATCAACTAAGAACACATTTCTCAGAATGTATACCCATTGTTAAGCAATACATGACTGTGTGTCTGTAGGCCATATATATTAATATATATATAGTCATTTGAGATCAGTCTATATACAGTGTTTTGTACCCTGTATTTTCTTTAATAATATATAATGAATACATTTTCCCCATTACTAGGTACTGAAAGACATAATTTTAAATGACTACATAGTACTCGTATGAAAATGCTATTATTTACTTAACCTCTGTGAGACTTTTTGGCTGTTCCGTTTCCCCAGGATTCTAAACATCACTGTGTCTTCTTACATGCATTCTTCCACACTTCTTGGTTGTTGCCTTAGGATATGTTACTTTAGGTAGAATTCCTGGGCTGCGCTGAAGAATAGAAACATTTTAAAGATTCACATTCTTGCTTGTTTTGCTGTTCGCCTCTTTAGGTACCATATTTTTTAGGTGTACAAAATTTATACACCTGATTTTAAGTTCCTGGGTATCAGGGTTCATACTTCTCTTAATTTTGTATTTCCTTGCAGTCCTACTTACGGGTGGCAGGGCTCCTCAAGGGATGGGTGTACCAATGACAACCATGAAAGTATTCTAAGGTATTCCCTAGGACTCCGAGAAAAAACATGCATCTTTCCAAAGGGAAAGAAGGGATTAGATGTTAGCATCCTACTCCATGTCAGATCCAGAGCACCCGGGGGAACTGAAGTTCGTGGATGGAATACAATGACACCTCAGAAAAGAAATACTCCTTTGGTGGAGGCCTTTAAACTTTTGGGGGCTCATTTTGTCTGCCTAACTCGCCCAGCCAGGGCGCAAAATGGCCACTTAGGAGCATGAGTGAGGTGCCAGCGTCCCTACAATCTAAGGAGCAGGGAGTCATCACTGGGGTGGCTGCCGCTCTACCTGTTTGCGACTGTAATAAAACACCTTCTGGAGGCCGAGGGACCCGCTTCATCCTGACTTTTCCCCTCAGTAGCTAGAGAGAAGGCGGCTGAAAAGAGGAGACAGAACTGGTGCTGAGTGGGCCTGGAGCTTCCGAGGCAAGGGAAAGAGGGAGAGGGCTGCAGTTCAAAGTCCAGACGCGCTTTCCTTCCATTCTCTTCCCTTCCTCCCTGCCCTCTGCGCCCCATTTTCCCCTTATCGTGGGTGGGGGCTTCTGATTTGCTGCGGATCCCAGAGATGGTGGGGTTCAGCCTCCGCACTGCTTAGCTAAGTTCCCAGCCCAGCAGTCCCAGCCGGGCTGTTTTCGGTAACCAAAGCACTAGGAATTAACCTCTCTCTCGGCCTCTTCCCTTTCGGTTTCCTTCTTGGGTTGGCTGGAAACTTCACCCAGACACCGAAGCAGCTCTGCCCGGCCTTTTGGCACAGGCCACCGGCCGAGGCCCCACGGGGCGCTCTCCTTCCCCAGGTGCCCCCGACTCCGATCCTGCCCTCAGGGGCTCGCCCGGGACGCGTTTTCCCAGAGGCCGCCGGGGCGGGGTGGGCTGGCTGGCGGGAAGAGGGGGCCGCGGCCCAGGCTCGCCCCGGCGCCGGCCCGGTGGGCACGCGGCCAGCCTCCGGCCCCGACTCGGTCCCTCCCGGCGCCCGCCCCAGCCGAGGCCCCCTCCCGGCCCCGCCGCCCGCCCGCGGGGGCGTGGGAGCGCCGCAGGAGCAGCTGGGACCCGGGCCGGGCCGACAGGCGGCGGCTGCGGCCTAGGGCTCCCGCGCGGCCACCGGCCTCTCCCCTCCCCCTCCCGGAAGCGCGGGGCGGGGTCCCCGGCCGGGCCGTGGGGGCGGGCGCGGGGGCCGGGCCGGGGCGGGACGCGCTCGGCGCTCGCGGGCTCGGCGGGCTGTGCGCGCCCACTCCGGCTCCAGCGGCCAGCGCGCGCGGGCCCAGGCCGCCCGGCTCCAGCCCAGCAGTAGCGGCAGCAGCGGCGGCGGCGGCAGTGCGCGCGAGGCCCTGCGCCCCCAGCAGCTCCTCCCTGGCGCCGTGCATGGAGACGCGGCCCGCCACCCGCCGCTGAGCCCCCGCCGCCCGGCCGGGACCCGCCAGGGCTGGGGTGGCCTCGGGCTCCGGCCGGCCCCGCCGCCCGAGGGCTGCGCGCGGCCCGCGGGCCTCGCCGCCCCGCGCGGATCGTCGCGGCCCGGCCGTCCCGTCCCAGGAAGTGGCCGTCCTGAGCGCCATGGCTCACTCCCCGGTGCAGTCGGGCCTGCCCGGCATGCAGGTAGGCGGGCGCGGGCCGCGGGGCCGGGATGCGCGACCGGGGCGGAAGCAGCAACTTGGCGGTATCCACACGGCGTCCCCCTACGCTCAGCCGGCCGGGGTCGCGCCGGAGCCTGGCTCCCCGCGCGCCCGGCTCGGCCGGGGGTCCGAGTCCGAGTCCCTGGGCGTCCCTGCCGGCTCCGGCGGCCGAGGTCTCCGGCGTGTGCGTGCAGGAGCCGTAGGAACCGCGGCCTGGGTCCGGATGTGGGGGTGCGGGCGCCTAGTCCTCCGCGCTCCCCTCGCCCCAACACTCTTCCGGAGCTGCAGGCCCTGGGTGGCCCTGTCCCCGGGAGAAGTGAGGTGGAGTGATGCCCTTGGAGGCCCCCGCCGGGTCCCGGGGCCCTGCGTGGTGGCCGGGTTGGCGGAGGGCCCCAGGACGCGTCCCCCAGGCTCGTCCCCCACCCCCGGGCAGGCGGGCGGGAGACCTGGGCAGGGCGGGGACGGGGAGCGCGCCTGGACTCGTCCGGGCCCGAGCGGAGTAGGCAGGGTGGAGTGGAGGAAGGTAACCGCGAGTTCCACTTGCAGTGGCTTTGCCCGGAGCCCCCGTGCACCTGCGGACCGGGGGAAAGTGCGAGTTGCAAACCTTCTGGAAGGAGGAATCCCTCGGACAGCCGCGCACCAGGGTCCCGGGCCCGGCCCCGGGACCCTGGACTTTCACTTTGAGACTTGGTTGCATTTACAGGAATTCTTCGCCCAGTAAACCTCTCTTTCGGTACTTGGTGACACCTTGGCCTACCAGTGACTTTTTGGGGAGTGGGAGAGGAGTTGAATTTCAAATTTACATGTATAAGTTAAAGGTTTTTTGTTGTTGTTGTTTTCGTTGTCGTTGCTTTTAGCCCTTTGAAAAACAAAGCTACCGTCCTTGGCTAACTCTTGTAAACTTTGTAGGCGCAGAAATGGTGGCAAAATGCTTAGGATGGAAATCTTAGGATGCAGTTAGGATATGTCATGAAAGTTTGCTCTGCCAGTTTAGCTGAGTGAACGTTAAGTGTTTGAAGAAAACCAAAAGCATCCAAGTAGATTACTGGTTGATTTACAGGTACCAACAGGCTCCTTCCCTGTGTCTTGAGGGCTGAGAAGCACAGAGCCCAGACCTGGGACTGCCTCTGGGGTCTGCTCGCCTCTTCCAGTGAGATCATCCCTCTCCCTTCTTTTTTTGAAACCGTAAAAAGAAAACTGGATTTCACTGTTCAGGTTTGAATTCTGGAAAAATAGGAACTCAAAGTTACCACTTTAATGGCAGCTAGAATTTTAGTCCAAGTGTGTGTGTGTGTATATGTGTGTGTGTGTGTGTGTGTGTATATATAAGCAGTATATATATGTGTGTATATATGTTTAAGCAGTAAATAAATATACATTTAAGCAGCAACAGTTAAGTTATTATCTTAAGAGTGACTGGGAAGATGCTTGAAGAATATTCTTTTGTCGACTCTCATTTAAGGAGCGTTGAATTTAGCATGCATTCAAAACCTAAACTTCTGCTGACTGCTGGGTAACAATCAGATGTGGTTTCTTGGTATTTTCTAAAGCCGCTTTGGTATGAATTTAGAGGTGTGTAGGTCAGAGTGAACTGGGTGAAAAAAGTAATTTCTTACTAGTCGAGCAAGAAAGGACTCTTGTAATGATTTAAAAAAAAAGTTTTATCAATATTTCCTTTAGGTTGATATTTATACCGTGTTCATCAGGTTGGAATCTAGCACAAATGCCTCACTTACTAGGTTAATTGGCCTTTGTGGATAGCGAATCAGTTTGAAAAGGTACTAAAGCCCCTTTGGCTGGTGCCGTGAAGTCAGTATCAGATGGTTACCAGGTGATATCTAGTATCTCACCTTTTCATTTTTATCCTCACTTTTTTTTTTGAGTGGGTCAGAATTCTTAAACCTTGGGAAAAGAAGATACATTTCCTTAATAACTTTGCCTCTCAACTATTATGTATCTGTTAGGTTGTGTTACATGGGAACTGTTTTTATTTTGTTTTCTCAGTATGAAAGATCTTAAGTGTTTCTCAGTGGAAAAGATGATCAGATTTTCAGCTGTTACAGTTTTACAGTTTTAGAGGTAGGTAAGTTGGCTTCTGCCAGTCATTCCTGTACCTAAGTACATCTACAGACTGTATGGTAACAGTGTATCATTTGGGGAAGAACATTCTTTTCTCCTCCCCCACCCCACAAAAGAAAAACAACAGCACATTTATTTTCTACTTCAAATTAGCAGTTGCTACTGCCCTGGGAGGCTTCCCTAAGAGTTGTTGCTGAAGATTCAATTAAAAACACACCTGCTTTCGACTGTTGTCTGCTAAATGGGAGGAGAGAAGTCCGTATCTCTTCTATGGCTTGCTCTGATAGGCCTCATAGCCCTCCCTTTTTCTTGTCTCCTGACCAGGGCTTATAAGGAGTTGGCTTAGAAAGACAGCAGAGTCTGTAATCTCAGCAGTTTGAGAGGCCGAAGTGGGCGGATCATGAGGTCAGGAGATCGAGACCATCCTGGCTAACATGGTGAAACCCTGTTTCTACTAAAAATCCAAAAAATTAGCTGGGCGTGGTGGCACACGCCTGTAATCCCAGCTACTCGGGAGGCTGAGGCAGGAGAATCACTTGAACCCGGGAGGCGGAGGTTGCGTTGAGCTGAGATTGTGCCGTTGCACCCCAGCCTGGGCGACAGAGGCAGACTCCGTCTCAAAAAAAAAAATAAAATAAAAAAATAAAGCAGAGTGAATTCAGGTGGCCTAGGCAAGGATGCTTGAAAAATAACAACCATGTTAGTATAAACACCATTTTTCAATGTTTTGCAAATCATTTTTATGCCTCTTGATTCTTACCGGTACCGTTTGAGATGTAGATGATATTATACCATTTTGTAGATGTGGAGACCAAGGAAGACTTAACTGACCAAGGTGAGATCATATATTATGTGGCAAATTTGTGATTGGAAACTACTACTCCTCCTACTCCCACTCATCATGCAGTGTTACTGTTTTATGGTTACTTTTGCAAACATTAAAGTTTATCTCATTGCTAGTTAGATTGGCTAAAGAAATTAGAAATAGGAGGCTGATTTTTTAATTTATTCAATCAGCAACCCTTATTGAACTTTCATGTGCCAGGTCCTAGGGGAGGGGTTGAAAGTGGTAGATCTGAATGAGGTTACCATTTAAAGTAAATGTTTAATGAAAGTTGCTGAAGCCTTTGCTTTTTTTCTCTTAAACCCCAGTTTTATATTTCAGTAGGGGAAAAAAATAGACATCAGAAACTGAATGAATATAGTGACGAATAAACATAAAGAAATCAGGCTGATCTGTGGCTATAAGTACTCCGTCTTTCATTGAGCATTTGTTGTTTCACTCAATTGAGATTAAAAGAAAAGCTTCAGATGGAGGCAGGAACACCAATCGGCTTTGAGTTTGCAGAAATGTGATTTAAAAATGAGATTTTGGTTTGCACATTTCTGTTACAAAATTTTATCAGTCACTTTTCAACTTTTCTGAACCGTGACCCATGTAAGAAATATATTTTACATCAGGATCAAAAACAAGTTTCAGGAGACCGTACTAATCCTTACTACGGGTTGAGTATCCCTCATCCAAAATGCTTGGGACCACAAGTGTTTCGAATTTTGGAATATTTGCATTATATGCTTGTTGAACATCCGAAATCAGAAGTGCTCCCAATGAGCATTTCCTTTGAGTGTCATGTTGGCGCTGAAAAGTTTCATATTTTGGAGCATTTTGGATCAGGGATGCTCAGCCTGTGCTTGTGATGTGCTGTTGTGGTATATTTAAAAAAGGAGCTGGTTGCAACACTAGATTGATTTCACAGCCCACTGATTCCTGACCCACAGTTTGAAAAATACTGAATTATATACGTCACATGTATTGCATATTGCAGGGCCTGGTTAATTTACCATGTTTTGAAGTTGTAAGTTTAACATAGTTTCATATTTGAAAATACAGATAATTTAGAGGAATAGCTTAAAAACCTGAAGTTTGTCTTGTTAACATCATCCTGTCCCCCTCGTTCCCCTTCTGTTTTTCTTGCTGCTTGGATAAATAGACCTTTGCTGAGAATGCCCCTTGCATCAGGATAGTGAGACTGGTGTCTAATGGCCAGTCTGGGAACATGGGGAGCTTTTCTCAAGTGCTCTGCTCCACCCTAGGGAAGCCTGTGCACTCTGGGAGTCTGGGAAATGAAGGCAAACACAGGACAGCTGCATTTAATTGTGGCTTAAGTGCTCTTGTACTTTTTTTTCTTGTTAGTGTCACATTTCCACGGGTTCTTTTCCGTTCCTTCCTTGGGAGGTGCCTGCCCAGTTACCCTGTTACCATCTGCACCCTGGGGGAAGGTTGGTGTGTCACTGGGTGTGGACAGTCAGGACATCCGAGACGTGGGTTCGGAGAGCACCTTGGGGACTTGCTGAACTGTGGAGTGTGCTCTGGTGACTGACAGCATTGGACTGCACAGGGGAGCCTGCAGAGTATAGTGCCCGGAGTCGTTGGAGGCAGAGTTCAGAGCCTCAGTCCATCCTGTCCTCAAGAGGTCGGCTGCCTGCTTTGGGGCATGTGCTCTAAGAAGGTTGCAGTGACTGAGGACACAGTGAGCAAAGGCACATGGTTGGAAAGCGGTGACACAGCTTCTGGTGGGCTAGATCTAGATCGGTCCTGGAGCTGAAGAGGCAGTGGGGTGCCTGTGGGCCTGGGGGAGGCCTTGCATCTGTAGACAGCCGGAAGTATGGCACATTTTTGAGCAGATGATCTCCTGTTCTTTGGGGCTCCTGCTTTCTCAGGTGTGGGGAGTGCTGGGTGCCCCTTTAGAAGGCATTGCAGCACTTCAGGGAAGAGGAAGCCCAGGGATGCGAGTGGGGAGCCCAGGTGTCAGTAGGACAGCCTAAGTGGATTTTTTTAGCATTCACTCAGCTTCGTGGCTTGAACTCTCAGTGAACATTTTATAGTATCTCATTACTCCTCTTGCTTTATGATCCTTTTTGCTGATCAGTGCTAAAGAGTAATAAGTACTCAGTTACTGTTAGTTACTGTTTTGTTAGTTAGTTGCCTATGTAAGTGTCAAAAAAACAAAAAACCTATTTTGAATACTCCGTGTTCCAAAATGTAACAATGGTAAGAATTTGTTTTGCTTGAAAGTGTTCTTTTTTGAGGGGGAGGATGGTCACAAGGTTTTTTTAAATTAGAAAAACCCAAACTTTTGGAGGAGTCCAGTCTCAGATCTGGGAGTATTCTTGATAGCATGTCACATAAAAGCAAGTGACCTTCAAGTAGGAATTGGTCAGATGAGATTTTCTAGCTTGCTAACTGTGCTGAGCAGTTATGGGCAGGTGGCGGCTGGCATCATTGCTTTCCCACCCTCTTTCTGACTTTGATGCTCTTCTTGGAGCTACGGTCTGATGCGTAGAGCTGAGCTGCCTAATGTGGTGCAGGTTGAGTTTCATTTTCAGTTCAGTATTTTTCCAGGACCCTGGTGCAAGATGCAGGGTGAGCAGTTACTGAAGGGAGGAGCCTGTCGATGGTCACTGCTACTTTCTGCTGTGCTTGTGCGGTTACACACACTCTAAAGCCGCAGTCCAGGCGTCCGATGGTCTCCTGAGAAACGGGCCCCTTAGCTCTTTATTTGGGCGATTACTCCCGATGATTCAGAGCTGCCCTTGTGGAAGCTCCTTACCTGCAGGAAGTGGACCACACCCAAGCCACCTTTCTGTGCCTTTTAATGCCTTAGCTCAGCTGATTATCATTAATGGAATCTTGTGGGTGGTGTGAGTGCAGGAAATAGAAGTTGCACTCTATTATCCATGTCTCATCGCGTAGAATCAGCCACTGTCGTCGGAGTAGTTTGTAGCAGTCATTTCCCATAATTCATGTTTTTGCAGTGGAAATTATAAAAAATATAAGTGCCAAATGCTTTGGGAAAAATAACCTGCCTCCTGAGGGTGACTATGGAGTTTCTTAATCCTAAATGGCTCCCTGGTTTGCAAGGTTTAAATTAGGGGAAATAAACTGAGATATGCCTTTGCTTGGTACAAACTGTGAAACATCCCAAATTGGTGGTTACCAGTCACTTTATGCGCACCCAGGGAACAACATTGTTGACTCTAGAGACCTTCCATTGTGTTTCTTGAGGGTTCTTCGTCAGCAAAAGAAACCTTTTCTGTTCTGCGCTCTGTTGGTATCTGAATACATTGTGGGAACATTTCAAGTTTTAAATTAATGCTTACCAAGTACGTAGCTGGGGTTTATCTTCCTATTATTTTAAGTCTCTTCCTGTTTTTTAAGAGAATTTTAGGCCGTAAGGTTTGAAAGAACTGTTACAGGTCCACATCCTTTGTTTTATTTGTAATTACTTAGGATTTTGTTTAGTTTCTATTTAGAAATGTCTAATGGGTAGTTTTGTAAGGTTGGTTGGGAAAGATAGCAGCTGCTTCCACCTCCCGCCATTTCTTATTCCCCGAGGGCAGCCCCTTTGATCTCTCCTGGTTGATTTTTGTTTTTGTTACTCCTTAGTTTATGAGGAACATTAAAAAATTGACCGGGGGCGGTGGCTCACGCCTGTAATCCCAGCACGTTGGGAGGCTGAGGCAGGTGGATCACTTGAAGTCAGGAGTTCAAGACCAGCCTGGCCAACATGGTGAAACTCTGTCTCTACTAAAAATACAAAAAAAACAGCTGGGCGTGGTGGTGGGCGCATGTATTCCCAGCTACTTGGGAGGCTGAGGCAGGAGAATTCTTTGAACCTGGGAGGCGGAGGTTGCAGTGAGCTGAGATGGTGCCACTGCACTCCAGCCTAGGTGACAGAGTGAAACTCCATCTCAAAAAAAAAAAAAAAAATTTCTGCCTGTGTTTTTTTTTTTTTCCTGGTTTCAGGCATTGTCTATAGACTTTGGACCCTGCGGATGAGGATTTACTTCTCTTCCGCTTGCCTCTTTTCCTCACATGGGCTCCCCGCTCTCCCCCAGCAGAGAGATGTTGTAATGTCAGTGAGGTCAGAATGCGGTGTGTACATTAATGGACTGCAGACGGATCTGCAGCCCAGCCATTATTACTCAACCATAGTTACTGATCAGATTTCTTTTCTTTTGGTAATGCTTCTCATTCATCCCAGCACTCTGTAGTTGTTGCAACCTTGTCTTAGGAAGTTCGGGTGGCACCTGTGCCTTTCGTCACCTGCGTATCTTCTATGCTTCTTGTGCCACCCCCATCCTCTGGTCTTCCTTTGCTCTCATCCTCTGGGTTCCTTCTGCTGCTCTCTTGTGTTGAATATCTGTTTTGTTTTTTTTTGTTTTTTTTTTTTTGTCTCTGCTGTCATTTTCTTTCTTGGTTTATGCCATGATGTTGGTTGGGCATATAGTGCGCCATTTTCTGTGAATAGGCAGCGTGGGAGACAGGCTTTTCAAAAATTTTTTTTCTTCTCCCTCAGTTGATATTTTAGCATGGTGTAAAATTGCAGGGTGGACATTCATTTCCTCCAGAATTTTAAAGGTGTTTCTCCACTGTGTTTTAGCTTCCAGTGTTGCTGTTGAAGATGGAGGCCCTGCCAGCACCGGCTTCTGTGTGTGCAGGCTGTGCTGTTCTTCCTGGACCTAATGGGATCTGAACTTTTTCCTTGAGTTCTGAAGTTTCACAATGATGTGGCTTGGAGTGGGGCTGTTTTCGTTTCTCGTGACAGATACTTGGTTAGGCCTTTTCTGTGAAGCGACTCAGATCTTTTCATTGACTTTTTTCTTTGATTCCCCTCCCCCCTTCCATTTTCTGTGTTCTTTCTTTCTGAAACTTTATTACTTGGATGGTGAACCTTCTGCATCGGCCCTCAAATATTCTTTTATCTTTTTTGTTTTTCGAGATGGAGTCTCGCTCTGTCACCCAGGCTGGAGTGCAATGGCGTGATCTTCATTCACTGCAACATCTGCCCCCCCAGGTTCCAGTGATTCTCCTGCCTCAGCCTCCCGAGTAGCTGGGATTACAGGCGCCCACCACCATGCCTGGCTAATTTTTGTATTTTTTAGTAGAGATGAGGTTTCACCATGTGGAGCAGGCAGGTCTCGAACTCCTGACCTCAGGTGATCCACATGCCTCGGCCTCCCAAAGTGGTGGGATTACAGGTGTGAGCCACCATCCCCGGCCTTCATTCCCCATTTTTAAGTATGCTGCCTCTGCTTCCGGCTGTGTCTGCTGCAGCCTGGTCCATATATCCTCAATTTTTCCTTCCTTTGCAGATAATATATTTTCATCATTTCCTTGACTTTGGGAGCCTGGCTGTGAGATGTGGGGCAAGCTGTCTGGCTGTCTACCCACTTCTGTGGCTGACTTTGAGGCTCTGCCTGGTTCACTCATTCCCCCGGCAGAGGGACTGGTGCCGTCAGTTCCTGAGAGCCGGGGGTCCAGCACTGTGAGTTAAGTTAGTTCTCTGCTGGCCCGGCGCGATGGCTCATGCCTGTAATCTCAGCACTTTGGGAGGCCGAAGCGGGTGGATCATTTGAGGTCAGGATTTCGAGACCAGCCTGACCAACATGGTGAAACCCCTTCTCTACCAAAAACACAAAAATTAGCCAGGCGTGATGATACACGCCTGTAATCCCAGCTACTTGGCAGGCTGAGGCAGAATTGCTTGAACCCAGGAGACGGAAGTTGCAGGGAGCCGAGATCGCGCCATTGCACTCCAGCCTGGGCGACAGAGCGAGACTGTGCCTCCAAAAAAAAAAAAAGTTCTCTGTTTTCTGCACCTCCGGTTTAGCGTTGTCTTCCTCTACTCCCCACCCCCCCCCTTTTTTTTTTTAAACCACTACCTACTTTCCAGCTTCTGAGATTTCATTGCAGTTGTCTTCTCTCTGTTTCAGGTATGTGGTGGTTTTTAGATTTATGATTTTAGTGGGATTTCAGGATTGACCCAATTAGATGCTGCTGTCTGTGTGACCCCTCTACCTCCAAGTTGCTATTCTTCAGTTTATAGGTGAATAAAGACAGGGCCAGGCAGGTGAGGAAATTCCAAGAGCTAGGACTGACTGCTGGGCCAGGGCGGCGGGCAAGAACTCGGAGCCTCCGTTCTCTTCATCATGAGATTGTGCCTCTTATTTTCTCCCTGTAAATAAACAGCAGTATACATGTCTGCTTATTTTTCCATCTCTCTACTGGTCGGTGGCCTCCACCTCCCCAACTTGAACTGAGAACCTGCTCTTCTTGCTTCTCTCATTTTTTTGGTCCCAAGATCCTGTGGACACAGAACGATGTCCGGGAGCCTCATAGGATCTCTCTGGAGAAACGCTTGCTTAAGTTTATGATGCTTTGGGGTTCCAACCCCCTGGTCCAGAATTGAGTATGTGCTTCTTGGCAGGGCGGAGGTGGCATCAGTCTGGTCGTATGTTCCGTGGTGGTCGGTGCAGGACTGGGGCACACGTGTGCCACAGATGCCGAATAGCCCGTCAGAGGGCCTGGGTGTTATGTGGCTGTCCCAGTGGCCATGTGTTAGCAGATTGCATGTTGCAGAGTCAGTGGTGTCTGCGCGCTGGGGGCACTGCACAGCGCTGGCCATAAATCCATAGCATGTTAATGGATGGAGGACTTGAAGGGTGCGTATCTAAACAGCGAAAGCTCTTCTTTGGGGTATGGCCTTCAAGTGATTTCTTGCTTAAGGACAGAGTACTTTCTTGGGTAGAATTTTACAGCAACGAACCATTGAGTAGAAATGAAAAACAGTCTGGAACTTGGGACTGAGCCTTAGCCCGCAGTTATTTTAGGTATAGTTTCGTCGAACTTTGGAAGCGTGTTCAATGTGGTGACTTCAAAGTTATTAAACTGCCACTTGAACTCCAGATGAAGAAAGGTATTGCTTGAGGAGCGTTCCTGTGGTATGTGTGATGGATGCAGTTTCCTGGTACCAAATATTTCTTGAGAGGTAATTCACACAGAAAAAGCTGGTAGCACAAAGCCTCACTTCTTCAGCAGTTCTGCAGCAGAGCTTTCTTCTCCCACCTGCTTCCCTGTTGCTTGCTGTGGGTAGGTGGAAGGACTGAGCCTGTGGCATGGCTGGATTTATGTCAGTCTAGAAAATAAACATCTTTGGAATTTGTTGCCCTTCATGGGAAGCCTTGTCGGAAGGGGACTGCTTTGATTGAGTTTTCTTCAGTGAGGGCCAGGCCTCTTGGTGAACCCTCAGGGTCTCTGCTGAGGGAATGGCTGTCAGACTAATTTTACAGATGAGAAAACCGAGGCTTATGAAACCTGCCCAAGGCCTCGGCTAGAAAACAGCATCACTGGGGCGGAAGCCCTGACTGGGAGGCCAGCATGTGTGTTCTTTTCCTTCCTCCCGACTGCCTGCTCCCTGGCGTGTCAGATTCCCTGCACCACATCCCCAACACAGCTCTGCCCTCCTGACCGTCACATTGTCCCTCCAGCCTCCATGAAACAGCTGAGTTCAGGGCTGTGAACAGAGGGTGTTTTGGGCGTTTTTATTTCCTTGTTTTTAACCTTTAAAGAAGAGTGTGTTCATGTTTCATTGTTATTCATTTTTTTTGAGGAAAAGAAAAATCTCCATTTCATTGAGGGCAGGTCCTTCCCCCATAGCCTGGCGTGCTTCTGGCTGGCAGCGTGCCTGGCACAGCAAGGTGGGCAGCTGGCGGTGTGGGTCCTTGTGGTCCTGTGCCGGAGGGGCTGGGCCTTCTTGGTGGCGGTTGTCTGCGTGAGAGGAGGTAGCTGACCTTGGCTGCCACCCCCATGCCTACCGCCTGGTGCTGGAGCAGAGGGAGCCCTGGGCCTTCAGCCCACCGGGCTGGCACTGCGCTGTCTGTGCACTCCTCCTGATCGGGAAACTTGTTCCTGGATTATTTTTAACTGGCTTCCTGGAATTTAGGATTGTGGGTGTGGGGGGCGGTGACTTGGACTTTCAGATGTTTTCCTTGTTCCTTTATCTCCATTCTCTGTAGTGAGCTCTGAGCCCCACCTCCTTAGGGTGGGCATGGAGCTGCTGACTGGCTCCTGTTCATTGCCTTTCAGGTGTTGCCCAGACTGTGTTGTTTTGGATGGTGAAGAAATAACTGAAAAAGTACCCTCTAATCGAATATAATTTTTTTTTTTTTTTTTTGAGATGGAGTCTCATTCTCGTGCCCAGACTGGAGTGCAATGGCACGATCTCGGCTCACTGCAACCTCTGCCTCCCGGGTTCAAGCAATTCTCCTGCCTCAGCCTCCCAAGTAGCTGGGATTACAGGCACCCGCGACCACACCAGGCTAATTTTTGTATTTTTAGTAGAGACAAGGTTTTGTTTGCCCTGTTGGCCAGGCTGGTCTCAAGCTCCTGACCTCAAGTGATCCTCTCGCCTTCGCCTTCCAGAGTGCTGGGGTTACAGGTGTGAGCCACCGCGCCCAGCCCTCTAATAGAATATAAGGCCACTCAGTGTCACCTGGAGGGGTTGGTAAAATGCAGACTACAGGCTCTGCCCTGCTGCCCTGGAGTTTCTGATTCTGGGCGTCTCGGAGGGAGTTTGTGTTCTGAGCAAGTGTCCTGGTGTATTGCCGCCTCGAGGATGACACTTTGAGAACCACTGCGCTGGAGAATCAAAAAAGAATCCTGAATCCTCATTGCTCCCCACTCTAGTGAAGCACACAGTAGCCTTGCCCATTTGAAAAGCAGAGCAAGCTACAATCAGTGCTTGCAGCCTATGGCTTGTATTTCCAAAGACTGACTTTGGAACCGCTGACCTAACTTTGGGAATTGAATAGGCCTGTAATTATAAGACTCATTAGAGCCTTTGCGATTTTAGCATGTATTTATAAACCTGTTGGGGGCAGAGGATGTGTGTTCCATGTCTTTTTGACCTTGGAACCTTATTTTTATTTTTAGAAATGGGAATCTCGCTATGTTGCCAAGGCTGGACTTGAACTCTTGGCCTCAAGC
Source organism: Homo sapiens (assembly GCF_000001405.40). Classification (NCBI taxonomy): domain Eukaryota; kingdom Metazoa; phylum Chordata; class Mammalia; order Primates; family Hominidae; genus Homo; species Homo sapiens. The sequence continues at coordinate 98,564,819 of NC_000013.11, read as the reverse complement.
AGTCCTCCTGCTTCTGCCTCTTAAGTAGCTGAGATTACAGGCTTATGCTACTGCGTGCCACTTGGAACCTTATTTCATAAGGAGTGCATCTCTCAAGATCTAGGGTGCAGTAGTCTTTTTGGAAAACCCCGAACTAGAACAAATGCTCTGAACCTGATAATTCTCAAATTTGTCAGGATAACTTTTCTTAACTGTGGTATTGCCTGCTGCTCCTGACTTCCTGATCAGATGTAGACGCCAGCCTAAAACTCAGGGCCTTTTTTAGTACCCAGCTTCCTCCTCTCTGCTCTTCAGCTCCTCTGCCCTGGGTGGGCTCAGCTCCCTGTGCTCCTCCAAAGCTCAGTGCCTGTTCCTGGGCCTTTGAACCTACCCCTCCCCATGCTCAGCCACTGCAGGATTCTCAGACTCAGTACCGCTTGCCTTCCTCTGCCTAGGGAGCCCTCGTAAGGGGAAGCCCCCGAGCAAGCTCTGTATCATCTGTCCAGCTCCTCTTAGCTCCAGGTGCTGGGATGCCGCAGGGGAGAGAAGGGCATACCCGCCGGTGTTTTTCCCACTGATGAAATGACCGTCTTTGGTTAGAATTGATTTTCTTTTCTCGGTAGCTGTTGTATTTAACACTTAACTAAATGTAATACTATACATATATTTCAGAATGGGAAAAAGTATTTCATATCAGTAGAGTTTTCAATGTTTGGGATGTTGGCTTTTATGTATAGTTGATTTGACTTTTGATTCAGAAGTGATCTCTATTTCTCTGTTATCTCTCCCCCCCATTTATTTTAATAATGTCGTCTGTTATTAGGGTGTACTGGATTTAGTTACACTTTGATTTTACCAGGCTTTCTTATTTGAGGGTTTTGGGGTTGTTGGCTTTGCTTTTGGTTTTAAGTGCATTGTAGTTTTTCTGAGGCTTGTTACAATTCATTACATGAGGAATTGGAAACTTTTTTTTTTTTTTTTGAGACGGAGTCTCGCTCCTTCACCCAGGCTGGAGTGCAGTGGCGCGATCTCAGCTCACTACAAGCTCCGCCTCCCAGGTTCATGCCATTCTCCTGCCTCAGCCTCCCGAGTAGCTGGGACTATAGGCACCCGCCACCACGCCCGGCTAATTTTTTTTTTATTTTTAGTAGAGATGGGGTTTCACCATGTTAGCCAGGATGGTCTCGATCTCCTGACCTCGTGATCCGCCCACCTCAGCCTCCCAAAATGTTGGGATTACAGGCGTGAGCCACCACGCCCAGCCTGGAAATGTGTTTTATACGGCATTTTAAAATACAAGGGTAAACAGCACATTATACAGACTTAGGGGATTGACCACATCAGGAAGAGGAGTTACAGAGATTTGCGCTCTTTTTTCCCTTTGTTATCGAAGAATCTGAAGTCTTTCTAAAACAACTTGTGTCATTCAGAATGCCTTCCCCTGCTTTGTCTTCTGCAAGAAAAGACGAGCTTCTGTGAAGTGAAACTACTTGCATTTCCTGGCCTCGGTCCCCCAACTGCCTGTGTTTATCTCTGAAGAATAAAGGCAGAGGATGCGATTGAAGTGTGCCATCTAATAGCATCGGTATTCTGGGTACACACTCCCAAAATTGACCTGGGGCCATCGGTGCTAGCCTTGGATGTTGTGGGATGGGATTTCATTTCCCTGGAGGCATAAAGTGATCACATAGTTTAAACAACTTCAGTTGAAAACTAGTTCTCCAAGTGGCATCCCTGGTTCCTTCCTCTGGGATGCATTACTGTGTATGTTGTGGAGCAAATCGTTTCTTGGGAGGCCTGAGAAGGCTTGAGAAGCTTCCCAACCCCCAAATATACAGACGTTTCTGTGCATGCAGGTACGTTCATATAAAATATGTTATTTTCTATTTTTAATTTTTTTTACCTTTTTTTTTTTTTTTTTTTAAGAGAGGGAGTCTCACTCTGTTGCCCAGACTGGAGTGTAGTGGTGTGATCTTGGCTCACTGCAACTTCTGCCTCCTGGGTTCATGTGGTTCTCCTGCCTCAGCCTCCCGAGTAGCTGGGACTGCAGGCGCCCGCCACCACGTCCGGCTAATTTTTTTGTATTTTTAGTAGAGACGGGGTTTCACCGCGCTAGCCAGGATGGTCTGGATCTCTTGACCTCGTGATCTGCCCACCTTGGCCTCCCAAAGTGCTGGGACTACAGGCGTGAGCCACTGCACCCAGCCTGGAACCCTTTTAAAGTGATAAACACCTCAGTACTTTTTACATGGCCTGTTGCATAGATGATTTCTTAATATTAGCTATAGCAATCAAATGAGAGTGTTTTTGAAATTCCCCGAAAATAATTCTTCTTGAGTTTGTCATTTTATGTCAGAGTAGTAGTAATTCCGTTCCTTTCTGCTGGAGGACTTGTGATAGTAAGGGCCTTTGGAAACCAGCAGAACAGCCAGTTGCTTATCGGCTGTGGTGTGCGAGTCCCGTTTCCTACCCTGGCCCCGTTATGCGTACATGGTCTATAAAAGAATCATGTGAAGTGGGGGGTTGAGGATTGTACAGAAATGGGAACCTTCACCCAGAAAAATATCTTCACTCCATCTCCGTTAAAGTATTTTTAAAGCAAAAGCATCTAGAATCCCAGTACTTGAGTATGTAGTTCTTCCTATTTTATTTGCCAGTTGTCTGCGTACACACATTTCCTTAAGTAATTGCAGTCATAATGTAGGTACACGTTGATATTGTTCCTCATTCAGCATTGTGTCATAAATATCATCCCACATTTCCATATGGTTTTCATGATGATTGTTTTACTGTCTTAACTGACTTCTGTGCCTCCTTTAATACAAGGCGTGTCACATCTTTTTTTTTTTTTTTTTTTTTTTTTGAGACGGAGTCTCACTCTGTTGACCCAGGCTGGAGTGCAATGGTGGGATCTCGGCTCACTGCAACCTCCACCTCCCGGGTTCAAGCGATTCCCATGCCTCAGCCTCTGGAGCAGCTGGGATTACAGGCACGTGCCACCACACCTAGCTAATTTTTGTATTTTTAGTAGAGATGGGGTTTCAGCATGTTGGCCGGGCTGGTTGGTCCTGAACTCTTGACCTCAGGTGATCTGCCTGCCTCCCCCAAAGTGCTAGGATTAGTGGCAAGAGCCACTGCACCCGACCAGCCCTGCCCCATCTTTAGGACAGAGGAGTACCAGCCAGAGATACATACTTGTTTGGCTCTGGCCAAACAAGTTAGAAAGAATAACCTTGCTGCTTTCTTTCTTTCTTTCTTTTTGAGACAGTCTCACTCTGTTGCCCTAGCTGGAGTACAGTGACGTGATCTTCGCTCATTGCAACCTCTGCCTCCCGGCTTCAAGTGATTCTCGCGCCTCAGCCTCCCCAGTAGCTAGGATTACAGGTGTGTGCCTCACGACCGGCTAATGCTTGTATTTTTGGTAGAGAGGGAGTTTCACCGTGTTGGCCAGGCTGGTCTTGAACTCCTGACCTCAAGTGATCTGCCTGCCTCAGCCTCCCAAAGTGTTGGGATTACAGGCATGAGCCACCGTGCCCGACCTCCTTGCTGCTTTCTTTTGCCTTTGGAGAAAGAAAAAATGACTCTCCTCCTCTCATCCCTGGCAGTGCTGTTGGAAAGCAGTGTGTTATTTAATGAGTTTTATGTAGTTAATTGCTTTGCCTAGGTTGCTAAGTGAGAATACCCACACGGTGGTGTTACACTTACACTCCTGCTGGGCACCTTACCCCTTGCCCAGTTGTATTCGAAACAAGGATCACTGCCTGCAGACTGGGGTCCACACATATACTCCTTGAGAGTGTGAGCATTCACTCAAGACAGCAGAACCACTGTCCTGGCTGTGTCTAGGCTCTGGCTAACTTTGAAGTGGCTGTGGGAGCCTGAGGAGGACAAACAGTTAGAATTCTGCCTGACTGAATTATGGTTTTTTTTTTTTTTCTTTTTTTTGAGACGGAGTCTTGCCCTGTCTCCCAGGCTGGAGTGCAGTGGAGTGGAGTGCAGTGGCGTGATCTCGGCTCACTGCAACCTCTGTCTCCTGGGTTCAAGCAGTTTTCGTGCCTCAGCCTCCTGAGTGGCTGGGACTACAGGCATGTGCCACCATGCCCACCTAATTTTTTTGTATTTTTACTAGAGACGGGGTTTCACCATGTTGGTTAGGCTGGTCTCGAACTCCTGACCTCAAATGATCCACCCACGTCGGCTTTCCAAAGTGCTGGGATTACAGGTGTGAGCCACCGCGCCTGGCCAGAATTATGTTTTTGATTGTCTTTTAGATGAATCTTTTATAAATATATGGTAAATAGTCTGGTTTAAAATAGCTCTTATATCTTGTGTTTCTTTTCAGCCTGTTGATTTAGTTAAAAGTCTCAGATGAGAAGGAGATTTGCAGGATAAGTGCCAATATTATGACTTAAAATTACTGCTCTGAATGAACATTCACCCCAAAATAGGACCAGTCTGCTTTTCAGCATAATCATACTGTATGCATTTTGAGTGGCAGGGCAGTAGTCATTGAAATAATACATTCCTTGTATAAAGTTTTCATCCCGTACAAGGTGCATAAGTGGGTCAGGGGCAATATTGAGCCATAGCGTTGAGCAGCGTTGAGTGGATGCTTGGCTGTGCCCAGTGACCCACGAGGACTGGAGCGTCGAGGGGAGGTGTCTGCCTGTTGGCACTGAGACTGTGAGTAGCTGCACATCATTTCAGGGTTTGCTGTCAACCGGCTTCAGATCAGTTTAGATCTCACCTCCAGAGGAGTTGGAAAAACTGCTGGTTTTCGGAGACTTTTGGATTTTGAAAGTTTGGATAAGGGACCTGGACCTTTACTACTACACTTCTATTATTACTGTTTTTTTAAGAGATGGGAGTTCACTATGTTGCCCAGTCTGGACTTGAACTCCTGGGTCAAGTGATCTCTCCTGCCTCAGCCTCGAGTGGCTGCAAAAGCAGGGACTACAGGTGCATGCCACAGTGCCTGGCTTTTTTTTTTTTCCTTTCAGTGATATGAGATATGAGAAGTTAGTGCTCCTGAATTTTGCTGGAACTCATTTGCTTTTTCTCTTTGTTCAGATTTTCAAATTTTTGTTTTGGTATGATTGGTTGTCTTTAGTGATTTAACTTTTGTGAGAAATGGAAACTATTTGGATAGAAGTACACTTTAAGAAAAAGAGGGAGTGTTGTCAGGCTTTGTTGTAAAGATCTTTGCTATTTTACGAAAAATGGTACGTAAGTGTAGACTTTGTGGCCATTTAATCGCATGACAAAAACTAGGAAGGGATTGTATGAGTCCATTTTCATACTGCTATGAAGAAATACCCGAGACTGGGTATTTATAAAGAAAAAGATTTAATGGACTCATAGTTCCACATGGTTGGGGAGGCCTCACAGTCATGGCGGAAGGCAAAAGAAGAGCAAAGTCACGTCTCACATGTCGGCAGGCAAGAGAGCGTGTGCAGGGGAACTGCCCTTTATAAAACCATCAGATCTTGTGAGACTTAGTGTCATGCGAAGAGGATGGGAAAAACCCTCCTGTGATTCGGTTACCTCCCACTGGGTCCCTCCCACAATGCATAGGGATTATGGGAGCTACAATTCAGGATGAGGTTTGGGTGGGGACACAGCCAAACCATATCAGGGATATATTAATACACTTTTTTCTTTTTTTTTGAGACGGAGTTCGCTCTTGTTGCCCAGGCTGGAGTGCAATGGTGCAACCTCCACCTCCTGAGTTCAAGAGATTGTTCTGCCCTCAGCCTCCTGAATAGCTGGGATTATAGGCATGTGCCTCCATGCCTGGCTAATTTTGTATTTTTTTTTTTTTTTTTTTTTTTTTTTTTTAGTAGAGACAGGGTTTCTCCACGTTGGTCAGGCTGGTCTCGAACCCCCAACCTCAGGTGATCCGCCTGCCTCAGCCTCCTAAAGTGCTGGGATTACAGGCGTGAGCCACCGTGCCCAGCCTAGGGATATATTAATATTTTTATTGTAATTTACTTCTGTGGTCACCATTGTTTGATGCAAAAAGAAGCACAGTTTTTCAATTGTAAGAAATAAAGTTTAAAATATGTGGACTGTTCCCAAATACATTCCCGATTTCACTTGTAACTTTGTTGGTTAGTCGCCTGCATATTTTCGTATAGAAAGGAGTTTGGAAATAGCAGTTAAGTTGTGAGGCTAGGCTAGAAAAGCCTTTTACTCCAAAGTCTATGTAAACTATAATCTTAAGAGTTAAGTTCCTGGTTCTGAAGGCAGGAAGCTAGTTGGCATAAGAGAGTTGGAGGAGGAGGAGGAGTTTTCTTTATGTTTCTGGGTGCAGGTTTCTGAGTTAGTTTAGGTTGGTCTTTGGGGCTGTGCCAGGCCTGGCTGTGCCCTGCAGTACCCCCTTCTCCATTGTAGTGCCCTCCTGGTGTTGTACCGCTCTGGTGTTTACTGCATTCCTCTTTGCTGCACCCCCTCTAGTGGGTTCAGTAGTTCCCATGAAAACAGGATTCCTCCTGTCAAAATTGCTCAGCTGGATGCTGGGAAAGTATTCCTAATAGTTCATAAAACCGGTAGGCCTTCTTAATTATGGGAAGAAAGATGTGTGTTGATCTGAATAGATATCTAATAGGTGGTATATCAGCCAATGTGTAAGGCATAGGAGATGGTGTTTAGAGTTGAAGAGGGATCTGTCATACGTCTGGTGCAGTGCTGGCATTGGGATTAGATGACTAACAGCTCCGTCTTCAAGGAGCTTATGGCCCAGTAGCAGAGGCACATGTGTCGCATACATTTCAATGGGAAAAAATGCATTTATGGAAGTATAAGGCTCAGAAGTAGCGCAGAGGAGGGGGTAATTAAGTATCTAGACCTAGCCGGCTGAAGATTAATAAAGGAAACAATGGCTGAGCTCTGTTCTAGAAGAATTTCTTTTAAAGGCAGAGGGCATCCAGACAGATTAGAATGTTCAAAAGCATGGTGTCTTTAAATGGCACAGAGTGTTTGGAAAAATACAAGGAATCCAATTCTGCCGGACTTAAGGGGAAAGGAAAGAGAACAAGACACATATGTTGAAGAAGGTAGTCCAGGACCAGATCATATCAGGTCCTAAAATAAGTGCTCCCAGACTACCTTGTCATTATCACCCATGGGACCATGCTGAGTGGTTTGGGCTTTAGCCTATTAGGTGATGTGACATTTCTGGGAAATTTGAATTGGCAGAATGAGACCCATTTTGGGCGTTGACAGTTTGGTGGTTAGACTGGAAAGGAAGGAGGCTGGTCCCCCAGCTAGGTCTCATTGCGGTTTCCCAGGTAAAAGCTGATGCCAGATCGAACTGTGCCACCAGTGGGTGGGGAGGAGGAGGGATTTGAGGGAGGGAGCTGTGGGGGTGAGCGGGGCAGGCTTCAGTGATGATGGTGATGGAGGGAGGGAGGTGCCCTGGGGCGAATGAACGCACCCACGCACCCAAGTCCTTGGGGCTGATGACTAGCATGGAAGATGAAGATCCTATGTAGATAAGGAATTCTGTTTCAGATGAGTGGATTGTGGGCAGAGGAAATGAACAGGCAGTTAGAAATATGGGTCTGGAGCTGGTGGAAGAGTTCAGGCTAGAGACTGAGTCTGGTGACTGATTAATTAGGTCATTTGTGCTAGCAACATGGGACGGCTGTTATCACTATACAGAGGGTGATTGAAGAGGGAGTAGCCTGTGTTTCAGATCCCAGACTTCATCACACTTGGCTACTCCACCTAGCTTTACCTGCTAGGCAAAGCAGGTTCTGCTCTGAATGTGAGCCCCAGAGTGTCCACACGGCAGCAGCATTGGCTCAGGTGGATGGATGGGGTGCGAGGTGCTGTGGGTGGCTGATCACCAGTGGGAACAGTGTGTCAGCTGGTCGTAAGTCAAGAGTAGCTTGTAATTTCTTAGACGACAGGAGTTCCTTTTAACAAATTTATTAGACAAATCATGTGTCTGAGCTCCACATACCTAATATATACATCATTTTGACCCTGCATCTCTTGTCCAGTTTAGTGGTGGTCACTTCCGAAGTGGGTCCTAAAGTAGTTTTCCAGTGAGTTGCATAGCAGAATTTAAGGCTGTTTAAACAGCCTCAGTCTTGGTTGCACCTGCAAAAATCGGGTAGAAGCCTCTAGGTGAGTTAAACCCAGCAGACTTTCATTTTAACCCAGGTGGGTGATTCTGGGCTTCCAGTGGTGCTGCTTTTACCATCCCTGGTTTGATGTGGCCCAGGGTGGCTGGCATGACCCTGGCTGGTGTTGTTACTCACCATTGGGGCACATACTCATTGTGTTACAGTGATTTTTTTGTTGTTGTTGTTTTTCAGTTGTAGGCAAAAGAACAACAACCTCAACTAGTTTAAGCAAAAAGAAGAAGGGGAGATTCATCTGCTCACAGCACTGAAAGGGCTGCAGTGGGCTTGACTTCCAGTACAGTGGAACGTGAGGGCTTACTTCTTAGGCAGGTGTGCCCCAGCCGATGATAAAGGCGGCTGCCCGCAGCACCCAGCCTTAATGATGTGATCCTGGGGGACAAAGAGCACCTCTTTTTCAGTAGCTCTAGCACAAGTTCTTAGGCAATGCTGAGCGTCCTAGCATAGTCCTTAACCCTGGACTGATCCCTGTGGCAAGAGGAGTGGGGCTCTGGCCAATCCATGCCCCCTGCCAGCCCTGTTGGGGAATCCAGGCCATGCGACTGACAATTCCCCGGGGAAGGAGGAGAAGTCAGGAAAGATAGAGTTCTTCCTGAAGTGGGTCCTGAGTATGGGACCGAATTTCTTATCCGGGCATTTCGTCAGGTATATGCTGATAAAAGACCTTATCTAGAGAAAGGAAGACATTTACATAAGACAGGGAGGCTGGTAGCCCGCACGGTGGCTCACGCCTGTAATCCCAGCACTTTGAGAGGCCGAGGCGGGTGGATCACAAGGTCAGGAGATTGAGACCATCCTGGCTAACATGGTGAAACCCCATCTTTACTAAAAATACAAAAAAAATTAACCGGGTGTGGTGGCGGGCACCTGTAGTCCCAGCTACTCGGGAGGCTGAGGCAGGAGAATGGCGTGAACCCAGGAGGCGGAGCTTGCAGTGAGCGGAGATTGCGCCACTGCACTCCAGTCTGGGTGACTGAGCAAGACTCCATCTCAAAAAAAAAAAAAAAAAGACAGGGAGGCTGATATGTGTAGGACGTTTTTAATTGGTTAAAACCAATCAGGAGTTTTCTGTTGAGAGTGAGGTTTTTATTTATTTATATATTTTTTTTATTGAGACGGAGTCTCACTCTGTCGCCCAGGCTGGAGTGCAGTGGTGCGATCTCGGCTCACTGCAAGCTCCGCCTCCCGGGTTCATGCCGTTCTGCTGCCTCAGCCTCCCGAGTAGCTGGGACTACAGGCGCCCGCCACCATGCCTGGCTAATTTTTTGTTTTTAGTAGAGATGGGGTTTCACCGTATTAGCCAGGATGGTCTCAGTCTCCTGACCTCGTGATCTGCCTGCCTCGGCCTCCCAAAGAGCTGGGATTACAGGCGTGAGCCACTGTGCCTGGCCGAGAGTGAGTTTAAACATGGTTATCCAACAATAGGGTTGTGTGTGCTGCCTGGAAGGCAGGGCATATTGTGCCAGTTATACATGAGGGGAAAAGGGATGGCATGAGCTCAGCGTTCACTCTGTAAAGAGCAGGTCATGATTATAGTCAGCTATGATGGTGGCTAGGTTATAAGATACACACTAGACCAATCAAGTGTAATAAGAAAAGATAAAAGCAGTGTTAGGATATTTTGGGTGATCATGTTCTTAAACTATTTTTTCTTTCTTTTTTTTTTTTTTTTTTTTGAGTTGGAGTCTCGCTCTGCCTCCCAGGCTGGAGTGCAGTAGCACTATCTCAGCTCACTGCAACCTCCATCTCCCTGGTTCAAGTGATTCTCGTGCCTCAGCCTCCTGAGTAGCTGAGATTACAGGTGTGTGCCACCATGCCTGGCTAATTTTTGCATTTTTAGTACAGACTGGGTTTCACCATGTTGGTCAAGCTAGTCTCGAACTCCTGACCTCAGGTGATCTGCCTGCCTTGGCCTCCCAAAGTGCTGGGATTATAGGTGTGAGCCACCGCGCCTGGCCTAACAATTTTCTTTAATATTTGAATGACTTAAGCATTCTAAAAATGCCAGGTTTTTAGTTTGTTTTTTATTTTTGTAGAGGTGGAGTCTTACCTTGCTCAGGCTGGTCTTCACCTTTTGGCCTCAAGCAATCTTCCCACCTTGGCTCCCAGAGTGCTCAGATAACAAGGATGAGCCACTGGCAGCTGGCCTAAAATGCCAGGTTTAATGGGGAAAGGGATTTTGGAGTTTTATCTAGGTGATTTGCTTTTAGTTGATTTAATCTGTGAGAGGTGCAGTGTTTTAGATAACCTGGAGGTCTGGAATGACCATGAGTACAACTTGGCAGGTTACATTGGAGCGCCTGTGTTGTTGCTGTTTTAGTCAGAGGTAATTTTAGTAATTAAAGTGAAATGTCCTGTTTTAAAGGAAGTTCTGTTCTGTAAAGAGCAGTAGGTATTAAATGTCTTTGGGAAGTATGGACTCTTTGGGGGGTTTCCTGGAATAATGAGGACGTTTGTTGTTATTTTTTCACAGCCTTGTATTTCAGTTTTTTTCTTTAAAGGGAGTAAGTTGCATATGGGGGGCTTAAATGCTTTATTGACAAGAAAAAAAACTGCACCAGGACCAATTCATCATCATCATCAGCTTCCTCCCCCTTCTTTCCTTCCTTTTTTTTTTTTTTTGAGACTGAGTCTTGCTCCATCGCCCATCACCCAGGCTGGAGTGCAGTGGCGTGATCTCGGCTCACTGCAGCCTCCACCTCCTGGGTTCAAGCAGTTCTCCTGCCTCAGCCTCTGGAGTAGCTGAGATAACAGGCACCTGCCACCACACCTGGCTAATTTTTGTATTTTTAGTAGAGGTGAGGTTTTACCATGTTGGCCAGGTTGGTCTCGAATTCCTGACCTCAGACGATCCCCCCACTTTGGCCTCCTAAAGTGCTGGGATTACAGGTGTGAGCCACTGCGCCAAGCCTCCTGTTCCTCCTTTTTCTTGCTTTTTTTCAGCCTGAGCAACTCTCTTTGTACTTCATCGGGCATTCCTTCAGCCCAGCCTGCAGCAGGATCCTTCTCATGCTGCGCCTCCTTTTCCTAGGCTACTGGGCATCTGCAGCAGTGTTGTCTCTCCCATCCCTCCCAGTCTCTGTGCAGCATCACCCACGGATAGGCCGGGATGTTTTCTTTGAATTTTGGGTGATGCTCAGAACAGAACTGGAAAAAGGCCAAAGGAGGCCTCTTGGGTGCCTGGAATCCTTGAGCTACTTTTTCGTTCCTTGGTGGAGGGATGTAGGTTTCATTTCTCTTCCTGACAGGCCTGGCCCGCCTTGTCTGCGTCTTCACCTTTCCTTTCTCTTTGGCGGATGTGGCCTTCCACCTCTGCCAGCACCTCTGAGAAAACTCGGAGGAGCTCCCGAAGCCTCTGGGCACTGCTGCTTGTGCTCCCCACCGGCAGGTTTGCACACTAACGCATGTGATGACATTGGCCCCTCGGCTTCTGGGGACCTCCTTCACCCTTTCCTCAGCAAGGCCCAGAGTTGCTGAGTGCCCGTCCGGCTCTCACGCACCCCACAGGGACTCTGGAGCTTAGCCTACCGTGGTGGCTGTCATTATTTTTTAAATAAATTTTTTTTTAGAGCAGTTTTGGAGCACAACAAAATTGAGTGTAAGGTGCAGAGATTTCCCATCCCCTTGGCTCCCACACCCACGGGGTCTCCCCTGGTGTCAGCATCCTGTGCCAGAGTGGTACGTTTGTCACAGCTGATGAGCCTGCGTTGACATGTTGTCATCACCTGAATCCATCGCTGACGGTGGAGCTCACTCTTGGTGGTGTATGTTCAGTGGGTTTTGACAAACGTATAGTGACATGCATCCACCACTGGAGCGTCCTACAGGATAGTTCCACTGCCTGGAAATCAGTGAGGGTATCCTGAAAACGTGTCCTTTTGGCCCTACTCAAGTGGTTTTCTGCAGATGCCATCTTCCCCTTGTTGGCGTCTTCGGTTTCTGACTAGACCGAAGGCAGTTTCTCTGGAGTGGCAGATCCTGGGTCCCCGTGGCTGGTCTGCCACTCAGAAAGCTGCCTGCCCTTGGGGTTCTCAAGGCGCCCTCGGTAGCCACCCTGGACCTCCACAAGGTCAGATTCTAATGGGCAGTTCTCATAGCTCTTTTTGGTGCTCTGCTCCCCAATTCACTTCGAGGCCAGGTTTAAAAGCTGAGTGCATGTCCTTCTCTAAGGAGGACCTCCTGCTTTGTTTTCTCTGCCTCAAATTTCCCTTAGTCTTTTCCCAGCTGGGTTGAGTGGAAGAAGACCTCCGCCGGCTTAGCTGCAGATGGTTTGCCTCTCTGCTGTCCCGTAGCCACTTGTGTCCCCAGCTGGCCTGTCCCCACCTTGCTGACCACACCTTCTCCCATGTTTCTGATCAATTTGGTACCCAGCGTCCAGGGTCTGCGTCCCTTCCCATCATCCTTGTTCCTGTGGGTGGTCGTTGTAGGGAGGGGAAAATACCCCATAGTGCCTCTCCCTACTGATGTAAAGATTCCTTTTAATAAAAATCAAGCTATTATAAAGTTTAATTTATTCAAAATATAGAATCAATACATGACTAATTGTTTAAAAATTAGACAATACAGAAGCATGATTTTATTCCCCAGGGGTAACTAATGTGGAGAGGAAGGATTCTGTGGTTCCCTTAACTGCAAAGGATTGTTCACTATCGTACATTTAGAGCTGAAGAGAAGGCTTGCGAAGGCCATTTGACTTTTTTTTCCTTCCTTATCGCAGCAGGTCCATCAGCAATGTCACGAACCTCTAACCAAGACCCCTCAAGCAATCCAATTTCTGCAGCACTTAAGTGCTTTTCATACTCCTGATGAGACATGATGCTCATTTCTCAACAAAGATTTATTGAATGTCTGCTATGTTTAATGCACCATGGTGGAGCCTGGGGAAGATGCCTACGCCATACCTGCTGTCCTTAATGAACTCACAGGCCAGCTTCGGGCAGACATTCCAGCAAGCATTGGAGTCCAGGCTAATAGTAACCAGAGAGAGGTACAAACTGGGTGAAAGAAAGGAACCCTTCCTGGAGGAGTCAGCATTTGAGCAGTTCCTGAAGGTGCTGGTGGGTAGAGGGCATTCCAGGCAGGTGGGTCTCTTCACAGAGTGGACTGCAGTTTGGGTTGCCTGACAAAGATGAGAAGGGTTAGGTTTTTCCTTCCTCCCTCCTGCATGAAATAATGGGAAAGAAGCCGTGATAGAAAGATTTAGTTTGGAGTAGGATAAAGGTGCTAAGAAAAAAAAAAAAAGAGAAAGTATGACGGGGGTTCCAAGTCTCCTTAATGGATTAGATAACTCAGAATAGCCTTGAAGAAGGCTTGGTGGCCTCGTAGCTTATTTCTGATTTTGCTTGAGGGACAGAAAACAAGGAGAAATGGGAAACGTAGATAAGTCTTGATTTTTTTTTTTTTTTGAGACAGAGTCTCACTCTGTCGCCCAGGCTAGAGTGCAGTGGCAAGATCTCGGCTCACTGCAAGCTCCGCCTCCCGGGTTCACGCCATTCTCCTGCCTCAGCCTCCCGAGTAGCTGGGACTACAGGCGCCCGCCACCATGCCCGGCTAATTTTTTGTATTTTTAGTAAAGACGGGGTTTCACCATGTTAGCCAGGATGGTCTCGATCTCCTGACCTTGTGATCCACCCACCTCGGCCTCCCAAAGTGCTGGGATTACAGGCGTGAGCCACCACGCCCGGCCAAGTGTTGATTTTTATAGGCTGGTCACAATATATATGCATGTATTTTTTTTTTTAAGTTGAACTTAATCTTCAACTTAATTCAGAAGTTGATTAAGGAACTTAATTCAGAAATTGATTCAGAAGGTTTTCTTTTTGCTTTTATTGTTAAAGCATTGAATTGAAAACACTGGAAGCAGTAAGCTGTATAAATGATTTCATTTTATTTTGCATACTTAGAATTGGGCATCTGGAACTAAACAAGAGAGTTTATGCAAAATTACATGCAAATGAGTATTTTTTTACCTTTGAGCCCAGAGCTTTAGGCTTCTACCCTGCTGGGAAAAGGATGCTGTGTCCCTGAGCTTTCATGGGACCACCAGTATAAGTATTAGAAAGGACAACTGGACTTGAGTGATAAATACTGATGGTTTGTCTTTAGAGAGAGAAGACAAAACTACAAGAAAGAGGCCATTCCTTTTTGTTGTTGTTGTTTTTGGAGAGAGGGTCTCGCTTCCTCACCCAGGCTGGAGTGCAGTGGTGTGATCATGGCTCACTGTAGCCTCTACCTCCCAGGCGCAGGCGATCCTCCTGCCTCACCTTCGAAGTAGCAGGGACTACAGGTGTGCACCACCATGCCCAACTATTTTTTGTAGGGACAGGTTCCCCCTATGTTGCTCAGGCTGGTCTCAAACTCCTGGGCTCACGCGATCTTCCCCCCTTGACCTCCCAAAGTGCTGGGATTATGGGCATGAGCCACTGTGCTTGGCCTGTTCCTATGTAAAATGAAAAAGAAGAAACAAGAAAGCTTTTACTGCTTCTAGAGAATTCCCTCAGTTGTAAATGACTAACAGTGTTAATGACGTTTCATGAACTAGGATGAAAATCTTTGTGGAGTATTGAATTGAGTCATCAAAGGGAAGCCTGCAGTGTTACAACCCTAGCCACTATAAATAAAGTGTATTAATGAGCTAGTAGTATGCTGCAGACGACCCACCTGTGGAAGTGAGATTCTTGTGGAAAAGTCAAGATCATTGAAGAGATGTGAGACCACCTAACTGTGAGGTTACACCAGGCATAGTCAGGAGGCAAGGAAATAGGTAGCTACTGTGGTCTGAATGCTTATGGCTCTCCACAGTCATGTTGTGAATCTTAGTGCAATTGTGTTTCGAGGTGGGGCCTTTAGGAGGTGATTAGGTGATTAGCTGATGAGGGTTCTGCCTTCATGAATGGAATTAGTGCCTGTCTCAGGCTGTTCTTCTGTTGCTATAAAGCAATTTATAAAGGAAAGAGGTTTAGTTGGCTTATGGTTCTGCAGGCTGTACAGGAAGCATGGTACAGGCTTCTCTTTGGCTGCTGGGGAGGCCTCAGGGAGCTTTGACTCATGGCCGAAGGTGAAGTGGGAACAGGCAGTCACATGGCGAGAGTGGGAGCAGTGGAGAGAGATGGAAGGTGCCACACACTTTTAAACAACCAGATCTTGCTGGAACTCACTATTATGAGGACAGCACCAAGCCGCGAGGGATCCACCCCCATGATCCAAACACCTCCCAGCAGGCCCCACCTCCAACACTGGGGATTGCATTTCATCATGCAGTTTGAAGGGGACCTCCAACCATATCAGTGCCCTCACAAAAGAGGTCCGAGGGAGCTTCTTTGTCCCTTCTGCTATGTGAGGACAGAGCTAGGAGGTGCCATCCATGAGGAATGGCACTCAGTACACACCGAATCTGCCAGTGCCTTGACCTTGGACTTCCCAACCTCCAGAACTGTAAGCAATGAATCGATGTTGTTTATAAAAGTTGCACAGTCTGAGCTGACTAAGACAGAAGTATTTAGGCTAATGGAGGAAGTTGCACAAGCATTGTTGGTGGTTAGCTGCATATGTTTCAGATGGTCAGAAGAAAAAAATTCTCTTCACTGAAATTGTGTTTCACAGCATGTGTTATCTACATGGTCTCAGGATAGTGTCTCCATTGGGGCTTGTATTAGCAACAGCCTAATTGCAGGAGGCCTCATGACCATTGTCCTACCCCGGGGCACTGATCGGGGTCTTCTCTATTTGTTATTACTAAAGGGCATACCTTGGGAGAGCCACATGTGTATTGAAGGTCATATGGTAGATCTAGTCATTTACTCTATTTTTTTTTTTTTTTTTTTTTTTTTGAGACAGAGTCTCACTCTGTCGCCTGGGCTGGAGTGCAGTGGTATGATCTTGGGTCACTGCAACCTCCACCTCTCAAGTTCAAGTGATTCTCCTGCCTCAGCCTCCCGAGTAGCTGGGATTACAGGTGCCTGCCACCATGCCTGGCTAATTTTTGTAATTTTAGTAGAGACAAAGTTTCGCCATGTTGGCCAGGGTGGTCTCGAACTCCTGACCTCAGGTAATCCACCCACCTCAGCCTCCCACAGTGCTGGGATTACAGGTGTGAGCCACCGTGCCCAGCCATTTGTTCTATTTTCATGTAGAAAGATGTGACACGAGGGAGAATAATAGTGAAGTGTACGCATCATCAGCTGTGTGATTTGAGGGTAAACCCTTGAGATGAGACAGTTTCTTGTCACTTGATGATTTATTTTCCTATCTCAGCCTTTAGTTGGAATTTACTGGGTGTGCCTGTCACTTGTGATTCAGCTGCTTCTTTATGTAGCATTGGCAGTTGTGGCTTAGAAAGGACAACACAGCTGAGGCTGCAGGTCACACCATAATGGGAACAGGGGAGCACTTACTATGTCCAGTTTTAAAAAAAACTTTGTTTTTGCCCCAGGAAAATAAAAAATTGTCTTATTTTAGCCCCAGGAGAATAAGAAAACATCTTATTTTTAGCCCCAGGAACTATAATATGTATGCATTTTTCTGTATTTTTTACAGGTGAGTAAACTAAGGCCTAGAGAGGCAAATAACTTGTAAGAGGTGGAGGTGGATTTGAAGCCACATGCACCTGGCCGTAGACTCCACGTTCTTCTCTTCATGTGGTGTCAGCTCCTCCAGTAGATTTGCTGCTGGAGCGGGAAGTTAGAGTCTCTCTGAGTTCTTAAGGGAGAGAGGGGAGGGCTTGGTGGCCCAGCTGCATAAATAGCCTCATCTACCATGAGGGTTTAGCAGTAGTTTGCTCTGTGTGGATAAGAACTACAGTGTGGGATCAGTTTACTGGAGATGAGAAGGTGAATGAGGCTGTGATATTGAAGTATAGGAAAGGTGCTTGCACATCATGTATTTTCTCAGTTTGCTCCTTTGGTCACAAAGAGTTGGTAATAAGGCGAAGTTTACTAAATTGATGGCTGAATACAACTGGGAGCCTTGCAGAGAAAACCATTTCACAGCTATTGATTTTACTCTTAATCTTGCCTCCCCAGCCCATGGCGTGTCATTACAGGAATCCTGGACAAGAGGTGTCTCAGTACAAATACTGGAAAACCAGCTGACTGCAAACAACCTATTGACTTTTTATCATAGTTGGTCATTAATTTTGTTTTAAAGAAATAGGGTCTCATTCTGTCGCTTAGGCTGGAGTGCAGCGATGTGGTAATGGCTAACTATAGCCTCGAACTGGTGGGCTCAAGCAGTCCTCACGCCACAGCCTCCCGAGTAGCTGGGACTATAGGCGTGTGCCACCGTGCCCGGCTCATTGTTTAAATTTTTGGTGGAGATGGGGTCTCATTATGTTTCCCAGACTGGTCTCTAACTCCTGGCCTCAAACGATTCTCCCACCTTGGCCTCCCAAAGTGCTTAGGTTGACAGGTGTGAGCCACTGGGCCTGGCCACAATTTTAATATAAATTTTAACATAAAAGTTACCCCTTAAAACAATTAGATAGCTGGGCGCGGTGGCTCACGCCTGTAATCCCAGCACTTTGGGAGGCCGAGGCGGGTGGATCACGAGGTCAGGAGATCGAGACCATCCTGGCTAACATGGTGAAACCCTGTCTCTACTAAAAATACAAAAAAATTAGCTGAGTGTGGTGGCACATGCCTGTAATCCCAGCTACTCGGGAGGCTGAGGCAGGAGAATTGCTTGAACCTGGGAAGCGGAGGTTGCGGTGAGCCGAGATGGTGCCATTGCACTCCATCCTGGGCAACAAGAGTGAAACTCCATCTCAAAAACAAACAAACAAACAAAAAAAAACAACAATTAGATATGGAAGGAAGGGGGAACACAGATGTTCAGGGCCTCAGAGATTCAGGTGTGAGTAACTGGAGTCCACATGACAAACACAAGGAGTTCATGTGTTCTGGCCTTTTTTTAGTTGAGAAAGTCAATTTTCTTGGCTCTTCCTGAGCCTGTTGCTTGGTTCTTGACATCTCATTGGAAACTGAAAATGGGAATTTGACTTTCCGTGATAGGGGCTGCCCCACCTGCGTTTGTAGGGTTGAAGCTCAGGCCTGTTGTGGGCGATGTTTGGAGGATAAGCTGGCCTGCTTATCTCTGGGTTGGTTGACTGCGAGACCAGGTGGAAGGACACGCAGCCCATCTGGTGGTGAGTGAGGCCACTTGTGGCCAGGGGACTGAAGGAAGTCCCTGTTCACCATATTCTTGGCAAAATCTGGTCTCCTTCTGGCATAGATTCAGCTTTTGACAGGTCTGGGGATTTCATTTTTTTTTTAAAGCAAAATTATAAAAAAGGCTTTTAAAGTGATTTACTCGTGTGTGTTTTTGTAAGAGTTGGTAGATAGAAGGCTTTTGAAAGTAAGGGCTTTCTCAGATGGACCAGGCCATTTGAGATCTGCCTGAACTGCTCACCAGATCATCTGGGATAGCACTGCCTTTGGGATAAGGTGCCATGCTGTGTGCTAGTGGCCCTTTCACAGCTGTCTCTTGTGAACAGGGGTTGGGGGACAGTGGGGGTGGCACTAGGCATCAGGTGGACCCCAGCACCCTGCCCAGCCTTTGCCGCAGCGGTCATCTGTGCATTGTCTTTTAAACTGAACAATTTCATGTATCAGAAGTTAATCCTGTACTCTTAGCCTTCATCAGTGAAACCCAGAATGACAAGGACTTTAAGACTGGTGTTGAATTATATTCAGATCTTAAGCAATTCCTGTGATCTCCCAATTTCTTTAAACTTTCATGTTTTTTTTAGCTTCAGAAGAAGAGTTTTAAGGTAACATTTTTTTCTTGAATGATTTCTCTTTTTTTGTATTTTCATTTTGTCGGTTTTCCCTATGGAAAGAATTGTTTAAAAGTCATGCAGTAATTACAGTGTTTGGTGTAATATAATTCAGGATGTTTCATCTAATATAGAAAGACATTTGCCGCTTTTAGCTTCTTTATTATTATCCATATTGATTTAGGGTAATGGATTTGAGTTGTCTAATCACTGACTGAGCAGCCAGGAATAAACTTAAAATCTTCTTCCTGAAGCCAAGTCTGGCACTTTTTTTTTTTTTTTTTTTGAGATGGAGTTTTGCTCTGTCACCCAGGCTGGAGTGCAGTGGCGTAATCTCGGCTCACTGCAAGCTCTGCCTCCCGGGTTCACGCCATTCTCCTGCCTCAGCCTCCCGAGTAGCTGGAACTACAGGCGCCCGCCACCAAGCCTGGCTAATTTTTTGTATTTTTAGTGGAGACGGGGTTTCACCGTGATCTGGATCTCCTGACCTCGTGATCCACCCGCCTCGGCCTCCCAAAGTGCCGGGATTACAGGCATGAGCCACTGCGCCCGGCCTAGTCTGGCACTTTTTGATCTGCACGTGTGTACGTTAAAAATTGAGATGTTGCCCTGCTTTTCCCGAAATATGCCTGTGTGAAATAGGCTCATTGCTAACAACTGGGACAGTGCAGAAAAACAGAGAGAACATACTGTTAACATCTCAGTGTACCTCATTCCACATGTTTTCTTTGAATGTGTGCAGGAGTACGCCTGTCCCTCAACCAAAAGGGCACCAATTCCTGTCATTAATTTTACATTGATGTCTACCTAGGTAGTTTGCAGCTTTAAAAACATTTTTGGAAAACTTTGGACATATGAATCTTTTCACTTGTCTATTTCCCTAGGATAAACTAACTGGAAGTGGGGTTTTTGCCTTTTGCTTATTTTCATTTTCAGGTATGGAACATCTTTTCTGATCACTTTTCCATCTTTTTAGCGCTTCCATTCTTCAGATGATATGCTTTTTTGTCATTGTTTTCTACTTTTTGCTGCTTTTAATGTGATGTTTATTTTGATAATGATTTTTATTACCTTCATCTCTAGCTGTGTTAATGCTTTTTGGAGACTTAAAAGGTGCTCCGAATTGTCTGTAATTTCTTTGAGAGTTGAGAGTATTTTTCTGAAATGTTTCCCCTCTCCCTTGGGAATTCGGAAATATTTTCCTTTTGCTTGTTTTCTTTTTCACCACTGTCTTTCCTTGTAGAGGCGTCTCCGCATGCCTCGGTGTGGATTCTTTGGCTTAGGAGGGGACCTGCCATGTACCCTGGCCTCAGGTCGGCTTGGAGGGTGGGGAGCATTGCCTCCTGGGGCGGGCGGCTCTGTCCTCTCCTCTCCGGCCTGCCCTGCCTTCTGCCGGCTGGCTGTGCCTCTGCCTGCTCTACCCGGCGGGATGAGATACTCCAGGGGGGCTGCGCCACTCCCAGTAGGGCCCTTGCTTCCCAGATGCAGGGTCAGGGCCCAGTTGCCTGGGGCCCACAGTGCAAAGCTGGCCTCTCTTCCAGGAAACCTTCCTGGTTAGGGAAGTGGAGATGCCCTCGTGGGCCAGGCCTGCTGGGGACTTCTGTGTCTGCAGTTGGGCCACGGGAACGTACCTGCCACCTCAGTTTCAGAGCCTCCTGCCCCTGTGCTGGCCTAAGGTCCTGCTGTGTTCTCAGTTGTCGCCTCAGCCTGGGGCAGAGGTCATTGTGCCCGGCAGGTAGTCTTTGTCATCTGTGGGTTCAGGTGAGAGTAGTTCCTAGTTTTATTGCAGATGGACTTTTCTTCTCACTCTCCTTCCTTTATTAACTTCAGCGTGGGCCACAGCAGCCTAACGTAAATGCACCTTTCATTTAATGGCTTTTACTAGAAGCCTCTTCATAGCTATTTTTAAACCTGAGGTCCACTAACATGACTCCAAATTAGAGCCAGGATACTCACACTTGCCAATTTACATTGTGTGCTGTTCTTATGAAGCCTAGGATCAAAAAAGACCCAGAAGTAAAATCAAGTTTCTTTTGTATAGCATGTGGTTTATGCGTGTGGGTGACCGAGTCTGCCGGATACTGAGTCGTGGATGGCAGCTTCTGGCGGTGATCCGTTCAATAGAAGCCATTGATGACCGGCACCGCATCTGCAGGCTTCACCCTCGGGGCGGCTGGCAGCTCCTCTCTTGCAGTCGAGGGGTGTCCTGCGTCCTACCATAGTTCAGCACCATCCTTGGGGGCCACTTGGGAGTAGAGGGCTTCCGGGCCCCAGTGCGGGGTCTCCTGTTGCTGCCTCCCCTCTCTCTGTATTCTCTGTCTCTCTGCAGCGATCAGACCCGCGTCTTCGGGTCCGCGCCCACCCTGGCCTCACCTGCTGCTTCTCAGCTGCTGTTGATGGAGACCAGCTGTTTGACCTTTCGTAGTGTGTGCCTTTATTACGCACCAGAATGTTCTGAGAGCAGGACTGAGGCCCCACTCTGAGAGGTGCAGTTTGGGCAGACCGGGAATTTGGGGCAGCTGTGTTTGTGCTTGGAGACCTTTTTTGCTTGGTGCTTCTGGAGGGTCGAGGTTTCTCAAATCTGAGTGCCGAATCAAAGTTGAGTTGTACTGAGAGAGCCGCAGTTAAGTAAATGTATGCAGACTTCCTGTCAGGTCCAGCCGCGGGAGCACATTGGTTGAATTATTCATTTGGTTTGCCCTTCAAGTGTTTAGTTCTCTTTTTTTGGGGAAAAAAACAACTCTGTGGGGACACTTGGATAGAGAGGATTTTCCCGAAGCTGTAAACTTTGGAGGATGGCATGACTGGTCTCCTCCCAGCCGGAGCGGAGCTGCGGCCTCTCCCCCCTCCCTTGGCCTTTGCTGGCACCTGTAAGCCCCCGGAGGCTTCAGTCTTTGGGCCTTCCAGGTCCACGCTAGCTGGCTGCTGTTTTCTGCTACAGGAAGTGGTGGATCTGAGACTTGGTACTCCGTCCCATCGTCTCCACAAATACACCCGTTCCTGTCAGGCCGCGTGTTCTGGTGTTGTTTGGAAATGAGGGGGTCTAGATTTCAACTGACCTCTTACGGACATACAGGGTAAGCGTTGGTACTTGGACGTGTAGATGGAGAAAGTAGAGTAAAAGACAAACGCATAGAAAGTAGATTGCACCATCAGCCTTTCTAGGGCTGTGGGCTGCTTTGCTTCCCGTCACTTTCACTCCAGGAACAAGGGACTAATATGGAAAGGAACCTAGGAACCGGGAAACCCGAGCATTTATTAGGCTCAGCTGTATGATTTTTAATGTGTGTTTCTTTATCTGAAGTGCATGAACTACCTTGTAGGCTGTTTCTTGGGTCTAGGAAGCCATTTATATTTATATGCTGGTTTCCTGAAAAACACAGAGTGCTCTGTGAGTATGAGGGGTTACTGTGTTGTCACTTGAGTTGACCCTGGAGTTTGAGGCTGGCCCTGTTCTGGTTACCATCAGTAAAAGGCAGAGCTGGGAGGAAGTTGGAACCTACCAATTGGCCGTTTTTTTTGTTGTTGTTGTTGTTGTTTGTGCATAGGATGAATGTATTGTTTTTGTCAGTCCTTTTTACCTTAACAGACGAGAGAGTTGGCTGGAATGGTCCCTACTCAGCAATATTTATTTAGGTTTGCACACCTTCCAAAACGTTGCTTATTTAAGTCCCATTTACAATGCTTTAAAATGGCTGACATATCAGTCAGCGCTAGGGTCGGTGGAGTGTGATGTCAAGAAAGTATTAAATCATGAGAGCTGATTACCATGTCCAGAAAATAACGCAGTCTTGTAAATAACCTTTGTCTTCAGGTCGGGATAAGAAATGAGTTATAAACGGCCCATGGTTAAAGTCCTAGTGGACCCTTGGAGAACAGCGGGTGGAGATGGAACGAGCTTTGACTCACTTGTGTTCTGTGTCCTTTGATCTGTGCCAAGGAAGAGATTGCTTTGAAATGCACGATTTTATTTTCTCAACTAAATATTGTAGCAGCAGTAATGGAGTAGTGAGTGGAAAAGTATTGCTCACTCTATTCCACATTTCCCGGAATTTATGTGATACACCCTGCTAACCCCCGGGCTTCAGTAATACCAGTGCGTGCTGTTTAGATGTGCAGATAAAATACACTTCCTCATGGTAAAAGGGTAAAGTGTCATGGATGAGGGCACAGGCTGTTGAGACAAACTGGTTCAAATCTTTCCTACAGTTCATCTCACCTTTGTGTTCTGGTTTCCTTATCTTTGAAGAGATGGGGATTACATGATTTAATTCTGTAGGGACAGCATCTGGTACATTTATTACATTGGCAGCTTCTAAGTCAAAAATAAGAAATATCTCTTGAAAGAATTTAAAAGTTTATTGTAAATTAGGTTATAATTTTCCTGAACCCTCCCACTTTCTGGCTCTGATGCTGACATCATGGTCTCTTTGCTCACAACCTCAAAAGTTTTCATAATACTGCCATTAGGAAAACACTGTTTCCTTTGAACATCTGAACAAACTGCCCTTCATAGTTGGTCGGGATGCAGCTGAAAGTGTTGGGTCCTGATTTTGATCAGCTTGAAGCTGTTCCCAGACCAAACTGAGGGTCAGGCTGCTATTTCTCGGGCCCAATAATGAGATGCAGATGAACTGGAGAGGAAGAGCGTTTTTATTTCCTGCAGCCGGTTACAGGGAGAAGGCCTGGAAATTATCCCCGGACCAACTCAAAATTACAAAGTTTTCCAGAGCTTATATACCTTCTAAGCTATATATTCTTGTATGTAAGTGTGCAGCTAAAGACATTAGTGAGCAACTTCTCTTAGTCTATAACTAAGGTCTGAGTCCTGAAGACCTTCCTCTGGAGCCTCAGTAGATTTACTTAATCTAAATGCGTCCAGGTGCTGGGGTAGATAACCCTTATTTTGTCTCCTGCTAAATCACAGAGGTTTGGGGAGTTCCTTCAGATGCCCAATAACCTTGTCTGTGGAGGCCTGGGGAGCTTCTTCAGACTCCTAGTAAAACTTATTTAATCTTAAATGGGTCCTGTTAAGAATTCTTTGGTTATTTTGTCATGCTTTAAGGCCCAGGAAAGGCCTAGGCAAAACTCTTGGTGGGCTTTTGTTATATTCCAGCTTTGTATAAGGGCAATGGCTTTTTTTTTTTTTTTTTTTTGCTTTTAATATTTAGCTTAACCACTCAGTACTGAAACAGTTGTTATAGAGGCCTGTGTGAGAGAGACTTGGCCTGCCACCAAGCTTCATGGACACGTTGTCAGCTTTGTGGCCTGCACTGGTCATTGGTTTTGGGGATCAGTTAGGTGGAGGAGTAGACAGGAATGTGAAGTTTAGGTAAATCATGAAACTGTGAACAATACTTAGCTTTTTTTGGTTTTGTTTTCAAAAGTCCTTCATCCACTGGGCATTTCAGCTCTCACTTGTGCCAGGCATTTTACTAGATGCTGGGGCAAGATGAACTGAAGGAAGTCTTTGCCCTTAAGGATCTCACAGTCATTTGTGAGAGACAGAAGTCTAAAGGTATGTAATGTGTAGTTTTTCTTTGAAACAGCTTTATTGATACATATTTTACATACCATAAAATTCATTTCAGGTGTAAAATGCAGTGAGTTTTAGTAATTTTACTGAATGGTGCAGCTAGCATCAATCAGAGCAGAACATTTCATCCCCAGTAAGATTCCTCATCGTCATTCACAGGTGATCTCTGTTCCCACCCTAGCCTTGGACAATTCTGCATCTACTTTGTAGCTCTATAAATTTGCCTTTTCTGGACATTTCATGTAAGTCGATCACACAGTATGTGTTCCTTTGTGACTGGCTGCTTTTGCTTAGCATGACGTTCTTGGGGCTCGCAACGCAGCTTGTGTCTGTTGTTCATTCCTTTTGCAGCAGAATCGTATTCTGTTGTTTGGATGGGCCACCTGTTTGTTGTCTGTTTACTCTCCAGCTGGTGGACATTTAGGCCGTTTGCACTGGCGGTTACTGTGAATCATGTCGCTGTGAACATCTGTGTGTGTGTCTGCGTGGACTTGTGTGTCCTGTTCTCTTGGGAATGGAGTTGCTGGGTTAGAGGGTAGGTTTTTTGTTTCCCCTTGGAGACTCTCTGGTTTCCACATATGGTAGTTTTATGCTTAACCTTTTGAGAAATTGCCAAATGGCTTTCTGAAGTGGCCACGTCATTTTGCTCCCTCCAGCCGTTTGTAATGTTCCCATTTCTCCTATGTGTAATTTTAATACAAAGCAGTAAAAAGTTGCCATTATGGACCTAGTAAATTCTGAGGTAACATAAGAGAGAAATAATGATGCAGCCGTCATTACTGTGCTGGTAATGTAAGTTTCCTTTTTTTTTTGTTTTTAAATGGAGCTTTGCAGAGATCAAGTCGAGAGAAGAACACTGGGCCAGCCTGACTCCAAAGCCTACTCTCTTAAGCACTTTGCTTTGCTGACTTGTGATGTTTTAAAATCTAGCATTATTTTCAAATGCTGTGAGAGCACTGAAGATAAAGGATTTGATTCTTTTTTTCAGGCATCCAAGGATGGTTCATCATCAAGAATCATTTTAATATAGGAAGGGGACGACAGATTATGGTGCCAATAGATGTACTCCTACTTCCATTGCAACATTAATATTGTTATATAAATATGGCAAAATGGAGAAAAGCAGCCGAATCACAAAAAGAGTTGCATTATAGTATTTGCTCTCTTGGAGGATGTTAGTATTGTAGCAGGCTGAACCCACCCATGGAAGAGGTGTGTGCTTCAGGGCGGCACAGCTGGAGTGAGCCGAATGGAAATGGAAAATTGTGTACAAAGTGCGCAGCAGGCTGAGCCTTTGATGGAAACAGCGGGTGCTCTGCTGTGTACAGCTGGATGTCAGGTCTGGGGAGTGACTGTGTGTGAGTCTTGGCTGTCGCCCTTTCCTTTCTGTGTCCCCCTCCCCACCAGCCCTGACTCCTGTGTCTCCTTCGAATGCCTTCCAGAAATTGTGACAGGTGGCGAGGGCAGAACAAAGTATTATCTTTTCTGTGGTTTTCTCAGTAATTATGAAATTTTCACCTGTTTGGGCCTCACCGAGGAGCAAGAAAGAAGGGACACCAGGGCCTGAGTGTGGGAAGGAGGCAGTGGCAGTGATGAACCTAGGAGGTCAGGCGGCAGGTGGGCTGCTCTGGAAGCTCCCTCCAGGAGGTAGGGTTTAGCACAAGGCATGGTTTTGTAGGCAGGTGTGTGCATGCATGTGTGTGAATGTGTATGTGTGTACCAGAATAGAGGACTAGGAGAAAGAAGTGGCAAGAGACTGGGCAGAGAATGAATAAGATGAGCTCACAAACTCCCCTTGGAGCAGAAGATCAGTTGAAGGTGCAGTAAGCTACTGCTTGAGGAAGGGATTAAAAATAGGCACCAAGCCGCGGTGGCTCATGCCTGTAATCCCAGCACTTTGGGAGGCCAAGGCGGGAGGATCACCTGAGGTCAGGAGTTTGAGACCGGCTTGACCAACATGGTGAAACCCCATCTCTACTAAAAATACAGAAATTAGCTGTGTGTGGTGGTGGGCACCTGTAACCCCAGCTACCAGGGAAGCTGAGGCAGGAGAATTGCTTGAACCTGGGAGGCGGAGGTTTCAGTGATCGAGATCATGCCACCGTACTCAAGCCTGGTCAACAGAGCGAGACTCCATCTCAAAAAAAAAAAAAAAAAAAAAGCAAGCACCAAAGCAGTGATTGACCTAGCCGATGGAGAATACCCTTTCCTTCACTAAAACCTGAAGCTTAGCATGGTTCTTGGGAAGGAAGTTCTGGAAGTGATGAGGATTTGTTGACATCCCTGTGGATTAGTGACATTGATGGGCACCAGAAAGCAGGTGTCTGTTGTGACAGAAAACCAGGGTGGAAGCTACAAGTGACATCTACAAGGTAGGCCCTGCCCACTCTGACCTCCAGCTGCACCCCGAGCGGAGCAGCTGGGGCATCATGGAAGTGGTTGGGCCATGCAGCGGAGCCCTGAGCCCCTCAGCAGGTTCATCCCACAGCCCTGTGTTGTGGGTACTCTTGTTATCCCCATCTATAGAAGAGGCAGCTGAGGCACAGGGCGTTTAAGTGACTTTGTCAGTCACTTAAATCGAATCCCTCATCAGAGCTGGGGATTCGATTCAGGCAGCCTGGCTCCAGGAGCTGAGCCCTCAGCCCCTGCACTACACTGAGGGGGCAGCAGAAAGGAACCCAGGTGAAGACTATAAAGATCGCCACCTCCTCTTGCTTCTGTCTCACATTCTGTACTTACGGGTGCACGTCTCCACCTGCTTGCTGCTTCCTGGGCTGTTGGCATGCACCTGGGTGGAGCTGGGGCCCCTGTCCTGCTGTGGGTAGTGAGGCCGGCACCCTGGCCAGTGCGTGGCCCGGTCCTTAGTCTGGAAGGTCTGTCTGCCTCTCGTGCCACAGCTGGCGGCTGGGGCCTCAGCTCCTCAGCTGCACTCGCCTCACTTGTTTATTCAGCTGATGGGGTTGAGGTCTCCCGTGTGCCGGGCACTGTGCTGTTGTGAATGAGCCCGCTGCTGTTCAAAGCAGACATCACAGCGGCCATAGGGTAACGCCATCCAGGGGGAAGGCCCCACTCCAGATGAGGTGTGTGTGTTTGTGAGAGGCCCCACGAAGACAGGTGTCCTTAGCCATCCCAGCAGCCTCACCCAGGAGGACTGCCTGATGGGAGCCCTCTGAGGGCCACTGTCTAGAGAGGTGGCACTGCACAGGTAGCCTGCTCCTTCAGAGGTAGGTCTTGAGGGGGTCACAGTGTAGGCTGAAGAACGCTGGCTTGAGGACTCAAGGAGCTGAAGGCCACCATCCTGGCTCTCTCCCTGGGTGAGTGACTTACTTGCCAAGCCTCCCCTTCTCATCTTTGGAGGCGGCTGCTTCAAGGGGTTTGGGGGAGGTAAGGAGATGAGCCGGGAGGGGCGGGCTCCGGCCAGTGTCGGGGGCACACAAGGGCCTGCTTCCCCCTCCCTTTCACTGGGCGACTGGAGGACAGGCGGAGGAGTGTGGCTGGGCGGCTGGAGGACAGGCGGAGGAGTGTGGCAGCCGGACAGCTGGAGGACAGGCGGAGGAGTGTGGTGGCTGGCAGGGTATGTGTTTCTGGTTCTGTTGAGTGATGCTTGGAAGATCGTTCTGAGAGGTCAGGGCAGCTCCCGGGACCCCAGAGCACTGGGCTCCTGCAGGGGACTAGGAGGCCGGCTTTTATCAGCTCATGAGCTTTTAAAAATGGAGAGAAGGGCAGGTGTGGTGGCTCATCCCTATAATCCCAGCACTTTGGGAGGTCGGGGTGAGAGGATCATTTGAGCCCTGGAGTTAGAGACCATCCTGGGCAACATAGACCCCGTCTCTACAAAAAGTAAAATAACAGTCAGCCAGGCATGGTGGCACACATCTGTAGTCTCAGCTACTTGGGAGGCTGAGGTGAGAGGATCACTTGAACCCAGGAGTTTGAGGCTGCAATGAGCCATGATTGTGCCACTGCACTCCTGTCTGGGTGACAGGGAGAGATCCCTTCTCTTGGAAGAGAAAAAAAAAAAAAGATAGAAGAAGAATATGCAACAGAGACAATTTAGTCCCCAAAGCCTAAGGCATTTGTTTTCTGGCCCCTACTGAAGTGTGTTGGCCTGGAGCTTGCAGGGTTTCTGTGAGATGTAGGATTTGGCTCACAGATTGTATCTTGATTGCTCACGTTCCCTCTTGCCCTTGCTGCCCCACCTAGGGAGAAAAGAACACTCAGTGACATTTTTCCCCCCGGTGGGCAGGATACGTGTGTTCCTATTTGTGACAAATCAACCTTGTCTATGACCTTCGCACCTCCATTCCAGGAATTTCCCCTTCGAGGCCTCTAAAAGCTAAAAGATTTTCAGGTAAAGGAAATGCGTTATTAATTGAAATCTGCATACACCAAAACGATTTGGTCTGGCTTCTAGAATAGTCAGTTTCCTGATACTCATCATTGCTTCCATCAGTTCTTGTAAAATACAGGAAGGTGAGTTCACCTGTAGGGAATGGGAAGTGGTATCACATTTTACTCCTGGCATTCTAGTGTGATGACAGGATGAGCCTTGCCACTTAGGTGCCTCTGGAGTCAGGCACCCTGTGAAGCTTGCAGCTCATGAGCACTTTGCAGTCCAGAGAATGACCCATGATCCTTAAACCCCGCTTCCGAGCTGTGGGGGATCTTGTGTAAGATCTGTGCCCGAATTGTCTCAGCTGTGTAATGAGGACAGTGTTCTCTTTCTCATGGGGTGGTTGTGAGGTCTAGAAACCGTATTTGTGAACGCTGCCCAGCACAAGGCCTTCCCGTGGGAGGAGCTTCAGCAGTGGGAGCTGCCACTGTTTGTTACTGTTTATTTGTACACTGGGTATGTTTTCCATGGCTTTTGTTTGCATTTTGATTTTAATAAAGGAGGTGCCAGTTTCACTTTCCAAGGAACTATATACTTTATTTGGAATGCATTGCGTGTGTGTGTGTGTGTGTGTGTGTGTGTGTGTGTGTGTATACACACATATATATATATATATATATTTTTTTTTTGTTTGTTTGTTTGTTTGTTTGTTTGAGACAGAGTTTCGCTCTTGTTGCCCAGGCTGGAGTGCAATGGCGTGATCTTGGCTCACTGCAGCCTCCGTCTCCCAGATTCAAGTGATTCTCCTGCCTCAGCCTCCCAGGTAGTTGGGATTACAGACACGTGCCACCACGCCCAGCTAATTTTGTATTTTTAGTAAATACACGCTGGTCAGGCTGGTCTTGAACTCCTGACCTCAGGTGATCCGCCTGCCCCAGCCTCTCAAAATGTTGGGATTACAGGCGTGAGCCACCACGCCTGGCCCGTTGCATATTTTTTATCAAATTCTTGCCTGATGAAACTCCTGGTTATGCTGTCAGGGCCTGTTTGTTGGGACTGCCCAGTGGGTTCTCCTTGCCTGCTGCCCAAACAGCTGATTTATCAAGACAGGGGAATTGCAATAGACAAAGAGTTTAATTCACATAGTGCTGGCTATACAGGAGACCAGAGTTTTATTGTTACTCAAATCAGCCTCTCTGAAAATTTGGAGATTGGGATTTTTAAGGATAATTTGGTGGGTAGGGGTTCAGGAAGTGGGGAATGCTGATTGGTTGGGTCGGAGATGGAATCATAGGAGATTGAAGTGGGTTTTTTGCTGTTTTCGGTTCCTGGGTGGGATCCCAGAACTGGTTGAGCCAGATTACCGGTCTGGGTGGCACTAGCTGGTGCATCAGAACACTGGGTCTGCAAAATATTCCAAGCACTGATCTTAGTTTTTACAACAGTGATCTTATCCCCAGGAGCAGTTTTGGGAGGTTCAGAATCTTGTAGCCTCCGGCCTGCGTGACCCCTAAACCATAATTTCTAATCTTGTAGCTAATTTGTTAGCCTTACAAAGGTAGTATAGTCCCCAGGCAAGAAGGGGGTTTGTTTTGGGAAAGGGCTATTACCATTTTTGTTTCAAAGTTAAACTATAAACTAAGTTCCTCCCGAAGTTAGTTCAGCCCATGCCCAGGAATGAAAAGGACAGCTTGGAGGGTAGAAGCAAGATGGAGTCGGTTAGGTCAGATCTCTTTCACTGTCATCATTTTCTCACTGTTAGAATTTTTGCAGAGGCAGTTTCATTGTCATCTCAAACCGCAGGCCTCGTCTTTGAGCCAGGGAGCCTTCTGTTGAAGAAAAGTACCCCACACAACCACTGAGAGATCCTGGGGCAGGGCTGAGGTTCCCTGGTGGGGACTCCGGGGGTGCTGGAGCTTTGTGACCATGGGCCTTGCCTCCTCGGCTGCCTCTGCTATGAAGCCTCATGCGGTTGGAGGAGGATGTGGATGAGATGACCAAGCGGGGTGCCCGCTAGCACCAGGTGGTGGGTAGGCGTCGGCAGACTAGGAGAGCCTCAGAGCCTTTGTTTAACTTGTGCTGAGAAGGAGTGTGACTCCAGGAGAGTTGGGTGGAGAGCCTCACCTTGGCACACACTATGCTGTGTCCAGACTGGACCCCATGGTGTCTGAGCATTATTCTCTCTAGGGTCACCTTCCCCTGCACTGTGACCTTGCGGAGCTTCAAACAGTGGTTTCCTAAGGTAACAGAGCAGGTGGTGGTGTGGTGCGTGTGCGTGTGTGTGTGTGTGTTGGGTACTGAGGCCACAGGCGATAAACTGATCTAGGTGGTATAGTAGTGTTTTTCTCATTTTTAATACTTTTCAAAAATCGAATTTATATTTTTCTTTTTTATTTTTAGAGATGGGGGTTCTCATTTTGTCACCCAGGCTGGAGTGCAGTGGCTCAATCATAACTCATTGCAGCCTCAAACTCCTGGGCTCAAGTGATTCTCCCACCTCAGCCTTCCAAGTAGCTGGGATTACAGGCTTGAGTCACGAAGCCCTGCTATATTTTTAACTTAGCTAGAGCATTTCTATCTTAAGTATTTTTTTATAGATAGTAGATGCTAGCACTAGGGTTTTCCTTAATTAAAATATTAAGTATTCCTTAATCTTTAGGAGATTTAGGAAATATTAAGGAATTTAGGAAAACTGAGATAGTCTCGCTCTGTCACCCAGGCTGGAGTGCAGTGGTGCAATTTCAGCTCACTGCAACCTCCACCTCCCAGGTTCAAGTGATTCTCATGCTTTAGTCTCCTGAGTAGCTGGTAGCCTGGCTAATTTTTATATTTTTTGTAGAGATGGGGTTTCACCATGTTGGCTAGGTTAGTCTTGAACTCCTGGCCTCAAGTGATCCACCCACCTCAGCCTCCCAAAGTGCTGGGATTATAGGCGTGAGCCACCACACCCGGCCTGAAAACTAATTGATTGTGTAGACCTAGACTTTGCAATTCATAGAATTTAATTTCTCTTTGTGCCAATTTTCTGTTTTGTCAAATACTGTAGGATATTTATTCAGCTTGTCCTCTAGATGATGTGATTATTGTAGGGATAAAATAAAGTGTATACTATGGGAGAAATGAGTTTACTAAACCAGATGGTGGGGGCATTTGTAACGCATTAATACAGCTCAGGTAGATAAACTGAGTAGTGCCACTTACAGAAGTAAATTATCTGTTCATGGACACAGACTAGGAAGAACTTACATTGTAGTAATTAGTAGATTTATTGTAATGTGTAGAAAAGCATGTTACTGTATAAAAATGATTTGTTATCAGTAGGCTAGAAATAACACTTTTCTTCGAAAGAATATTTGAGGACTAGAAAAATCTGTCAATTCTTTGAGCTTCTTGGAGCCATTTGCTAAAGATAGGTATTTGATAAATACTGATTTTTATTTTGGAGACCTTAGATTAACCAACTAGTTCACCGTACACGAAGCACCCTTTGGGGCTCACCTCCAGAGAGGTTAGAATGGGTATGGGATGTGTGTGTGGGATGGGTGTGTGGTGGGTATGGGATGTGTGTGTGTGGGATGGGTGTGTGGTGGGTGTGGGATGGGATGTGTGTGGGATGGGTGTGTGGTGGGTGTGGGATGGGTCTTTGGTGGATGTGGGATGGGCATGCACCATCAATTACTAGTCACTGAAGTCATCTGGCAAGGTGGTGGGGAGGGGTTGCCCTCTCCTTCTCTCATGGAGAAGAGAGGTGGGAGAGGTAAAAGATGAAAAAGGTGAGGTGCCGGGAGGTGCCTCCTCCCCTGCACTGATGTGATTTTTTCCCAGGTGTAGAAAGGTGAGTGTGACCCAGGATAAAAAGAGTTTTCCAGGCATCACTACTGGCATTGTGACTTCTGCAGAGCCTGGGGCAATCTCCTAGACTAGACCGGTGGTCCTCAACCTTGGCCGCGTGTGAGAGTTTCTGGTTAGCTTAACTAAGCTGATGGGGGGTGGGGCCCTTCCCCAAAGATTCTGGTTTAATCGGTCCAGGCTGAAGCTGGGACATCGAGCTGTTTAGGGAGCTACCCACATGCAGCCCAGGTTGAGAATCCCTAGCCACATGCAGCAGGGAGGGTCGGCCCTGGGAGGGTGCTGACCTCAGGATCACAGAGCAAATAGTTCCCACGAGCGTCTTTCTCCTGATGCACTGTCCTGCGTCTATGCAGTTCCAGCTCACCTCTAACAGAGCAGAGGCCATTGTGGGGACGATAGGCATCGTTGGGTAGTTAGTGATGTCTAGCCAAAAACCCATTAATACCATCTGCACCTTCAAAGGGTGAAGGTCGAGTGAGGGGGAGAACAGGGATTCAAATTTGTTCCTTGGCTTCAAGAGGAGCCCTGATGTCCTGAGTCAGCACTGGTATGAAGGCTAGTCCTGACCTTAAACTTCTTATTAAGTCAAAATCAGGAGCTTGATGTTTCTCCGGTTCTGTTCATATCAAAAGGTGTCTAGGGTTGGCTGGTGTGTGGAGCCCCAGGATCTGACTGGGGGAGTCCCTAAGGTGTGATGCTGTCCTGATAGTGGAAATGCCCTGGGCGCTTCCCAGGGCAATGGAGGAGGCCAGGGATATGCAGTCCCAGATTGGGTTTCGACCATGACAGGTTTTTGATGACAACTTCTGGCGGGAAAACTGCCCACAAAAGAGCACTTGGTTTTTATTTGGTCTTTTTCATTTGGTTTATAAACTTTCCATTGGCCTTTTCTGTACATATCCCTGCATGTGTAGATATTTTATAAAAAGGACAGCTTGATTTTCAGATTTTGGGAGGGCGTATTGGAAAGACTGATAAAGAGTGAGCTTTAAACTTATTAGAATGAAAGAAGACCTTTATGGATGAATAGGCTTGCTTTAGACAAATTGTTCACTATTCCTTCCAGCACAGAATGCCTCTTCACATTTAATGGCCAGTTTAATTAGATGACATGGCTTTCCAGGGTATTTTATTTGTTTGCAGTCAGCTTTAGGATTTCTTACTTAGGGGAAGAATAATCTGTATTAAAAAATAGGAGATTGGCCTAAAGTTCAGCCATACTAAAAATCTACTCTCATTTTTACTCTTTGGAGACCCTGTCGCATTGTGTTGTACCTCGTATATTCTCAGTTAAGAGTTATGGCCAGCGAGTTAGTGATTTCCAAAAATGTCTCCAAAATTGAGTGCTGTTTTAAAGATGGCTTCCCATGTTCTTCAGTGTGCTTGCTGAAGATTCTATGCCAACTCTGGTGAAGGTGGTGGCAGTTCACCACGTTGCCGGCAGGTTTGATCCCGGAACAGACCTGTGAGCTCATTGTCCATTTGACTGAGAAGCTAAGAACTTGCTGGAGGTCTTGCAGCAGCGCACCACAGCTTTTCATTCCAGGGCTTTGGGTTCTTCTTTTGTGCCCTTGTGTTGTATGTTGCTGTCAGAGCTCCGGAGACAGTGATGGACCTGCTCAGTGTTTGGAGTCGGATGGCCATAGGTTCCTGTTCAGGCTCTGTGCCTGAAGACAAGTCACATAATCGTCAGAAAATGGAGCTCGTGCCTCCTCCGTAGAGGGCACCCGGGCATGACAGTAGCTTTGCTTATGGTGTCATTCTGCCCAGACCACATCCAAGACCATATCCAAGAGAAGAGTGTCATTACCTCTGACTGCAGCTGTCACCTAATCTGTGACACTGAGAAGGCCAGGAGCTCTGGCAATCTAGTTCCTTTATGGGGGTAAAAACGGAGCTGCCTTAAGTATTCCAGGTGTTTTACAAGACATTCTCTTAGATTCAATTAAGTTTCTCCTCAGAAATTGTTAGGAGTTCTCTTTACACAAACTTTCTGGAAGTATTTGTGTGTGTTTCTGTCTGGGGGCCACAGACAGAAACTGTCATGTCTGGTCCTCTTGACAGCTCTGTGTGTGTGTGTGCGTGTGTGTGTGTATATCTGTGTGTGTTTGCACCCACATACAGGGCCAGTGCCTTTTGCCTTCTTTCTTTGCCGTCATTTTTCCTGCAATTGGCCTTTTGTCTAACATCGGCTTCCTTCTCCAGCAGTGCCAGTGGAGTAGAGCCTTCTTTCCTGGGCCCTGCAGGTAGACCCTTTCTATTTTAAGAGGTTTAATGGTTACCTTTATAAGGCAATTTTAAAGGTCCGTGGATTTCTGCAAATTCTGGTAGCCATGATCTTGCCTCTGTAGTTCCCAGCATCATTTCTTAGACCTAGGAGCCTTTTAAGTTGGGTAGAGTCATTGCATTTGATGGCTGAATGCTCGTTCTGGAAGCCTCGTGTTAGGACCCCAACCACACCCATCCCTGGACCTACAGGGGCCTCTGGACCCCCCTGTTTGGTGGTTTGTTTGTCTTTTCCTCACCCCAGCCTCAGCAACCAAGGATCTATTCTCCACCAGTCAAATTTTGTCACCTTGAGAATTTTCTATAAAGGGACTCATACTGTATATGACCTTTGGCGCTTGTAGACAGTATTAAGAAGTTGGATGACAAGAGGGTAAGTGAGGGGATTAGAAAGGAGCTTTGGGGTTTAGATTCACAAGCTGAGTGTGACCTCAGTGTGAAGGGCAGTGGGTCGTCCCCAGTTGTTTTAAGCAGTGAAGGAAACCGTGAGCTTTTAGGAAGATCAACTCTGACAGCAGGTCACAGGCAGGTCTTGAAGTGGATCAGTTGGAGGCTGCTGCTGTGGGGGAGGGAGGGCCAGGCAGTGACCTGGAAGGGGCTGGATGGAGAGACGCTTCGGAAGAACCATGACGCGGTTTGCATGTTGGGGTGAGAGAGGAATGGGGGTGCAGAGGTTTCCAGCTTTAGAAATGGTAGGTAGCAACACTGTTAACGATGAAACACGTGGTGGGGGGCCTGGGGAGAGGGAGACGGCGGGTATGGAAGGGTGAGCTGGAATGGTAGCCACCAGCATGGGTCTGTGGGTGGTAGCGCCAGACAGGCCAACAGGTAGGTTTCCACCTGCGTGCCCAGTTGGCCAAATCGGTGGTGACTGGCTGGGGTGAGTAGATTCTGAGGCTCGGTTCAGCTCTAGGAGAGTGTTTGTGATTCATTAGAGATGCTTGCCAAGGCCAGAGTGGTGAGAGTCCGTGCCTGCAGCCAACTCCCCTTCCCTGCTCCAGGCTCAGCTTCCTTCCAGCATCCTCCCGCCCGCTCCAGTAGGGATAGTGGTGTGAGAAGTACCGGGTATTAGAGCACGTCACCCTCAGTTTCTTTTTGTTTTCATGGAAAAGCGTAGAGAAGCTTGGTTTCAACCAGAGTAGTTGAGTGTGGTTTGACTGTGCAAGTGGTACATTTGGAGCTGAGTAACACTGAAAGTTGATTGGTAATGCCACATGCATTTTTCATTGCCAGAAATGATCAAAAGAAGATGATGACAGCTATTCAGGTTTAAAAATATAAAATACTTCAGTCATCATAGAACAATTTTAAAGAATTCTTTCAAGGGATTATGGAATATAATAAAGTGTTGTGTTGTATTGTGGAATGGCCCTGCTTCTGAGCTGCAGAAGGGCAGAGCTTCGGAATTGTCTTTGTAACTCTTGGGTGGGTAATAGGATACTTCGCACTTGGGTTTTCTCCTCAAAGGAGCCGGAACCCTGGAGGCCTGGCTGGAGTTGCTGGTTTTGCCCCCCACCTAGACTGGGCTGAGGGGACCATGTTTTGTGAGATGAGAGGGAGCAGGAAAACACCCACCTTCTGGCGTTCTCATTGAGCGCAGAATCAGTCTGTAAATCAGAAGATACCTCCATCTGTCTTTCTCATTCATTTAGGTTTTCGCCTTGCAAGGTAGGTGTGGTCATGACATTGGCCAGGCAAACCCCCAGGTCATGGCCGTTCTGTGTAGTCTGTGAAGGGAGCCCGAGACTGATGGGCCCGGGTCTGTCCTGGACCTCCCGCCCTGGGCCAACCTGCATATCCTCATGAATGAGAGTCCGGTGGCCCAGTGGGAACCCAGGGGTCAGCCTGATGGAGACGGCTCTCTCCAGCTTTGCGGAGGCCTGATTATTAGCCTAGGGAGCTGTGGCTGAGGAGACCATCGCCCCCAGAGCTCTCCTTTTGCTTTCTGCCGTTGAGTCAGGCCCAGAGAGGTACAGGAGCTGGCGGGGCTGCAAGACGCCAGCATGAACTGGGGCTGCAGTCACAGCAGGGGACATTTGTTCCAATAAAGCAGGTGATGACTGTCCCTCCCCTTGTTTTGGGATTTTCGACGGTGTGCCTCTGAACCCCTCTGGTCTCCCGTGGCCGCTGGCTCTGCGTCTGTGGCTGGGTGGTGCTGGTGAGGCAGTGCTGGGCCCCCCACCTCCCTTGTGGCTCACCCGGTCCTGGTCCCGTGTCCTCTGCATCCAGGAGCCTCCCCGCTCAGGTTTGCCTGCGGGGCCTGTGTGCCCTCCCCAGTCGTTCAAGGCACAGGGGCACATGGAGGTGGGTTCAGAGAAGAGTGGGGAAGGGGGTGCCGGTGGCCCGTGGGAGAGTTGCCCAGGTGTGGGCACAGCCTCTGTGTCAGGGCTCCCTCGGATGCTCTTGACTCTGATCTGGCCTTTGAGGTCTTAACTTTCGTCCTCACTGGTGGCCCGCGGAGCATGATTCCCGGCACCTTGCCCCTTTGCAGGCCACATGTTCCCACCGCTCTAATTGGGGTGGGGTCTTGGCCACTGGAATCAGATGTCATCTCCATCTCTGGGCTTTTTAGATGAAGTGGAGGGAGAAGGGCAGACTTTTTTTTGGTATAGCTGAGGTCTCACTTTGTTGCCTAGGCTGGTCCCAAACTCCTTATCTCAAGTGATCTGTGGGCCTCCCAAGGTGCTGGGATTACAGGTGTGAGCCACCACGCCCAGCTCTGCTGTGTGCACACATACATGGGCCCTCTGATTTTTCAGTTATTCTCAGTGGCTGGCCATTCCCTGTGAAGAGTGATAGGCCCACATCTACACAAAATGGAAATAAACTCCAAAAGGATGCCGATGAGAATTACAAAACAAATTTCTACTTCCGAGTGTGTATCGATATATGTCACTGCCTCTTCTCAGGGAATCTGACACATACACAGAGTGACCATATGGGCGTGTTATCCTCACATGGGGTCGGTATCAGCAGGCCGATTTCCACCTGGCAAGCGTCTCATGAAAACGCGCCTGTGGACAGTGGTCCTGCATATCTGAATAACGTGTTCTACACCCGCACTACTGGGATGGGCCATGAAGCTGATGAGCAAATTCCAGGAAGCCATTTGTGGTCCTTTCCAATCACGTTTCCCAAGTCTTGGCCAGGAGCTGACAAGCGGTCACTCACTCACTCCTCCCCACAGCAGAAATGCACAACCCAAGTTTCTTGAAAAACAGAATAAAATTTAAAAAGAAGTAAAGGCTACCTAATTAAGCAGCAGAAGACAGTTAAATAAACTTGAATGCAGCCATGTAATGGAATATTTGCTTTTTTGTTTCTAATGACATGGTCCCAAGCCTAGTACAGTGAGGAGACAGGAGCTTGCTGGCTAGGTTCAAACCCCTCCACCGCCCTCTGCCAGCTCTGGGACCAAGGGCAAGATACTCAATATCTCTTCTGCTCAGTTTGCTCATCTGTAAAATGAGGTAGACAGAAGTACTTTCCTCTTAGCTTTGTCATGAGAATGTGCTGAGACAGTTCATGTAAAGCTCCTGACCCAGAGCCTGGAACAAGTACACCCTCAATAAATCCACTCCTATTAGGCTGGCTACACGCTGTGTGCACTGCAGGGGGAAAATGCCTGAGTCATATTGGGACACTGAGACAACAATTTTGCATCCACGAAAAAAATTATACATACAGCTTGACAAAGGACAAAGCATCTGTTCACAGAAAGAAGACTGAGAGAAAACAGGACAAAAATTGTTTAAAAACCAGAAAAAGCAAAGACGGACCTGTTTCGAAAGCCCCTTTCACCCCAGCATACTGCCAATGCTCCTCCCTCCACCGCACTCCAGCCACCATCCCTCACCCGCTCAGCTTTCCAGCTGACCAACCCTGACTTACCCAACCAAAGCCTGTCCTTCAGGTCGGGCGGGCGTGGTGGCTCTTAACCCCGAGGTCCCCCAGAAGGGGAAGTTGGGCTGTTAAAATTCTTGGGGGGATTTTAGGGAATTGGAAAGTTGTGAGTAGAGAAATCAGTATTCGAGTGCCTTCTATTCAGACCCTGCATGGGATGTGTCAGACACCTCCACAGGTGCTGGATCCTCACTCTCAGTTGCCCTTAATGCAGAGATAGATACTATTATTTATCATTGTCTTTTTATCCCTGAACCCTTTCCTCAGAGGAGCAAGCCCCAGGGCTCATCAGTGTGAGGCGGCTTGTGGGGCTCGAGGCTCGGTGAGCTCGGGAAGGGGAAGTCACTCCCTTGTGCTTCCCTTGGTCATAGAGAAGCCGATCCTCCTGCCTATACCGGGGTGGCGAGCCCGGCTCCACTGTAGGGACAAGGCATCTAATTGATATTTTTGAGTGCTGAGTCCAGGGCCTGGGGAGGGGGTGCTGTGTGCAGGCTGCTCCCATCCCCGCCCCCATCCCCTAGTCTTCTTGCCCTAGGGGAGGTGACTTTGGAGGGGAATGTTGGGGAGCGGGGGTTGTCCATGTGTCCTGACCTCCCACTGCTTCAGAAAAGGCGGAGCCCTTGGGCGTCCTGATTCTCCTGCCTTGCCCTGGCTTAGGCTTTGCTTCCTTTCAGGCACGGGCTGTGGGGTTGAGGGGCCCCAGGCCTTTCCAATCTGAGGCCATAGCCGGTGCTTAGTTCAGCCCAAACCCTTCTAAAAAGGAAATTATCAAGAAGGCTGGCAGAATTGTGCCTTTTTTGCCAAGGAAATCTACTTTCCTCGGTGAGCAAATTCTGGCAGCAGAATCTCAAGGTTCTTATTTGAAAGAGGGCCTCTTTGGCATTGATTTTTCTTCTGGCCATGGGGGACACAGTATGGTAATGAACCCGTGCAAGAATTGCCAAAGGGCAGGGCTGCCCGCGCAGGGAACCCTGCTTTATTGAGTGCCCCATTGCCCCGGCCTCAGCAGATGGCTGCCTTCTTGCCAGGGGTAATTTTTAGCCTGGCCTACAGCTGCTGACACAGAGGCCAGGGGTTCTGAAAGTCGCCGTGCTTGAGCAGATTGAGACAATGCAGTGACCCTTTATTGTACAGGTGCCGTACGCCTGGAAACGTCTTTTGGGACAATAGTAAAAGAGTGAAAATTGCTGTTTTCTAAGCCGTCTTGGTCCAGGCAAAAGGAAAACAGGCAGGTTACTAAAACATTCCAGAATCTGGAACATCTGTCTACCCCTGACACCCCATAGACACTTTTCTCCCGCAGTGGTTTCTGTTGAATTCTATTATCTGTTGTTGTATAAGAAACCAAGAAACCGCTATATCACTTAGCAACCTAAAACAATAACGATTTAGCATTTCTCACCATTCCTTGGGGTGAATGGGTGGTTTTTCCACCCGCCTGGCTGAGGTGCATTCGTGTGGCTGTGGCCAGCTGGAGAGTGTCTGGGGCCTGGGTTCAGCAGAGGCAGCGAGGAAGGCTGCGTGTCTCGCCCCAGGTCTAGCAGTTGGCTGCATGTTTATCCGGTGCCGTGCTCTCTTCCACGTGGCCTCTCCAGTGTCTAGAACAGGCCTCTCCACATGCTGCTGATGGAGGCCTTCCAGGAGGCAGAGCGAACACTGCGGGGTCCCTTGAGGCTTGACCTTGGAGAGGGTACACCAGCACAGGAACCACAGGCCAGGTGGTTCAAGGTGTGGGCTGCTCTTATGGGAGCAGCAGGCAAAGTCTCGGGGGGTGGGGGTGTAGACACAAGGGATGGGTTATTAGTGCCATTATTGTAACAATCCACAGGGTTGCCTTCCGGTCCCCAGGGTTCATGCCCCTCACACATGCAAGAGATGCTCTTCCATCCAGCATCTCCTCACTTCCCTCCTGGCACAGCGTCTGACTCAAGGGTCTGCGTGCCCTGCCTGCTTTGGGGCTGGGTGTGGACGGGCTGCCAGCTCTTGATTCAGAGAGCCTCAGCTCAACAAGAATTGTGGGACAGGAAGAGTGGGGCGGCCACAGAGACTCCTCTTCAAAGAGGGCAGGGATGGAGGCATCTCACAACAGATGGGCTGCAGCAGTTCTGACCTAGAGTCAAGCATGGGCCGTCGGGGCCTCCGCTGGGGCAGTGCCCAGCTTCTAGCATCAGTTTCTGTATTAGTTGCCTATTGTTGAGTAGCAAGCCAACCAAAACCGAGTGGCCAAAACAGCAGGCTCACGATTTCTCGTGATTCTGTGGATTGAGCAGTTTTGCTGGCCTTTTCTGGGCTCTCTGCAGTCAGCTAATGGCATGGTTGAGGCCAGGTGGCCCAGGATGACTTGAGGCACATCCTGGGAGCTCAGCTGGCGTCGAGGAAGTGGGCGGATGTCATTGTCTTTCTGACCACACCATTTTCGATTGCCAGCTCTCCACTGCCTCATGGTCACGTCCCTCTGGAGGGAGCTCTGCAAGTCCTCTTGGGGCCTTGCTTAGATTATGTTCATCAGAACACAGAGCAAGACTAGCCCAGGTTCAAGGGCCAGGGCGGCAGCCACTGTCTCTTGCTGGGAGGAGTGCCCAAGTCACATTCATAGGGGTGTGGACCCAGAGAGGTGGGATTTATGGGTGGTTATTTTTGTAACAGTCTCCCACAGGGTCCTCAACAATGTGGTAAGGGTTTGGATAAATTCTTGTCGCCTGTTTTTAAAATTAAGTCTCAGAAAGGAAAGGCCACTCTTAGTATGGGAGCGGGACAGTTTACTGGAGGGGGTGATGAGTTGACCTAACATGATGGTGTTTTAGTGGCATGTTGGGGCTGCTTGGCCTCCTGTCCCAGCCTGTGCCGAGTGGTGGTTCTCCAGGTGTGGTCCCTGGACCAGCAGCATCTCCCTCACCCCGGGATTCCAATTCTTGGGCCCACCCCCGGTTGACTGAATCAGAAATTCTTCGTAGGATGGGGCTCTGTGGCCTAACAAGCCTTCCAGGGGAGTGTGAGGCTCACCCAGGTCTGAGAATCACTGCTCCCGGGAATGACAGTGCTAACCGGCTCTCCTGACCTCAGGAAGGCAGGCTGTTAGCACCCCTCTCGCCCTTGTCAGCAGGAAGGGCTTTCCCCTTCCCTCCAGGACCCCCTGTCTGTGTGTAGGATAGGCTTTGAGGTGTCTGACCTGGGTCCTGTTCGAGCCAGGGTGAGTCTGGGGTTTTCTTATTGCTCAGGGGATGTTTACTGACCACAGTCCCATGCCACTTATCATACCTGGGCACAGGGGTGTAGAGGTGCGTGAGACACAGCCCCTGACTCTTCAGCTTGCAGCTGAGCAAAGGAGACAGCGCAGAGCAGAGGGCTACTGTGGGAGGACAGTCCAGCAGGGGAAGTGGCAAATTCCGTGCACACATGTTGAGCTAGAGATGTCTGGGTAGAAAGAGAGAATGCTTGGGAAGCAGCTGGTCTGGGGGGTTCCTGTTCAGAAGGAAGGCCTGAGCTAGCGCTTTGAAAGCTGTCATGTACGTGAGTCTTTAACACAGCCTTTCCTTCAAGGTGGCAATTGATCAGAATCCATTGGGGTGTTTTAAAAACATGGATTATTCACCTCCTCTTCTGAACTCCCATATATTTCTGCAAGAATGTCAGATGTCCTAGGTGGTTCTGTTCGGGCAGGTTTGGGAAACAAGGGCCCCAGACCCTGAAACTACCGGGCACCCCTGGGGAGAAGGAGTAGAGGCCCAGGCTGGGACCTAGAGTAAGGGCCAGCCAAGGTGGAGTCTGCGTGAAGATCCTTCTGGAACTAGAGGGACTGGAAGAAGCCAGCGGGAGTGGGGCTGTGGATGCTAAAGGACTGGAAAGTTACCCAGAGGAGGGGGAGGGCGTGGTTGACAAGGCTCAGACACGACATTGCAGCACTGGTGACCGGATCCAGAGCGGAGCCAGGCTGCAGTGGTGGGGAGGACCGGGCAGGTCCAGATGACTTTGAAGGGACTCCAGAGGAAGGAGAGAGTGGAGGAGGAGGGCTTTGGGTTAGGGAGAGTGCTTTCGTTTGTTTTAAATGGGAGAAACTGGAGCATGTTGCCAAGGGCAGAGAGCCAGCAGAGAGGGGTGAATGGAAGAAGGAGCGAGAAGGGGGTTACTGACGAAGCCTTATCCTGGAGGAGAGAAGGATGGACTCCAGAGCCCAGCTTTGGGGACTGGCCTTGAATAAAAGGAGGGCCACTCTACCTCATCCTGGAGGGAGCACGGTAAGGGAGAGGGCATGAAAGCAGCGAGGATAGTAGCTGCTGAAAACGGGGTATGTTTCATTATAGCTAAAAAAGGATGCGCTGCTTCCCCCGCATCCCCGAAAGCTGCTCATCCTAGCAGCTTGTGTTAGAGGAGGTGGAGGTGCAGGTTCAAGGCCGCGTGTAGGGGGAGTCAGGTGGGAGGTACCCACCCGGGCATTCTGTGGCATTCCCAAAAGTGACTGGTGATACTCAGCCTGGGGTATTGATAAGCTTGAAAATAGGAAGAGGAGGATGTTGTAGGGCTGCTCACGAGCTCCAAAAACAGTCTTCACTTGAAAAAATTATCCTGGGCTTTGATTGTGGGTCATTGACTATCTTGGTAAACCCAGGAGTCTTGGACTGTGTTTTTTAAAACCTGTAAACACACAGCCAGGCTTCCTCCTAAGTATGACCGTCATAAGACATTTGAAATGTAGTGCCGTGACTGAAAACAATTGAGCAATTGTTCAGGAAAAAAATTAAATGCCTCTCGATTAATCACCCAATTGATATGTTTAGTGCAGTACTTTAAGTGGAAGTTGGATAGATAGGTTGATTTTTAACACAGTGGATGTTTGTGTAGCGTTTTAGGAGCCAAGGGGGATCATGGCTAAAACTGTAGTCCTTGTAATCCCTGGCCGCTCGTTAGACCTCGGATTACGCTGGCCATGACCTTCCGGTGTGGGCTGAGCACTCAGTGTCTGGCCTCTGGCCTGTCCTGCTCTCTTGGTAACCCCAGGACGCATTTCCCGTTGGGTATATGTCCACCACGCAAGCCTTGGTTCATTTTGTACTAAGATGGTTGGTGGGTTTTGTGAGCTTTTGCATTGTTTGATGTGCAGCCTCAAACAAACATGGGGCAGGGGCTCTGCGCCCCTGTGTGCAGGAGGTCACTGTGGCTATCTGCTCGTGTGTCATTGTGGCGATATGTGCGTTGTTGCCATGGTGGACACGCTGTAGCACTGTAAGGCCTGCAAACCAGAAATGGGCTGACTGGCTTTCAACAGTTCTCTTGGAGAGCAGCTGCTCGGAACTCAGTGTGTCTCACCTTGGAGAGCTGTGGCTGGGTGGCCCCTGATGGGCCCTGAGGCTCACGTCACTCATGAGGCACCGCCGTTGCTGCAGTGTTGTGTGTGTGACCCACCTCACATGCACCACTCTGGATACCCTCTTCTGTGTCATCTTTCTTCTCCTCATTCTCTTTCTTTACCTCCTTTTCAGGCCTCCCTCTCCTCCCTGTGCTTGTTCCTTTTCCTAGTAGTTCAGCTTCTTCAAAGGACTCATAGATT
The DNA here is from genome assembly GCF_000001405.40 of Homo sapiens. NCBI lineage: Eukaryota > Metazoa > Chordata > Mammalia > Primates > Hominidae > Homo > Homo sapiens. Next base: position 98,520,464 of record NC_000013.11, on the reverse strand, counting down.
TGGAGGGTTGGCCTGGCGTTCTGTTCCTTCTATGGACCATTTCTGAGGGAAGATGTGTCTGCAGCAGTGGTGTCTCTTAGAGTCCTTCCTTGCTCTGTGGGGTTCCAGGCTAGTGCTTGTCACCGGGGTGCCATTGGCATTTTGAGCTGGGCAGTTATTTGTGGGGAGATATGCAGCGTCCCTGTCTTGCCTTGCTAAACATCGGGATTGCTTCTCAGTTTCCTGACAAACAGGCCCTGTGGATGACAGGTTACTGCCCCCTTTGAGAACTCAGCTGTTCACACGACTCTGTACTGTGTAGCTGTTAGGATGAGAGCTTGAGCTCTGACAGCTAGCCTTCTTAGAAATGTATACTATATATGTATGTGTAACTAATCAGGTGGTTAAGAGCTTTTAGAGGCTATTTCCAGGGTACAGCATGTATGTGACAAAACAGGCTGCTTATTGTTTTCTGGAATCTGGTTAGATTGTTATTGTTTTGGTGAAGGCAGTACTATTCATGAAGATGCATAGTTACGGTATACGTTTTTTTTTCTGTTCTGTGATATAGCTGGTTAACATTTTAGTAAAAATTCATTTGAATTCAGGAACTTTTGGGGATTGGGTATGGAGAAAAGTGAATTTTTGCTTAGACAAAAGTGATTTTTCGATAAGTCTGTGTATCCTAACATTCCAATAAGTGCTTAGATTTTAATTTACCCTCATTATACAAAAGTTGGCATTTTTTCCATGTTTTCTAATCTAGCTGGGTGATTGTTCTTATTGTACGCTTGCTGCCTTTCATAGTCTGATGCGCATGTGTAGGTGAGACCTAGGAATCTTATGTCCTGAACCTGCAGAGCTGTGGTCACCACCAGCCTGATGCTGGACACAGAAAATAGATGAGTCCCTGGAAGACAGTGTGGTCTATAACATTACACATAAAATTGACAAAGGAGTTGTGGTGCTATGAGGGACTAAAGTTTCCCTTTTCTCTTCCTTCTCTCTACAGAACCTAAAGGCAGACCCAGAAGAGCTTTTTACAAAACTAGAGAAAATTGGGAAGGGCTCCTTTGGAGAGGTGTTCAAAGGCATTGACAATCGGACTCAGAAAGTGGTTGCCATAAAGATCATTGATCTGGAAGAAGCTGAAGATGAGATAGAGGACATTCAACAAGAAATCACAGTGCTGAGTCAGTGTGACAGTCCATATGTAACCAAATATTATGGATCCTATCTGAAGGTAAGGCTTAAAATAACGTGCTTCTCCGTTCTGCAGCACTTGGCTGAGGTGCCAGCAGGGAATGGGAAGGACTCTGATAGGACAAAGCACAGCAGGTTTCAGAGCAAGGAGAGATGTTTTGACCTTCGTGATCAAAAGAACCTGGCTTTGATAGTTCCATCATCTCAAATGTCTCCTATAGAAATATTTGTGGTGAAAGTGTTTGATGTTCTAATTCTCTTTTGAATAAGGAAGAGTATTTCTGGTGGGACTTTGTCATTAAAACTGTTTCTTATTAAGTTATTATAACAGTTATTCACCTAATTTTAGGACTGCTTATGATTAGTATTAAAAACTCATACCAACTTAAGAATGTTAATCTTTTGATATTCTCACTTACCAGCTGTGGTTTAATTTAATGCTGTTAAAAACTGCTGATGAGAATTGATAATGTTGGTTAGTTAGCTAGCTTATCTACGCTTGACTTTTAAGAATGCTAGGCAAATTGGTAATTACTTAAATAAAACGGTAGTTATAATAATATGACACAAAAATTGTCCTGCACTGCCACTCTGTTCTTTAAGTGGGAAAGAATAGTATTAAAAATGTTTTTCTGATCCTGCATGGAACCATTTTACCATTTTAGACATCGTAGAACAATCCTGTTACAACACTAAGAAGGCTTATGACCGTTCTTGTGTTTCAAGTTCCTCAAAATATACCTGTTTCACTGAACTTAAAAATGTTGTAACCTTTAAAATGGGGTTTTAGAAATCATAAGAATTGGTGGGGAAAAAAACGCTCTGAAATAATTATTGTGGAATACAGAACTATGAAGAAAGAAATGATGATTTTCCAGGGGAGGCAGCGATAAACCTGGATAATTTGGGCCAGGCCTCTTCCTCCCCTGGCCTTACCCTCTAAAGTCTCTAAGTTACAACTTGTAAGCTGCTCTGATGTGAGAAGGGAGCGTGTAGGTTTTGCTTTTGTAGAAATACAGTAAGGTGTAAGTCAGAGGATGGACATTTTGAGAACCATTGATTAACTAAAATGGATATTTAAAGGAAATCAAAATTGAGCAGTGATCCCTTTTTTATCCCTTGTGTAAAGGACAGCAGTGTGTCATAGGTCAAATGTAGCATTTTGAAATGGAAAGAGTGAGTTTTGGAGTCAGGTGTCACAGGACTTGAATCTTGTCATTTACTTTGATGTGTGGCCTTGAGTGAGTTTTCATTATTTTTTATAACTTCTCCACTTTCTCATTTGCAAAATGGAAAATTATGGTATATATCATATGTTACAAAGATTAAATGGAATTAAGTATGTGAAAGTACTTGACATGTAGTAGGTACTTAATGCGTATTTTCCTTCCTTGGTAGCATTTATTCATACCTCATCTCTTAAATTACCCTGCAATGAATATGCAATGAAGGTAGTTTGCAGTTAAGGTATCCATTGAGGTCAAACCAAGGAAACCAGGGTTAAAGAATGGAGGAAGAATGCCAACAAGAAGAGCAAATGTTGCTGTGTGGTGCACCCAGTTTGGGTCTTGACACAGCAAAAACGAAAGCACTACACATGTGACTTCCGTGGGGGAATGCCAGCATCTTGATGTTAAATTTCTTTTTTTTAATGAGATGGAGTCGTGCTGTGTAACCCAGACTGGAGTGTAGTGGGGCGATCTCAGTTCACTGCCCCCTCCGCCTCCCGGGTTCAAGCGATTTTCCTGCCTCAGCCTCCTGAGTAGCTGGGATTACAGTCGCTCACCAACCACCGTGCCCGGCTAATTTTTGTATTTTTAGTAGAGATGGGGTTTCACCATGTTGTCCAGGCTGGTCTCGAACTTCTGACCTCAGGTGATCCACCTGCCTCAGCCTGCCAAAGTGCTGGGATTATAGGCATGAGCCACTGTGCCTGGCCTCGATGTTAAATTTCGATTGAAAACAAACAGCTAAAGAAACTCAGTTTGGATTCTGTCCACTGTACTGCGTACTATTCCCTGTGAAATTACTTCAGCAGTAGTGTTCTAGTAAATTCAGAGTTGGATTTCGTGTGGTTTGCTGATGTTGTATTTTAATATGAATTATTATGATGGTTTTGGCAAAGGAAGTGTGGAGGATCCTGACAAATATTTGGTGATTTATACCAGCTAATATTTAACTATGGAAATTAAGGATCAGTGGTTCAAAACATCTTGTTCAACCTCAGCTCCTTAGCACGATCTTTACTGCATGCTGGAATGGGCTGCTTTATTGTGGCCAAATATAGCGGCCACAGTACATATCTGCATGTATCTAGAGATTCCATCCAAACAGGTCCTGTTCTTGCCTGAGCTGCTAATGCTAGAACGTTAGGTTTCAGATCAGCCTAACCTTGATCTAAGGTTGCCCCGGTATTTTGTTTAGTTATTGTAACGTCAACTGCCGTAGTAAACTCCTTAAATGTGTAACGACTCATACATGTTAGAAATGTATCTCTTCCTCACTGGTTGCCCTGATCCGTGGGCTGTTTTCCTTCAGACACTGATTCAGGAACCTGAGTTCCTTTTATCTTATTGTTCCTTCATCTTGACAAGTGGCTGTGCTCAGCTGCCATAAGTCAGCGTTGGGGGAGAAATGGAGGCTCACGTGTGGGAAGTTTTTATGTGCCCAGGCCTGGACGTAGGGCACATTGTTTCTGTTCATGTTCTCCTGGTCAGAACTCAGCCACATGACCCACACCTGACCCAGGAGAGGCTAAGAAATGTCATTGAATAGTGTGCTTCGTGGGAAGAGGACACAGGCTGTGTGCACAGTAGGCTGGCCTTTTCAAAGTCACTTCATCTCTGTAGGAAGTGGAATAGCTCAGGGAGTGGTCTTCAGGTGCTGATGGCCTCCAGGCAGGTTGAAAAGTGTTGATACTTTATCCAGTGCGCTCTCTGTATTTTACTAAGCAGATTGTCCTTTAGGGAGTATCTGCCACAAGAATGCCTGGAAGAACGTGGCCATTGTGGAAAGTTGGCCCGGATTTTAAAGCCATGTGAAGGACAATTGTCTTATTTGGCTACATACATCATGAACTGCTCTTCTAAAACAATAATTAACTATTATAATTGAGCAGGAGAAGAATCCAGACCTGTAATTCTGTCTGCCCATTCTTGTGTAATGGAGTGTCATGAAATTCTTTGGCCCAGAAGGGGACCCTCCTGAGTCAGAGGCCATTCTTCCATCATCTTGGTAGGTTTAGAAAGTGTGGTCCTAATGTCAAGGAGGATACAGATTAAATGGATTTGTAAGACAAATGGGTCTTTGGCACAGAGCTGGAAATAGTGCTCTATGTGGTTTTCACTGTCATTTTAAAACACTCCCTGTAGCGTTCAGAGCTACTGTTCTTAGTTCTTTAAGGGTGATTGGAGAGAGGGCCTTAGGATTTCACCCTGTGTTAAGGGACTTTTATATAGCAGGCCAGGACAAAGAAGAGATTACCAGAAATGGGTTTCTTCATTGTTGGGGTAGCTAGCATTCACAGGTCTCATAATTATGTTTTGGTTCATTCTTTTAGTCTAGAAAAAAGGATTTAAAACAATAGAGAAGTGGTCTAAATATTCTGAATGTTACTAAGGATCTGGTGAGTGGTGTTAATTTTGACAGTAGCAGTGATGAAGTCACAAAATTGCTTTGTAGCATTTTTTTTCCCCTAAAGATTGAAAACAAGGGCTAGAATTTAGGGAGGAGAAGGAACAATACAACAGTGAATCCCCCCACCCCCCCAATATTTATGGATCTGAGGCCTGGAAAGGTCTTGAGGATGATCACAGACCATGGAAAAAACTTCACCCGTTGTAGTTTCAGTGTTTACTTTTTGGGAAATTAAACCAGCTAGGATACTTAACCAGAATCCTCCATGTCCCAGCCATTATACCCCTGGAGTTTTCTGCCACTGAGGTACCATCCACGAAGTCAAAATGAAACTGCCTGTGTGTGGGGTTGGGTAGGGGATATGGGGTAGTGTGCAGGAGGGGAGAGAGAATTTTTTGGTTTTGTATTTTAATTAGGCAGTGAAGACATATAATTGTAACGAGAACAGGATGGTGTAGTACGGGATGCTGACCTGTTTTTTCTCTGTGCACCATTTGCAAATGTGCATTCCCTTCAGCACTTACAAATCTTTTTTTTTTTTTTTTCAGGGGGTTTGTTTTGAGGAGCTTGCTATTCTATCAGAGTGTCCATATTGAGATTCACTTTTAGTTATAGCCAAGATTTTAGTCTCAGATTCTAGTACAGGTACTCAACTGGTCGCTGTTTGGGCTGCTGATTTTCTTGAGGAAACGCAGATATACTTCCATGATTACTATAAAGATGAGATCATGTATGTAAAGTGCTGGCATGTAGTAGATTTTTAGTAAATGATGATTTTCCCTTATTAAAAAAATTTTAAGTTATCTGCGCCAAACAGACTCAAAATTCACAAGTCTTAAAATAGATTGTTAGCATGCTAAAAATAAGGTTTATCATTTTCTTTTATGATAAATTATTTATTCCTCTCAAACATCAAGCCAGTTTAACCAAAGCAAATCAGGTGCGAGGTCTTAAAAGCTGTGCTTTTCAAATTTCTTCCTTGCCATAGTAGTTTTTGTTGTAGTGTCATTATTAAAGAAACATGCCCTGTTGTCTCATTGCGGATTCAGATCCCTGACTTACAAGTTTTCATCAGTTCCTAAAAACTTTTCTGAGTAGTTTGACCCATCAGATTCACCAGAAGACTAATATGGGAAAGTCCCTTGGTGAGTTTTAGAAAACTAAGTACTCTATGAAAGTACAGGTTATTCTGGGAAAGGATTGATTGTGGGTAGTTACAGGTTCATAATCTCACTTCACAGTCATCTTTCCAAGTTATATTCTTGGGACTTCTATTGTTTTTTCTGTGGTCCCCAAAGGGGAAATAGTTTCTGATGAAACAGAAAAACCAGTCATTTTATCCTTGGGGAAAAGAGTAAAAAATACTGATAGAAGTGGCCAGCGTCTCCATGAACGAGGCTGCTGTGCAGGTCAGTGTCCATCTGCAGTCTTGGATGCTTCTCCCCCGCATAACTAATAACTGGCCTATTGACTTTCAGATGCACCCTAGTTTGGACAATAGAAAATAATCAGCCTACTTACTATGCCTATCTGCAGAAAAACACCGTGATTCTCAGCCTTGCCCATATTGTATGATAACTTCACATTGCAGAGAAGAAATACCAGTCTAGCTACATGATGATGAATGTATCCTGTTAGGACACCTGTGAATTTTATCTTTACTCACACCTTTCTTTAAGCTAGTTCATAGCAAATCATGCTCTTGTATTGGCCCTTGGCTTCAGGCATACTTAGGAATTCAGATGGGTTATTATGTTAGTTTCTGAAAGCATTTTAGTTCAGATATATGCTTGGTGTGGGTGAACTCTCCTATGCCTCAGAAATTCTCATCAAAGCACACAGTGTCTTTCTCATTCATGTCTTTGCTCCTTCAAAGGCAGAGTCCCAGCCGCGCTTTCATTGAGATGGTGAAAATGAGATACTATTTTAGTACATATGGAGAGATGATTTGCAGTTTATTTGAATTAGATAACAAATGAAATTGAAAGGGCCCAGAAGAAAGTTGAGACTCCACCATATGGAGAAACTCTTGTGCAGTCTGAAGGGCTTCTGTGATCTTAACAGAGAAGAGAACCGAGCCACCTAGATCTGGCACTGTGTACCTCTCTGTTCCTCCTGCCACTGCCCCATATGGACCTTTCCTCACTGAAGGCACAGGTGACAGTGTCTGCAGATGTTTCGGCTGCCACTACTTGGGGGTGTGGGTGGAGGCCAGGGATGCTTATCACGTCCACAGGATGGCTCCACACAGGGACTCACCCAGCCCGAATGTCCACAGTGCCACTGTTGAAAAACTGCTGCGTGGAATGAACCTTTTGTCCCAGAAAATAGGTTTAAGTAATGGTGTTTCTAGGGCTGACATTTGGGACTCTTGGAATATCCCAAAGGGCATTTTGGATGGAGGGTCTCGGAGCCCATGGCTGTGCCCACCATGATGTCCGTGGCAGGACCCAGTGCAGGCTTTGCCAGCATCATGAGAAGGGCGTGTCCATACTCGGGGCAGTGTGTCCACCCTGCGTGGGCTGGCCAGCCTCTGTTCTCGAGGCTGTGAATGCTCACACAGCGCCTGGGAAGGCGGATAACTCAGAGATGCTTTTCTGGGTTACTTTTGTTCTGAGGTAAGAGAGGGCAGCAAGTGGACCCCGATGGGCTGCAGAAGCCGGTTCGCAGCAGGGACTGATTACATAAGTGTTGGCAGTGACCCCGGTAAGTCTGGTGTTCCTTATAAACCCTGCTTTCCACAGTTGAGCAGAAGACACCACAGATGAGAGGGAGCCCCTCCCTCACTGAGTGGAGTCTTAATGGGACGTTTGTGACTCTCCCTTGGACACTTGTACTCTTTCTACAAAAGTTAATATTCCCTGAGACATTATTTACATCCGGAATGGGGCTGTGTGACTGGAGGTCCTCACCTGCCCATGTTTTTTGCATGTTTTGTAGCAAACTGATAATGACCAATGTCAGAATTATCTGGCTTTATATTTTGACCTTGTTCATTAGAGTAGTGTTAATGAAGGAGAAAGCAAGTTAGGGGCTGGTACCTTGCTTTCCCTTTTTAAAAAAAAAAAAAAAAAACTTACTTTGTGTGTGTTTAGGGTTTTTGTTTTGTTTTTGTTTCTCGGTAGACATGATGTGTATTTTTAGTGCTAAAGCAGGGCTCTTCCCAGTAGCCTCTTTGAGCTTTGGACTCCTTTCTAGCCAATAAAATGACCTGTTTCGCTCTAAGTCAATTGCTGCTCATTTTCTGGTTGCATTTCTTTCTCTCTGTTCTATTTATGGACCTCAGGTAAGAGTTGAGTTTTTCATATTTTGCAGTTCATGGCACCATCATCATCGACCTATGTAAGATCCTTTTCTGTTTTAATCTGTGTGTCTTCAATAGAGAAAACATGGTTTTGTGTATGGTGTATGTATGGGTTTGTTTTTCCCCATAACATTTTTAAAAATTTATGTACTGTAGGCTGGGCACAGTGGCTCACGCCTGTAATCCCAGCACTTTGTGAGGCTGAGGCGATTGGATCACTTGAGGTCAGAAGTTCGAAACCAGCCTGGCCAACATGGGGAAACCCTGTCTCTACTAAAAATACAAAAATAATTAGCCAGGCATGGTGGCACGCACCTGTAGTCACAGCTAATTGGGAGGCCGAGGCACGAGAATCGCTTGAACCTGGGAGGCTGAGATCACACCACTGCACTCCAGCCTGGGTGACACAGCGAGACTCTGTCTCAAAAAAAAAAAAAAAAATTACTGTAAAACTCACTCTTGGATGTATAGTCCTATGTGTTGTAACATATGTATAGATTCTTATAAGTACCACCACACATGGGACCAGAACAATGCCAACGTTCCAAAGAATTCCTGAACCATCCCCCGCCCATGGCAGTCACTGATCAGTCCTTAGCATTTTGGCTTTTCCGGAGCACCGTAGATGGAATCACACATCTGTTGTTAGTGGCTTTTGTTAGTGGCGTTTTTCAGTTATTGTCATGCCTGAGGAATCCTTCCGTGTTCATGCATGTGTCACTTGTTTGTTCCTTTTTACTGTTAAGTAGGGCACCAGGGTGTGTATAACCAGGTTTACCTATCGAAGGACATGTGGGTGTTTCCAGAATTTGGTGATTATGAACAGTGTTGCTATGAATATTGATGCACTTTTTTGGTATGAACATAAGTTTTTCATTTTTCTAGAGCAAATACTTATGAGTAGGATAGGTATTTAATTTCTATTTAATGTCTGTTTAATTTTCCAGAGTGCCTGTATAATTTTGCATCCCCACCAGCATTTGGGGTACTGTCAGTAATTTTCATGTTTGCCATTTTAGTAGGTGTGGAATGGTATTTCATTGTAGTTTTAATTTGCATTTCCCTAATGACTTATGATTTTTGAGTATCTTGTCCTAAGACGCTTACTATTTCCCGTCAGTACTCTAGAGTTTGGAGTAGGATATTCATTTTAGGTAAATGCTACCATGTGGGAATATGGGGCCGGGCACAGTGGCTCACCCTGTAATTCCAACACTTTGGAAAGCCGAGGTGGGAGGATCACTTGAGCCCAGGTGTTCGAGGCTGCAGTGAGCTATGATTGTGCCATTGTACCCCAGCCTGGGTAACAGAGTGAGACACTGTCTATCTCTTTTATTAGTAAGGAAAAAATACTACCGTGTGGTTGTTCGGAATAGCCTTACCAGCTAAATGCCTGGTTTAGCTGTGGGTTTTTGTTTCTGTGTTTAAGTAAAAAAATAAAAACCTTTACCGATCTACAATTCACCCACTTAAAATATACAATTCAAGAGTTTCTGGTATATCACAGAGCGGTGCAGCCATCACCACAATTTTAGAACATTTCATCCCCTCGAAAGATACTCTACCCATCATCATTCACTTCCCATTTCTTCCCAGATTCCCGAGTCTCCTTTCTGTCTCTATAGATTTGCGTATTCTGGACACCTCATATAAGTGTAATTATAGAACATGTGTCCTGTTGTGTCTGGTTTGTTTCACGCGGCATGTTTTCAAGGGCTCTGTTGCAGCATGTGTCAATAGCTCTTTTTATTGCTGAATAATGTTCCATTCTGTGGATAGACCACACTTTGTTATCTATTTATCAGTTGGTGGATATTTGGGTTTTTATTTTTTGGCTGTTGTGAATACTGTTCCCATGAACATTCGTGTACAAGTTTTTGTGTGGATATGTTTTCCTTTCTTTTGGATGTATTACTTGGGAGTGGGGTTATTGGGTCAAATGTGTTTTGGGAGCCCCCATCTGAATTGGGTTCCAGTATCAGAGTAGCTAGCGACCCTTCCCTAAGGGGAACTGAAAGGCAGCTGGATGTGGGTGATGACCGTGTGCCTTTCACAGGATGCTTCTTTTACCTGGTGGATGGGCTCACGCATAATGGTCTGAGCCCCGACTCGGGAAACTTGTTTATACTGACGGACACCCCTGTGGGTCTTGTCTGACTACCTGGCCATCATTCTGGTGCTGGGAGTCCAACCTTGTTTGCTCCCACACGTCCTGGGGTAATGTGGTTGGTTCTTCGGATGGAGGGTACAGAGTCCGTACACCATCACAACAGGAAGCAAGTTCAAACATATATTTTAGAAGATGCTTTTGAAAAATGGCTACATAATGATTGTACAGATATCTGAGGTACATGTGATATTTTGATATTACATATAATATGTCGTGGTCAAATCCAAGTTCAAAGACTTATTACTTACATATCCTGGGCAGGAGGCAGTCCTCTGTCCTGGGTTACACAAGGCAAGAATGAAGAGTCAGGCAGAGAGAGAGAGCGACAGAGAGAGTGTGCACAACTGGCAGTATACATTATATAAGAGGGAACAGGGCGTGGGGCTCTGTAAGTTCTCGGGCAGGCCTGAGTGTTCTGTTTAAAGGAAGCAGATGGAACATGGGGAGCTCAGTCTGCTGGGTGTAGGAGATGCCTCTAAGTTCTTATCTTGGCCAGCGAGCTGGGCCTTTTGGGTGTGGTCTAGAACTGGAGACCGTGTCAAGGGTGACTAAGCCCTGCTTCTGGTATGAGAAAGTTAAACTTGTATTCAAAATGGATGCCAAGGCAACATAAAATTTGAAGAGTTTACTGTAATATACAAATTTTATGTTTAACCTTTTGAGGAACTGGTTTTTTTTTTTGTTTTTGAGGAACTGTTGAGACTGTTTTCAGTAGTGGCTTATGTTCTCATGGTAGTGAATGAAGGTTTCAATTTCCCCTTGTTTGTTTTTTTAAAATTGTGTTAAGCAGTATCTCATGGTTTTCACATGCATTTCCCTCATGACTAATCATGGCTAATTGTGTTGAGCATGGTTTGTCTACGTTCTTGGCAACATTGATACTATAAAACTTTCTTTCACCAATCTCTTAGCTATAACAGTATTTTATGTTTATTTCCATTTCTATTAATCATAACTTTGAGCATCTATGTATGTTCTTAACCATTAGGATTATTCTGTTGAATTCATATCTCCTAGGAAGTTTTCTATAGTTTAATGTGTTTATTACATGTGATTATCAAATTCCCTTTCAATTTTCTAGTCAGGAAATAATTGTCTGATAATTAGGCTTATGAAGTATTGTGAAACTAAAAAAGGGTGCCCAAAACTATATGTTTTGGCCTGGTAGCCACATTACAAATTAATTCATTACAAATTATTTCTAGTCTGTGAACAGGAGCTCTTGTGAGTCTCACCAGCGCTAGTCACATTCCTCAAGCTTGACCATCCCTTTGAGAACTGATGAAACAGCTTTGAAATTGGCAAAGCTGAAGAATGGACTTCAAAGCAGAGAAGGTGTGAATTGTTTTAAGTGGGAGCTTCATGGGAATAAAATATGAGGCGTGGCCCTGAAGGTTAGTTTGTGGTATGTTACAAAGTTAACTCATTCTGATTTAAGACCACCTTTTCTGAGAGTTAGGGGAAAGTGCTTTTTCTCTCTGCCATAGCTCGTATGGCATGGAACCAGACACTGTGTACACAGACATGCCCCTGGCCCCTTTAAAATACCCCCTGTTCCTCCCACCCTCACTTTCCCGGACAATAGCAATAAGTTTACCAAGAAAGATCTCATCTTCTGTCCCAACAGAAATTCTAAGTAGCATTTCTGCTCTCCAGTGGGGCTTGTGGTGTAAGTTGCATTTAAATTGGCATTCTTTTCTGCTGACCCTGAAAGGCTAGTGGTTTACTTGTAGGCAAATACTCTTGCTGTTTATTAACATACATTCTTCTGTGAAATTTCCTACTATGTTTCTTGTCTCTTAGTGTTGGTTTTTGATACCACAGGTGTGTTCTCTGACTTTATCACACTAGTTTTAACTTTGAAGCGTCCTCTGTTGGGGAAAAAAATCCTTGATTTTAATGTAGTTAATCCATCAGTTTTTCACCTTATATGATTTCTGCTTTTGGGATCCTGTATACGAAATACATCAGCTTCTCATAGGTTACAAATATATTTATTTTTTTTCTTCTATTAGCTTTATAATTAGCCTTTCATATTTTAGTATTTGAAGTAGCAAGAAGCGGTGGGGAGCAGGAAGAATTCTGGGTAGCTGGGACCGTCATTGCAGGCTACGTGTTTCTTTATATTTTTGAGTTTATTGTAATGTCAAACACTTGTTATGCATTGGTGTTTGAATTCTCCTTTGGTACTTTCCCTGTTGCATTTTGGGCCATGTGGGTTTATGGGATAACACCACTTGAGCTTGACTTGGTGGAATAGAGGTTTTAGGGTTGGGGGAAGAGATCTGCAATGGGCTTTTGGGAAGTGTCATAAAAGAAGCTAGAGACAAGACCTAGTTAGAGGGGAGGCTGCCTTTACCATCACATTTCTGTTTGTCTCCCGCCTTCCTGACTCTGTGCTCTGGAGATCTGGAGACCTGGAGACCTGCCTCAGGATATCCCGTCCTGGCTGGGAATGAAGCCAGGGAGTGTGGTAGTCTAATTTTGGGCTCTGTTTCCTCATCTGCAGACACTGGGCATACTTGTCTTTTAAGTTATTTGCAGTCTGTAATTGATTTGGCTCAGCTGGCCCTAAGATACGGTATTCCTTGTGTAAAGTCAGAGAAATCAGAGCCAAAGATAATTAGAGCTGGAAAGGCCTTCAGAGGTGGCTAGCCCTTATCTTTCTTTCTCTAGGCTAGAAAACCATGGCCCAGAGAAGCTGAGTGATTTCCTTTTCTTCTACTATCAACACTAGGACAAATACTCAGATTCCAGGCAAGTGTGAAGCGTTGGCCCTGTGCCAGGAGCCCGCAGGCCTGTCTTGCTAATTTGCTCAGGCTTTCAAAGCTTTTGCAGCCCTTTGGCTGTTGAGCTGGGATTTAGGGCCAGAGTTTCCTCATTCCTGGTCTACCGTTAGCTTCCCTGCACCTGACGGTTGTCCTCTTAAGTACTTCTCCCCCATTTTCTTACCGGATTCCCTCTCTCCAGTGGTGTGTTCTCCTTCTACAGAGGGTATTTCAGATATTTATTCAATAGTTCAGCCATTTTACAAAGTTGAGGAGGGAGAATCGGGTGGAGCAGACACAGTGGCACTGCCTTGCTGGAGGCATCCTCGCTGGCTCTCCCGCCCAGCTGCACATTTACAGAGGCCTAGTGTCGGCCAGCACCGTCCTTTGCACTCAGGCCTCTGCTCACAGGTCAGCACGCCCTTTGCATGTGTCCAGTGAGGTTCCCCTGAAAGCCTGAGCAAATTAGCAAGACGGGCCTGCGGGCTCCTGGCCCAGGGTCACCGTTTCACACTTGCCTGGAATCTGAGAGTATTAGGTCACATCTTCAAAAGACTGTATTTGTCCTAGCATTGAATTCTTACTCACGGCCACCGTATTTATTGGGTAGTTCAGCAGGAGAAATTCTTGCCTAACACGTGTCCGTGGTTTTAGTGCATTTTTAGTGCTTCGCCGATGCTCACCTCTGTACTCATATGTATTAAATGATTGAATTTGAATTGGTGCCGGTAGCTGTGCCCCACTTTGACATAGATCCGGAAGCTTAGCCAGGGTCCACAAGTCTGTCCTTTGTGTTTGAGTGGGAAATTGCACTGTGTGATTGATAACGGAGGAGCTGCTTCGGCTACGGGAGACATTGCCCTGTGAGCTCGGCAGGGCAGTCCTTGTCCTCCCCTCCTGTGCTCGCATCAGCTGCTGCCAGGAGCCTCGTTTTGGTTTTGTGGTCCTGCACCTTCCTTCGTTAGCACTGCTGTGTTCCTCACCTGTGGATGTTCACGGTTGCCTATGAATCTGGGCGGTGATTCCATTTGTTCTCATTGCAGCCGTTCCAGTTATTAGGAATCCAGCTGTCTGAAAAGCTGTATCCTTCCTGACGACCTGTATTTTATTTCCTTGTCACCTTTGCATCCTAGCACAGGGTCCGTGAGAACGTTGCTCTTTTTGTCTGACAGTTCAGACCCGTCGGGCTCTAGAGAATTGACTGATGTGTTTGGAGTTAGTTCCTAGTCGTTTCTGGAGTGGTGACTGGTTTAGATTTTTGCCTTTTGAAAAGCTACTAGACGTAAAACTTAATTGGTGTTTTGGCGAGTCCTTTTGTCTGTGGCAGTTCATCTTTAGAGAAGTAAATTAATTTGTAGGTAAGCTTTTTCTCCTTTTTTGATTGGCTATCTAAAACATATATTTGAATCAAACTTTTAAAACAGAGATACAGAAAACTCTTCATGAAAAGATTTTTTTGTCTTCCTTTCTTTGTATGTTTGATATACAGATAACTGTTAACAGTATTCTGATTTCCATTATTCACATTTCTGTAGTGACAAGGATCAAGTATCTGCAGGCATTTCTTTGTCCCGGGAAAAGCAGATTTTTTCAAGGAAATGATGTGTTGATATATAATAGAACATACATAAATACTTTTGCTAGCTGTGCAGTTAGTTAGAAAGTGTTGATGTTTTGACATTGGGTGGCTGTTGGTCACTGCAGATGGAATTGCTGAAAGAAATTTACATAACCTGTTAAGAGACCAATCATTGTTGCACTAGATTAGGTACTCAAGTTAGTTTACAGAATTTTGATTATTTTTGGTTGGCTTGGTATGAGATTGGCTTTCGATTATATGCTTCAATTGGGTCTAATGACTCTTCCCTGTCATTGTAAATGGAATCAGTGGAGATAGGTCAATGACAAGGTTGATTATAGACCAGGGCTTACAGAAGCTAATCATCTGCAGTCTTCATTTACATACATGCTTCTGCTGTTGGCTTCCAGCCAAGGCTGGTGTAGTATAGTACATGAATTTTGGAGTCATTATTGATCATATATTTCCAACAAGTGTGATGAGGTGGAGTTGGCTTAAGTTGAAATGTTTAGTGGAAAACATTGGTTCGTTAAAAGTAGCAGTGGATCTACAGCTCTTTTTTGAGAATGAATTGCTATTATGTTTGCTGTCTACACTGAGGTGTGGCATGAAGCCTTTCTCTCGTCTCCTTTATACCTTGGTGGATCTGTGTTTCCGGACACTTTTCCTTTTGAAAGTTGAGATCCCGTTCAGAGGCTGACAGACTTGTCCCTAGAAGAAAGGGGGCATAAATATGCCAAATGCAAAACCACAATGATTTCTTTGATTACAGGGACCTTGGGGCCAGCTTGCGGTAAGAACTTGCCTTTAGAAGATCCTTTGGTTCCCATCAGTGTCTCCCTCTCCTCAAAGGGATGGCAGCCCAGTGGACAGTGGGCACATGACCCTGACATCGACAGACTCCCACGGAGGTAAGCTGCTCTGTCAGCGTCGCCCAGACAGACGTGCACCTTCCTCATCAGCCCGAACCTGCCTCCATCCACACCTTGTGCACATGTGGATGGAGTACTGGAGGCTGTTGTTTCTCTGCTTCCAGCCAAGGGTAGGGATCAGCGACCTCAGGTGAAAAATAGCCCTTCCTCTCCTGGGCTTAGAAATGAATGGAGAGAAAGCAAGCTCTAGCAGCTTCCTCCTGGTTGAGGACAGGGAGTTCCCCTGAGATAGTGCTGTGTAGATAGTCACCGACGACTCCACAGCTTTGTGTCTGCCCCTCACCACACAGTAGGCTTCATTCTCACCATGAACCACTGTTGTCATTTGGGGACAAGTTGAAAGAGTCTATTTCCCTTCTTGCATTAAAGGAGAAACTGTCAGCGGGATTGCTGTTAACCACTGTGGTGGTCACCACGACCTGAGTCTCGTGCTAGTGTTTGAGAGACTAAGCTCTGACTTTTCTAGAAGGTATTATTCCAGATCCTGACCCAGGGAAGAGGCATGGTGGACCAGAAATCTGCATTTTCCCAGAGCAAAGCTACAGACTGGAAAATGGATTGCAACCTTGCACAGGCTTGACTGTTGTTGACAGAAGCTCTACTTTCTCCTGCTCTGTTCTCTTATTATTAAAGGGATGGATATATCAGAACAAGTGTGTGTTTGTTGTTTTAAAGTTTGTTTTTTTTTTGTCTTCAGTTAAGTTAGGCTGCAGGGTTGAGAGAAGAGAAATTTTCATTTGTGTGCTTGGGAAAATCAACTAGGAATGAACTTTCACTTTTACTGTTTAAAAGTAAAAATATCTTTGGAAGCTGAGGAATGGCTGCTGGGAGAAGTCGATTTTAACCCAAATGTGATCTTTCTGTCTTCTCCATAGACTTCACATCTCCCTCTGGGACAGTAATGAGGAGAGAGTGTTTGGCCATCGCAGGTGTAGGAGGTGGAGGCAGATTCTGCGTGGGTGGCTTCTGTCAACAGACGCTGGACTGTGCAGGGCAGCTGCAGTGGTTCTGGCTGGTTGCTGTGGTCAGTGGGAGTCGTGGCATGTTCCTGGGGGCAGTCACATCTCTGAACATTTCCTTTATGACAGTTAGTGCAGTTTTAAAAAAGGAAAAATCTTCAATGTTAACCTTTTTTCTGTCTCTTATTTCTACCCTTTAAGATTATCTTTATGACTTCTAAGGATATTTTAAGCTCACAGTCACACTTGGAAGCAGTGCCCTTGTAAGGCTCTGCCTAGTGTGGCTGTATTAGAAAGGTCATTCCTGGTTCTTACATGTGCTTCTCCTTTCCACGTCTCCCACTGGCGTGCTGACTTTCCAAGGGGAACGTGAAGCTGTCCGCAGTCCTTGCCCTTGCCCTTTCTTTTGGAGACTGTGTGAATGAGCAGCAGCCACTTTAATGTGAGGCAGCCATATAAACAATGAACTTTCACTTGCTGCCAGGAGGTCATAAACTCAAGGTCACCAAATGAATTCTAGCTTCAGCTCTTGGTTTAGTAATGTACCAAGTTTGGTATTACTTTTTGTTTGTTTTAATCAGGTTTCTGCCCTCATCTTCTATTTGGGAAATTAAAACTGGTCTGTTGGCATGGCTGGTGACTGAGCGGCAGGCACATTCTTAGTCTCTGACTTTCTGCAGCCATCTTTGAGTGCATATAAGTGTTGGGTAACAGTCTACTGAATGTGCTACAAGTGTGCGGAGTTGTGTTCATCTTTAACTTGTTTTTTTTAAAAAACACTCTCTTGGTAAATTGGGATCTCCTGTTGAAAACTGTATTTGTTTGGCAGTTGAGTTTATGCCTGGAGCCCCTAGAGCACATTTAACTGGTTGGTGGTCAGTTGTACCATACTGAAAAAAAAAAAAAAAAACACATGGAAAGTATTTCTAATATATTCATTATGGGATGTGTGAGCCCTTAATTACCTGAAAATCTGAATTGTCTTTCCTCACAGGTAGTAGTCCTCTCAGGTGTTTCCTTTTTAAAATTGTAAATGGAATTTCACATATCCAAAGAAATTAGGATTCCCAGTGCTGTCTTCTCCCTCTAGTAGCATATTTTGTGTCTTAGCTTTCTGTTGTTATAACAGAAAGACTGGGTAGTTACCATAGACTGGGTGATTTATAAGGAAATGTATTTTTCACAGTTCTGGAGGCTGAAAAGGCCAAGAACATGGTACTGGCATCTGGCGAGGGCTTTCTTGCTGTGTCATGACGTGGTGGGAAGAGCAAGCAAGCTCGTGCGAAGGAGAAAGGCACCAGGGACAGGACTTGCTGTATAACGACCCACTCTCACGATAACAAACCTGTTCCTGAAGTCACCACATTAATACATTCATGAGGGCTCCGTCCTTATGACCCAAGTACCTCTTATAAGGCCCCACCTCCTAACCCTGTGGCATTGGAGATTAAGTTTCCAACCCATGAATTTTGGGGGACACATTCAAATCGTAGCATTATGACTGTGGAAGTCATTTTGTTTCTAAAGGTCTTTGTTCCCACTTGATCCTAAGACCCTGTTTCTAGGGCTTTAAGACCTAGAGTAAGGTGTCAGTCTTTTCCTCCTGCCCCATCTTTTATCAACTCATTGATTCCTATGTTTACTGGACCCAGCTGCTCTGCTTCGGGCCAGGAACGCAGATAGGAACATAGCAGATGTGGCCCTGCACCCAGAACTTCTTTGGTGTAGTGAGGGAGAGAGACAAATAACCAGGCAGATGTCACCCTGAGTAAGTGCTTGGATGATCAGGGCAGGGTTGTCCTTTGGGAACACAGGACAGGGAACCATTCAGGACAAGAGGCCAAGAGGCCAGGGTTGGGGCAGAGTAAGACGGGGCAATAGCTTCCTGGATTAGTTTTTAGAGTTTTCTGCTGGCTTAGGGTTGGAGAGCTGGGGCAGCAGCTTAAAGAGGGGACCCTCCAATGGCATAGGGGACTCTGCAAGAACCTCCGGCAGCAGCACTCTGGGTCAGAGGGCGAGGAATTGGGGGAAATTTAAGAAGGAGATATTAGGAAAACTTCTTAATAAAGGCACCAAACTGATAGGGCAACAGGGGAAAGCCAAATGGGGACCTTGGGCCGTGTCGGAGAGCAGACAGGGCTAGGGGAGCAGCTTATCGTGCTTATCTCACCGTAGAGATGATACATGAGGATTGGCCAGTGTCAGATAACTGACTTTATTTTGTAAAATTTTTTATTGTTTTTAAATTTTTTACTTAAGCTTTATTTTTAATTTTTGTGGGTACACAGTAGGTGTATATATTTATGGGATACATGAGCTGTTTTGATACAGATAACCTATCTTGAATTGTATTCTGCCAATCGATTCTATCATGTACCTAATTTTTGTAGTTTATTATTCAGATAAGGTGGTTTTCTGCTCTTAAACTGGGGGGGCTGGGGAAATAAGAATTTTCACTTGAAAAATTCATGTTCTAAAACTTTGACATAGGTAGGTTGCAGCCTCCTCAGTTCCTGGGGCTCTCTTCTGGAGTCTCTCTCGCTGCCCCTGCCCTCCTGGCCCCCGCCCCACCCCTGGCTAGCCGAGGAAGAGGAGGATTGGGCCTTGCACAGTTGCACAGTGCCTGTCTGGAGCACACCACAGCTCTGTGAGGAGGGAGTGTGCAGGTTCAGGGCGATTCCCCTCCTGGGGTTTCTCAGCTCCACAGGCCACTTCTGTGACTCCGCGGTGAGGCTGTGCAAGCGAACCCGACTTCAGTTCCTGAAAACTGAATTGTTTTTAGTCACTTTGCTTAATTATAGACTAAAGAGTTTGAAACTACACATAAGAGGTGTAAATAATGTGATATAAATATTGTTGGAACCCTCTGTTGTGGTTTCCCTTTTTTTCCCCCTTATATTCTCATTTCATTTCAAAGTTTTAAACAGTAACTTGAATGTGTATTGGCCAGTGTGACATGGACGCGCATGTTTTACTCATCAGATGTAGTAAGAAAAGATGTGGCTACTTAAGAACATTGAGGTGTGTGACTTTAAAAGTCTAGGTGTGTCATTAAAAAGTGTGAGCATCCCAGTGTTCTCCTGGGTCTCTGGAATCATGAAATTTGCCACTAACATCACTTACACTGTATTTTATTAAGTTGGGCCTACCCAGCACTTGCCTGTGTGCTAAATCTAATTATTGTCATAGTTGGGCTTGTGGACGGGTTGGGGGAGGATGGGAGGGGAAGGAAGGGGCGAGGTGTGGGAGGAGGCATGGCAGAAGGGTCTCAGACTGACTGGCGAGCCGATGGTCACGGGAGTGGTGGGGGGTGGGGGTGGGAAGGTTTGACCTAAGGTAGCGTTTCCATAGGAGTCCCATTCTTTGAGATGTTAGTAGGTGCCACCTGGTCTCATGAGTTTGGACGCATCAGGTTTAGCAGGTTTCTGTTACAGTATTCTCAGAGCTTTTGGGACTCTCTAAGGGAGGTTTAATATGCAGCATTTCCTGACAGTATTTAATTGTGGGACACCCCTCCCCTCTCTGAATGGTAAATTTCAATTCCATATCAAGACATGGCAGAGCCTTCTTAAATAGCTTCTCCAGCCAACACACTTGGGAAGATGAGGCCTTAGGAAACGTGGTGAAGAACTAAGTCCAGAGATGCTAAGTGCAGTCAGTAATAGCTTTCTGTGGGCCTCCTGCTCATTTGCTGTGGTTGAAATGCATTTCTTAAAATGTTTGTTTTTAAAACTAGATGAAGTGACAAAGGACCATGAAGCATTAAATAAAAGGCAATTCCTGAAATAGCATATTAATGTTTTAAATGGTTTTGTTTTCCAGTAAATAGCTCTCTGAGTGATGCAGTGGGATTTGAGAGAAAAGAAGCTGCAAGGTATTTGTGAATGTCCTGTTCCTTAGGAAACACAAAGTAACACTAGCACGCACATCACAGGAGCTGAACCCTGCAGTAGGTTAAAATCTTCAGCAACAGATTGAGAGATTGAGGGGATTAAAGGGTTCTGATTAACACTGTGTTATCCTGAAATCTTTTTGTCTCAATTTTTCGTGTTCTCTGCCTCAGGTGGGTATGGCTCACGCTCCTGCATTTAGTCCTTTCAGTTAAGAAGTCAGTCACCGTTGGGAGTGTGGAATGCAGCTGTGGGCAGGCTAGTGACCTCTGCCCTCAGCTTTGGGCAGCAAGACCTTGTCTTTGCTGATCAGGGCTTCCAGTGCTTCCGCTGGTCCTTCCTTACCTCGGCTACTGATCACTGCTCCCTGCTTACTCTTGGAACACTCTTCTAGTCCAAGCCTGGGTTTCCAGTCTCTGCACCTGGCCTGCCCCCTCTCCTTCTCAGATCCACACAGGGAAGCGATGACGCACCCCACCCCTGAAATGCCCCATGGAAACATGACATTCCACCTGCCCCATCAGTGAGTTCTTTCAGCTGATGAGCCAGGACTCAGTGAATTAGTCAGAAGTTACCTTTTCCAAGGGATTGATGAGAGGGTGCTTCTTTCCATACGCAATCACTCCAAGTGGGAACACACCAGGAGGGTGTGAAAATGCAGGTGCCGCATCCCCACCCGACTGACCTGATTTAAATTCCCAAGGTGCGGGATTCCCTCTGCCGTGCGTCTGGGAAATGTGTTCATGCCTTGCAAGTGTGAATGTGTGGAGAACATTAGGCCCTTACTTGAAGCTGGTTTTTTTTTTTGAGATAGAGTCTTGCTTTGTTGCCCAGGTTGGAGTGCAGTGGTAAAATCTCGGCTCCCTGCAACGTCCGCCTCCTGGGTTCAAGTGATTCTGCTGCCCCAGCCTCCCGAGTAGCTGGGATTGCACCACTATGCTGGCTAATTTTTGTATTTTTAGTAAAGACAGGGATTCGCCATGTTGGCCAGGCTGGTCTCAAGCGCCTGACCTCAAGTGATCCACCCGCTTCAGCCTCCCAAAGTGCTGATTATAGGCATGAGCCACCGTGCCTGCCTGAAGCTGTTTTCAAAGGAACCGTTGAGGATGGAATCATGAATGGTTTCTTGGAGACAGAAAATCTGGAGACAGAGTTACCAGAACATTTTTCCCCAGTGGCGGTCTGGGATGCCTCAGCCTGGCTCTGTCCTGTTTTCCCTTCCCTTTCTGTCCCACTGGCTCCTGCTGTGTCTGCCATGGGTCTGCAGACAGGAGGACATGGGCAGGTAATGCCTCCTGGATTCTTGTGCAGGGTGTACAGTGGGGAGACGGCAGGGGAGGAGGGACAAAGAAACCATTCTCTCATGTCCATCTAACCTGATAGCCAGGTGTTCAGTTCCAGGCCTTGGGCAGCCAGGTCCAGCCCTAGAGGTCCTCACACACCACTCTTTCACTTGCAGAGAAGACTCACCAGAATTTAGGGGCTCATCCCAAGTTACAGGATCCCATTCTTTCCCAACCAATGCCCTCATTTTACCAGCAGACACCCCATGAGTCTGGGAGGTCAACTTGTAACTTGTCATTCAACCAATCACAGGATGAGGTCCTGGCTTTGCTTTTCAGCAATCTCAGCCCAGTGACTGTAGGAGGAGAGACTTTCCCTCCAGCCACACCTAGCTGCTCTTAGATGATTTGATGCAGTGCTTGAGCTGAGCATTTGAATTCCTTAGTTCATCCTAGTCTTTCACCACTTTGTCCAGTGACATTAGGAGCAACCAACCAACATCATATTCTCAGTTTTTCAAAGATGTTGGAAGGGATCATACACAGAGTTAACTTAGACCCTTCTTGTAAGTCTTTCGAGTATCCAGTGCAGACGTCTATCATATCTCTATCAACAGTTCAAACAATAGACCATCAGTGCTCAGCTAACTGGACACAACATCATTAGCATCTTAAGATCCAATCAGATGAGAGAGCCAATTCCAGAAACTCCAAAACCAATTCAGAAAATGCATCCATAAGACTTTGTTCCTCTAGAACCACTCTTGGTACCAAAATAGGTGTAGTGGGGTGTGGGCTTGGGACTCCCTGAAGTGAGTTGGTGGCTCAGTTGCTGAGTGCAGCCAGTCCCACTTGGTCTTTCTTGGTGAATTGAGGGTAGATTCCTTTAGAGAGTTAGTGTTACAGTTCACAGCATCTGTCCCCAGGACGCTGTACCCTGTTGTTTTTCCATTGCTGTGCCAGTTTTCTCTGTACATCCTGGTATCCACCCAGCTCTGCGCCAGGGATGGGAGGAAGGTGCCGTCTTCTTTTATCTAAATGAGAGACAAGCCAATGGGCAAGTCCAGAGCCAGGGTGTGGGTGGTCCACAGAATTTGTGTTAGTGGCTGGAGCTGCCCTCCTGAGCTTTGCCAGCAGGGCCCAGGTCTCCTGAGCCACCTCTGTTTTGGGAGCTCTTGAATTCCTCAAAGAGCATGACAGGTCATTTGAGGTAAGCAGTGTGAGATTGGGACAAGAGGTTCTGACCTCTCTTTCATGGCGTCCTGGTTTTCACTAGGGCATCGTCACTGTATCTGTGACATGGAAGGCAAAACAAGGGAACAGAAACATTGGTGTCTTACTCTTTTTGATCTGGCAGGCAGGGAAAAAGAAATGTGCCTTATAAATTTTGTTCATAGTCTGCCTGGAGTTTGTGGTGAGAGACCATAAACCAATTCCTAACATACGTGGTTAGTCCTACCTTCATAAGTGCTGCGGAGAAAACTGGGGCACAGGGAGGCTTGGGTGGGGCTTCTGGAGCCCTCAGTGGAGGGGTCAGGGAGCAGCTCACAGGGAGGGTGGCTTTGAGGCAGACCCCAGAGGAAGGCGGTGAGGAAAGCAGGACTGTGCCGCGGGCAGGGAGGTGGCCAGAGAAGAGGTGTGCCGAAGAGTGGGCCTGGCAGCTGAGGGGTGCCTGTCCCTGGGGCTGCTGGGCACCTAGCCTCTGCCAGAATCGGAAATGGGTTTCTTGCTCCTAGAAATGCGGGTCCCAACACTGTCCTACTCTAATCTCAGCATGTTAAAACTTGGAGGGGGAGAGTAGGATGTGTACCCGCAGATGATGTGGCTTGCGCATTTCACTGTCTGTTTTGTGACTTCTCTGCGTTGTTTTCTTAGGTTTTTGGCTGGTGATTTTAAACAAAATTGATTTAAGAGTTACTTGCAAATGTCTGTCCTGTTTCTGTGCCACTTCTGTTTTCACCATTTGTTGGCTCCGATTAATCAACTCTGCCCTCTAAAGGAATGGGTTTTGGGTTTGTGATTCTCTTTAAGTGGTGCAAATATAATAAGCAGAGTCTGCAACATTTTATAAACAGGATCACATGTGCAGCTCATTTTAGTGGCAATTTCCCCAGAGGTTTGTAAGTTGGATTTTTATTGCATTGAAGAGGGGGCACAGTGTTCTTTGAGAACAGCCAAATCGTTGATCTCGTGTGGGGACACACCCAGAGGAGCCCTTACTGGGACATGGAGGGTTTTTGTCTGGTGGCCATTGAGTTACCCTAGTCATTGGTTTCTGGTTGCGCAGCCACAGCCCACCGGGGCCCAGTGACGCTGGGGACTTCTGTTTCTTTGCTCAGTAGCCTCACGCCCTCCTTTGATGTGGTAGGGCAGTCAGAGTTGACTTCTTTTTTCCATGAGAATTCCCTTCCTCTAAGCAATAAACAAAATCTTTATCCTTGTGACTTCAGTTTGGATTGTGGCAATTCTCCCTTCCACTTTTGCTGCCTCGCCAAGGGTTGGAAATCTGACTTGTTTATTCCAAACATGAGGATTCTCTGGTTCTTACGAGCATGCTTGCCACCTCTTGACACAGTCCTCACTTCCCTGCATCAGTGTCTGCTCATCTGCTTAAATCATCCCACCCATGGCTCCCCACAGGGAAGCTGGAGACCTTTGTCCCCTCCCGCATGAGTGTAGGGCAGCCATGCACCAAGGCTTCCTTTGCCATTTGGAAGTCATCGGCTGCCTCCCTGATCAGTCTGGCACAGCTGCAACTTCTGGGAGAGGGAGAAGCACATCTGTTTTCTCTGAGAAAAATCTTTAGTGTGCAGGGATCTGCCCTTGAGCTTTTGTGGAATATTGAAATGGTCCATGGAGCCCGTGGTATCAGACTGTAGTGGGTAAAAGCAAAGCTGTTTGCTTTTGGGTGGACTAAACACATCAGCAACGACGAAACAAATCAGCAAGGAAATCTTGCTGTGAAATCACAAGGGCGTACATTTCATTTCGCAATCAATTATGGGGTAAAAATTGTAGGCTTAGTGCCGAAGATAATATAAAAGATCTGCTTTGAAATGTGTCCGAGGACAAGGACTATGATCCCTTTCTCTCTGCTGAACACACTGTCCTAGTGTAACTGAAGAAAGCCCCCGAAGACATTTGGCAGCTTCATTTTATGTTTTTCTCTGTCCAGAAAGTTGAATGGAATTAAAATTCCAATTAGGCTAAATATTTTACTTCTCCAAAAAGAAATTCAGCTCTGTTTTCTGGCTAATGTTACCTATAATTTAAAATAAGTATTAATGGCATTTTTAGTTCTTTTTGTCTCAATATGCACATTCTGCAAATTTAAACCTCTTGTCTGGGGTATCTAAACACATCTGATATATTTCAATAAAATAATTATGCCATATGCTTTCTTTTCTAAAACTTCTATATTCCTGAGTAAATTTCTACAATGTGGCATGATACAAGAGATCACAAATGTTAATTAGATTATGGAATAAAGGACTGCAGGTAAGTAATAAAAGGAGACTTATTTCCAGGGAGGCAAATCAATTCTCCTTCAGCAGTTCTTGTAGGACAGCATGACTTCCAGGCATTTGAGTAAGTAAAGACACCTGCTTCAAAATAAGGAAAGTGGGCTGCGGGAACCAGGCCCCTTTCTTGAATCTTGTCTGGTAGTAACAAGTTGTCGTGGTTGTTGCTGACATCGGACCTGGTTTGCTGGGTGCTAGACGGAGCTGGGAGGCTGTTTCTTGGAGCCCGCCATCCTGTTGCCTGGGTTTTATGTGCTGCCACAGGGTCATCTTCACCGAGGCGTTGGTGGTGGTTCCTTCTGTGCTGGATGCGGCGAGGAGCAGCTGTCTCTGCATCCCTCCATGGGTCGCAGACCCTTCTCCTGGGCCTTTAGCTGGGTGTTTGTGCCCCGGGGTGCCTCAGTGCGGGTGCCCTTGGATTTGCATGTCTGACCCTAGTGCAGTGTGACTGTTTCAGTAGCTCTCGGCTAACAAACTTATTATAAATCAAGAACACATTGATTTACATAACTGACAGTTCCTTCTGGAATAGAATTGTGCAGAAAATAAAAATGAAGTAGCAAAAGGTAGGAGGGAAGAGAACCAGAGGGTTCCAACACTAGAAAAAAAATGCCTCAGGACAATCAAGCGTTGAACAGACAACCACAGTGAACAGTCCCTTCCTTTGGAAGCTGTTTAGCTTGGGGTTAAACCCCATACATGGCAGTGGAAATATAAATATGAATTTGTCACCCATGCATTTGAAATACAGCATTTGCTGTTTGTGAACCAGCTCATTCCATAATTTTTCCTTATAATACTGTTAGAGGCACTTTTTTTTTTTTTTTTGAGACGAGTCTGGCTCTGTCACCCAGGCTGGAGTGCAGTGGTGCAATCTCGGCTCACTGCAAGCTCTGCCTCCCGGGTCCACGCCATTCTCCTGCCTCACTCAGCCTCCTGAGTAGCTGGGACTACAGGTGCCCGCCACTACGCCCGGCTAATTTTTGTATTTTTAGTAGAGACGGGGTTTCACCGTGTTAGCCAGGATGGTCTCGATCTCCTGACCTCGTGATCCACCCGCCTCGGCCTCCCAAAGTGCTAGGATTACAGGCTTGAGCCACCGTGCCCGGCCGAGGCACTTCTTAAAAATTTTACACTTTGGGAGGCCGAGGCGGGCGGATCACGAGGTCAGGAGATCGAGACCATCCTGGCTAACACGGTGAAGCCCCGTCTGTACTAAAAATACAAAAAATTACCCGGGCATGGTGGCGGGCACCTGTATTCCCAGCTACTCAGGAGGCTGAGGCAGGATAATGGTGTGAACCCGGGAGGCGGAGCTTGCAGTGAGCCAAGATCGCACCACTGCACTCCACTCCAGCCTGGGCAACACAGTGAGACTCCCTCTCAAAAAAAAAAAAAAAATTTTTTTTTTGCAGAATACCGTTAAGTCTTTATTCTTTCTCAGACATACTTTCTGACTTGGTCTTGTTTGGTCTCTTTCGGCTGGGTCTTGAAAGAATTAATGCTAAGTCATAAAAAATCACTTTTTTTGGTTTTCATTGATATTTGTAACATGTTACATATTGACATTAAGATTGTCATCTAGCAGAACAATATTGTAATTATTAGAAATACTCCACTTTTGCAGAAAGAACACGTGTTACTAGCTTCATAGCAAGATGATGGCATGGAACTTATCTGACTTGGCAGTTGATGATCATTTACTGTGATGTTTGCTCTTTAATGAAGATGGATGGGGAGGAAAGAAAAAATCTCTCTCTTGCCTCCCAGGGTACTTTTTCCTGCTTCTCTTTGTTGTTTCTTTTCTTTTCCCTCAGATTTAGGTTATTTGTAGTTGTATTTCCCTGATTGCTTTGTAAGCATCCTTAAGTTTAAGCAGAATGTTTTTATTCCTCTTAGTATCTGCTAGAATTTAAGCACAGAAACTTCCCATTAGCAGATTTAATGTGTCAAGTTTGTGTTTATGGAAAAGAGGAACATCTCTGTACATATTGGACGCGAGCACACGCACACACGCAACCCTTTCCAAAAGAGATGGTCTGTGACATAAATCCCAAGAAGAATGTTTTAGGGAATGCCCAGTGTTCTTTCCAGTTTATTAAAGGGGATCAGGAGTTCTTAAACCTTGCATGATGGAATGAGGCACGTAAACCTTTCAAATTACAGGCAATTGTTTTCATAAATTGATGTACTTTTTGGACAGTCAGATTAGAGTTCATTGGCTTCTAAAAGGAAATCAGTTAAAAATTAAATGTTAAGAACAGTCAAAGTATTTTTCTTACTGGAATCCTTTAGAAATTAATAGTCTGTGAATTTTTTTTTCTTGTGGTTCTTATTTAGGCATCTGATGCAATGTCAGGAAATCTGGATTTGAGTCCCAGTTTCTCTCCTTCCTTGCCATGTGCAGGCATCTTAATCTGTAAAATGGGAAGAGGCTGATTACCTAAGGGGAGACAGGATGATTGGGAGAATCCAGTGGAGTTCTCTTCATGAAGTATTTAGTACAGTATGAGTTGCTGCCCCATGGTACTAATATAAGATGGTGGTATGGATCCTCCCTTCTTGACCAGGGAGAGAAAAATTGTGGGGTTGTTTTCTTCCTAAGGAAGCCTGTGGCCACCCTGTGTGAAGGAGAATGAGGCTTTCCTGCTTTCCCAGCTCAAGCCTCTTGAAAAGCCTGCATCCTGCCCACCTGGGGGTGGGCTGTGCGGAGCAAATCCTGAGGATTGCTAGGGGTGGGCCGGTGGTATTCGAGAAAAAGAGCTGAAAAAGATTTAAATACCCGGAGACTCTCATACATCACATACTCATTTCCAAAAGCACCCTTTTTTCCTCCCCTAGAAAGGGCCCTCTTTGGGCCAGCCCCTCTCACTAGACTACAGCTTCCTATCGCAGAAAGGGCTTCGCTCTTCACACATAGAACTGCACCCTCCCACTTTCTAGGAGTTCTCATCCTTCCTTAATAGGAACCTCTTCCTCCTCCTCTTCCTCCTTGATTTTGGCATTATGTTGTGATGCCCTTAAAAAATACTGTGCCCTGAAGGAGTTGCTAAAATTACCAGTTCCTTCACGTTTTGGAATTATTCAAGGGCAAAACCATTTGAGCCTCTTGCGATCTGTTGATTTGTTTACACACACACACACACACACACACACACACACACGCGCACGCACTTTAAAGGAGGTGAATTGATCTATTTCTTCACCCACCCTTTTCTGCCTATAGTTTTTATTCTTTCTTGAGTAAATTTTATTAATAAATTATTGAAATTGTCTAATTCTGTATGTTCAAATTTACTATTGTAAAATTTTGCCATGTGTTTTATTTGCATTAAAAATTTTTTCCTGTCCTTTTATTGCTCTATTGCAAATGGATATGTGATCTATTTTTTCCTTGGTTATAGTAACTGGAAGTTATCTATTTTAAAAATGATTGGATTCATTTCTCATCCCAATATTTTTGATTATTTATGCATGTATCTTTATTCTATTCTTTGCTTTCCTTCTTAGACTTTTGGATTGAACACTTAGTATTTTTTTTTTTTTTTTGGCTTAGTAATGAATGTTTGTAATGCTGTGGGTTTCCTTGAAATAAATCTTTGGCTGGATTGTATAGCTTTTGGTGTTGCAGTGTTTCCAGTATTATTTGTAGCTAACTTGTAGTGATGGTTTAGATTTTTTTCTTTGATGTGAGGATGTGATCCAGTAATTTTCAGTTGCTTCGTTTTGTTCCTCTTTGTGTTATTTCAGGTTTTATCGTGCACCCCTATGTTTAAGTTGATGTTGATGTTACAGCGGCCTTTCTCCCAGTGAACGTTTGTTGCCAGCACAAGAAAACGTTCCTTGCTTTGAAGCACTTCTTCCTGCATTTGGGGCCCTCTGGAAGAGCGAAGCCTGGGGTCTCCCTCCCCGCTCCTTTTCCTAATCAGCAGTGATCTCCCCCTACCCCATGCTCATACCTAAAAATAGTGACTAAGCCACCTGTTGGGAACTTGGACATTAGTTTAGGGTCAGCAGAGAAGGCATTGCTCGCAGGGAGATGAGAAGGGGTGTAGGTCCGGTGGGCTTCTGCATTCTTCTGTAAGGGGGCTAGCTGTACCCCCAGCTCACGGGAACGTGGTGAGGACTGGTGACATGATGTACGCCAGAAACCCAGCGCAGTGCCTGGCATCTGAAAGGGAAGGACAACCAGTGCTTCCCTCTCCACCCTAGCCTGACAGCTCCCCCGGCTTTCTGTGCTGGGCTGGTCCCCATGCATCTTTGCAGCTCTCTCTCGTTTTCTCCAGAGAACACTTCTCATTCTCCATCTAGCCTCTCCTTCACTGTGGGAAGCCTCCTCAGGTTAGTAGGCAATCAGTAGTGACATGATTTGCTACAGAAACTCCAGTGTTCTGTTTTTTTTTTTTTTTTAATGTAGGCTGCCTTCCCTATGGGAGTGGGTTGGAGACGTTGAGCTGCTGTGTGCCTAAGTTGGACGTTTTTGTTTGCGAACACAAGGGAGGATGAGGCCTTCCTTCCACATTGTCCAATCCGGGTTTTCTCCAACACTGGAAGCTGTCACTGCTGGCTGGTTCTTTTCTAATAATGATCACCTGGGAGAATGGAAGGCCGGCGCCTTTACTCCACATTCATCACGTGGAAGCTTTGACCCTGGACGTTAGTCCAACTTAGTATTGTATGTCCTGCCCCCACCCCTTTAATTGTGTTGCTGAGATAATGTAAGAGTTCAAAATGCAGTTTGGAACTAGGGTAGTACATGGGAAGAGTGACCCACAGGATGTAATGTTTTCCGGTGAATATAGGGTCCTCTTATTAACTAAAGATAATAAGTGATAGGGCTGGACTTTATTTACCTAGGGTGGCTTGCATATGATCAACATGCCCTTTGAGTTAAAAATTTGGCAATAGTTCACTTGTCAGGAAGGAAAAACTCTTTTTCTCTAGGTTAGGTTCAGCATTTGGGGCCTGCAGATTAAACTGATAAGTGACATATTAATGAGAGAAAAAGGTTTATATCTGTGCACACAGGAGCCAGCAAAGGAAGCAGCTGGCTTGCTGAATATCCCACCAGAGTGTTTCCTCAATGTCACAGAAATGCAGGCACCCATCTCCACTCCCTCCCCTACCTACCTGCTGTTGCTGTTTGTCCTGGCAGAGCTGGCTGTCTTGGGTGCAGAGGAGGACACCATCTTGGCTTCTGGCTTCTCTTCTTTCCATGCCTGTCCACTGTGGGTGCTCATCAGTGCCACTTCTAGAACCGTTTTGGGCCTTTCCCTGACCTTCTGCTTTGATTTTCTCATTGCTTTTACTTTGCTTTTCTCCTCGCTCTTACTTTCCTTTTCTCCTCATGTATTTGTTGTTGTAGGCAGTGGCTGGTCATTTGTTCTATTAGCACAAGTTTCGCTGACTTCCCATTGCTTATTAAATTAACTTTGAACACCATCAGCTGGCTTCAAGGGTGTCCCTCTCATTCCTAGCTGCCCTCTGCGAACAGGATTTTTCCTCCTCTTCTCCACCTGAGCCTGTGAGAAACACACCCCCTGCCCCAGGCTGGCAGGTCACAGCCCTTCAGGGAGCAGCTCAGGTGCCGCCTCCCTCCTGGAGGTTAGACGGACCTTCGTGAGCAACCAGGTGTTCCCTGTCTTTTGTGGCATCTGCCACTGGCTGTCTGATGCTAATTATTTGCCCACTTTTCTGTCATTAGAAGTTCCTGAAAGCCAGAGCCAGGGTGTTACTCACTCTGCGTTCCCCCTCAGCCACCCTGGGTACCTAGTAGGTATGTTATGTGTTAGATGAATCAGTTAAGAAATCCTAGCGTCTGTGAGCCTGAGGAACAACCACATAAGCTTTTCCAGCTCAGGAATGGTTCCTGCACTTTGAAGATGGTCAGGGGCTGCTCTGAAGGTAAAATAGGCAACAGGCTTGGATTTCTTCCGGGTTCGCAAGCCTGCAGTTCAGACAGAGGACACTGTGGAGTTAACACAGTAATAGTGGTTCAAGTTGATGAGTCTTGCTGTGTACACGGCCTCACTTCATCATCATCGAAGCCCCTCTGAGGAGCATGCACATTAGTCCCGGGGGCAATGGGAAGTGGAGGCTCATAGGCGAGGCCTTGTTGTAGTTGCCATCAGAGCTGGCCTGAGCCTGGATGCAAACCAGGCCTTAAGGCTTTGAGGCCACATGCGTCATCTGCGCGGAAAGGTACCTTTTACAAAAACTCACGCTCTTAAGGAAGTCTGTGACCCCGTGTGATTTTAATAAAGCCCGCTGCATTGTTTATACCTCTTGGTCTTGGCCTTTGGTTACAGCTGGTGAAATGTGGAGGCTGCCAAGGGCATTTCAGGTGCAGAGCAGAGTTGCAGTTTCGAATTCCTGTTTTAAAATCTTCACTGTTAGCTGTGTAGCATCTGCCCTTTCTCGTTTGTCTTTTTTTTTAACCTTGGTGGGTTCGTGTGACCTCTGCCAAGCTCCTGTGAGAGTTGTTAATGTGGGGGCCCTGGTTCCGGTCAATGATTCCGGGTTCTTAGGAGGCACTTCCAAATACTTTGGGGCAAGTTTGCCTGGAAGTGCTATGGTTATTGATAGTATGTCTATATTAAATTAATTTCTGTAAGCAAAAATTACCAGAAGCAAAAGCTAGTGTTTGCAGCTCCTATTACAGAAGGCGAACTTTCCCAATATGTTAAAAACTCCTACTTTAAAAAAAAGGTCAGTAACCCAATAGAAAAATGGACAAAGGATATACACAGCTCACAGGAAAGAAAATATGCATGACTCTTCAATATATAAAGATGTTCAGCCTTACAATAGGAGAAAGATAAATAAAACTCCCCTGAAGCATCCTTTGTGTATGAATGAATAACTGGCTTAATTTGCTGGGGCTGCCAGAACGAAGTAGCGCAGACTGGGAGCCTTCAGCAGGAATTCGTTTGCTAATAAACCTGGAAAGATGTTGGTAGGGTGGTTTCTTGGGAGGCCTCTCCCCTTGGCTTGTGGATGACCGTCTTCTCCCTGTGTGCTCATGTGGTCTTCCCGTGTGTGTGTGTGTGTGTGTGTGTGTGTGTGTGTGTGTGTGTGTGTCTTCATCTCTTTTTATGACACCAGCCGTATTGGATCAGGGCCCACCCTAATGAGCTCATTGCAACTCAGTCACCTCTTTAAAGAGTCACATTCTGCAGTGTTGGGAATTGGGACTCCAACATGTGAATCGTGGGTGTGTGGGAGAGGGAAGCACAATTCAGTCCATAAAAATGACCAAAAAATAATAATAAAATAAAACTTGATGACACTGTGGCATGGGAAAGGGGGAAATTAGCACCCTCAGACACTGCTGAGGCCATATATGGGACAGCCTCTTTGGAGGGTCACTTGTCAGTATCTGTTAAAAATTCAGATGGAGTCCCTTCACCCAGCAGGTCTGCTTCCAGGACCCAGCAAAACTGACAAATGTACAGCTCTTCCTTGACACCTGGGCCGTCAGAGCGAAAAATGGAAACAATGTGAGCTCAATAAGGCATGGGCTAATTATGGTTAAAAAAATGAGGAAGTCCTTTACATATGGACTGCTCTTTAAGAAACTTTAGGTAAAAAGCAAGGTAAACAACAGTGTGTGTAGAATGCCACCGTTTGGGTAAAAGGGGGGTAAAGTTTTGTAGGTATTTGCTCGTATGTGCATAACTATTTTTCTCTGAGGTTACATTAGATGTCGTGATGACTTGCTGGGGCAGGGACGGTTGGTTTGCTGGGTAATGGGGGCCCAGGGTGGGAGGGAGACTTCTCACTGTATATACTTTGGCACCTTTTAAATTTTCACTCCAGAATTTATTAATTAAATGAATACTTTTATTTCCCTGATGAGAAAATTGTATCACGAGGTCATTCATAACTTAGGTTATTTGAGGTTGTTGAAAAAACATGAAATTATTTCGATTAAAGTCATCATTGTGTTGAGAAGCCTGCTGGTTTATTTTTCTTGGGGAATGAGTGCCTCAGAAGTCATGGTTTGGAAGGTTTTATGAGGACAGTGGTTCCACATCTGCAGGACAGAGCTGGGTCCTTCCCGGAGAACAGGCTGCCACTCAGACGCTCCTGCCATGAGGCCTCTGGTGCAGAATACGTGAATCATTGTACCAGGCTTCATTTTGCTTAGAAACTACTTAGAATTGTTAATTGGGCCCTTTTGGTTTTACCAGGTTATTCAGAGGCATTTCTGGGTGATGATGTTGATAAAGCTGATAGCACTTTGCATCTGTTGAGCACCATGAATTTTGCCAAGTGCTTTCCCACTCATGATCTCATTTAATTGTCACTTGGAACTGTGAGGTTGGAAGCACCGATCTGATTCCCATCTTGTTGTGGATGAAGAATTTAGAGGGTTTAAATGACTTGCCTGATGTCTCCTGGTAAGAGCTGGTCTTCCTGCTGCAGGAGTTTCAGTGTGTAAGCCAAGACGAGGAAGAATGGCTGAACGGTGCTTCTGGTCAGGAACCATGTCAGATTTGTCAGCGTCCATCGTGGGTGTAGTTCAGCGGTTCTCTGTTGGGTGATTTTGCCCTCTGGGGGACACTGACGATGTTTGGAGACATTTTCAGTTATCAGAACCTGGGGTGTGTCACCGGCATCTAGTGGACAGAGCCAGGGGTGCTGCTGAACACCCTGCAGTGCATGGGGGAGGCCTGCAGCAGAGCTGAGCAGCTCCAAAAGTCAGTGCTGGGGTGGAGGATCCCTGGTGTGGCTGTGAAGGAGAGCCTTGCCTGCAGCCCCCAAAGCTTGTCTCTTGCTTTCCCAAGCTTATCCGTGTGTTCACCTTTGAAGGTTTCTTCCTTAGGATTGGTAGTGGTAGAAACGATTCTTTGGGATCTCATTGGAGGCACATTTCAGGGCCCTCTTCTGGCGCCCATGTTGACTGTCTGTTGTCCTACCTTCCCAGTGCAGTGCTGCAGGGGTGTGGCGCGAGTGCGGCCCACATGTATGGGCACCAGAAGACTGAGACCCGGCCTTCACTCTGTCCCCTTTTTCTTTCTTTTTTTTTTTTTTAATACTTTTAAGTTCTGGGGTACATGTGCAGAACGTGCAGGTTTATTACATAGGTATAGATGTGCCATGGTGGTTTGCCGCACCCATCAAACCGTCATCTACATTGGGTATTTCTCCTAATGCTGTCCCTCCCCTAGCCCACCACCCTCCGACAGGCCCCAGTGTGTGATGTTCCCCTCCCCGAGTCCATGTGTTCCTGTCCCTGCTCCTCTTCCGCTTCCTCCCATTTCTGTGGGAAGGAGGGGAAAGCTGCTGTCTTAGTGGCTGGCGTTGGGTGTTAGGGTCCTCCTCCATTAATGGCTGGTGCATAGAGCACAGGAAGAGAGCCCCAGAAGTGCCAGGCGGTGGTGCAGCTGCTGCCTGTGTCTAGCGGGCTCCATCCGGTCCCCCGGGCCGACCTTCAGCGGCTGGAATGCTTGCAAACCTGAAACCGCCTTCGCAAAATGATGACTGAGACTAAAGAGATCGAACTTAACTGACTCCATCTTTCTAACCTCCAAGCTGTCCTTGTTCATTCCTGGGCACAGGCTGACTTAACTTTGGGAGAAACTTACAGTTTAAACAAAGGCGGTAACAGCCCTTTGCCAAAGCAGACCTCCTTCTTGCCTGGGGACTAGATTGCTTTTGTAGGACTAACATTAGCCACAAGATTAGAAATTATGGCTTAGGAGTCAGGCAGCTTGGGGCTACAAGATTCTGAGCCTCTCTAAACTGCTCCTAAGATCAGTGCCTGAGATATTTTGCAGGCCCTGCACTTGATGGATCAGCTGGCCCCACTCAGATCAATAAACTGGTTCATCTGATCTTGTGGCCCCCACCCAGGAACTGACTGAGCACAAGAAGACAGCTTTGATTCCCCGTGATTTCATCTCTTACCAATCAGCACTTCTGGCTCACTGGCTTCCCCTACCCCACCAGCTTATCCTTAAAAATTCTCCCCGAATGCTCGGAGAGACTGATTTCAGTAATAATAAAACTCTGGTCTCCTGCACAGCTGGCTCTGCGTGAATTACTCTTTCTCAACTGCAGTTCCCCTGTCTTGATGAGTCGGCTCTGTCTAGGCAGCGGGCAAGGTGAACCCACTGGGCGGTGACACACCCAATGAGGTTGAAAAGCAGGTTCCACCCAGAGTGGAGCTTTTCCTGATGCAATATCCCACCCCCTGGTTGTTGGTGCTGGTGTGTGAGTCACAGGCCCAGCCCGGGTATTTGAGACGCAGTGACCTCAATAAGGACTTGAGCTGGTTTCCTGAGTGCCCTCTGGTGAGCCTTGTGTCTGGGTAGCCTTGCCACCCAGCGCGTCTGCTACCAGGAATGAGTTGGAGGGAAGCGGGAAGGCTGTGTTATTTCTCCATCTTCCTCTCCAGGAAGGAGGCGGCCTTGGTCCTGAGGCGGGGTTTGCTCTGGGTAGAGAGCTCTGGATGTTCTGTTGTTGCTTGCACGTCCCCAGAAGGATCAGGGCGACACAGAAAACTTGGTTGAGGTGTCTTGCTAGGGCTCCTTAAAAGGAGAAGGTAGCCAGGTGAAACTTATCTTGTTTGCTTGGCAAGTGGTGACGTACCTTCGTGGTCAGATTGAGAGAGCAGCGAACTGAGGAGGG
Source organism: Homo sapiens (assembly GCF_000001405.40). Classification (NCBI taxonomy): domain Eukaryota; kingdom Metazoa; phylum Chordata; class Mammalia; order Primates; family Hominidae; genus Homo; species Homo sapiens. The sequence goes on along the minus strand of NC_000013.11, from coordinate 98,484,605 downwards.
CGGAGCTTTGGAAGTGCAGAAGGACGAGGGGGTGGTCACTTGTGCCTTGCTGCTCCAGGAAGCTGCCTGGTGACCCTCAGTCCCCTAAGTCAGCAAAAGATTGTTTCCCAGGGTGTCATATTGCACAGCTGGCTACAGTGGGAGAAGAGGCGGGGAGATTACCTCCCTGCTGGGAGCTCCCCTTGCTGTGAGCAGACTTAATGCCCAGAAAATAGAAGGGATGGGAGCCAGTGAAACCAGTTAAACAGCAGCTGTTAAAAAGGGAGTGGGAGTAGAAACGTCAGAGTTCCCAGCTCTCTTAGGGAAAAGCGATTTAGATTTCCTTTGCCATCTAGAAAGATACTGGTGTTTTCCTGGAAGAGCTTACTGTGGCATACCCATTCCCCAGGAGCAAGCATTGTGGAAGCCTGCAGGCGAGCGTGTGTGTGAGATGAAGGTGTGCTGAAGGACACTCTTGATGATGGAAGCTTCCCTGAAATCAGAACCTGGGATCACCAAGCCTCCTCAAGGCAGGTGCCCGTGACTGGATGGTTATTGAATGAGCGACATGCCTGTCCCTCTGAGTTGGGTGTCAGACACATCATTCGAGGTTTCCGCACTTGTCCGGTCAAGACTGAAGTTGTCTTTATTATCTTAGCAGTCAAGGGCATTTAAACGCTTGAAAAGCATTCAACATACATTAAAACTTGGGCTGTTTATTTGGACTGTCTTAGAATCAACTCCAGATGGCAGGATTTAGTTTGAATTGTGAGAGGAATGTATTTTATAAATGCAGTGCATCTTACCGTTAGCGCCTCCCTAGAGTCAACACGAGTTACTCTTCCTTGGTCACAGGGTCCACAGTTAACATTTACTGAGCTCGAGCACACCAGCGCTGTCCCTGAGCACTTGAGTTTGCTGTTAAGTGGAAAATGCAGAGAAGTAAACCTGAAATGAAAATCAGAGCAATAGATAATAAAAGTAAAGTTTGCCCAGGGCGTGGGGAGGGAAGACAAGTGAAGCATTTTCCTGACTTGCGGAACCTCCAAAAGCAAAAAGGCCTGGGAAGTTGGGGCGTGTTCTCAAAGGGTGAGCTCACTTGGAGTCAGCGCAGTGAGACCTGGAGTCAGGGGCGAACTGAGGGGTCTTCCTTGGGTGTTCTAAGAGCCGGACTCAGTGCTCTCCCAAAGGGACCAAAGAGCCTTAAAAAAGGTTTCTTCTTTTTTTTTCCTCCATGTGTGCAAAAGCCACCACCGAGTCCTGAGTCAGCAGCGGAGCAGGCTGACGTCTGAACCCCGTGAACCCACTGTGAACCCAAACTCTGGCGGTGGCGTCCCGTGCCAGCCATGGGTTCTTGGCTGCTCGCCGTGGCCAGGCTCTTGGCCAAGGCCTCGTGCAGAAGCTCAGGAGACAGCTGCCCGGGCCCCTAGGTCGTGAAGTGGGAGTCGGGATCCAGACCCTGCCCAGGCTGCCCCGTGCCCTGCACTGCCTGGCTCCCCAAGGAGGGCGGACAGGTTTGCGGGCTTGTTTTCCAGGGAGTAGCACTTTGGGATTTGTGGTTTTAAAAAGAGAACTCTGCAAGTCATGAGGGCTGAGTAGCTTGAAGAGAGACCACAGGGAAGGCAGGCGCAGAGCTGGGGACTGTGAGAGCCGGGGCCTTGAGAGGACACAGACATGCATGTTAGGACAGACCTGCTTTTCTGGAAAGCTCCCTGAGGGGAGACTGTGGCAGCTTTGGGAGGTGCTAGAATTGGCTGCCCTTCTGCCAAACAGGCAAGTGAGTCGGAGGCCACGCTAGGCGGCCCCTCCACTCACAGGGACCTGGAGACACACGGTAGGGGGTGGGGGGCGCAGGGGAGGCTCAGTGCTGCAGGAGGGAGGAAGAGGAGAGGGTCTTGCCTTGGCACTGCTCTCCCGATGTGTGTGACACCACTGCCTCAAGTGGCTGCAAGTTCTCAGCTCTCACTGTGCCTGAGGATCCCCCAGTGAAGTGGCCTAAAAATGGAAACACCCAGTCTGCTTTCTGAGATCCTGGGGCAGTCGGTGGAACGCATGCCCTGGAGCCCTGGGGAGTCAGGTGCGGGCCCCCGAGCACACCCCACAGCTCCCTCCCAGAGCATGATGGGGGTGTCCCTGCACTCTGGAGGTCCCTGCACAGCTCTCACTTTGACACACTTCCCGTGCTGGTACATGTTTGTAAAACTTTCTAGTTCCAATATAATTGTGAAAAATACCCTTTGATTATTAAAAAAAATTTTCCTGGATTCATTTTGAAAATGATTCTCTTCTTTTTTTTGTTTTATAGGATACAAAATTATGGATAATAATGGAATATCTTGGTGGAGGCTCCGCACTAGATCTAGTAAGTATTATGTTGGATGCAGAATACGTATCAAAGCTTTTTCTCAGGAAACCTGGGTTTTAAAGAATCCATTGCATGTATCCATTTCTTTTTCTTTCTTTCAAGTTGCATTAAAAAAGGAACCAAACTATTCCTTACGTGTTTTTTTGCTTCTTATATATCACTAAAAATTATTGGTTTACCTTTTTTTTTTTTTTTGAGATAGAGTCTTGCCCTGTTACCCAGGCTGAAGTGCAGTGGCGCAATCTCAGCTCACTGCTACCTCTACTTCCTGGGTACAAGCGATTTTTGTGCCTCAGCCTTCCAAGTAACTGGGACTACAGGTGCATGCCACCACACCTGGCCAATTTTGTGGTTGTTGTTGTTGTTGTTGTTTTTGGGTAGAAATAGGGTTTTGCCATGTTGGCCAAGCTGGTCTCAAACTCCTGACCTCGAGTGATCCCCGCTCTCAGCCTCCCAAAGTGCTGGGATTATAGGCCAGGTGCGGTGGCTCATGCCTGTCTGTCTGCTTTTGAAACCAGCTGTTTTGTTTCATGGGAAACCAATAAATGTATTCATAGAAGGAAGCAAGGAAGGATCATGCCTGGAATTATCTCAACTGAGAACAGCTGGGTAGCTTATTTTCTGAAACAGGTTCTATTTACTTTTGTAGGGCTGTTATCTCATCGTTTCATATTTCACATGACAACTTAGTTTCCAAAATAAGCATGTAATATTGTAATTTTGGAAGTAAGGGGCAGGGTGTGATTATGAAGGTCGGATGTCGGATGTGGGAGCAGTGGTCATGCCTAAGGGGAACACACACTTCCCTGCTTGCCAGCGCTCCCAGGGTGTGGAGGTGGGGCTGGCCCGCACCAGATGTCTCCTCTGAACTCTCCCTCAAGTGCCTTCTGTGGCCTCCAGTCCACATGTAAGGTAGTGGAAGCCAGGTGGAGGGTGGCTGTACCGTCCTGGTCTGTGATTTGCTTGTGTAAAACATGGCTTCCTATTGGGTTTTGATGCAGTGCTTACAGATAACCAGCATATGTCATGAGCACAGCTGAAGTCATCCTTGAAACATAGTAAATGCAAACGAATTCGTGCAGCTGTTTAGCACTTGCTGTCTCATCCCCGCTGTGGCTGTGCAGCGAAGTCACTGTGATCACTCTTTCCCCACCCCTTCTGTAAGTGCAGGTCATTTAGGTGAGTGGTGATTTTCAAGATAGGCCAGATCTGTCATTGCAGTGTTAGAGGTTGGGTCCTGGATGATAGGCGGCCATCAGGATGACAGGGCTGTGGTTGCAGGGAGAGCTGAAGTTAGCTGTGTTACTTTAGCATAGTCTACACGGGTATTACTCATTAAGGAAAGGAAACCCCTTTGAGAGGAAACTTCTTAGGCCTGGTACAGTGGTTCACGCTTACAGTCTGTTCACTTTTGGGAGACTGAAGTGGGAGGATCACTTGAGCCCAGAAGTTCAGGACTGGCCTGGGCCACATAGCAAAATCCTATCTCTGTAAAAAATTTAATTCTAGAATAAAATGAAACTTTTTTCTCACAGTAATAATAGCAATTGATAGTTTGTTTTGGGAAGATAAACTTCTGAAACTATATGTATCTGCAGAAGGCTAACGTACCCAATTTACATAATCAAATATTATTATAAACCATAAAAATAATTGATAAAAATGGTATTAAAAAGGGAGATTTCAAGAAAAATTAATATGGTATAAAATTATATTAAAAAGGGAAAAACAGCAATGTAGTGGGATTACTTTTACAACTTATTTTGGTTCCTTTCCATAAATGTACACATAAAGAGCTTTTCATTTTTTCACCCTGTTGGGAAATACTACAGAAATGTAGAAAATTACCTCATTTTATGTAATTAGATTTACTATTATCTAAGTGAATTTCATTTGTAGCATATACGAAGTTGTTTACAGGGATTCTTTTTCCAACATTAAGTCCTTCAGAAGAGCAATTCCAGGAATGCTTTAGCGTGTTCATATTTAATGATATAATAATTTATTTGGTGATAACCTTCAGATTTCTTTGAATTGCAGTCTGTGAAATTTTAGATATTACAGTTGGAAGGAAGGGTAAAACTCTCCACTTAAAAAATCCCACATAGTGTGAGACTTCCAGCAAACTGTTTTTCACTTCTGCTTAAGGAGTGCTGGTGACAAGGGACAGACATTCCTTTTTGAATGCCCCTAATCGTCTCATTTAATTGGTGCAGGAATGGAGACCCTCACGGGTGAGGGGTCTCAGCTAGGAGACCTTCAGGGTTGAAGGGTCCCAGCTAGCAGATAGGGCTGGGCCTTGACCCTTGCTCTGCCAGCTCAGAGCCTGTGGCCTCCCTTGACCCCGCAGTGTCCTCTACCAACCTCTGATGTTGTTGTCTTTCTCCATCTTTACCCTTTTCTGTTGGCCTGCTCTCAGCCCCTCAAAGAGGCCACACTTTCTTGGGAAGGGGTGTTTTGGAGGTAGGCTGGGAGCTGTTGCAGTCTTTGCTTCTTTCCCACATCCACAGCACCGGGCCCCCTCGAGGTGCAAGGGTCTCCCGGAGCTGAGGGGAACTGGAAGTCCATCTGGAAATTTACAGATGCCTGGGGCACCCTAGAGAGGGGAAGTGACTTTGCCCCAAGTTAAAAATTGGGTGGCAGACAACATGGCATATACATAAATCTCGGGCCCCACGTATCAGAGCGAAGGACGAAGCAGAGAGGCTTTAGGACTTGAAGGCTGGGATGAGCCCAGGTCTGCTGTTGGGCATGGGCATCCCTCAGCTGGCAGGGGTGCATCCCTTAGCAGCCACCTTTTCCGCTCTCCAGGTGCTTTTTAACTTTTAAAAAATGCAAATTTGGGATTTCAGGTGGAGACTAGAGACAGTATTATTAAGAGCCATGAATATAAAATAGAAAATAGGTACACATTTTATTTTGAATGCACATATTTGAGTGTGTGCTCAGTCCGTTGATTTAAAAAAATTTAAAATAAAATGGTAAATGGAAATTAAGTGTCTATATGATCCCAAGGCCGCTGGGCTCTTGGAATATAGCTTGAAAACTACTCAAGTCAGTCATCTCTCAAGTTCCAGCCGCCTTGCCTGTAGGGTGCCCTGACTTAGAAGAGCATAAGAAGTATCACACAGTCCAAGACACCCTAACTTAAATGCAGTCTGTCTTTGTAGCCCGGGGAGGGAAACCATTTTTCATTCAGCATAGAGTTGTGTGCCTCCCGCGTGTCAGGGGCTGCTCTGGCCATTGGGGATTATTGCCGTTGGACACAGCAGCGGAAAGTCCTGCTCTTGGGGAGTTCTGGTGGGGAGGTCTGTCAATTACACCGTTTGTTAGAAGGTTCCTTCCTTACAAGGAAAACAATGCAGGCGAGGGAGGTGAATGGGGGAGCTGGAGTGAGGATGAGCCACAGAGGGCCTGAGACCAGAAGGTTTTAGCTGATTAAAAGATCAGCCAGTGTTGCCAGAGAATCCGAGGGACAACCTTGGAATCTAATTACAAAGGGACAATGCTACATAAACCAGTCACTTAATCAGGCAGAGATGTTTGACGGACTTAAAAAATGAGTACACGACATGGGTTTTAAGAAATGAGATGGCATATTCATTAATGTTTAGGCCAAGTTGCCATCATAGCAGCTCTAAAACAGTGTCTCACAAAAGATAGAAATTTATTTCTCCCCCTGCACATGGGGTCAGTGGCTCTGGTCCATACCGTCACGGTCTGTGCTGGTGGGTGGCTTCAGCATCTGGAGCCCCAGGCTTCCCTTGGTCTTCAGCCATTGTCCTCTCCCACTGCCAGTGCTTCAGGGCCAAGACCAAGCAGGGGCATGGGGCACATTTGCTCCTGTCTGACCCACTGGCGAGGTCTTAGTCACCTGACCACAGGCTGCTGCTCAGAGTCTGGGAAATGTGGTTTCTTGTTGTGGCTGAGTGCCCCGGCCAATAGTCCCTGTTACAGAGCTTCGAAGCAGGGGAGGACAGGCTCGGGGAGGGGGAGTTAGAAGTCACACAGAGGTGGGATGTGGTCTAGGTTTTTTTCCTGGGTCCTATTTGAAGAGTCTGCAAGTGCCTGAATGATGGAGAGCATGGTCGCAATGGCGAACACCAGCTGCTGACTTGGAGAGCTTGGCCTGGTCCGAGCTGCTCATGAGGCACTCTGGGGGGTAGACAGCAGCCGAATACCCTTTATAGTGAATTTTGACGCAGAAAGGATTTCCCCCCAAGTAAGGAGAGTTTTATCTCTTTTTCTCCCCTTCCTCCTCGTTCCCCATGGGCATATAAGTCAATGATGGATGGTGTTCAGGGCAGATTTAAAAGGGCAGAACCATGCAGACAGTCATCACAGAGCCAGCCCTTAATTATCCAGGGGAGGATTTTCCATGAGTGTTCCTCACCTCTTCCTCTTAGCGCCCTTTGGGAATGACAGCAGGCCGCTCTGCCGTTGCTTTTGGGAGACTTGGTAATGGAAGGGAGGTGGTTAAGTCCAGATCTAACCACAGGTATTGATCGTCGGCTTGGGCACAGACTTGGTGAAGGAGGAGATGGGAGATGGGACCCGACTCTAATGTGACTTTTTTTTTTTTTTTTTGAGACGGAATCTTGCTCTGTCACCCAGGCTGGAGTGCAATGGTGCGATCTTGGCTCATTGCAACCTCTGCCTCCTGGGTTCAAGCGATTCTCCTGCCTCAGCCTCCCAAGTAGCTGGGATTACAAGCATGTGCCATCATGCCCGGCTAATTTTTCTGTGTTTTTAGTAGAGATGGGGTTTCACCATGTTGGCCAGGCTGGTCTCGAACTCCCGACCTCAAGGTGATCCACCCGCCTCGGCCTCCCAAAGTGCTGGGATTACAGGCATGAGCCACCGCGCCTGGCCTCTAACATGACTTTGATCTTTGGTCGACTGGATTCTCCTGCACTCCAGCATTATGAACAAAAGCAAACACTCCGGCATCTCTATCCTCCTCCCCACTGTCCACCCAGGTGATGAGAAAAGTCTGTGTTCCTCATTTTGAAAATTAAAATTTCTACATTCTATGAACACTGAAAAATAGATGTGGAGAAAGCTGACTTAAGGCATAGTTTTCCTGATTGTGTTCTTTAGAATAGTAGTTTTGATATGCATTTCTTATAAATAAGACTTTTGTTCAGGTAACTGGGAAAAAACTACTTTCTGGGGAACAGAGTCTGTGGCGTAATGCCTTAGTCTGAGGTAACTTTTGGACAATATCTTAATTGGAATTTGGGACAATTTCTGGCAGGCGATGGAGATGGGCATTTTGACCTTCTCTGAGCATATGTGTGCGGTCAAACTAAAAGCGACAAGTGCATTCTCTGCACCTGGGTCCTGGGTGGAGAAGGCCAGGGGTGGCTGGATTCCAGGTGTGTCTGCTGCCAGGCAGGCCAGAGTCCCAGCGAGGCCAGTGTGTGAGGAGAGGCCACCTCTGAGAGTGGCCCTGACCCTGGGATTGCTGTGTAGACCAGGGCAGGCCTGCGAGCCAAGGCAGCACAGCTCACCCATGGGCCGGAAAGCAGGGCCAGGTATGAGTCAGGCTGTGGTTTCGGTGACAAGGGCTGTCTCGGTTGCCCCCACACTGCACCCCACAAGTACTTCCGGATGTGGAACAGGATGTGAAGGAGCTGAGGCACGCAAGGACTGTCGGGCTCTGTCCCAGAGATGTGCACGCCTGAGTCGGATGCTTCCTGTGGAGGAGCGCCCTAGTTTTCATCCCCTTTGGCTTAAAGCACATTTCTTATCTTTTTAAAACTAAGTGAAAGGCCCCAGATTGTATCTTCCTGTTGGCTAAAATGTGTGGGTGTGGGCTGTGAAGACATTCACTGTCAAGTCTGAAAACCAAGAATGGGGGACCATGATTTGGGGGAACCCTACCTGCATCGATTAGACATCTGCCCTCTGTCTGGCTCCGTTTCTGTGGTTCCGGGGAGCACTGGTGGCTTTGCTGCTGTCATCTGTGGAATTACTGTTTGTGACTGACTGCCCCACTCTGCAGGGGGCGGGGGGGGGCTTCCCGTCTGGTTTGAAGTGAGCCTTTGTTAGCCTGGTTTTCCTTTCCTTTTAAATGGAGATGTGGATACCTGACATTTCTTCCTTTCATCTGATATAGTTGTGGATATAAAGGAGTCAATAGGAACAATTATTTTGAGTTTCTGAGAATAAAAGCTTTCAGAGGTAATTATTATCTTAGGGATAATATAATAGTTATTATTATTATATAATATCTATTATATAACAAATCCCAAACTATTAGGATTTAAGCTCTTTCAGCTGCATTCCCCCAAGTTGGGGAGCTTTAACTGCAGATTTAAAAAATTCTAATACAAGGATATCCTCAGAGGCGCCTGGCTCCTAGGCCTTCTTTCCTGGGTGTTTTTGGGTACCAGGGGTGAGCCTTCTGGTAAGGGAACCACATATGTTAGGACAGATCCTGGCTGCTCTGTCTCTTGGCTGTTCGTTTCCTGGAGTGAAATCCCCAGCCTGTACCCCGCCCCTGCCATGGCCAGAGGGGCACCCTGAGGTCAGCTGCAGGCGCAGGCCGGGTCGTGGGCTTCCTCATTGGCTCAGCCTGCGCCCCGCCCCTGCCATGGCCAGGGGGTCGCCCTGTGGTCAGCTGCAGGCGCAGGCGGGGCTGCGGGCTTCCTCATTGGCTCCTCTTTGCTTCTCTGCTGGCTTGGCTTCATTGAGCAAAGCCATTTTCTCGGGCCCTTTGTTTTTTTAAGGGTCCCTCAGTGGACTGTAATTGTTAGGGCAAAATCATGTGTTTTAAGTGAAGAAGATTTCAGGTTTTAATTACCCTTGTCCATTAACATGGATAGTGTTTCTGTTTTATCTCAAACTTTTCATAAGATAATCATTTAAGTAACTTTAAGAATTTTTTTCTCTTCTTAGTTAGAACCTGGCCCATTAGATGAAACCCAGATCGCTACTATATTAAGAGAAATACTGAAAGGACTCGATTATCTCCATTCGGAGAAGAAAATCCACAGAGACATTAAAGGTAAGAGGACATCCGTTTTCATTCCTTTGAAATACTGAAGGTGGTGGTGGGGTTGCCCTGAAGACTTCTCAAGGGAAGGTGCTGGCGCCCATTTGTCCTGCACGTTTGCCTTGCCTGGGCTGGGCTGGCTTTGAGGGGGTCTGACAAAAAGTGTAGCCCCGGTGCCTGTGCTCGGTGGGTTCGCCACCCAGCCAGGGAGAAGACGCGCTTGTGGCAGTGCACGGAGTTGTAAGTCCGCACCGCCCAGGGCCGCCTTGGCTTTCTTTTGCAGCGGCCAACGTCCTGCTGTCTGAGCATGGCGAGGTGAAGCTGGCGGACTTTGGCGTGGCTGGCCAGCTGACAGACACCCAGATCAAAAGGAACACCTTCGTGGGCACCCCATTCTGGATGGCACCCGAGGTCATCAAACAGTCGGCCTATGACTCGAAGGTGAGGGGAGGGTGAGGGCGGCGCCGTGCCTCACGAGGCCTGGAGGGCTCCCGCCTTTTGTTCTTTAGCCTGGTAGCTTTTCTAAGTTGGAACGAAGCTGGTACCTTGAGGTAGGTCATAAAGGTAATTCTTCAACCTTGGTTATGAACAGTTTTCTCCTCTGTCTCCTGCTGTATCATTTAATACCCTGTGCTGATCCAGCCCACCATGATCGAGGTTTTTAACTCAGGCTATGTTTGTTTGGTGGCAGCGGGGACACAGGATGGAGCGGGTTTGGAGGGGGGTGGGAGGAACTGAAGGGCCATGGTGGTGAGGGGTGGAGGCGTGTGCGGTTGCAGAGGGGCTCCACCTGCTGTCTGGGCACAGCTGGGGGTCGAAGTGCAAGTGCGTGGAATCGGCAACCTTGAAGGGGCCTGTAGAGAAAGGGGCTCCCACAAGAGAAAGGGAGTCCACGGAAGCGTGAGAATGGAGGAAGAACAGTGCTTTGAGTGACTGCTGCAGGGTCTTCCTATTATTTTTAGTTCTGAGGATTCTCGTTCCCAGCCTGTCCTTGTCAACATGTGATGAAACCCTAACCCTTTCTTCCCACTGTTTTTTACTTGTCCTGTGTTAGGGACACTCTCCTAATTTTTCTCATATTCTTTTTCTCTGTTGCCCTCCACTTTTGTGAACTCTGTTAGATGGGACAAAAAATCCCGGGACTTTGCCTCCTAGGGCTCTGGTTTAACTTCAGTTCGCACAGTCTGCTCTTCTTAGGACCCTGTACACAGTTAAAAGGCCACATGATCCACGGAGAATTGGCTTTCCTGGGCTCCAAGTTTCTGAGCAAACAAATACCTAACTCAGATATGCATATAGGCCGAACCTTGCTGCTGCTTTTAAACAGAAATCTTCCCAGTACCCAGTAAACTTCCCACCTTGTTAAACATAGTACAGGAAGCACCAGGTGACTTTCCCTGCAGACCCAGGTCACCGTTGCAAGCTATAGACTGTTAGAAAGCGTCCAGGTTGTAGCTCAAGTTGCAGGCGTACCTGGTTCCACCTTGGGAGGAGTGAGCCCGTCTCACTGTTGAGTGGTAGCGGTGGCTGTGACTTTTCTGAGCACTATGATGGCCTTGACAGCCTCTGGCTGGTGAGTGACTGATGGGTTCCCCCACCCCCCACATACCCACACAGCAGACCTGGCTGGTCTTGGGTGTGTGCCCTTGCCTGGGAGTGTCTCTACCCCACGTGGGAGGGACACTGCCTTGGCTGCTTCTCATCTGCAGTCACTTTGGCTGTTGACCCTTTTCCTGGGGTCATGTAATTTTGGGACTCGACCAGGAACTTACATGTTTAGTCCATTCTCTTTATTTTAAGCTGACCCCATTTATCAAAGTTCATCTGTGTAGATTTTGGCAAGGCTGAGACTAGAACCCATGTTTCTTAACTCATTGGATGACACCACCTCGATTATTCTCTTCTCATTCTTTGTAGTAAATTAGCTGATCTACCATGTGACTGAGGACTCTGATTTTAGATTTCCCTCTCTCCCTCCTTCCTTTCCCCTTTCCTTCCTCCCCTTCCTTCTCTCTTTCTCTCTCTTTCATTATTGTATTTATTTCATATTGATTCTTTCATTTAACCCATTCTGTGTAGGCACATTTTTCTGGATTCCAGTAATACTGGAGTAGACAAGAACAAAAGTCTCTTCTCCTGTATGTCTTAAATTCATATGGGGGAGACTGACAGTAAACAGGAAGAATTAACAGCACTTTAGGAGCAAGCGTGCTGTGTTGTAGTCACCATTTTCAGTGAGTTACCTGCCTTAGGTGACAAATATCCCTAGAGAGTGGCGGGGCAGAAGGCATGGGCACCTCAGTGTGCGGCCATTTCAGGGTTGGGCCCTGGCAGGATGGCGTTCTAGTTGAGATGCAAGCTGAGAGAGGTTTAAAAGAGTTTTGAAAGCATCAGTGCACAGCTTTAATTGGTGTTTTGAAAGAAAACTCCAGAATAAATAGAAGAATGTTTAAAGATTTAAAACTTACCCAAGGTCAAGAATGATGTGAACCCATAAGTCAAAGAGGTTGCCTGGTACCAAGCAAAATGAATGAATAGAGATGATTACATATGTCAGAACCTTTTCCAGAGGAAAAAAGTTGTATTACAAACTTATTAAAAAATTAAGTGCCTTCAAAGGAAGAAAATCAAGCTGGTGCCATTCATTCACAAATTTGTACTGAGCAACTGCACTGTGAATACAACTGTGATCACGACAGCACACTCCCTCCTCTCCTGAAGTAGAAGAAACAATAAATAAGCAGTTTCAGATCATGCAAAGTGCCGTGGAAAAAAGGAGACAGGGCCATGTGAAGATCTTCCGCTCTTGGTTGCACCATCACTGCTCACATGAGAACCTTTATTCGAGAGCTGTCCTGTCTGCCTGAGCCATCCGCACCCACCTTCCTTGAAGGGCAAGTCCTCCCTTCAGAGTTCCAGTTCCAACTCTGAACTGGAAATCATGAGCAAACTCTTATGTTGATGTGAAATTGACTTTCCAGGTTTGTGGACCCGGGAGGCGTGTGGTGAGGGCCGATGAGGGTCACGTCTGTGTCTGCGTCTCAAAGTTCTCAGAAGTGGGGTTTCACGCTGGGGCCTTAGGGCTGAGATTTCCTTTGTTTCCCACTGGGCGTGGCTCTGGACTGGCAGCTCTTGTCGCAAGCAGGGCCTGATAAGGGCGCTCTTCCTGGCTGCCCTGTGTGTGTCCCTCCAGTGGCTGGCTTGCCTGCCAGGCAGCCAGTGCTCTTCAGGGTACACTGGAGGCCGCTCTGGTCTCATGGCTCACTCAGCTGCTTCCCAGCTTTCCCTCCATTCTCTCTTGCATGACTTGTAGACATTTCCCCTCCTAGTCTGTGCACTGCAGGTAAGGAAAGACCTTCCAGCTATTGGGGACAGGGTTCTGTATGGTAGTTATGAAGGCACGTGCCCAAGTCACACCTAGGTTCACACGCAGATTGTCAAAGGAAGGGTGGGTTGGGAGAAGTGATGGACTTCACCTGCCTCACTAGCTTCTTCATCTCACTGAACTAAAGGGAATACAAACCTCCATTTCCTGTATATGTTTGGAACCTTTTTGAGCATTGTCACCTCTGGCAGTAGCTGTGCCCCCTTATCTTGTCTGGGCTGCTCAGGTGTTGCTGAATGTCTTTGCATACAAAGAGAATCTTATGTCAGTCTTAACCTAAGCATGACATTACTAAGTCCTGATTGCCCATATGTCGTAAGAACCTTCACTACTACTGTTTTAAGGTGATTTGGGGAAGTTTGGTTTGTTTGAAGGAGTCCCCATCCTTTGGAGATGGTGCTAAGGGAGATACCTCTGCTCACTGCGAAGAAGCCTCCGGTTTCAACACTAGAGAAAGGTCTTGGGCTGAAGAACTCTCATCTCCCTTTTTCCTTGTAAGATCATTACGATGGTATGTTAGCGAATGGATTGTGCTTGGTTTGAAGTGTAACCATGGTGAAAAGTGGAAACTGGTGATGCATTGATGGAAAAAAATAGCATTGTTGAAGATGAGTGAAAGCGTGGTGGGATGAGCCGATGGGCTGCCAGAACCCAGGCAGCCAGCCTGTCTACTGCACTGCGTACCAGCCCTTCCTGTCACTGGTCACTGAGCCCATGGACTCCCTGCTCCTGCCTACGGCTCAGGAATTGTCCACAGGCCTGGCTGGGAGGATGAGCCCTGAGGGCCAGGGAAGAATGTGAACCAGGAGACAGCAGGCTTTATTTTTGCATGAGTAATGTTGGGCCACTTTGGTCAACCTTGTGTTGCTCTTAATGGTCATAAACATCACATACGCCTCTAGATGCCAGTTACAAGTGTGTTCCTAATGATCGCATCTGCTTAAGTAATAAGCTTATATCAAATGAGATTTTGTTTTGATTGATTACAGCTGTGATTTAGGGTTATCCCTGGTTTTCTTCTTGATTATAGAGTTGGTTTCTTCTAGAATTATTTTCTCTATATAATTAAAATCACTTAAATTGTATCTTCAGATGTGTAGCTAGCGTACTTTATTTGACATGATATTGTGAAGATGTAGGATGCTGTTGCATAGATCCCCACATCTCCCAATGTTGAGGAGAGTCCAGAACCATCAGTAACAGAGAACTCAGGGTGGTCACTCAGGAGCATGCCCCAGGAGAAGATTCGTTCGCAGTTAATGTGTGCATTTGCAGCTTTTGACTGGAGCTTATATTAGAAACCACTGTTTGTTTTCTCTGTGAGCAGTGTCTTAATGTCTAATTTCATATCTTTCCCAAATGGGTCTCTCCTTCCACCTCATTTTAATTGCTTTGGAAGATGACTGCCTGCTCCCCACATAAAGTTTACTTTAAAACTCAGACATAGGCCAGGCACAGTGGCTCACGCCTATAATCCCAGCACTTTGGGAGTCCCTGGCGGGAGGACAGCTTGAGGCCAGGAGTTCAAGACCAACCTGGGCAACAAAGCAAGACCCCCCCTTGCCCCCCCGACTCCCACCTCTACAAAGAATTTAAAAATTAGCTGGGCATGGTGATATGCCCTATAGTCCCAGCTATCCAGGAGGCTGAGGTGGGAGGATGGCTTGAACCTGGGTGACAGAGTGAGTCCCCTCCCTGCCAAAAGACACAAAAAAACCTCAGACACAAGTTCTTGATCTGCTGTCATTTTTCCTAGAAGCAGTAATAGACAAACTCAATTATATTTATGAGTTTCCCTATCAACACATTGTTGAGTACATCCTACTTCATTAAGTTAATGTGCCATAGCAACTTAATCATTCTTCTGAGGTTGAACATAAGTAATGCTGCTGTTGAATATTTTGGGCAGCCCATACCATTTTCCAAATTTAAAATGTAGTAGAGATGCCTAGGAATCGAAGTAATTGGTTTTAACAAGTTTGGATATTTTTGTGGCTTTCGATTTGTATGCCAAATTGCTTGCCATTGATTCACATGCCAGTCCAGGATTCCAAATTACTCATAGTTAGATGTCTGGTGGGAGAGCCAGCAGGCAGGAAGACCACTTGGGAGCCCCCTACAGAAGTCCTGGGGAGAAGAGATCCCTTTAGACTAATCCAAAGTTAGGAGGGGTAGAGGGGACGCAGGGTGCTGAGAGCCCAGGAACCATACACCCTGGGTTGCAGCTGGATTTAGGAGGGTCCAAAGAGGGGATCCTAAGGAGCTGGGTGACCCTCGTGTCCCTGGCATGGCTACCTAGTAGGATGTCCTCCCCCCGCCGCCTTTTTTTTTTGGGGGGGGGGATGCAGGGTCTTGCTCTGTCACCCAGACTTATGATCTCGCTCACTGCAACTTCTTCCTCCCAGGTTCAAATGATTCTCCTGCCTCAGCCTCCCAAGTAGCTGGAACTACAGGTGCAGCCCACCATGCCCGGCTGATTTTTGTATTTTTAGTAGAGATGGGGTTTCGCCATGTTGGCCGGGCTGGTCTCGAACTCCTGGCTTCAAGTGATCTGCCTGCGTCGGCCTCCCAAAGTGGTGGGATTACAGGCGTGAGCCACCGCGCCTGGCCCCCATGTTTGTTCTTGATGGTGCTGTACTGGCTGCCCTCCTTGGAAGCCAGGAGACTGATACGTGGGTTGCGTTCAGATGGGGCCAGCAGGGGTTTTCTCAGTGAACTTCCCGTGGTGCACACTGCGTGCAGAAGCAGGCGTTCGCAAGCAGGCGTTCGGCCGCCTGCTTATTATCTGTCCCTGAACCTGAAAGCAAGTCCTCGGGCCTCTGAGTAAAATCAAGGCAAGCGCATCACCGACGTACTCTCAGCAGAGATCGGCTTCTGCCAGGGCCTGCCTGCCAGTCACCGAGTGTGTTTAGCTGGTTGAGAGGTGCTTGGAGGTCTGGAGGTGCATCCGTCAGAGATCATGTTCAGTAGCACAATAGGGTGACCGTAGTTAATAATTTGTTGTGTTTCAAATAGCCAGAAGAGAAGATTTGGAATATCCCAGCACAAAGGAATGAGCCGTGTTTGAGGTGAGGGGGATCCCAGCTACCCGGATTTGATTGTTACACACTGTATACTTGTACCAGAAAAAATTCATATAACTATTATGTACCCTTACAAATGAGAAGGCTCTGGGTCTGTGTGGCCAGGAGACAGCATGCTTTGAAAACAGCAGTAGCTGTAATGAAATCTGAGAGGCCTGGGGGAAGCAGACAGATGTGGAATCACACAAACTTGAGAGCCACCTGTTGGTGTGGAGAACCGCTGCCACACAAGAGTCACAATTGCCACCTCTGTTCTTGCCTCTCCCCTCCTCGGTCCTCCCTCCTTGTGCCTGCTCACTCCTGTCCTCCTGTCGCTGCCACAGTTCTGGGTGCTTGCCCACCCTGTGCTCCCATGCACCTGCTTCCCTGCTCCTAGGGGCAAGAGACTGGGATCAGTTGCATTTCTGCTGATTTTTAAGATAATGCAATGCAAGATAAAGCAGAGTCCAAGTTGTAGAGGGAAGGAAAATAGTATTACTTCCAACGTCAGCTCTTCTAGACTGACCCCTTCAGTACAAGATTTAGTAGAAAGAATTTAGAACAAGACTTGCTGGCAGCTTTTCATCTTCACTGAGAATAAGGAAATAGAATATGCCGTAGGCATCATTCCCATGGACTGCTGGGCTTGGGGGCTTCCAGTAGGGATTTCTGGTACTCACTAAGGCTGCAGGAACATGGTAAGTGTATCCTCTGGATAGTTAAAGCACCCTGCAGCCACAACGATGCTTCCGCCTATGCATTTCCTTGCTGTAGAGTGAGTGTGAGAGATGTATTCGATTCTCACTGAAGTTCTTGGAATAATGATGGATTCCAGTGCACAGTGAGAACAGCAGGAAAGCTGTACCAGACTCAGGCGTGTTCTCTACCCCAGTCCCCATTCGTCTTTCGCCAGCCCATATAGGACTATGTCCTGCCTCATTGTCGGCCTCTGTCCTGTTTGGGGATTGGTGTCACATGCTGTCAATGTCTCATCAGCTGTCAAGTTCCTCTTAGGATGGCCTGGCTCTTCTCATTGACATGACACATTCAAGGAATTCATTCCTTTGCCTAACTGCTTGGTTGTGCCACAGGCCTGTGCTGGGCAGAAGGAGGTGGGGCAGCTGGACCTGAGATGTCCTAGTGGGGCCACACGGCTTCTGCAGATGTCTCCTCTGGGACATTCGGCAGAAAATGCAGACACTAGAGAGACACAGTAAATGACATCAGCAAGAAACCACCAGACAAATCCCGAATTTGGGACCTGTTTCTTTAAGTTGATGTCCCTGGGGAGACTGGGGACAGGACTGTTGTAGGTTGAAAGAGCCTTAGCGACCTGGCAGTCAGTTGTACCCCGTGGACTTTGGATCCTGATTCAGATAAACCAACCATGGAATGACAGTTTTTGAACAGCTGAGAACATTTAATTATACATGACATTAAGGAATTCGTGTTAATTTCAGGCACTGATAGGTAGTAAAAAGTCTGTATATTGGCACACGGAAATACTCGGGGGAAAATGTCATGATGACTGATTGATTTTAAAATATACTCGGGGAACACATGGACAAAGCTCGTATGGCAAAATGTTAATTAGTAAATTCATGCAATAGGTAGATGAGGATGCATTATATTAATATTTCTCAGTTCTTTGTATGTTTGAACATTTTCATAATAAACTTTTTTAAGTTCTGGGCCCCTGGTAAGGCACCTTACATGGCCACCTCCTCCTCTTCCACCTCCATTCTACAGATGAGAGAAACAGGGCTCAGAGGTTAGCTCTTTCATCTAACGTCACAGGACTTTGACTGTAGAACTGGCATTTCAACCCAGGTATCTTGAGACCAAGGTGCCCACTCTCGACCTCAGAGCTGTGCCCTAAGTTCTAAGCACTGCTGGAGGGGGTGACTCGCGAGCGTACACCCACTCCGGACTCCTCCTCTCTGCTCACCTCTCTTACTGGTCCTGCTGGCCCCCGGGACTCCACGGGGAATGCCGAATGCATCCAGCAGGAGGCGTAGTAGGAGTGAATTGATAAGCCATCTCCATGTAGAGGCAGAAAACATTTGGCATATTACAGTTTCTCCTGTTGTCTCTTTTGAAATTACAGCGAGGGCTTATGTTTTTAAATATCAGTTAAAAATACCTTTTTCAAAACCTCAGAAGTATTGAGACATGTTACCATTTTCCCCCTAAATACTGTGTATTGGAATAGATTCCTGCTTGGTGTTTGTAAAGATGCTTTTCTTGTTGCAGGCAGACATCTGGTCCCTGGGCATAACAGCTATTGAACTTGCAAGAGGGGAACCACCTCATTCCGAGCTGCACCCCATGAAAGTTTTATTCCTCATTCCAAAGAACAACCCACCGACGTTGGAAGGAAACTACAGTAAACCCCTCAAGGAGTTTGTGGAGGCCTGTTTGAATAAGGAGCCGAGCTTTGTAAGTTTCCCAGGGATCACAGCGTACCTCTTCATGTGCGGCTTGACTTGGTTGAGATACATCCTGTTGGGATTGCTTTAATCACTCTTTTCAGCTGTCTTCCTGGTATTATTCATTTTTCTTTTTCTAAGTAAGTATGATTGACTTCTTTGGTTTGCAAATACATTTTAATTTTTAAGTATTAAAAATCTCCTTATTTTCTTTTAGATTTCTGCCATCTCATACTTCATTGAATCTGAAGAATATTCTCCTTAATATTAAATGTGGAATCATAAATGTTTAATATTTATAGAAGATCAGGCCATAAACTGTTACACTGTTTTTAATAATGGCAAAGGTTAGCTGGAAACAAATGGCTAAATATGTCTTTAAAGTAAATGTTTTCACTTTCCAGGTGGCATGTGTTAGGAAACAAAAGATTAGAAAATATAACCAAGCCACCCTCTGTGCTTCTTCCCCTCCCCTTCCTGCCTACTTTCTCTTTTTAGGTTTAATAGACTCTGGCAGAGCCATACAGCAGTAACGACTGTGTGGCTTTGCCTCATTTTCTGTCTGAATTAGGACATTTCTTTGAAAGTAGTGTGTGTGTGTTGGTGTTGGAGGTAGCACCATATGTCCTTGTTTTGTTTCTGAGTTTTCCAGCAGAGTTAGCTGAAGGCTAAGCTGAGCCCCCCTTTTCTTAACTCTTATGTAAAAATGGGTGGTTACTTTTACAAGAGCACCATGGTTTCCTAATATGCCAGTTCTGGTAAAGGAATTAAATGGGTAATGCAACATTTTCTAAGTACGTCTAAGGAGATGCAGGCTGAGACCACCACACCAGTGTTTGATGACTACATCAGCATCGGGTGGTGGTGGGGCTTGTCCTGCATGCCACGATGCTCTGCATTTTATTACACGATGATGTTTCTTGCAGCCATCATGCACCAGCACCAGTGGAGATGTGTGCAGGCATGTCTTCCCATACAAAGCATGTGTCCTGTATGGGCTTATGCCCCAGCACACAGAGCTCCACCCCACAGCTACCGAGGAGCTGGCTGAGAGGCGAGAATATGAGCACCTCCGGGGTAGTTGGGGTTTCACCCTTGGATGGACAGGGAGGGAGAATACTTGAGGTGATCCACGTTTCTCATGAGTTTGAATCTGAAAACATGCTTGGCTCTTGTAATCAAGCTTTTGTAATTTGGAGT
This sequence comes from Homo sapiens, assembly GCF_000001405.40. NCBI lineage: Eukaryota > Metazoa > Chordata > Mammalia > Primates > Hominidae > Homo > Homo sapiens. Next base: position 98,465,185 of record NC_000013.11, on the reverse strand, counting down.
GAGTGGGAACTTGGTTCGACTCGGTGTTTGGGTGTTCCTGCTGTCTGTTCCCATTTGGGCCATGCTGGTTTCCTTGGGAAGCACATTCCCTGTCACTATCGCCATCCTCAAGGCAGGCAGCTGACCAGGTGCTGCTTGCGGTGGCCATGCTGAGCCCAGGGCATGGGTGAAGTCCTCAGCCCAATCACAAGGGAAGGGAGGGAGGGACCTGGGAAATAGCCCTTCTAAACCGGGAAAGTTGGTGGTGAAGCGCATCCAGTTGCTCTTTCAGCAGACAGGAAAAAGGGGATCTCCTGGCTCCTTTCCAGTTTCTCTGAGATAATTCCAAATTGACATTTCTATTATATGGTTGGATGTGGCCAAACGTTAATACAGAAAGTTAACAAAGCAGCCCAGCATGGTGGCTCACATCTGTAATCCCAGCACTTTGGGAGGCCGAGGCAGGTGCATCACCTGAGGTCAGGAGTTCAAGACCAGCCTGGCTAACATGGTGAAATCCCGTTTCTACTAAAAATACAAAAAATTAGCCTGGTGTGGTGGTGCAGGCCTGTAATCCCAGCTACCCAGGAGGCTGAGGCAGGAGAATCGTTTGAACTGGGGAGGCGAGGTTGTAGTGAGCCGAAATCGTGCCACTGCACTCCAGCCTGGGCAACAAGAGCAAAACTGTCTCAAAAAAAAAAAAAAAAAAAAGTTAAACAACACAGAACATATATTTTGTCAGCATTTGTCATAAAGTATTTTATAAACTAGGAGATAAGCTTTTTTTTGAGACAGAGTCTTGCTCTGTCGCCCAGGCTGGAGTGCAGTGGCGCGATCTCGGCTCCCTGCAAGCTCCGCCTCCTGGGTTCACGCCATTCTCCTGCCTCAGCCTCCTGAGTAGCTGGGACTACAGGCGCCCACCACCACGCCCGGCTAAATTTTTTTGTATTTTTAGTAAAGACGGGGTTTCACCATGTTAGCCAGGGTGGTCTCGATCTCCTGACCTCGTGATCTGCCCGCCTCGGCCTCCGAAAGTGCTGGGATTACAGGCGTGAGCCACTGCGCCCGACCAGATCATTTAAGCTCTCTTAAATGATCCCTGTGAAGCTCTGTGCAGAGTTTTCTGTGAAAATGTATTTATTAGGGACATCCTTGGAAAGACAGTGCCCTGCCCACCATAGCACCCAGAGCCCAGGCGTAGGTCCTGAGCGACTCGTCTTTGGGTGAGTTGCAGTGAGAAGCGCTGTGGAGTAGAGAGTCCAGCCATCAGGTGTCAGTGTGGCGGTTGACATTTTGAGGCAGAAGTCTGTCCTTTGGGGTAGGACCAAGAACTTCATCTCATACTTTAATTGTTGGGTGTGTTTTTCCAGAGACCCACTGCTAAGGAGTTATTGAAGCACAAGTTTATACTACGCAATGCAAAGAAAACTTCCTACTTGACCGAGCTCATCGACAGGTACAAGAGATGGAAGGCCGAGCAGAGCCATGACGACTCGAGCTCCGAGGATTCCGACGCGTAAGTCGGCCCCTGAGTGACCCAAGCATGTGTGTGGGAGGGATCCGCTGGTCTTTGTCACTGTTTGGTGTGGGTTTCGTTTTCTGTTGAGTTTTTTTTTTTTTTTAGACAATCCAGGTTGGTGGCAATTGTTGTGTTAGACACAGCCTGGGCCTGTTTGGGAGTTGTTTAGCCTCTTGACGTTGCTGGTGGAGTTTCTGCGAGTGAACTCTTGTGGTAGAGCTGTGCATGGGGAACTGGACCTGGCTGTTTCATTCTGTTTTGTTTCGTTCTGTTCTGTTCTGTTTTCCATTAAACTTCCTGTTTGTAAAACCCTGATCAGGTGAAACTGCTTTACATGGATGTCTGAAAGGCCAGAAATGCATGTGTTTGTGATTCTGTATTGTGTCTGGTAGAAGCTTCTGTACCAGGAGTGGCTTACTGAGAATTGCTGTCAAGTTTGGCATCTAGGAATTCCCTTGGCTTAAGAGGCGGAGTGGGGCTGGAGCCATTTGTGTGGGGAGGGCTGGGGGAGGTGGTCGGGCAGACTTGTGTCTGGAAGTCCGAGCGTGGGACTCGTCTGTTCTCGTGCATGCCTTGGCAGAAGTTAAAGTTGGCCCACAGTGCAGGTCCATGTGCCAGGCCAGTTGAATGAGGATTTCCGGGGATGAGACCCTAAGTGGTTTTTCAGGGTCTCTAGGTGATTCCAGTTTAAAGCCAAGGTTGAGACCACTGCCCCCGGAAGTTCTTGAGGTACTGCCATTGGGAGATTGCTGGGGTAGCAACAGGGATGACAAGAGAAAGAGACTGGAGAGAGGTTTGGAGAGCCAGGACGCGGCGGTGGATTTGGGTGAAGGAGGGAAGCCAATGTTCCAGGCTGGGGCAGCGTGGCACCAGGTGTTGTGATGTGTGGTGCGGGAAGCCGAGTGTGGGGTGAACCGTGTGTGAGTCTGAGTTGTCCAGGAGAGACGTCCAGTGTGAAGTGGCACCGAGGTGTGGAGTTCAGGTGAGAAAGCTGGGCAGGTGAAGCGGGCTTAGGGGCCACTGCTCTGTGGAGGTCACTTGAGCCGAGAGAAAAAAGGGTGTCAGTTGGGGCATGTGGGGGAGTGAGGCTGGCCCCTAGGTGTGAGGGTGAGGCTCCGCCTGTGAGTGAGAGGGGAGAGGTATGGCCGAGGGGCGGGAGGAGGTGCAGGCTTAATGGGGCCACAGGCATCAGGGGATGATCAGCAGGGCCTGGGGCTCATTGCCTCTGAGGCCCATACAGGACAGGGAGTGATCAGCACACCATCATCTCATGATGGGGGAGGGAGCGCTCGGAGGGACACGGGTGGGCTTTGGAGCGAGTGGAGGGTACCAAATAGAGGCAGTGAGTGTGAATCCCAGAACCAGGGCTGAGAGATGGCCAAGGTGAGGCCAAAGTGTTGGAATGACAGGCATGAGCCACCACACCCAACACAGGGACATCTGCTTCCCTGGTGAGAGGAGGAGCCCAGCAGAGAGAAGCTGATGTCCCAGAGATGGGCTCCCAGGGAGGTGGGGGAGGTGTTCTCCGGGAGGAGGAGGAGGGTGGGCATGCACACACTGGCACGCCAGGGAGTTGTGGAACCACCTCCCGATGGTCTCTTCTCTGTGAGGGAGGAGGCGGGGGGGTCTTTGGGAAATCCCAGAGGGACTGGACAAGGGTGTGATGGGTGGGGACTTGGGGCTGGTGGGTGTGGGTTTAGAGGTCCCCAGGCGGCCTCCCCCTGAACGTCCCAGCGCCCCCAGAGCAGGTGTGCGAGCACTGATGGGATTTCCTGCATTTCTGTGTTAAGGGAAACAGATGGCCAAGCCTCGGGGGGCAGTGATTCTGGGGACTGGATCTTCACAATCCGAGAAAAAGATCCCAAGAATCTCGAGAATGGAGCTCTTCAGCCATCGGACTTGGACAGAAATAAGGTACGTCTGCTCACTCCAGAATGGCCACGCTGACCTCAGTCTGCAGTGTTTTGGAGGCACTTGTGTGTGAAGCTTGCTGTGGGTGCGGCTGGGGTCCTTTGTGGCAGCTGTCCTGGAATTTTGTTGCTAGGGGATGGGCAGATGAAGAGCTTTAGTTCTGTCTGATGATCCAGGTGTTCACACCAGGGAGTCTGGCCTCTGGTCTGTTTTGTGCCACTCTATTCTGCTCTCTGCAGCCCTGCTGTTGAGTTAGGATGTCCCGATGTGGCAATGTCATGGGGTTTGGGGGTGACCCGTGAAATGACTTCATAGCTCTGAGGGACTGTTGTGCATGTTGCGGTTACTTACATACATATCATAATTTTGTGACTGAGTTTTAAGGACCTTATAAGTAAATGCATTGCTTTTGATATTTATGTAAAACAATTTTGATTAATTGGTTTTATGCCTGTTAAATTTATGAAAGGCCATATATTTAGGGTCTTGTAAAGCATAGTGGTGTAGTTTCTTTCAGGCAGGGTGGGCCAGTGGCTGTCCCCTGTTGATCCTACAAGTCCCGCTTTGATAAGTGAACAGGTGTTAAATGTCCAAATAGAGGTTGCAAAAGTAGAAACTCGGTCTCTGTCCTAGACAGCCATTGGAATGGCCAATCTTGACCTGATTTCTATTTCCAGGGTTTCATTAGTAAAGTACTTTTCTCTCTCTCTCTCTCTCTCTCTTTTTTTTTTTTGAGACGGGGTCTCTGTTGCCCAGGCTGGAGTGCAGTGGTGCCATCAGAGCTCACTGTAGCCTCAAACTCCTGGGCTCAAGTGATCCTCCCACCTCAGCCTCCTGAGTAACTGGGATTGCAGGCATGTGACATCACGCCCAGTTTATTTAAAACTTTTTTTTTTTTTAATAGAAACATGGTCTCACTATGTTGCCCAAGCTGGTCTCGAACTCTTGGGCTCAAGTGATCCTCCTGCTTCGGCTTCCCAAAGTGTTGGAATGACAGGCATGAGCCACCACGCCCAACCAGTAAAGCACTTCTGCGTAGATAGCAAGACGAGGCAGTTCACCGCCTGTGCCCACACAGAGTCCCCTTCCACATGGAACCCAGATGCTGGTTTCCCCGGTGCGTGGGTTTTGCATGTCACTGCAGATGAAACTTTGAAGTCTAGTGAGAGGCAGCCGATAGTCTCCTTCAGATGTTATGGTGCGCAGAGGGTGTTTCCTCAGCGTGAAGTGTAGAGGCAACTCCTGCGCTTCCATAGTCCAGGTGGGAGGTTTATTAAATTATTGCCAATGTGAACGTCAACTGTTTCTGATGACCTTTTTTTCCCTCTCCCCCAAGATGAAAGACATCCCGAAGAGGCCTTTCTCTCAGTGTTTATCTACAATTATTTCTCCTCTGTTTGCAGAGGTAGGTACCTGGCTGGCCTTTTCGGAGTGGGAGGGGAGGGGGAAGGAGAAGCTGGACACACTTCAGTGGTGATGTTGCCAGTTAAGAGTTGGGGACATTAAGACAAGCTGGCAAAGGCTCGGAAAGCCTGCATGGTGCCTTCCCAAAGGCTGTCAGCACCACCTTGCGCCTCCCCTGTCCTGGGTGATGCCCACTCCGCCGCAGCCTGGAATGTGTAGACTGGATGACAGTGACCCAGCCCGAGACCCTGTGTCACCCGTTGCCCTGCTTTTTAGCAAATCTCATTGTGTACAGCCTGCTCTCTTTGCCTCAGACCAATTTCTGGCCATGTGAAAAGTAGATTCTTTCTTCTAAGGAGACGTTGGATGCCCTGGAGTCCTCCGGTTTCCCCTGAGCCACATGTTTCACTGAAGTCCCTCCTCTGCTCAGCAGTGCTGTGCTCCCAGCTGGGCCTCCCCACGCCCACTCCCTGCTCAGCCTCTCCCTCCCAGAGGAAAGTGCTCCCGTGGCCGTGTTTTGAGAGATTTTCAAAAGTAGGCTTTATAAGAATGAAGATTGTTCTGCATCTGGTTAGTAGCGGATTTGAAAATAAGTTGGAAGTCCCCTCTTTTCTTGTTGTGCCCCTTCCTGGCTGAGGCTGCCTTTGAGGTACTCACTGTGGGCCACACACGCATCTGTTTGCGTGGGGATCTTCCCTCTTTGGGCAGTTTTCCACTGCGGCTGTGTTTAGGGGTCCTGGTCCTTGAAGGGGAGGTGCTCAGGAGAGGAAGTGTCATAGGAGCTCATTCTCCTCCCCTGTGCCTGCGTCACGCAGCGGGGGACCCCCGGCCATGGGCCGTGCCTGGCCAGCCACGGTCCTGCCAGTGCCTCTTCCCAGCCCTCCAATAAGCCTTCACCTGTTGCCCTGCCCAGCAGGTGCCCTGGAGGGTTTGTCTGAGGGCCTCTGACCTGGCAAGTTCAGGGCCCGGTGGGAGCAGGGCTGTGGCCAGAGCCCGAGGCCTCACCTGCAGCTTCAAGTGGGAAGTAGCCGAGCCCGCTGGTGTCGGGGAAGCCACAGGGCACGCGGAGGCCCTGCTGGATGATGTCTGGCTTCAGCCCTGGCTCATGGTTCTGGGCACCTGTGTTCTTCCTAACTAGGATGTCCGGGTTGAGCGCCATCCTGCGCTTCATTTTGTCCCATGGGAGTTGGCCCCGTGGGATTTCCAGGCTGTGCTCCTGCGGCCCTGCCATTGGCCGCTGGAATAGGGTCAGTCAGGCAGTTAGGGAAAGTGCATGGACTTTTTCATTCTCCTGAGGCTGTTTATTTTTTTACTGGGCCCATGAAGCAACTTTGACATAATTATTCAGGACATATCCTAAACGCCGTCATATCCTGGATTTTCCAGGTAACCAATTGCTAAACTCACAGGCATCTTTCCCAATGTATTTTTAAGAATGATATTTGCTACCCTAGAGTTCAGAGTGTTTATTGTGTATTATTTCATACAATACTTGTAGAAGCCCAGTAGAAGGATTATATCCCCATGCTTACAGATGAGGACATTGAGGAGACGGGTGTTGGCGTCCCTGCTTTCCTTCAGGGAGCACAGGTCAGGTTGCTCCCTGAAGTCAGTGATGGGTCCAGCACGTTCCACACGGCAAGGGGACAGGCCCTCTCCCAGGGCGGCCCTTCTGCCGCCTTTGCTCCTTCTTTGAGACTTAGGGGCGGGGCATGGGCAGGAGGGAGAGTGCTGGATTGTAGCTGACCCTCTCGGGACTTGTAAATACTGTCAAGTGATTGGGAGTCCTAGACAAACACGAGTGGCCGCCTCGGGGCCGGCGGCGTGGCCCTGTGACAGCAAGAACTTCAGGAACAAATGCTCTCTACACCCACTGGCCCTCCAAGGTCAGACCCTTCTAGTTCCTGCCTGCCCCTTCAGTAGCGAAGAGAGAAGCCGTTGCTCTTAGGGCAGGGCTGGGTTTGGAAATGACAGCATGTGTTCAACAACCTGAAAACCAAGCTGAATGTCGCCTGAGATGTTTCTTTCTTCCCTGAAGAGGAGGCGGTGTCCATCACAAAGAGCCTCTTCTGTTGAGTTCTGAGCCATGCTGTATCTTGACTTGAACAGCTCTTATTTTCACAGTTCACGTTTTTGGGCCTCCAGAGAGAGACTTGGAGTTGACCTTCAACTGAGGGAAGTGTCTGAAGGCACTGTTGTGATTTCTCTTGGGAGTAGAGGTGCCAGGAAGAACACTGGAGATTCCCAGAATTTAAGGCTGCCACTTATTTACATGAAATCAAATATTTTGACTCTACTCTGGATCACAAAGGCAGTTTGCTGGAGTTTAAGAACCAACCCATTAACATTAGGAAGTAAGCAGTGTTGAGATCAGAATAACTTAGGATAGGCTTTGAAATTGCTTTTCTGGTACAAGGTTATGGTTGAAATAGGAAAACAGCACAGAGAGGACAGTCCATCACGGTGAGACTTGGGAAAGGCACACAGAGAGCTAGTCGTCTCTGTTCTGGCCTCGAACAGTAATGATTATGGTCTGATGATTGCCCTGTGTATACATAACTGCTCTCAGAGCATTTGAATCACCTTTCTTCAAAAGGAACCCGGGCCGGGCACAGTGGCTCACGCCTGTAATCCCAACACTTTGAGAGGCCGAGGCGGGCGGATCACTTGAGGTCAGGAGTTCAAGACCAGCCTGGCCAACATGGTGAAATCCTGTCTCTATTAAAAATACAAAAACTAGCTGGGCATGGAGGCAGGGGCCTGTAATCCCAGCTACTCGGGAGGCTGAGGCAGGAGAATCGCTGGAACCCAGGAGGCGGAGGTTGCAGTGAGCTGAGATCACGCCACTGTACTCCAGCCTGAGCAACAAAGCCAGACTCCGTCTCACAAAAAAAAAAAAAAAAAAAAGCAATTTGAAGTGGCCTGGAGCCCTAGCCAAAGCTTTTCCCGGACACCCTGGGGCTGGGGTAGTGTCGTGGTCCACACGCCGTGTTGTTCCTTGAACAGCATGCTTCCCAGTTTTGCAGCTGGTGTGCTTCATGCCATTCTTCCTGTTCGTGTGTTTTCAGTTGAAGGAGAAGAGCCAGGCGTGCGGAGGGAACTTGGGGTCCATTGAAGAGCTGCGAGGGGCCATCTACCTAGCGGAGGAGGCGTGCCCTGGCATCTCCGACACCATGGTGGCCCAGCTCGTGCAGCGGCTCCAGAGGTAACTACCCAGGGCCCCTCTGGGCTGGGGAAGGAGAGACCTGCACTTGGGCTGGGACTTAGTTGATGAGTTTGGTACTTGATTCTTGGCCTGTCTGTTCCTGTTATCTTGCAGGCCTCAGGGTAGACAGAGTTGAATTAGAGGAGACTTTGTTCTGAATTCTAGAAATCAATGTGAATGAAGGATCTGAATCTGGAAACTACTGGAAAGCCCACAGGACTTAGTGCATTTGTAGCTTTTGCCACATAAATACAGGGTGGTGGTGAAATACCTGTTTCCTCTTAATTATGCAGCTTAATTATTGGCCAGAGAATGATCGTTCTTAGCCAGATGTGTGTAACTATCTATCTGGTTTTCGGCTTTAAAGTCAAGTGTGAGAAATGACAGCAGCTTTGGTGTGGTCAACTCAGCGGGAGCGGGCGCAGGTGTGTTCCCTGTGTTAGCTGTGTGTGTCATGTCTGGAAGCCTCCTTGGTAGGGGTTCATCTGTGCCAGCCTGTAGGGAGCTTTTGTCCCTGCCCAGTGGCCCCACCTGTTGAATGCACTATGGGTGAGGACTCAGTGGGGTGACAGTTTTGCCCTCCCTGCCCCCTCCCAACTTGTTGTAGGAGTATCCATGGGAACCAAGCCCCTCCTGACTGCCATCTGGCACAAGTGCAGGCGTTTGGAGGCAGTGGATGTGTGCTGGGAAGCCGCTCTGTGTGACCTGAGGGTGATTTGTCACTGGGCTGTCCTCCACACCCCCAGGAGGACCAGGCGTGCTGCTGCCTTGACAGTTCATCTTCAGGTGTCCAGGCTGACACCTCCCAAAGCTGGCTGAGACTCTGTGATCATGAGGGGGATTTCTGGGTCTTTCCTGAGACTGCGTCCCACCTGACAGTACATAAAGAAGTTTTGCACACGTGAGGTCCCTTTTGCTATTTGGAAGTGATTGAAGGGGCTGCCTACTGTCCTGTGAAGAGCCCCTCTACGTGGGGACAGCAGGAGAAAACCACAGTTCTGATACTTCACGTTTATGCTTCTGAACTCGGGTTTCTTAGTAAGACATTTCAACTTTTTAAGTTGCTAGAAAATAAAAATGATCTACTTGGCTGCCTTCAATTTTGAGGCAATTGAAGGACGATCCCTCCCTCCTTTGATACTAAAAACAATATAGGAATAAAGGAAAATAGAATTAAAAAGTCACCCATCTTTTGCCTGAACACAAACTTTTTGATTTCTCAAACTTAGCATCACATACCTCATTCTAGAGGCATTTATTTCCCATTAGAAAGAGCTTTATAATAAAACAAATAGAACAAAACCAGAAACGGGTAGGATTGTTACTGTCTTGTTGGGCATTTTGCTCTCTGCTTTTGTAGTATTACTTTTAAAACCAATACTTTCCACACTGTCCAGAATTGCCTGAAATTGTTATGAACTGTTTGTTTATATACGTGACTTGATTTCCCCAGGGCAGCTCCAGGGCACAGAGTGTGTGGCTTGTATGTGTTGAACTGATCCACGTTTCCCATTCCCAGGCCCCTATCTCTCTGTTCCTCTTCTTTTAGTTGTTAAGGCAAGTTGATCTGTACCAGTGCTGGCCAGTAGAAGTACAGCGTGGGCCACACACAGAATTTTATGTTTTCTGCTGGATGTGGTGGCTCATGCCTGTAATCCCAATGCTTTGGGAGGCCCAGGCAGGAGGATCGCTTGAGGCCAAGAGTTTGAGACCAGCCTGGGCAAAATAGCAAGACCCTGTCTCTACCAAAAAAAAAAAATTTAGCTAGGCATGGTGGCTTGTACCTGTGGCCCTAGCTACTTGGGAGGCTGAGGCTGCAGAATTGTTCGAGCTGAGGAGTTCGCGGCTATGGCTGTGATCACGTTTGCACTCCAGGCTGGGCAACAGAGTGAGAACCTGTCTCTAAAAACCAAACAAAAAGAGAATTTTACATTTTCTAGTAGCCATATTTTTAAAAAGCAAAAAGAAGTGAAATTAGTTTCAACAATACATTTTTTAACCTGCCAGATCCAAAGTATTATTTCAACATTAATAACAACAATCATCAATAAGGTATTTTACATTTTTGGAGGGACCGTCTTTGGAGTTGGTGTGTGTTTTACACTTAGCACATCTCCATTCAGACGCAGCACATTTTACGTGCTCACTGGGCATCGTGGCTGGGGTTGACCCTATTTACCCTCGGGCGGGTCTGTAGCTACCTGATGTCTGTGTTGTGTTTAAAACTTTACTTTGCAGTGATGCATGGGGGAAGCCAAGTTGGTGCTCTCTTTCCTTTGTCTGTGATGAGGAGTGCCCTCTTTCCTCCTCTGTCCTCAGATGAGCTGCCTCTTGAGGTGCTTATCATCTCTCTGCAGGCTTGGCTGTGGTACCCACTTCTTCCTTCCCTGCTCCTGAAGCTCCCACTGAGCGTTCACCCCGATGGCTGCCAAAACCACGGTGGCCATGGCTTAGACTTCCTGCCAGTTTTGCTCCAAACATGTTGTTTCAGTGGATGGCTGTAGGAAAAATGAGAGCCGCCTCTCCTCTGAAGCATTTTCAGAGCCTTTCTGTCTCAGCTGGAATTAATGTTTGGATTCTTTTGTGTGACATCAACTCATCCCGTGATTTAGTCATTTGTATTTCTTGATAGTTGAGTCTTAGGCTCCGTGGCTAATGTGTGCTTTTGGGAGGACCTTATGTAACCATTTGTTCTCTGGGAGAGATGCCAAGTATTTCAAATGCCTGAAAAGAGGAGCTCTAGATTGGAACGTTTGAGATAAGCCTGGTCAAAGACATCCTCAGCCATCTCTCCTGGACCTGTGATTTGGAGTCTGTTGTAAAATGGTTGAGGGAATTGTGGTCATGAGGGGACCCCGTTCTCACCCTTTGTTGTCTTCTGAAGACAATCTTGTAGAATTTTTGGAAGACACAGAAATTACCCATGATCCCACCACTGTAGCCCAAATCTCATCAGCATCTTTGGGTGCATTGCCTTCTGTTGTCATACCAGGTCATAAACTTACTGAATTCTCTTATCTACCTTATAGTGCAAAGAAGATTTTTTAGAATTTCTATAGTACTTAATTTAGGATACAGAAGTTGTTCATGTAAATATACTTATATAGTGCACATATACAGGCTGAATATCCCAAATCCCCAATCTGAAACTTTTGAGCGCCAGCATGGGGCTCAAAGGAACTGCTCTCTGGGGCATGTCAGATTTCGGATTTGGGGCTGCACACTGGTAAGTATAATGCGGATATTCCCAGATCCAAAGCCAGAAGCATTTCAGATAAGGGATGCCCAATCTGTAATTTTGTATGTACTTTTAAACTTGTACATATTTTTAATATTGCTTTAATATATATATGTAAATACAGATAATTACCATTTTTAGTCTGTTATTTCAGTTTGTATAATTTACTTAACTGATTCTGTACTGTTGGGCATCAGAGTTGTTTCCAAATTAGTGTAATTACGAAAATCCCGAGAGACATCTTTGTGCAGACACGTTGTTCCTGCTTTGGACCATATTTCGGAAGCAGTTCTAGGAAATAGATTCTTGGACTGCATCACTATTTTTATGGCCAAAATGGGTTTCCTGCCCTCACATCGGGAATGCATATGCATCCCTGGAATCTTACTGTGTCATCATGTATGGATCAATGTTCACTTTTTGACAATTGATCGTAAGTAAAAGGGATATGATTTCCCGTTTTATTCACATCTCTCCAGGGAGGCTGAACCCATTCTTGGTTTTTGGTGACATGCTCTGGAGTTTTTGTGTAAGAATCATGATCTTCTCAGTCTTTATATGCATTCTTTTAAAATTAGACTTACACATTGATATTTGCTCCACTTATTTTTGTATGACTTGGAATTTCTTATGAAAACTAAGATTTTGGTTACTATATGAATTTTTGCACAGGGATGAGAAATGACATGTGTTGACTTCTCTCTCTCTCTTTTTCCCTAGATACTCTCTAAGTGGTGGAGGAACTTCATCCCACTGAAATTCCTTTGGCATTTGGGGTTTTGTTTTTCCTTTTTTCCTTCTTCATCCTCCTCCTTTTTTAAAAGTCAACGAGAGCCTTCGCTGACTCCACCGAAGAGGTGCGCCACTGGGAGCCACCCCAGCGCCAGGCGCCCGTCCAGGGACACACACAGTCTTCACTGTGCTGCAGCCAGATGAAGTCTCTCAGATGGGTGGGGAGGGTCAGCTCCTTCCAGCGATCATTTTATTTTATTTTATTACTTTTGTTTTTAATTTTAACCATAGTGCACATATTCCAGGAAAGTGTCTTTAAAAACAAAAACAAACCCTGAAATGTATATTTGGGATTATGATAAGGCAACTAAAGACATGAAACCTCAGGTATCCTGCTTTAAGTTGATAACTCCCTCTGGGAGCTGGAGAATCGCTCTGGTGGATGGGTGTACAGATTTGTATATAATGTCATTTTTACGGAAACCCTTTCGGCGTGCATAAGGAATCACTGTGTACAAACTGGCCAAGTGCTTCTGTAGATAACGTCAGTGGAGTAAATATTCGACAGGCCATAACTTGAGTCTATTGCCTTGCCTTTATTACATGTACATTTTGAATTCTGTGACCAGTGATTTGGGTTTTATTTTGTATTTGCAGGGTTTGTCATTAATAATTAATGCCCCTCTCTTACAGAACACTCCTATTTGTACCTCAACAAATGCAAATTTTCCCCGTTTGCCCTACGCCCCTTTTGGTACACCTAGAGGTTGATTTCCTTTTTCATCGATGGTACTATTTCTTAGTGTTTTAAATTGGAACATATCTTGCCTCATGAAGCTTTAAATTATAATTTTCAGTTTCTCCCCATGAAGCGCTCTCGTCTGACATTTGTTTGGAATCGTGCCACTGCTGGTCTGCGCCAGATGTACCGTCCTTTCCAATACGATTTTCTGTTGCACCTTGTAGTGGATTCTGCATATCATCTTTCCCACCTAAAAATGTCTGAATGCTTACACAAATAAATTTTATAACACGCTTATTTTGCATACTCCTTGAAATGTGACTCTTCAGAGGACAGGGCACCTGCTGTGTATGTGTGGCCGTGCGTGTGTACTCGTGGCTGTGTGTGTGTGATGAGACACTTTGGAAGACTCCAGGGAGAAGTCCCCAGGCCTGGAGCTGCCGAGTGCCCAGGTCAGCGCCCTGGACTGCTTGCGCACTTGCTCACCGAGATGATGCAGTTGGAGGTTGCTGATCTGTGCGATTGCTGTAGCGGTTGCCGGGGACCTTAAGAGTTATTTTGCTTCTCTGGAAGGGGCCTATGCTTGCTAGGCAGGCAGCCAGTGTGTCTGTTTTTCTTGGTTTGCTGTGGGACCTTGCTTGGCGAGGGGGAAAATCTCTGGGTTTCTGGAGTGGGAGGGTTCGTGCAGCAGCTGTTGACTGGTACATGAAGCATTCTTTTATGTTTGTTGAAGCTGATGATTGACATCTCCCGTGGGTGTGCCAGTTCTTGTGGAGTTAAGACAGGATTTTTGGAAGCAAGGAAGTTAGTGGGTGAGCTTGGGGATGTAGCTCAGCTATCTGCTGGTCTAGTGGCCTCTAAGCTATAGGGAGGGGACAGAGCCCTGAGCTACAGATGCTTGAGTGGGTTATTGTGTCGGTTTGCTAGTGCAGTCTGGTTTTTAAGCTCTAAAATTGAGGTATTTTATTAGAAGTGGATTTGGGTTGAACTCTTAATTTGTATAAGGGATATATTTTGGTTGGGGAAATAGAACTGAGTTGCTAATTCTTATTGTACTCATTACTCCATACAAGAATGTTATGTTGAATAATAAAATTGGAGAAGATTTCATTTTGTGTTTCCAGGGAGTATTCTGTGTGGGGAACTGTTTCCTTACGTGAGGCCGGCGGCATAAGTCAAAGATGAGTTTTGTCCTTGCGAATCACACAGATTGAGTCTGTGTTCCCCAGGGTGTGCCGTTACCTGATTTTTAAGTGAGCCAGGGCGGACAGCAGCTTTTCTGATTTACAGAGTTCTTCAGATTTACAAATGGACAATGACATCACAGTTTTTAGCACTGAAGCCAGTCTCATGCTAGTAACAGTGGGTGAGCCGCTCGAGGGACTGGGTTCTAATGAATACTGGTATGAACGGGGAGTCTCTGCAGTCGCCAGACAAATCATACTCAGCCCCTTCCCCCGTAGAGCAACAAGTGGTTCTTTTAGAGTTGACTGGCAGCATTTCCTGTCGGGGGAGGTGGGGTTTGATGGAGTTAGAAAGCTCGCCTCTGTGTACATTCTCTCCTGGGCTGTTACTTTCTGTAGACGCACAAAATCAGCCCCAATGTTTTTAAGGGCATCTTAGCCAAGGAAGCTGGCTTTTGTGTCGCCACTTCCAGGCCTGCATTAAGAGAGAGCCCAGGCACCAGGGCTACCACTGGAACCTGCCTCAGCGTCAACTGCTGCTGGTCTGTAGCCAGGCCCAGCCTTTGAGACGGGTTTACTGTCACCAGTAGCCTCTCAGTGCCAGCCCTGAGCTGCTCCTGGCTCAGCTGCCCAGAGCCTGCAGCCTGGGGAGGTACTCAGCCTCTGGGAGACGAGGGCCGTGGACTGGGTGGCTGGTAGCTCCTGCGTTTTTGAGCTGTGTCCTGGCTGGCTGCTGCCAATGAGGTGGACACCAGTGTGGTTTGGGGTGCACTGGCCACTTCTTGCTGGGTTCTGATTTTCTTGGAAGTGCATCTGCCTTCCTTATCCAATAGTTTTATCCCTGCATTGCTCTTGTGAAGTGGCTGGTTTGGTTCTGTATGTAGCATTTTGTACCTTTCCTCTGGCAAAACACTGTCAGTTTATAAACATTTTTTATATTTCCCTCCTTTAAAAACAGCTTGTGTATTTCTGCTATAAAATGTGTCAGCAAAGGCAGAGTGACCTAATAGGGCATGTTCTTAAGCACAGGGACTGTATCATGCAGGGGCCAATAAAGCTCAAGAAAACGAGTATCTGCATCATTGTGTGTCTCATGTGTAGTGTGTCTCAAACTCCACTCAGATGGACTGTTACCCACACTAGTATTTTCTTGAGGGCACACAGGAAGCAGAGGTGCTGGTCACAGGTCAGAACCACCAGTGTCCAGCAAGTAGTTTGGAATCAATCAATCATTCAGAAATAAATAGCTGAGGAGACTGCCTTGTCCCCAAGTCTCCAGGAATGAGTGAGTGGTGACTTCTGGAGGGAGCCTGATGCTGCTGTGTGGCCCGGAGCTGTTTGTTTGCTCTGCCCCTGCCTGGAGGTGGGGGGAGCATAGGGAACAGTGGGGGGCAGGCCCTCCCTGTGTCACTCTGAACACTGGGGCTTTAGAAACCCTTGCTGGAGTGTCCCCTTCCCCCCTCCCCCCCCACACAGAAAATGAAGACTACAGACAAAGTTGGTTGTTTTGCCTTAAAACATCAATATGCTGGATTGTGGCGTGAGGTATTTTTATTCCCTTTGTTAGTACTGGAAACCGTCTGGTACATCTTGTAAGGCAAATGATTAACACACGGCAGGCTCTTCGTCCGTTTGCAAGTTGCTGTTTGTTTCCAGCTACACCAGTCAGAGCTCCACAGAGAGGGTGCGTTCCTGGTTCTCAGGTGGGCAGGTGCTATGGTGCGGGGCGCTGGAAAGAATGGGGTTGAATTGGCCCTCGCCTCCGCTTGTTTGAGACTCTCGTTAGAAAGGGCTTAGGAAAACCAAGGGAATGGCAGCCACCCCATCACCATCGAGAACAGGCAGACGTTTCCCGAGTAGGGGCCAAAGCCACTGGAAACCGTGTTCCCTGTGCAGTCCGACTGACACTACCCCATGCCTGGGGGGAATGAGTATAAAAAGGGAAATGTTTTTGAAGACAGGCACGATATATACTACTAGAGAATGCGCAGTTTCAAACCACAGTTGCAGGAGGATATAGGAATAACGACAGGTGCCGGGGACTACGTACCATGATTTCATAGTGCTCTGCAGCCAGCAGGCTCACTAAACGCTCATCACGGAACATACCACAAATGGTGCTGATCAATGACACACGGGTTTTCATGCTTGTGACACAGACAGACAGCAAAACACCACGGCTTATTATCTTCCCATTGTGTACACCACTCACAGGACGGTGACAGTCCAGGTATTGCACTGGATCTCGGCTTTGCTTAACAGAAAACAACCCTGCTACGGTTGGAAAGAGTTACCACTTAAAACGATTTGGTCAACTTGCACCAAGAAGTAGGTTGGGAACAGGTGTTTTCAGGTGAGCGTGAAACCCCGCAGTGGAACGCTGTGTGCTGCAAATTGCTTATTAATCAGAGAAGTGAGTCCTACTAACTTCCTATTATTACAAAAGTAGAAAGACTGAAAAAAAAAATGAAATCTGAAAATGATCTCATTTGCTTAAGGCTGCACTGAGTGTATTGCAAACAAACAAACAAACACCGGGAAGTCCACTTCGTAAAATGCAGCAGCCAATAGGTGAAAATAATAAAAGAAAGAACTTTTTTTAGGAAGAAAAACACTTGCCCTGTCTTGTGTTGAACGGATGTGTGTGTACTGTTTTTCAGGGGCAGGGTGGAGGGAAGATGTCATTTGGCACTCTCGTAATGACAATGTTTTAATACTGGCACTAGCTAAAGAACAGCGCCCCCAGCGGATGCCAGGACTGGAGGTGGGAGCGCTGTTCATTCAGACGCTGAGAGGTCGGGGTTAAAAAACGCGGCTGTGGAGACAGGAGAGCTGCTGGGAAGCCATGTTTTTGATTTTCAGACAGGTGTTAATTTTACCAGGCTTCATTAATACAGAAGAAAGGAAACGTCTTCCAGGAAAGCAGCCACTGCGGAAACGAGTGTGTCCGGCCATCAATACACAAGAGACTCTTTGTGACTCAACACGTGGGGTCGCGAGGCAGAGCTGGTGGCACTGCGGATCACTTCCATCCACCTGCAACACGGGAACGCCAGTTAGTCAACCTTTTGTTTGGACGGACTCCTGACACTTTGGTGGGCATCGCTTACAGAAACACAAGGTGAAGTCAGGCCGCCTGGTTGGTAATCTGCCACTTCAGCAGAAGAGCAAGGGAACAGCCAGCACCCAGGCGTTCCTGAGGTACAGTGGAGACCCACTGGCCTGGGCACTCACTCAGTGTGGAGCTGGAAGTACCTTGCTGCAGTGACACTGCCCGCTCCATTGGAGCAGTTAGGAGCGAGGTGGCCTCTGGTTGCTGGGGAGAACGCTACCTCCTATTTTCATGGACATGGCAGAGAATGGCGGGACGTGTCCCATCCTGCTTAGTGGAAGCTCTCCCTTCCTTTTTTCTTTTTCTTTTTTTTTTGAGACAGGGTCTGGCTCTGTCACTCATACTGGAGTTCAGTGGTGCAGTTATCGCCCACTGTAGCTACCTCCTGGGCTCAATCGATCCTCCAGCCTTGGCCTCCCAGGAGATGGGACTACAGGCTTGCACCACCACGCCCAAATCTCCCTTTTTATATATTTGTGTATTTGCTCTCTACCGGTGCTTCTCAAATGGGTGCAATGCTGTCCCATTTGGTAAAGTCTGGAGACATTTTTAGATGTCCCAACTGAGGGGTTGCTGCGGGCATCTAGTGGGTGGCCAGGGATGCCGCTGAACATCCTGCACAATGCAGGACGGACTCCCCAAATTACCTGGCCTTGTCCCAGGCCTTTCAGGATCTGGACTGCAAGGCTGGACCCTTTGTCACAATAATAGCAAAATCCCAACTTTGATCAACCCAGCTCTCAACCCAGCTCTCGAGCTCAGTCCAGGATCAGATTTGAGAATGGCTCTCCTCTAGGTTCCTTTTTCAGGTGATGTTGTTTAGGAGGTGCTCAGCATATTGCTGAGGACCCCTCCCCTTCTGCCTCCCGGGGCGAGGAGGGCTCAGCAGGGCAAACTGCACAAGTAGTCGGCTTGGGGATGCAATTTGCAGAGGCCCAGGATCTCTATTCAAAATATGAATTGCAGGAACAGTCTTAGGCCTGACTGTTGCATTTCTTTCTTGGCTAAATGAAGTCTGCAGTCCCTGCCATTACACCATGTAGGCAGTCTCACTGGGGCTTAGCTTCATCATCCCGGACACGTTATGTCAGAGATCTCCAAGCAAGATGTCTAGGGCCTCAGCCAACACCGTGCAGGGTAAGGGCGCAGGGAAGTTGGGACCCCACTTTCTGCCATGAGAACAGAATCGCCTGCTGGTGTCGGGCAGTGGGACCCCAGGTCTAAACGCTTAGTTGGCAGGGAAGGGTGGGGCCATCTCACTCGCTGACTTGGGAGAAATCCTGATGTTTGGAAGAGGGGGTCCTCTTCTGCAGGGCCCTGTGCGTGGGAAGGGGGTGTCTACCTTTCGAACGTGTACTCGCTTTCCGCCCTGAAGTAGTAGACGTGGGACTTGAAGTGCAGCTTGAACACGTAGTCTTTCTGGATGTTCTCGGACTCAGAGGGGATGGTGAGCGAGTAGCCGAGCAGAGGCAGGCTGGCAAGGGGATGATTGTCCTGGAAAGGGGAAACAAAGCAAAGTGGCTTTTCGGGGTCAGCTTCTGCTGCTGGGCCTGGCTGCTGCCCCGCATCAGACAGGGACTTGGGAGCCCAGGCAGCTCCCTCCTCGGGCGTGGGCCTGGAAGGGACCATGGCAGCCAGTGTTTGCCTGTACGTGATGGCCCGGGTGGCAAGTCCCGCCAGGACTGAGCTGTAGATAAAGCCAACCCCCGTCCCTTGTCCAGGCAGAAGACAGGTGGCCCTTCCTAGGGCAGAAGTTGTCCTTCAGTGGATGATAATGTCAGTCTTCCCTAGAGTTGAGGGCCTCGGGTGGACAGGGCCCCCCGCCAGCATCCCTGTCATCCCCGTGACACCTGGAGCCCAAGAGGCCTGAGTCATTCCAGAGGAGGGCGGCCCCCTCACCTCATGCTGCCACCCCCAAGGTCCCAGGGCCACCTGCCCTGTGCGAGACACTTACCTGGTGTGATTTGTAGAAGAACAGGCAGAAGTTTGTGAACACCACCCACAGCTTCTGCCACCCGTTGCTGTTTTTGAATTTCCTCAGCAGGTTTCCAGACAACTGATTCTGAAAGGCAAGGAGGCCTGTGAGAAGCACAGCGGGCACCTGCCCCAGGAGGGCACAGAGAGCAGCTCTCCCTGCACCAGGGCCCTGGGCTGGGGCATGTCCGTGACTGAAGGATGTGGGCCCCACCCCCGCTCCCCCGTGTGTGGGGAGACTTGGCAGGTCCTGGGACCCTGATCTCATCACTTCCCCTTGTCACTTGCTGTGGGGCATCTTGGGGTCCCTGTGTCCCCCCAAAAGACACGTTGAGGTCCTGACTACCAGTACCTTAGAACACAGGCTTATTTGGAAATAGGCTCGTTGCAGGGTAACTAGTGAAGACGAGATCACACTGGGGTAGGGTGGGCCCTAAATCCAACGGGAGTGGTGTCCTGAGGAGAAGAGCCACCTTGAGGGGAGAGGGGTGTGCCCTGTGACACCGAGGCAGAAATGGGGGCGCAGGACCCCATGCATTGCCAGCAGGCGGAAGCTGAAGGAGGGAAAGATCCATCCCAACAAGCTCAGAGCAGCACTCGTTTTGAGGGGCCAGGCACCCTACCCAGGAAGTGGGGCCTGGGGTGCATGTGAGTGGCTCCCACATGCCCTCTAGTGGCCCAGGAGGCAGTTGCAGCCCTGCCCACCTCCAGGCTCAGGGCCGGCCCAGCCCCTGGAGCATTGTTAGGATGCGCTGCAGCCCAGCTAGGGGGCAGGGACAGGCACCTGTGTCCATGCTACCTCCAAACAACTCTGAGCAGGCCTGACGCACTGGTGGCTCATTTCGTCCCTTTGCCAAAGTGACATCACCAGCAGAGACTCAAAGCAGTTGCACCACCTTGTAAAGGCACTTAATGCCACTGAATTGTTCCCGTAAAAATCGTTAAGTTGGCCAATATTGTGGTATAGCTATTTTACCACAATAAAAAATACAGACCTCCGAGTCTGCCTCATTCCATCTCTCTGGGTGCCCCTGGCACTAAGCTTCTGTGCTGGGAGCTGGGATCAAATGGTCTGATGTCCCTGCCCTCCAGTTGCTCAGGGAGGGTCCAGTGGGAGACATGGACACTGACAGTAGGTCCGTGAGGGGCTGCAGGATGTGGGGGACCCCGCAGACGGGGAGAAAGGGCATTCCAGGCCAGGCAGGCAGCTCCAGCCATCCATCCTCCTCCCCCAGTGGCAGAAAGGAACAAGAAAATGCAAGGCTCCAGGTTCCCAGAAGGTCCTGGTGGTGGCCAGGGCTGGGCTGATGCCCATGCGGCATCTTGGGTCACGCAACATGGAGCAAGGAGGGTGGCACACTCCCCTTTCCTAGGTATTTTCATACTGACTCACATAATTTTCACACAGCAGCCAGCCCACAGTGGGGTTCATACATGTCACCCATCACAGTCTGGGCCCATTTGTTTCCAAAGCAGCTTCCTTAGCGCTCTCTAGCTTCTGCCTGGCCATTCCAATAGCCTCTGGAAACCTCTTTATCAATAGGCACATCCAGCGGCCCTTCCTCGCTCCCCACGGCCGGGCCGAGCCTCCCGCTCCCCTGTGTCGGGTCCATCCTGGCCTCCAGCGTGTTACGGGCCCTGCGCGCCATGAGTCTCCTGCCCTGCACTCAGGAGGCCGAGGCCATGCTGGTGGCTCCCAGACCTGTCTCCATTCACTGCCTTCACGAGAGGGTCAACATCCTTGTTCAGAACCAGACCAGCCTGCCCTGTCTCCTCGTGGCCCTTCATTGGGGCCACCGCTCCTCTCCCTTCTTGGATCCCATTCCCTCAGACCCTGCTGTGGGTTGAATTGCACCCCCAACAAGTCCAAACCCTCCGTGCCTACAATGGTGACCTCACATGGACACAGGGTCTCTGCAGATGCGATCGAGTCAAGGTAAGGTCACTAGGACGAGCCCTAAGCCCAGCACGAGCCGTGTCCTTAGAAGAGGATATTAGAGTGCAGATACAGGGAGGACAGCTGGTGACACGGCAGACCGGAGCCCTGCAACATGGGTGGAGTCGGGGACCCCCCGAGAAGAAGACTGCCGCAGCCACCAGATGCTGTCAGGTGGGGACATTTTCCCTCAAGGCCTCCCAAAGGAACCCACCTGCCAGCAGCTTGATTTTGGACTTCCGGCTTCCCGCACTGTGGGAGATGTTTCTGTGGCCTCACCCAGTCTGAGGTTGGTGCCGAGTGACGCCACGGGGAACAAATATAACCCCCGTGCCCGCCACTCCCTGGCCTCACTGTCCCTTCCCTCCTTCCGGTCCTGTCTGCACCCCGTCCCTTCCCTCCTCCCAGTCCTGTCTGCGCTCTGTCTGCTGAACAACTTCCCTGCTGTCCCGTCTCGCCACTCCAGCCTTAAAAGACAACTTGCATTGCTTTGCCTCTGGCCCTTCACTGGCTCTAGTGCCCACAGGCTGGGCAGCCCTCTGGCCATCCCAACATCTGACCCCACCTCTAGTGGGAGCCCCCAGGCCTGCCGGCTTGCCCACAACTTTTAGCAGAGGCCAGTGAGGCCACACGGTCCCCAGATACGCCCCTTCCTCAAGTGTGCCTACACGAGTCAGACGGGAGTGGGAACTGGGAGAGGCTGGGCACGGGACTGGGGAGAGGAGGCTGTTGAGTCAGGAGGAGATGGAGCTGCTTTGTCCTGTCATGCAGGGAGGAGGCCCTGGGGATGGCTCATCTGCGAGTCAGCGAGCATTTGGCGTCTGGCACATGAGGGCTGCCTGCCACCGACACAAGATTGATGCCACGTGCCTTGGGAGGGGGCTTTCTGGCAAGGAGGGACATCTGCAAAGTGATAGAGCAGCCCAGGTCCCTGACTGTACTAGGTGGTCACTGCCACCTTCAAACCCCACTGGCCAGTGGCTCACTCTCCTGCTCTCTACTAGGGTCAGCAAACTTTTCCTCAAAAGGCAGACGGCAGATATTTCAGGCTTTGCAGGCCAAGGGGCAAAACTGAAGACATTATGTAGCAGCCATTAAAAAAAAGTGAAACCCATTCTTGGTTCGCAGGCTGTAAGCCACCAGGCCGGGGCTAGATCTGGCTGGGGGCCAGCGTGCCCCTGACTCAGTGCCTTGACCTGATCATGCACACGGAAGGCTGCGACCGTGTAGATTTGTTATCCAAAAAAGCTGGGCTGCAGGTGGCTCTGGGCCACCTGGACCCCACTTGGGTATTTGCTGCCTCGTTGAATGGCCTGGGTGCCTCCAGGTATGTAAAAAGCTTTGAGGCCTATGACAAACCCCAGCCTTGAGAGTCGTAATTCACACATTGCTGAGGTCAGGACGAAGCAAGGCCAAGACGGTTCCTCCCCAGTGGCGGCGCCACACATCGACTGGCTTCGTTTCAGACACACGCCCACAGGTGAGATCTGATGAGGCCTCGTTTCCCATGAGCCTATCACGGGTTCTTCCCTGCTCCTCCGCTTCGGGGGTCTCCTTTCCTGCTATCATAATCCCCATCCCCTGGGAGAAGTCTCAGACCCGCAAGCTTTGCGCACAGGCCTGGTGGAGGTGTGAAGCTGGGGAAGAATGTTTAGTGCTCTTCACACCTGGGCTGTCAGGAGGCCCGGGGAGGGAATATTCACACCTGCACACTCAGGGGAACCCCATGGGACAGAGCCTCGTATGTGGGGACAGCTGGGAAGAAAGGCTGTGCCCGTGGGGGAGCCAGGGCCTGCACCTCGGATGTGTCCCCTTGAGGATGTCTTCAGAAGCAGGCCTGGGCTTAGAAACAAGCGGCTTGTAGCAGGAAACTCAATAAAGGCAGGTCTGAGCAACGGGGAAGGTCGTTTCCCGAGAATAAATTCCGAGACTCTCTCGAGACCCTCCATGAAGCACTGCTGGCTCATTCCTGCTGCTGTTGGTTCCAAGAGCCAGCAAACTCCTGTCCTGGCCTGAGTCTCTTATGTGACACTCTTTGGACCAGGCCTGTGTGGGAACTGGCCCTTTCTGCGTTTGGAAGGGAGTCCTGCCTCGACTGCAGCAGCCCCGCAGAGGGCGCGGGGGCAGAGATTCTGCGGTGAAACGTGAGCATTCACATAAAACACAATCACAATGATGAATGGCCTCGCCCCAGCTCAGGGCAGCTTCCACTGCCAGTGAGAGATGAAGAAAGCTTTCCTGTTTCACACCTTCACGGGCTTGAAGTGTTCTGAAACACAGCTATGGGCCTGGACTGAAGAATGCTTAGGGAATGGGCATTTGGAAGGGTCTGGAAGGATTCAAGATCTGGGAGAGATGCATCTTCAAAGCCAACTTTCAGGTGGTGGGCTCAGAAAACAATACCCTGAAGTGAAAGGTTCAGAAGCCAGGCTTCCCTGCCCACCTCCTGCCTCGCCCCTTTCCTCCCCAGGCGAGCCACGGAAACTGGACTCCCCCTTCCTTAAGGCGGGTCATTGAAACCAGAACCTCCTTCCCCCAAAGCCAGCCACAAAACCAAAAACGGTCACCCTAACCTTTCTCCACCGTTCTGTGTAAGAGCTGGCTATAAACTTACTCCCTGGCCCACCTGGTGTGAGAAGAGGTTCTAAGACCCCCACTGTAGAAAGGGTCCCGCACCATACCCCGGAGCAAGGAACGCTGCTCAGAAAGGCCCAGAAAACCCGGAGGGGCCCTGCGGGGCTCCTTTCGCCCTCCTGGCACTAGCTCTCAGCCTGTCCCATCAGCTCCCCACGGCGCCCTGTTCTTCACGGAAGCGAAGCATAAAAACAGACGGTTTTCGCCGGACCTCTGGGTCTTCATTCTGAAGGCTCCCATGTCATGTAAAATGACGATGAAATAAACTGGTCATGCTTTTCCCTTGTTAGCCTGTCTTTTGTCACAGGAGTGTCTGCCGTGACCCTCATGATGGGGAGGAGCTGGCACCTGCTTGCCATCGTGCAGACTCTCCTCCCTCCCATGCACCAGATTCCCGTGGGGCGGTTCAGGACATGACAGCCATGGAACTGTCCAGCAGCTGTGCCCTGGGCCCTGTGTTCTGGGCTAACTGCATGAGAGGCAAGAAAACAGGCGAAGAAAGAGAGAAAACGACCTTGTGGATGGCAATAGGACTGATGAGCACCAAGGGATATGACTGCATTTGTGGGAGGTCGGCGCCCACTCAGCATCACCCCTGCAGGGATACCTCCGGCAGGCTCCAAAGGGGGCCCAGTGTTGATCCTTCCCTGCTCAGCCACCGCGGGTAGGTGGGGCCACCCACAGTCCCAGCCTCCCTCAAGCCCCTGGCCCAGAAGTTTGCCTGGGTTCTGCCTGGGCCAGCACAAGCTGGGAACCAGAGCTGCCCTGCCCCTGCGTACCTCCACTGCGATGCTGAAGTCCACCATGGAGACGCTGGTGTTGCGGTGCCAGCACACGTGCACCATTGTGTTGCCGCGGTGCGGGGCCTGGCGCTCCAGCGATGTGCGCGAGGCGCTCAGGTCATCCTCTGACTCCTGGTCAGCCGCGGTGGCTTCATCAGGGGACTCTACAGGATGGGGCAAAAGGCAGCACTTCTGATCTTTCCTCCCAGCGCCCCTTCCTGATACACTCTGAGGTGCTGGAAGGTTGGGGGGCTCACAGCAGTCACAACCTGTGGTGCCCAACCAGAATCTAATGAGGCCTCGATGGACCCTGCAGCTCCAGTCACAGAGCCCCAGCCCCTCCCGGGTGTGTAAACAGCCTGATGTTCTCTCCCTGGACAAGGGTAAATGCCGGCCCAGAAAAGGTGACTTCCCAGCTCCCTCATGCCGATTTCAGGGGTTTTACTTTTAGGAAAAAGAACTGTCTTGATCTTTGGCTTTAAACACAAATGTACACCACGGATGTGAGGCCTACCCGATGGGGTGGCTTTAGATGCAGAAATGCTGTCCCTCCATGAACCAGACCCCTGCATGGGAAAGCTGCCCTGGCCACACTCACTGTTGTCAGGGGGGCTGCTGGCCAGGAACTCAGGGGCGGGGCTGCTGCTCTTCTCCGCCAGGTCAATGGCCATCTGGATGTCCTCAACCCACTTCTCCATCTCGGACCGAGAACTGGAGACAGAGACGCGTCAGGTGTTCAGGCCACAGCACATCAAAGGGGAAACAGGCAAGGGGCGGGCTCCCGAGTTACCTGGCGGCCACGATGATGGACTGCCGCTGGCCCCGGAGGGTCAGGCAGTGGGGCACCCCCCACTCGTCTTCGCTCTCCTCAATCTGTGGGCAAGAGAAGATAACGTCACCATGAGGCACGTGATGCACTTCCAAACATCCCTGAGCTGGCAGCCAGGCAACTTGGAAAAGGAGGGGTGCCCCTGAGCAGGGCTCAGGAGACCCAGAGCCCCACAGAGGGAGAAGGCACTCTGAGTTGGAAAAACCCAAATCGGAAAGGCGACAGGAAGATCGCGGCACACTGAATGTTTTTGGCAGAGCCCACAAACTTCCCTCTCTCCAATCCCGGAGGACAGCGTGGGCACCAGCCAAAGGGCCACATCCCAGGCCCAGGCGCCCTCTACACCTGCCTGCCAAGGGGGACAGGAGGCAGCCCCAAACCAACTCGGGGGAGGACGAGGTGGCTGGCCCAGCTCCAGGGAGCGGGCGCTGTCATCCTTGTGTGTGGCGAGGACTGTCGGGGCCCCTGGGGCCAGGCACAGGCTGTGGGAGGCGAGTTCATGCCACGCGGCCTTGTCAGCTTACCCTTTCACTCGATTCTATAAGGAATGGACCTGCACATCCCATGTGCAGGAGAAGGAGCCGTGTCCCCAGAGCCCCACTAGAGAAGCCCTAGAAGGCTCGAGCTTTTAGGTGAAAGGGTTGTATGGTCTTCGATGGTCTTTGAGCCCATGTCTTGTAACCAAGATGCCACTAGCCACCCTCTCCCTCCCTATCCAGTCTCCTTCCCTCCTCATCGCCGGGTCAGCAGCGCCCGCACCTGCTGCCCCCGAGGACAGGCCCTGGCCACGAGCCTGTGCTGTACTCACCGTCATGCCATAGAGCGGGAGCTGCCCGTGGACTTTAAACTGATTGGAGGCCGTCAGCCCCCGGCTCGTGTATAGCAGGACGTCGTTGAACTGGAGGAATCAGAAGTGTGTGGAGGTGAGACCACGTTTGGACAGCAGGCTTCCCTCCAGCATTCCCTGTCCTCAACTGTGCCTTCACTGTCCTCAACAACTTGGGCCTGGGCACCTCTGGCTGCTCTTCCTCTACCCCAGGTCCCTCACTTGGGTGGCCGAGGTCCGGCCTTGGGAGCCTTGCTTGCCCAGGTGACACAATCCTTGTGAGGACAAGCCGCTCTCTCCACTCACCAGGAAGAACATGCGCTGCTGGAGCCCCTTCCCCGAGAGCTTGCTGAGGCTGCCCAGACGGATGAACTCCTGCAGGGGAGACAGACCGGAGGGCTGGCTGCGAGCGTGCGGACCCCAAGGGCTGAC
Organism: Homo sapiens; assembly: GCF_000001405.40. Classification (NCBI taxonomy): domain Eukaryota; kingdom Metazoa; phylum Chordata; class Mammalia; order Primates; family Hominidae; genus Homo; species Homo sapiens. Next base: position 98,438,746 of record NC_000013.11, on the reverse strand, counting down.
GGCCAGTGTGCAGACCCCGAGGGCTAAATTTGTAGCCCCTGAGGGCTGACTGCGAGCGTGCAGACCCCAAGAACGGACTGCGAGCGTGCAAACCTACTGGCTTCCTCCCACCTGGGTCCCTTGCATGGTGGAAGTTACAGCACTCAGCTGCGATTCACTGCACCATTGCTCTGCCCCAGGTGCTGTGCTAAACCCTCTCTAGGGATCATCTGTCTCCTCCCCAGGAAGGTACAGGGCAGGTACCACCAGCAGCTCCCCCAACAAAGGATACGGACGGTCGGGTTCAAGAGTGCCCGGGCCTCTCTGAGGACCATGTGTGTAACCCCAGGATCCCCAGGGCTCCCCACGGTGAGGGAGATCAGAAGGACCCCAAGCAGTTCTCAAAGAAGAAAGAGGCTATAAAAAGTGGCAGCAAGGGACCCTTGAGGACCGAGAGGCCACATGGGAGCACTGTGGCTGGAGGAAGCTTCTCCATGATTGAAAACCCTGCTTCTCAATGAGCAGTAACTGCGTTGAGGATAAAGGAGTGAGAGGCAGATGTGTCCAAGGCACCTCTGCCTCCCGAGTGACATCCTCCCCGGGGCTGTACACTCTTGAGGGCATGGATCGCAGGGGCACAAGCACTTAAAAACAAAAAAATGATCATTTTTAAATTGTGGTAGAATCCACAAACACTTGAGCATGTGTGGCCTTGGTGGACTCACAAGGTAGCCCCACCATCGCCACCATCTACTTCCAGAACGTGCTCCCTCAGGCGCCTCCGATCCCACCTTCCCATTCTGCTCAGGGTTGATTTGAAACAATGAGTGGATGTGTGGCGGCCTGATGAGTGCCAAGAATCAGGGGATCATCTGAGCTTAGGAAGGAGTACCCCAATTCCATCTTCACCTTTACTAATAACAATGGCCTCCTCTCTGGAGCACATGGGATGCGCCTGGCTTGTCCTAAGTGTGGAGTCCTAATAAGGGAAAAGGAGCCAGGCTGGTGGGACCGAGAGAAAGCAAAAAGACAAAGCGGAGAAGCTATACAGGTCTGCCTTTCTTCACGGTCCAGGACACAGCCCTCCTGCACAGATAACTCACCATCTTCCTGCGCCCAGCTATCACCAGAGCCTTGGCTGATAGAAAAACGCAAGTGAGTTCGCTGCAACCGCGGCGTTATCACCCTGCACGAAGCCCTCCTGGGCACACAGCACAGACACCACCCGGTAAAAATCCCCAGCAAGCCTTTGTCTCCTTGCAGTCAGCTCCTCCCTTGCTGTTGCTTTCTTGCTGTTGCTTTCTGGCAATGTATTTTCCTACTTCTCGAATAAGCCTGCCTTTCTTTATCTATAACTGTCTTCGTAAATAATTCTTACCGCCTGCACCACCAGCCTCAGATAATCACTGATCACCTGCGACACGGAGCGATTACAGGAGCTCCAGACGTGAGCCTGCACCTTCAGTATCATTATTCCCATTTTTCAGATAAGGAGACTGAGGGGCAAATGATTAAGAAACTTGCCCATCATCACCTGATCGGCCAGTGTGTGATAGAGCAAAATGCTTCCCGTTGTGCTCTGCAATGTAGTTAATGCCACTATTCTATGGCTACCTTTCATCTCTTCAATTAAATGTAGGTGGGGGAAAACGAAGATAATTAATATGTATTATGTCATTTTCACAGAGCAAATCTCATTTGATCTTAATGACCTATGAGGGAGAGGCCATGGTCTCCATGTGCATGGTCCCCCGCCACCCCGGCACTGGTAGAGCGAGACTTTGAACCCAGGGCCACCTCCTCCAATCCAAGGTTCTTTCCATTGCAGTGGAAAACATTTCCTCAAAAAAAGGAATTCTTTATCAGTGGTCTGTTCACCATGTAGCATGAGATGCTAAATATTTTATAACTTTCAAAGCTGAGAGAAAATTACATCGATTCCACAGGGCTTTTCTGAGGGTTCCGTGTGGATGGGTAAATAAGGTCATTAAGTGCCGAGGCCTGGCAGGATCTTGTCACCAGCAGAGCTGAGGCCATCCCAGCTCTAATTTCTGCCAGCGCTTACCGCATGGCTCTTCTGACAATCTCTCACAACGTGGCTTCTGGTCAGTTCTGTAATTAGGCTTCCTGACAGAAATGCTCCAAAACAAGGAGAGCTTCCTTCCCCTGCCCTGAGTTACAGATGTCAAGTTTCCAGGGCAGCTGCTTGTTGGAAAAAGACTAAAAGCCCCTGAGATACTGGATCCTGCAGCAGCAGATCAAAGCAGCTACAGTGAGTTGTCTCTCGACCTGGGTGACGTAGCATTTGAAATGGGGGCGCCACAGGGTAAAGATCCCAGAGAGAGATTTGATGAGACGCAGCAACTGAATGATACGTTTGATTCCTGGGTGATGATGGCTTTCTAGGAAGGGAAGTGGAGAAGGCAGGCTTTGTTCCTGTCCTCCACATTGTCACTGGCCTGGAAGGAGTGTGTGCGGGAAGCCCTGTTGAGTAGGAATCACCTGCATCTCAGGCAGGGGGCTGGGGAGGGGTAGGCGACAGTGTCAGTGAACTTGCATCTCTCCTGGAATTGCTTTCCAGCTAAGATTTGGTATTTTAATTTTGAACTCAAATTAAATTATATATGGAAGATTGAATTTTAAAAAAACACTTCATACCTGCATGGGAATTTCTAGCATAATTTAATGCACTACCTTTCTGGCTTTATTACTATTTACCTAATTTTTTTTTTAATTTTCCATTTTCATTTATGTACATTTAAAAAAAATAAAATAAGCAATCTCAAATCTTCTGTGGGATATGGTAGGGGAAAAGGTAAAGAAGCGAATCACCCCGTAAGGAGAAAAAGCAGAATATGAGGTCAGAGGATTGCTTTATCTCCTCCGAACACAATGATTCTGAACTAACGACACTGTTGTGTTTTTCCAGTTGTCTCCCAGGTGGATGGAAAGAGGACATTTTGCTTTGCAAGGGTCTCTCTTCAAAAGGTTCAAATGTAAGTCCCTCCGATGCCTCCTTTCTGCTCCCCGCGCAGTGCATAGTGAGGCCACTGCTGCTTACCCTTCCCGGAACCACAAGATTGTCAATGCCAATCAAATCTTTCTTGAGTTCGTGCAGCTTCTGGAAATTCTCCATCTTGATCATCGTACCGTGGAGCTGTGCCACCATCTCCGTGATCTCTGCCAAAGCGGCTGTGAAGGAAAGACATACACAGTCTGCAGCGGGAAAGGCAGGCAGGGGTCTTCCCCTAGCAGCTGTCAGCTCAACGCTGCAGGGAAATCACTCCAGTCCCTGCACAGTATTCAAAGGTGTCTTTTGAGCAAAAACAGTGCTATTTCTCTATAATAAAAATTGATGGTGTATTTTCTGTATTTATTTGCTTCACTTTAGCATCTTAAAACTAAGTGACCCCTGCATGGTGACGTGGCATACAGCTGTCCTTCAATTAGACGGACCTGTTGGCTTAGAGGGGAAAGACACGGGGGAAGAAGACTGCCTTGAATTTTGTCCCTGGGTAGAGACTTTTCTTTTCCCTCCTGTTACTCGGAAAGAACAAGGCACAGTGAGCACAAAGAGGCCATAGAAAAATCTGGAGCAAAGTCAGCACCTCCTTGGGAGGAGGTGTAATTGATATTGTGAAGTGTCAGTATATTCCAGGTAACTAACATTCCACCACACCCCAGTTCTGTCTTGTGTGGAAATTACACTGTTTACCAAGATGGTTGTGAAGAATTGCTGTAGAATTCAAATTTTTTCTTTTCTTTTATTTGTTTGAGACAGAGTTTTGCTCTTGTTGCCCAGGCTGGAGTACAATGGCATAATCTCAGCTCACTGCAACCTCTGCCCCCAGGTTCAAGTGATTGTCCTGCCTCAGCCTCCCGAGTAGCTGGGATTACAGGTGCGTGCCACCACGCCCGGCTAATTTTGTATTTTCAGTAGAGACAAGGTTTCACCATGTTGGTTAGGCTGGTCTCGAACTCCTGACCTCAGGCGATCCACACGCCTTGGCCGCCCAAAGTGCTGGGATTACAGGCATGAGCCACCACATCAGGCCTTTATTTTTCGATAGAGGCACGGCTCCCCTATACTGGTGGGCATCCAATATTTAAAAGAAGCTAGTGCCTGATTAATACAAGCTTGGGTGGCACGCAAGTCCCCAGTGGCTGACAAGTTTGGGTGGCACTCAAGTCCCCAGCGGCTGAGCACTTGGGTAGTTTGGTCAAGAAAAGCAAGAAATACTTGTTGACTGAACTTCAGTCTTCAGAACTCTAAATACCTCTTTCACTGCTTTCCCCCAGCATTTCAGTGTTGGAAGGGAAGCATTTAGTTTTCTTGTTTTTTCCCCCAAGGATGCGAGTTAAATTCTCCCAGGCTTATCAGAGAATGCGGTCTCAGCCATAGTGACAAATCCCAGGCCTTGCTCGATTTTCAGACATGACCACCCAGTTTGGTCCAATAAACATTTACTTGGCATCCAGTGCTCAGTGGCAGGGCTGGGGGGTAGTGGGGAGCTCTGAGAGGAAAATGATGGAATGATGGCACCCCGGCCCCCGGTGCTCAGGGGCAGGGGCGTGCTGGGAACAGCCCTTGGCATTCAGTGTCCCTCTAGCTCTGGAAACCTAGGCTCCTACAGTGCTGCCACTTCATGCTTTAAGCTAGCTAGCACTCTCTTCCTCAATCATCAAGGATAGCCTATCTCCATTGGGTACTGTTTAGAGAAATAGCAGAGTGGAACTGGATGAGTCCGCCAAGAACAGCGCCTTCAAAACCACACACCGCTCTCACCCCCATGGGCGACAGATCTGAGGAGTCCTCAGAGCCAGGAGGGGCCCTGGGTCCTTTCCTCCGGGCTCGGCCAACACACAGGCAATGCCAGTGTGACAGGACAAGGCGGACAGGAGGTCAGCTCAACATCAGGTGCCAGGCACAAGCTGAGGCTTAAAGGACGAGAGAGAGCTGGCCAGGAAAGGCCAAGGAGGTGGTGGCCAGGACTCTAAGCAGAAGGAACGGAATGCACCAAGGTGTGGAGGCAAGAGGCAGCATGGTTTTGTTTTTAGAGACTGGGTCTAGGTCTGTCGCCTGGGCTGTGGTGCAATCATAGCTCACTGCAGCCTCCAACTCCTGGGCTCATGCGATCCTCCCACCTCAGCCTCCTGAGTAGCCGGCACTATAGGTGCATGCTCGTAATTTTTAAATTTTTTGTAGAGACAAGGTCTCACTGTGTTGCCCAGGCTGCTCTTGAACTCCCAGCCTCCAGTGATCCTCCCATCTTGGCCTCCCAAAGTGCTGGGATTACAGGTGTGAGCCACCACCCCTGGCCAGCATGGTTTGTTTTAAAGACAGATGGTCAATGACAAACCATGTCAGGAGGCACCTGTGTTCCCCTTCTGTGAACTGTCACTGTCTCAATTACTTTGCCAAGTCTTCTACCTATTGGGTTGCCTTTTTTTAACAACTAATTTGTAGGAGTCCGCCATATATTCTAGATATTAACAACGGTTTTTCTAGAACAAGCCTGGTATCACTGTTTCCCTCCTTAAAACACTTCCTGTTCGGCCTCTGCTCTTAGGTTACGGCTTTGCGGGGTCCATGGGGCGCAGTGGGATGTAGCCGCTGCTTTCTGTCGCAGCCTCACTTTGTGGCTCTCCCTGTGCCCTGCACGCTTTTGGCAATGTTCCGGTCTCTGTCCCCTCTGAACCTGAGCTTGTGCTGTTTCTAACTCTATTCTCCACACCCTCCTTTCACCCAGGAAAACTCCTATTTACATGTTAGTTCTGAACTTAGACACCATTTCCCTTCGAGATCCCCCCAACACCCCCTAACGCCCCGGCTCCAACTGCACCGTCCACTTCTCTCTCACGGCCCTAGTGCAGGGTTGCCACTGCCCAGGTACCTGCCTGCAGACCCTCCAGCACCCAGGTACCTGCCTGCAGACCCTCCAGTGGGTCCTGTGAGGTCAGGGGCCGCACTGTTCCTTCTCCCTCACACGCCCAGTACAGGTGCTCGCTGCGCAGCTGGGGTGTGAGAGCTGGCCAGGCCAGGTCATGAAGACTTCCGATTTTAGCCTGAGGCAGTCAGCCGTCACCCAGGTTTTAAGCCAAGGTGTAAGAAGATGGATTTTTAAAAAAGATGACAGTTTTGGCTAAAGAGTTGGGAGGTGTTTCTGACATTTCAGGCAAGGAATAAGGGCCTTGCCCTCCTAGTGGGTGTGTGGATTCGGGCCACCTGTGCGGGAGCCACCTACGCAGGGCCAACTCCGCATGCTAGGCCAGGGAGGGCAGACACCCACAGACCAACTGTGACACCAGACACAACGACTTCCGTTCAGAAGAGCACGCGTGGCCCCGTGGGAAAAGCAGGTCTGGAATGCGGCTCTGACCTCTGAGTGACCCAGCAAGTCCCTTCCCCTGAGTCTCAGCGTCACGCTCTGTAAAATGGGATAATGCAATTGATCTAAAGGGGTCCTTAAAGGAGTAATGGTGTGAACGTTGGTACAGTATCAGGTACACAGCACCTGGCCTGGGGCTGAGCAAGTACGAGCGGGTAGGACTGTCCATGAGATAGAAGGGCAGGACGGTTGTGACCATGGGTTCTAGATTTAGGTTCCAAATCATTTCCCTCCAAGCTGTGTGACTCTGGGCAGGTTCCTTAACCTCTCTAGTCTCCGTAGTCCCCATATGTAAGATGAACTCACCTGTGCCTGAGGCTTGGGAAGAGTTAATACAGGAGAGATGCTCATTATGCTGATGGGCACATTACAAATGACCGGTAGCAATGAGCAACAGGATTTCTTACAAGCTATGTTCTGTGGCCATGGTAGAGGGATGAGTTTCCGTCACGTGGGTAGAAGCAAGCTTCCTGGGTGGGGGCTAACTGTAAGCGGAGCTTCTCTAGGGATCTTTGCACAAAACCACCCAGGAACCAAAGGAGAAAATGCATGCAAGAGGCAAAGGAAGAAAGGGGTCCTGACGATCATCAGCACCTTCTTTACGGAAAGATCAAGATGTGGCCGGGCACCGTGGCTCACGCCTGTAATCCCAGCACTTTGGGAGGCCAAGGCGGGCGGATCACAAGGTCAGGAGTTCGAGACCAGCCTGACCAACACGGTGAAACCCCGTCTCTACTAAAAATACAAAAATTAGCCGGGCGTGGTGGCGGGCGCCTGTAATCCTAGCTGCTCCAGAGGCTGAGGCAGGAGAATCGCTTGAACCCGGGAGGTGGAGGTTGCAGTGAGCCGAGATCGCACCATTGCACTCCAGCCTGGGCGACAGAGTGAGACTCAGTCTCAAAAAAAAAAAAAAAAAATCAAGATGTAACCAAACACCAGAGCAGGAATAAAAACCGGCGCCCACCCTGATGAAAACCTGGGACCCAGCATCAGCTGACCTCTCTCCCCGGGGAGCCCCTCCCTGGCTGGGCTCAGTCTGGGAGCACCCGGCCTGAACTGTGGCATGGGCACCAGGTGGCGCAGGCTCCCAGCACTCACCTCGGCAGTCCCTGAAGTCGGCGTGGCTCGGCGGGTGGTGTTTGCACAGCCGCTCCAGGACCTGCTTGTAGTGCATGAGCCGGTGCAGTGGCCGCAGGAGGAAGGTGTTGAGCGGTAGGTAACACACCTTCTGCAGCTCAAAGTCTCTGCAGAAGTTCTCCAGCCGCCGGGAGCTCTTGATTCCATTCTCCAGGGCCTCCAAGGCCTCGCTGTGCTTCCACAGGTGAGCCGCCAGGTGCTTGGGAGGCAACAGAGGAGGAGGGTCCTGTTCAGCTGAATGGGATGCACCTGTGTTCTGCCCAGTTTCACTTGGGGAAATGAAGCGCTCCTGCACTCTCTATTTCACGATTTGTTTAATTTCCTTAAATTTCACATTGTTCATAGTTCACTCTTTTTGTTATTTCACTTAAGTTCTCAGGATGAAATAAAAAGGCCTATTAAGGTACTGAGCAGTTTAAAATACACATGGATCATAAAATATATAAGCTATGTATATAACATCAGAGGTATAAATGTTCCTTTAAAATTGAGCCTGGAAAAACTGGGGACAAATATATCAACAGGAGCTCCTTAAGGAGGGCTGTGGTTTTCTTCTAAATGTCTTCAGATAACAAACAGCCCAGGGGCCGTCAGTGAGCATTACATCGTTTTAAAACCACAGTTCTGCTTCCCTCGCCCCGTCTGCTCAGACAGTAGCTAAGCAGCTATGTGAGCCCCTCCTCTGCTAGGTCTGGGGAGATGGATGAGAGTCAGACAGCGCCCTGACTCTCCTGGAGTCATGGTGGGGATGGGGACAGAGTAAGCGCTTGGATGACAGAGCATTAAAGGAGGAATGAATTCACCTGGGTGGGAGGGAGGACTCCCAAGGCAAGGACACTTCCAGGCAGATAGGGGGAGAGCAGAGGACAGGGGACACCCCAGGACACAAAAACCGAGTTTGCTTTCTTCAAGTCTCACTTGATAATCACCTCCCAGAGTGGGCTTGCTCTCTATGTGCTGGTAACTCCCAAATCTGAATTTTTATTTTTTGTGACAGGGTCTCGCTCTATTGCCCAGGCTGGAGTGCAGTGGCGCAATCTCAGCTCACTGCAGCCTCGAACTCCTGGGCTCAAGGGATCCTCCTGCCTCAGCCTCGAGCAGCTGGGACTGCAGGCTTGAGCCACCACACCCAGCTAATTTAAAAAAAAATTATTTATTTATTTTTAGAGACAGGGTCTCACTATGTTGCCCAGGCTGGTGGTCTCAAACTCCTGGCCTCAAGTGATCCTCCCACCTTGGCCTTCCAAAGTGCTGGGAATACAGGCATGAGGCACCACGCCCGGCCTGAAATCTAGATTCTTCTATCATGTATGTGGGTGTATATTTGTATACATGTCTATAGATATAAAAGGCACAAAATGATGAAAGGTTTTGTAATTGACTTGTTTTTGTAGAAAAGCCTATGGTAGTATCTGGCACAGGCGAGTAGCCCAAGTCAGAGAGGAAAATGCGGCACCAGATCTAGATTTCTCATCCAGGCTATGGCCCAACCTCAGTGGCTTCTCCACTCCCACGCCCCGGAAAAAGCTGGAAACACAGCTGTCCAGACACATGCCCACTTCCTCCTGCCTCAGCTGGGGCCCCCGCATTTATTCTCTAACTTCAGGATGGGTACCACCACCAGCCAGGTACTCACGACATTAAAACCTGGGGTACACTCCACATTCTTTCCTTGTATGAACCCGTCCCCAAGTCCTATCAATTTGTCCTCCAGAAAATGTGGGACCTGCCCTTGTCTTCTTTCCCATGGTCACTGTTCTCATTCTGGCTGTGTGGTCTCCAGCCCCTTCCACTTCACTGTGAGTTGAGCCCCTTGAATGAACTTTCTGCAATGCCACTCAACAGACTCCCCTTAAGCCGGGATCCCTCTGACCTCTCTGGCATTGACGCTTGCGACTCACCCTGAGCCACCCACTGACCGCCCTGCATCCAAATGCGGCACACTCTCGCACCCAGAGACTCTGCACACAGTGACCCCTGCTGAGGACCCCCCATCCCTCGGGGTTACTCCGGGGCCTGCCCTGCTCTGTACTCCTGCATCCTCCCGCACTCACTGCTGTGTCTTTCCACAACCGCCCTTATCACACAGCCTCCCTGCTGGGTTGATTTCATGACTTTCTGTTTTGAAATAGACATTCATAGGAAGTTGCAAAGAAACATACAGGGAGGGATTGTGCACCCCTCACCCAGCCTCCCTCAATGGTGACATCCTGCAAAACTAGAGTACAATATCAACACCAGGAAATTGACATTGGTACAGCCCACAGAGCTTATTCAGATTGCACCAGTTATACACGCTCTTGCATGTGTGTGCGTGCATGTGCGTGCATGTGTGTGTCGCTCTGTGCGATGCTATCACACGTGTGGTCCCCTATTTGATTTTGAGAGGGCATCATCATGTTGTAACATCCTGGCATGTCGTCACATCCTTGGGGGCCTGGCATACACAGTGGGTGTCCAAAGGTCTTCCCTGTATATACCAAAGAGCCAACGAAGCAATGCACACACCCAGGCCAAGGCAGAGGTCTTGGGAGGACACATGAGTTGACGGTGGCCGGAAGGCAGGGTGGAAGGTGAAGGGTTGGGAGCAGGGTCTGGAGAGACAGCCTAGGACTAGAGCAGAGGCTTTCTTCACTAGGTTTAGAGTTTGGACTGCATTCTCCAAACCATAGAGAAACCAGGAGGGCTTTGCGCTGTCAGTTTTGTGTTGTATGAACAGTGACTCCAGCCATCATATAAGTAGTGGGTTGGAAGGCTGGGTTGGTGGGAGGTGACTCATTGGGAAGCTGGCCTGGTCGCCTAGCAGGAAGAAAACAGAGAGCCAGGAGAAGCAAAGTGGTAGAAGTGTCAGAAAGAGGTACAGGTGGTAGAAGCTTGGAGAGACAGGCGATACAGGAAGGAATGAAGGTCCCCACTTGCCAAGCAGGTGAAGGTCAGGATGAAAGGCCCTTTCTTTGCATTGATTTCCAAGCGTTTTTGTGCGTCTGGATGGATGTGTGCAAGTGGACATTCACAGCGTGGGCTGGAGATCCTGATTTGGGTGTCTCTGACTCTGTGGAGGTGGTTAAAGACCCTGGACTACCCTCCCTTGGTTGTGTGACCTCACTCCTGTGTGCAGAGTCTGGGAAGAGCCAATCAGGCTGAGACTGATGACAGCAGGTGAGTGCACGGGTCGGGGGTGGGAGCGAAGCGGGAAAGACACTGCAGGCTCGAGAACACTCTAAGCATTTGGACAACAGTGCTGGCCTGGGCTTCTCACATTTCTGGAAACTTCTGCTGTGCCCCTCCATGCTTTATAGAAATTCTTTAAAACAATAAAAACAGCAATTAAAAAAAACCCCAACTAACTTCTCAAAAAGGCTGCCAGTGACTCTCAGCAACCTCTCCGTCTATTTTTATTTTGCTTGCACAGAGCTCCATGCTATAAACGCTCATGGCATCAGCACACTCCTGAGATGCCAGCACAGCAGGGGAAGCTGGCTGAATGCAGAAATGCCAGCTCCCCAGACCGAGGAGAAAGAACGCCAGGAGCGGATATCAGGTGTATTTTTAGGTGGTCTTCTGCGCTGGGTTAGGGTAGGGGAGGGTGGGATGTCAGCCTCTGAGGAAAAGCAGTGGTGGGAGTTGGCACACAACCTGGAGAAGGCACGAAGGACACTTGCTGAACAGCACCACACTGGGGACTGTCCCCGCGGGTGGAGATGAACCTGGCAGGTCTCTGCTGCTGTCCCCAAAGGCCCACACCAGAGTCCAAGCCTCCTTGAAGAGGGCGCCTCCCTGGGGAGCTGTGATCTCAGATTGAAGAACACAGGGAGAAAAGCTGAGAAACCAGAACGGCCTTGGAAAAAGTACAGAGCATGTGAAACGAGGGAAAAGATGGGAGAGAACAACAGAAACAGCGTCCTGTTACATGAGAGAGGAAAAAGGACGTTTTTGAAAAGCAAACGAAGCCGGTCTGCAGTGACTACATACTGTCTGATCCCAGCTATGTGACATCTGGAAAGATAAAACTATGGAGATGGGAAAAGGTCAGTGGTTGCCAGGGATTTGGGGGGCATCTAAGGGGGATGAATAGGTGGAGCCCAGGGAAGTTTTAGGGCAGGGAAACTGTTCTGTGGATCCCTGTCATTATATATTTGTCAACACCCAGAGAATGTACACCACCAAGAGGGGGCCCTAATGGTCAACCTTGTCAGTATTGGTTCATCAGTTTCCACACGAGCACCACGCCAATGCAAAACGCTAATAGCAGGGGAAACTGTGTGTTTAGGGGTGGACGGAAGAATACGAGAACTCTGTACTTTCTCCTCAAGTTTTCTGTAAAGCTAAAATTGCTTTGAAAGATAAAATACGTTAACTTCAGAAACTCCCATGGAAAGTGGAAAAGATGTCTGTTATCCTTCTATCTGTTGTGCCTCAGCCATAGCTCATGCCATTCAAAATACTGTGGCTATGGAACATCTTAGGTAATTCTTGCTTTTCTTTTTTTGCATAGCATTCTGCAACCCTGATCACTTCCACGGCCTCTCTCTGGTATTGCCTCAAATTGCAAAGGGTTGCTGTTTGAACACAGTGAAAAAACAAAACAATACCTCAGGATCCAGTCAATGTTACCGTGGTCTTTGTTAAGAGAGATTGACAGGAAATCCCTTGAGTGGCAATTGATCCTGTCTTTTCTGTGCTACTCACCGACCATCCTCCTCTTGTCTCTCCCTCACGAGATTCATCTTTGCTTATTTATTATTTATTTTTGAGACAGGGTCTTGCTCTGTTGCCCAGGCTTGAGTGCAGTGGCGCGATCATGGCTCACTGCAGCATCAACCTGCTGGGCTCAAGTGATCCTCTCCCCTCAGCCCCCTGAGTAGCTGGAACTACAGGCACTTACCATCACTCTTAGCTAATGTTTTTTTATTTTTCATAGAGACAAGTCTTGCTATGTTGTCTAGGCTGCTCTCAAACTTCTGGGCTCAAAGCAATCCTCCCACCTTAGCCTCCCAAATTGCTAGGATCAGAGGCATGAGCCACCACACCCGGCTGAGATACATCATTTTAATGGGAAAAAACTAAATGCTAACCCACTTAGCTAGGATTATGGGAATTAAGACAAACCCTAATGGTAATTTCATTCTATGAGTGTCTTGTGTATAGTAGGTGCTCAGTTAGCACTGGGTGGATGGACAGGTGGATGGATGGATTGAAATGGGGGCAGTATGAGCACCTTCTTTAAGGGGTTGCTAGCTTCTCTGGGCAGTTATTAGTTTTTAAGGTTGTCATACAGGCTCTGGGCAGTTAAGATTCAGGAAGATTGCTTTAAAATGTGAGTACAGGTATATTCAAAAGAGACGCTGTGTGAATTAAAACATTTTATGTTAAAGGAATTATTAATGGATTCAAATGAAAACAAAAAAAGGAAGATTTCAGATATAAGAGATGGGGCAGACTTTTTAAATGTGGTAGAGTATTAATTTAATATTTATTGACTTCTTTGGATATACTTTCACTTTTATGTCATTGATTGTAGATATTGCTGGATGATTAAAAACATATTTGCGACCAGGGGTGATGGCTCATGCCTATAATCCCAGCACTTTGGGAGGCTGAGGTGGGTAGATCACCCGAGGTCAGGAGTTTGAGATCAGCCTGGCCAACATAAACCCCATATCTACTAAAAACACAAAAATTAGCTGGGTGTGGTGGTGCGCACCTGTAGTCCCAGCTACTTGGGAAGCTGAGGCAGGAGAATGGCTTGAACCTGGGAGGCGGAGGCTGCAGTGAGCCGAGATCGCGCCATTGCACTCCAGCCTGGGCAACAAGAGCAAAACTCCATCTCAAAAACAACAACAACAACAAAACCAACCAAACAAAAAAAAAAAACTATATTTGCCTCGTACACTGATTTAAAGTCATAGAATTTACTGAAATACCTACACAGCTCTGAATCCAACATTTTTGTCATGGTTATTAGAAGAAACCAAAACAACTGACTGAAAATGAAATGTTCAGTCAGACAGTGTTTGTCCACATCTTTTTTTTTTTTGAAGTTTTGAATCATCCATTCACAGAAAACACTTGTTTTGGGTATAATGCAAAACTTTTGAAACAAAAAAACCTACTAAAAATGCTTTCGCTAAAGTGATTGGCTTTTCATTCATGCTTTGAAATAAAATTATCTAGAAAGGTTGGAGAAGGGTTTGCCGAACAGCCATCTTCCTGATGTGCCTTAGATTAGACCGGGGTGTCCAATCTTTTGGCTTCCGTGGACCACATTGGAAGAAGAAGAATTGTCTTGGGTCACACATGAAATACACTAACACTAACGATAGCTGATGAGCAAAGAAAAAAAAAAAACCCCAAAATCACCAAAAAGAAAATCTCATAATGTTTTAAGAAAGTTTATGAATTTGTGTTGGGCCACATTCAAAGCCGTCCTGGGCTGTAAGCTGCTGCTCGGCGGTGGGTTGGACAAGCTTGGTGTAGAGAGTCAAATCAGGTGATGCATGCTGATGGAAATGGCTTACAGCCTATGCCCATGGCAGCCCCGCTCGATTCTCCTTGGTGAACCTTGCTCCACCCAAATCTCAACCAGCTCACCTTCATGCCCTGAATGTTCTTCAGCATGACATCGCCGATTCTTTGGTAATCTCTGATTTGGGCATTTGAGCGGCCTTCCCTGAGAGCAAAAGCAAAGGGTTGGAAATACAAAGCATCAGTAGTGACATGACAGCCCTGGGTTACAAATATCAGCCTACCGCTTCCTTTCCAATCACCCCTCCCCGGACATCTCCTGAACTTCTTATGGGGTCATGGAATGTTATCGTTGGAAGGAGACTTGGAAATTACCCCACTCATCCTGCAAAGAATTCCACTTATGCTTTGAAAGAGACAAGAGAGAACCAATTTCCAATCCTTTTAATTTGGTTTAATTATTTTACTCTACCCATCTGCACACTGGAGTTTGATTTTAGATTAATTTTTTTCCATCCACACTTGGGTGATTTTAGCATCATTAGGTCAGCACAGAGATCATTTGCAATAAGTAGCTTGTAAACAGATTCCATCCTAGAGATGGGTACTGCTAGACACCTGCAGGAAGCAAGACTCAGCCCCAGAGGAAGGTTTCTGCTTCTAAGAGCCCTTGCCTGAAGCAGACCAATAGCTGTCCATAGCCCTTGGGAAGAGAAATGCATAACTGAGAAAGGACAGGAGATGGTACCTAAGGTGGGAGTGACGTAAATGCCATAGAATAGGGTAGGGTGTGTGGCCCAGGAAGAGAGAGAGGCGTGGAGGGGAGGGCCATGGTCCCCCAGACATATTGGGTGCTAGACAGCAAAGCTGTGGGCACTTTCAGTGAGGTTTGGGGTACACGTACACCTTTCAACGGATCAACGCAGAGAGAAATATAAAAACATGGATGGTAGTGAGTATTTACTAAGTACTGTCCATGTACCAGACACCATGCTAAGTTAATTATAGTCATGAGCCCTTTTAGTCCTCATAGAAACCGTCTGAGGCAGGTACCACTATCACCCTCATGTTATAGTGAAGGAGACAGAAGCATGAAGAAACCACGAACTTCTCTGATATCTGTTATCACGAGGTGTGAACTCGCACAGGAGCCAGCTCTAGTTTCCCAGGCCACACGCCTAACCGTTGTGCCAGTGCATAGCTGCTGACTTTCCCATCACTGAGAAAGGAATTTCCCAGAGACAATTAAAACATGGTTTTCAACAATCAACCTGGCAATTATCTTTAAACCAACTGTTCAGGAAAACCAGAAGCCAACTTACATGAAAGGAACGAATTAAACAAACAAACAAACAAACAAACAAAACTGGCACTAGGCTTCTAATAGGAAGTGAGAGATCTTCAAAGTGGAAAAAAATACCCGGCAACTGAAGTCAGGAGGGACCCGGGATCTACATACACCCTATGATGGTTAATATCGAGTGTCAACTTGATTGGATTGAAGGATGTAAAGTATCAATCCTGGGTGTGTCTGTGATGGTGTTGCCAAAAGAGATTAGCATTTGAGTCAGTTGAGTGGGAAAGGCAGACCCACCCTCAATCTGGGTGGGCACAACCTAATCGGCTGCCAGCGTGGCCAGAATAAAAGTAGGCAGAAGAACATGGAAAGACTAGACTGGCCTAGCTGCCCAGCCTACATCTTTCTCCTGTGCTGGATGCTTCCTGCCCTCAAACATCAGACCCCAAGTTCTTCAGCTTTGGGACTCAGACTGGCCTCCTTGCTCCTCAGCTTGCAGACAGCCTATTGTGGGACCTCACCTTGTGAACGTGTGAGTCAATACTCCTAAATAAACTCCTCTCATATATACATCTATCCTATTAGCTCTGTCCCTCTAGAGAACCCTGACTAATAGACACCCCACAGATATGGTGGCTAAGAACCCTCCGGCAACGCGAGAAATGGCTTCCACTGGGACACTCAGAGCCTTCCTGACTGTTGACTCAATCTCCGATACATCAAGGATCTTCTGACGAACAGAAGAGGGCAAGGAGGATGCACACGCTTAATTAAGCAAACCCAGGAGGTAGAAAAGTCATCGTGAGTAGAAACAGGTTGCTCCTGGCTTCACATTCCAGGCAATCAACAGCATTATTTATTCTATTGGTTCCAACTAAGCATATAGTGCAAATTACATCACAGGAAAGACTGAGGGCACCCAAACCTTTTAGGTAATTAAAGCTTCTCTAAAATCAAAGAAAAGAGAGCACCCCCAGGCTCCCCAAGCTCCTTCCTGGGTCTTCGTTGCTGCCCTGTGTGCTGGTGGTCTTCAACCTGGTCCATTCTCTTCCACCAACACAGCATCCTCAGTCCTCTGCGTTCTCTTAGCTGCTTTAATTGGCACCGCTCCTCTGCTAATTAAACGAATCTCTCCCCACTGCTCCCCTGAAAAGGTTCTGGGAAGATAGCTGTTAACCTCTGAACCACCAGAGCCCACCTCCCCTCCTCCTATATTCGGGCTCTCCGGGCTGGTCGGCCCCACTGCGTGGCCCTCCAAGCTCATCTGCTACGGGAAGCTTTCCTCTCCAGACTCCCTCATTAATCTTCAGGCCAGCCCTTCAATTCTCGTGGCCACCTCCTTCAGGCTGCTCCCAAGCTATCTGTGTGTTTTGGGAATCCTTTGGTTGTCCTCTCTTTTCACCCTCTACTTCTTCCTATACAAGCCCTCCTATTTGCCGTGGTTTCGGTTCATGATGCCAAACCACGGCTGACCCAGGTAATGCATTTCTTAGACCATCCAGAGCACTCCATGTGAATGACCCCATATCTCCTATCTCAAACACAAAATGTTCCAGATTTTAGGATCTTATTTCCAACACCAAATCCTCTTCCTCCATTTTCTTAAAAAAAATTTTTTTTTTTTAAAGATATGGGGTCTTGCTTTGTCACCCAGGGTGGAGTGTGGTGGTATCATCATAGCTCACTGCAGCCTCCAACTCCTGGTCTCAAGCAATCTTCCTGCCTCAGCCTCCTGAGTAGCCACTAGAGGTGTGCACCATCATCCCAGCTAATTTGTTTGTTTTTGTAAAGATGGGGTCTCACTATTTTGTCAAAGCTGGCCTTGAATTCCTGGACTCAAGCGATCCATCTGCCTCAGTCTCTCAAAGTGCTGGGATTATAGGTATGAGCCACATTGCCTGGCCTTGTTATCTGGAACTTAAATAATTGGCTCCAGAATTTTTTGAATGGATCTGCCATTTGAGAACATACAGAAATAAAGGACTTAAGTTCAGAGGACATCATTTAGATATTCTAGTGAGAGTCTGGATTGCGGGAGAAGAAATGGGGAGGATTCTGGCTTCCATCAGTAACAAGCAATATCCTCTCTCTCATAGACACACCCCTACCCAAGAGAAAATGAAGGGCTGGGAAGAGGACGCTGGGCGAGGGCGGTGGGGAATGAGATGGAAGCCAAATGTCATCTATTTCACTTTCTCTATTCTTTTGCCAACTATTTATTATCTACTGATGTTAAAGCTTCAAAGTCAAAAGAACCTTCCTTCCCACATCCGTATCTCTCTAAGTCCCCAGCATCGTTCATGGTAGAGAAGGCTCTGGGTTGGCACCATCAGACCTCTGTGCAGTTGGAAGATGCAAATCCCTAATTGTAAAGAGGGTCAGCTCTACGCGATGTGGTGAGTACAGGCTGGAGGCCTCTAAAGTCACTGCAAACACAAGCACATCTGTCTTTCTCGTCCCATCCTGTCCCCACCCCAGCTCACATAGCAAGTCCCAGCCCTGCTTGGGTCCAAATACACAGGACACAGCCCCAGGGACCGGGGACAAAATCCAAATTCCTGCTGCCCATCTAGAAACATCCTCATGGTTTTATTTCCTCTACATGTCACTGCCTCCAAATGTATAAAGCCAAAGTGTTCCTTCTATTATGAACGGCTAAAAGGTCACTGTATTATCAAGAACATGAAAAAGTAATTATAACTCTTCCACCACGTCCTCTGGATGTTAACCTCACAAGAAAGGGGTCCTTGTCTGCAAGGCAGGGCCACATATTTATTGCCTGGGTAATTACCACACAGCAACCAAGATGAAAATTCTTTTGACAATTTCACTTAGGAAAACCATGTAAAGTCTGCTAAGAAGCTGCCTGGTTGCTCAATTCTGACCTGTGCAATGTGATTAACTTACTCCCAGGAGCAACTACACATCACCTCAGCAAAGGACGCAACACACACCCACACACGTCATGAATTTTCAAGTCTTCCTGACCTCGTATCAAAACTTCGTTCACCACAACGTGAGCTGGTCAGTCATTCAGCAGCAGACTGAGGACAGGGAAGAAGTAAAGGACATGAAAATGACCAACTGTGGGTGGGCGGCTGACCAACAGCAAGGTTGCCTCCAAGGGTGGACTGTGAGTATTCTGCCCATCACCCCCCTAAGAGGAGGCAGAAGGACAGCCTGTATGACGAGTTTTGTCTCCAACTGCCAGGAAACACTTTTGTGGGCTGTCGTCGCAGGCAGGGGCAAAGCCAGCCAGGATAAATCAATACTTTGCCCTCCTATTCACCATCCCAACCTCAGGGTCAACATAAAGCCCATTTAGAACATCAGATAAACAGTTCACAGTGTGCTGGTGACCTTGGTGGCAATAAAATCTCCCAACTGTCCTCTAAAGCATCACGAGCCCTAGGGTGCGGGCTCCCTCTGAGAGGGCGTGTTTTCTGGAAGGCAGTAACATTTGGCCAGGCTGTGGTGAAGTGCCCCGGGAGATTCCTTAACCATGAAAGAGGGCAGTGACTGGCACACTGCATACCCCATGGGCCCAATGTAAACCCAAGTGTGTTTACTCATCACCCAGCTCTCCCCTTCTCTCCTTGCCACAACATGAAGAGCCATCTCCTCAGAGCACACATGCCAGCGGTGCAGCTTGGAGCTTGAGGGTTCATTTTTGTCCCCCTGCTCTATCTCTAGATGCTTGCTCCACCCCGAAAATAGATCTTTTTTTGAAGCCTCTTAGTCTTCACTTGCAACACCAATACCACATCATTGTCCTCACTATTCCCTGCAGTCTCTATGATTCTAAATGGAAAAAAGTATGAAATTATGTATGTTTGTGTGTCTATGTAAGTGAAAAGCATAGTGTGAAATGAGTAAGTGGGAACAGACGGATCCTACATTAATATATCGGGTGGGGAGGGTGGCTGGGTTCCAAAAGCAAACAAATTAGCCAGAGTAACAGAGTGTGTGTGTGTGTGTGTGTGTGTGTGTGTGTGTATTTTTTTTTGGAGACAGAGTCTCGTCTGTCACCCAGGCTGGAGTGCAGTGGTGCAATCTTGGCTCACTGCAACCTCTGCCTCCTGGGTTCAAGTGATTCTCCTGCCTCTGCCTCCCGAGTAGCTGGGATTATAGGTGCCTGCCACCATGCCCAACTAATTTTTCTATTTTTAGTAGAGATGGGGTTTCACCATGTTGGCAAGGCTGGTCTTGAACTCCTGACCTCAGGTGATCCACCCACCTCGGCCTCCCAAAGTGCTGGGATTATAGGCGTGAGCCACTGTGCCTGACCTAACATATTGTGTATGACATATGTATCAGCCACATGTGATATATGTGGATTTTTCATTAAAGTCCCATTGGTCTTAGCATTAATTCACATGCCCACTTGTCAAGATGACATTTGTGCGAGAGGCATCTTCAATGGGCCGGGAACGCCGCGCCTTTGGCAGCTGCGGGAAACACAGAAGACAGAAGCCCTCCCATTCTCAGCCACCCTCAAGTCTGTCAATTACACTCTTAGGTTGCTCAAAGCTATAGCTTCTTTCTTGCCTTCCTGAGGTTTACCACCAGGTCGAATTGAATAAGAGGATCCAAAGTGACAACCCGGTCACAGGCAGGTTTGATAGCATCCAGGTGAGCCCCGGTATCATTCCTGTTATCAACAGGGCACATATTAAAATACAGTAGAAGAGAAGAGCTGTGTCAGACTCGTCTAGTGACCCGGAGAGGGCTTTCTCTCAAGTGTCTTCTAGTAGAAACCCACCTGCAATTCTGGCAATTGGCAAAACGGTTTCACTCGTCTCAGGGAAACAGCTTGCTCTCAAAGCACTGTGAGCTATATAGTCACGACTAAGGCAGAAAATCCAAGAAAAACTAGCTCAAAGCTATGCTCAAGAACATGGAATCTAGCCAGGCGTGGAAGCTCAACGCCTGTAATCCCAACACTGGGAGGCCAAGGCGGGTGGATCACTTGAGGTCAGGAGTTCAAGACCAGCCTGGCCAACATGACGAAACCCCTTCTCTACTAAAAATACAAAAATTAGCCAGGTGTGGTGATGCACGCCTGTAATCCCAGCTACTGGGGAGGCTGAGGCAGGAGAATTGCTTGAACCTGGGAGACGGAGGTTGCAGTGAGCCAAGATCACACTGCTGCATTCTATCCTGGGTGACAGAGGGAAACTCCATCTCAAAAAAAAAACAAAAAACAAAACAAAACAAAACAAACAAATAAACATGTAATTTTACTCATGCTTAAAAAGGAAACAAGGCCAAGTGTGATGGCTCATGCCCATAATCCTAGCACCTTGAAAAGCTGAGGTGGGAGGATTGCTTGAAGCCAGAAGTTCAAGGCTGAAGTTATCTATGATCATACCACTGCATTCCAGCCTGGGCAACAGAGCGAGACTTTGTCTCTAAAAAACTAATAAAAACATAAATAAATAAAAGGATATTCGATCACACATTTTGTTTAGCCACTCATGTCAATGGACATTTGGGTTACCTCTTCCTTTTGGCTACTGTGGATAAAGCTGCTATGAACACTGATTTTTCTTTTAATGATACCTAGCACAAACACTTGAAGCTTCAGAGAGCTAGTAGAATGATGAGAAAAGTATTTAATTCATTTTTATTCTATGATGGCTCACTGGTGCTTCTATAAAGATGCTCCATTTTTCTGGGCAGCAAAACAATTTTCTGACCTTAGTCATCTCCATTTCAGCCACCTAGCATCACGGCAACACAATGCTGCTCCCTCTGTGAAACTCCTGACAGCAGCTGTGAGAGTGTCCCATCCCTGAAAGAGCCCCCTCTCTGCCCTGGAGGGATCTCCAATCCCTCAGGACACCCTTCTCACATCTCTTACCCCTGCAGGACTTCCTCCTGCCCGGAGTCTGCTCCTGTACACCAGGAACTACCTTCCTCAAACCATCCTTGCCCTCCTGGCTGCCATTCTCCAAGACCGGCTATCTTCTGGACCCTCCACCCCCATGTGTTCTTTTTTTTTTTTTTTTTTTTTTTTTTTTTCAAACCTCTGGTGGCCTCTGTTTCCTTTGCTGGTTTTTATGCTGCCATGATCTACGTTTATGGAAAGCAAGCTGCCATAAAGGTATAGTCGAGAAGATTCTGCCCTCAGCTCTCTTTTCCTCTTAATGTTCTCTTCCTTGAAGATCTGATTCTTCTTGTGGATAACTTCCAAACCTACACCTTTCTGCCTCATTTCTTTCCAAAGCCTGGGACCCACATTTCCAACTGTTTGGAGCACTTTATCACAGGGCCCTCAAAATTATCATTCCCAAAGCAAGCTCATCTTCCCTTATCGTACTTGTATGCTTCTTTCTTCCTGGCTTCTTTGACTTCCCTCCCATTTTCATGACCATCCTCTGAGCTGACTGTGTTCAAAACTCTAGGTGGCCTCCCCTCTCCTTCCTCACTGTCTCACAGAGCCTTGGCTGCTCAGTGATATCTCGACATTCAGTCAGTCTGGTCCTCCCAGCCAGTCTCCCGCATGCTTTCCACGTGACTCTGGCCAAAGTTTCTCCTAAAACATGCAGCTGATCCTCCATGAAAACTGCGTGCACCCCATAGCCAATTCCGAGGGCCTCTTTGTACGACTGACTGCTTGCTGTCTCCCAGCTCCCAGCTGGCTCGTAAGTGGAGTTTTGTACCCTGCAGAATCTACCAAGGCACTCTGTAGCAAAGCAGGCCTTCCACCTGTCTCGGGGAACCCAGCTGGCCACCTTGCACTCAGCCTCTGCCAGTCACCTCAGGGCTGGCATTTGGGAGTCCTGACTGCACGCCAAAGGTTGTTAAGTGGCTTTCTCTGAACTCATTTGAACAGCTGAGTAAACTGTTCTTGCTTTCACAAGGAAAAGAACTCCTGAAGTTATTAGAACTCACCAAACCAGTTTCCTTGTTTTTGAAGAAAGCAGGTAATGTGGCTTTGCCAGCAAGAAGCAGGCCTTGGGCGTCCATCTCCTTCTCAGGTGTGTTTACTCAGGAGAAGGTGACATTTGGATAGGGGCAGGTGTGTTTGCTGAACTGAGCTTCAGCCTAATCATTCCGGAAAACTTCCTGAGACTTTCTCTGCCCTGTAATTTCCCCACTGTTGATGGAAGTATATTGCAGTCTCATGCAGGACTGCGAAGGGAAGGTCACACTCACTAGATCACTTATATACCAAATTCTGGGGAACTTTTGCTGCATATTATACTTTAGATCTCTTTCCATTAATGATAATCATTGAAAATATTACCATGGAATAAAATCTGGACTTTAGTTAATGTAACATACCAACGTTGTTTTCTTAGTTTTGCCGACTCTCCTATGGTGACATAAGATGTTAACGGGAAGAGGATGGGTGCAGACCATACAGAAACACTATTGTCTTGGCAACTTTTCTCTGGAATTATTTCCAAATAAAAAGTTAATTTTTAAAAAATGATCAGCTTCCCCGCTTTCTCTGCGCAGCGCAGTATACTAAGCCCCTTCCAGACACTGTGCCATTTGCGTAACACCCTGCATGGGAGATGCCATCCACATTTCACCCAGGAGGAAATGCGGTTCAACGAGGCCCACACCTACAGCTGAAGACAGCCCCATGGCGGGGGTGTGACCTCGAATTCGGATCTTACCCATCCCAATCGACAGGAGCCAACCTGCGCTTCCGTATCACGGCAACGTGAGGAAAGGCATGGGTACACATACATGCACTGAACACACACATGCGCAGTCTGTCAGTCAGTAGCCAGGGTGAATCCTTTCTTAATAATCTTCCCTGTGATCCATTCTTCTCACTGAACAGATTTAGCCCAAGGGTTGCCTGTTCTGTATAGGCAATGATGGTACATGTGTGTCCTCAGGGACAGAACTGGCAGCAACGCTCCATGACCACCCTGGATGTGACACCCACACCTGTGAGAGGACACGGCTCTCTGTGCCCTATGTGCCTGCCTCCTCCTTTGAGAGTGCAAGTCCCCCATGGGCAAAGCCTGCCACGCACACACTCACCTACTCATTCATTCATTCATTCACTCATTCATTCATTAATATATTCCTTCATGCATTGCTTGTAGACTAAAGAAACAAGAGTTATAACCAGTCTATGGCATGCAAACCAAGGAATCATAGACTGTTAGCACTGTCAGAGGCACTGCAGGGTCGGTTGTTGCAGAAAAGGTATTCATCACGATCACCCCAAGAAGTACTTAAAACACACAGATTCCTGAGTCTCACTCTTAATAAAGCTCTGATTCAAGAGAACTGGATAGGGCCTGGCAATCTGCCTTTTTCAAAGCCCCCTCCAGTTCCCAAGCCCAGTGACCCTGAGGCACCGCCAGGTTTGGGGTTTTGCTCCACAGACAAATCCTGTCTGGACATGAACAGTCAGTTTCTGCTGGAGCACCCCTGAGATGAAGGAGCTCCTGACCTCACAAGGCAGACTCTCACTGCCACGCTGCACTTAGGCTTCAGAAATCCTTTTCTGTGTTCAGACATTGTGCTTCTTTGGAAATTCACTCCATTGTTTCAATTTTGTCCTCTGGTTCCACTAAGAAGATGCGTATGCCCTTTCCCACAGGACCAGACTGCAGGTACCTGATGGGAGCCATCATGCTTTGGAAAGTCTCTTCTCATCCAGTCATTTTGTTTTAATGGAATGCATTCTCATCCCATTTGACACGTGAAAGCCGAGTGTGGTGTAGTGCTCTGCAGGAGTGCCGAACCTTGAATTTTGAAGGAGCCATCCTTTTCTAGGCTCTGGGCTCTTTTTAATGAGGCATTTTAGGGCAAATGTTCTTGACCTTGGCTACACTTTGGAATCACCTGGGAAGTTTAGAACCTACGAATGCATTGGTTCTACCCCTCAGAGACTCTGATATAACAGGGCTGGGTTATATCAGGCTGCTTGAGGTAACTTCAACGAGGAGCCGATGCTGAGAGGTGCAGATCTAGAGAGACACTGGTTTCTCTCTGTGTTGGTCTATGGCTCATACTAAACTCATTCACACTCAGCCTTTTTCCCTTGGAATTCCTGCCACACCAGGTCCTCCTCATCATGTTCTTGAGTAATTGATTAGCTTAACTTCACTGCAGCCCCTTCCAATGATCCCTGACCAGTGTCGTGTATTTGGTTTAGGTCTATTGTTGAAAGGCTACTGCAGGTCCCACTGATGGAGCTGCTTGTTGACTATCTGCTTTCTCTCTAGCTTTGAGAACTTTACATGCTTCTGATGTCTTTCTGTAAAACATGGGTTACATTATGGATCTTAGAAAGATACTCTACTGAAAACCCTCTGGGAATCAAATTATATCAACTGCTTTTTAAGCAACTCACTACTCTTTCACAGATAAGGTAAAGATTTATGGCCATGGAAGATCCACGCGTACGGCATTTACTCCTAAAATGAGTCGTATTAGACAGCTCTCTGCATTTCTCTCTGGTGGCGCCCTCCAATGGGGAGCCAGCCAAAGCCACCATGAAGGGCTTTCAGGGTACTGCAAACTGATGACATTTCCTGTGTGTGGCCTCTCCAACCTTATTTAAATCAACTGCCACATGCACTGAGACTGCTATAGTGACATCAGCTCAAGATGCCCTGAGCCTCCAGGAAGATTTGCCTAAGACGGTACTAACACATGTCTCGCTGGCCAGAGAACAAACTGCCAAATGGGTTCTCCAGAGTTGTAAGGTCTTTGACCCCATTATGAGAGCATCATTCAACTTTGTATGAATGATGAGACACAGGCAGAACACACGTGAAAGGTTCTAGGTCAACCTGGGGAAGGTAAAGTTACATTTGGTAGAATTTTAATTTTAATTTTGGAGACAGGGTCTTGTTCTGTCACCCAGGCTGGAGTGCAGTGGCACAGTCATAGCTCACTGCAGCCCTGAACTTCTGGGTTGAAGTGATTCTCCTGCCTCAGCCTCTCCAGTAGCTGGGACCACATGTTTGCATCACTATGCCTGGCTAATTAAATGTTTTTTTGTTGAGATGGGGTCTTGCTATGTTGCCCAGGCTGCTCTCGAACTCCTGGCCTCAAGTGATCCTCCTGCCTCAGCCTCCCAAAGTGCTGGGATTTACAGGCATGAGCCACTGTGCCCACATTTTTATTTTTAATTTTGAAAAGTGACATTTCTCTTATATTCATAATACCAAGACTCTTGCTAACGTGGCATTTTCAATTTTTCCCATTTCCAGCGAGGCTGACTTTGTACCTATTATTTCTCCAATTCTGGCTGTGCTCTCCCCACTGGGGCCTCTCAGTAATGCCTGTCACCTCCCTCTCTCAAGGGAAGGAGAATTGCACATGAATTATCCTCCAGGTATAAAAAATGTACAAAGCCGGACATCACTTAGGGAGATCAGAGAACTCCCGCTGCCCCAGCATATTGGCTTCACAACACAGAAAGCAGCTCTGCTTAGCTGTTAAACCGACGCTTGAATGCCACAGTCTGGGATCACCAGAGGCAGGACAACCTCACATAGGGCTCCTTCAGGCCCTACAGTCACTGAGGGCCCCTGAGGCCACTCCAAACCAAATTCTCACTGGTAGTGAGGATACAGCCCATAACGGGTTCTATTTCTGCCAAAAACTTTTTGCTATTTTCTCCTGGCATTTTTCAAATGCATGTTTAGTAGACAATCAACTCCCCATGTGTCTCTCTCCATATAATTGTCTTTAAAAAACTGCCATAGGATTTGTCTACAAAACCTTCTATTTTAGGTAAAGGTGTAGAGGATTCTGCATGTGACAGTCCATAAAGCTTTTCCTGGTTTTTTGTACCTCCCTCTTCTCTCACATTAATGTTTCATTTGGTATTTAATGGACAGGCTTAAGATAATTTTTAACCAATCTGCTATTGATGGACACTTAGGTCATTTCTATTATTTTAATTATTCATTGGATGTCTTTGTTTAAATGGCATTTCATGTATTAAAACAGATCCTTATGATAATTCAAGATAAGGTAAAAGTGTGTGTGTGCGCATGCACACGCCACATACATCTCTTTTTCAAAGCATGTTTTAAACACTGGAATAGAATACAGAAAACTGCACAAGGCATGTATGTACTTCATAAAAGACTTAAAGCAAGCACCAGTAAAATATTACCAGCACCCCTCAAAGCCTTCCTAAGCCCCTACTCTTTATAATCCCTATTGCCCCTCCAGAAGTAACGACTGTCTTTATTTTGTGATAATCATATAATCATCATAAGAGAGGGAAAAAAATCCATCTTGAAGAACTGCAAACCAGAGGAAAGAAACTGCAAATGAGATCTGAACGCATGTAGGATTTAACTGAAAATCATTTGAAGGCTGACTTGTTGTAAGCCAGTTTCCTGCCTTTCATCTTTGTTCCTGCCTGCTGCCTACCCAGGGACGACATAAAAATAACACAAGCAAGACGGAGGGAGGAACGTAGCTGGGAAGTAGAAATGTACTCACCACAGGGCAAGTCGTTGCTCAATTTCCTTGAGAAAATTAGTATGAAATTTGTGCAAAGGTTCAAAATTCGGGAATATGAGACTTTTCAGTGCTTCCGGCATGGCGTCCTCTTTGCTCACTGTGCTCTGAAACCACTGGAAAGAAGAAGACGATGCACTTACGGGTGGAAAGATCAATGACGAGTGTCTGCAGTTTTCTCCAGAAGTCACATGCAGCCAAATGCACTGGGAGGAGCCAGGGCTTTCCTGCGAGGTTCTTGGCATTTCAGGAACACGGGGCTGCCCGGGCCTTACTGCTTCCCCTTTCTTTCCTTAGACGGGGTAAGAAGCACCCATCTGTATATTACTGCTTTCTGCAGTTTGCTACCCATTGACTGTTAAAGCCAGGAGAAATCTCTTAAATGGGGAACTACTCGAATCAAAACCTCCATTCTGGCCGATTCACTGGATAACCACTAATTTATGACCACTGAATATTCTGTGCTTCATTCCTTTAAGAACTTCCATCTCTGTTCCTTTGTTAAAACACTGGGCATGAAGGTGGCCAAACCTGGGAATAAAGCCACAGCCTTCACACAAAGTCACTCCTGTCGCTGAGGTGAGCTGGGTTCACAACGCTTAGCGAGCACCTGTCAAGGGCCTAACACAATCCACAGCCCAGAGGATCAGAAACTCAGTGATCCCAATTTCCCTCCCAATTGGCTTGTGCTTTCCCAGAATCCAGGGGTCAGGAAGACATCTGCAATGCCCTGAATTTGTTTTCAAGACTGAGCAGGACTGATTAAAATAATAAAAGGCGGTCTTCTGGCAGATTTTGCGGACAAGGCTCAATTTATTATCAAAGATAAAATGAATCTCCTGTTCACCTCCGAGGTCTCCCGTGAACAAAAATCAGCAGTTATACTTGGCAATGGGCAAAACACGACATGTTCTGGACTGGTGCACACAGATGGTAAAATGTTTAATTTTAATTTTCTCTGCCTTAGGAACTTCCTTCTTTTGCACTTGAAAATCATCATTATCAAAAATGTTATAGCATATATTCCCAATTAAATATACTATTAGCATTTAATTTCTATACCCTAGGACCACAATCCTTTCAACTGAAGTCAGCGAATCCAACATTTAATTAGCTCCAGCCTCCCCGTATAGCTGAGTATTAGCTGAGATAAATCATGTAATCGAATGCTTTTGGGGAAATACTGCACATACCGAAGTGATAACTTCGAGATCCTTCAGATATGTTCGCTCGGTGGTAGACACTTCCTTAGCTATGAAGTACGCTTTATCAGTTGGGAATCTCTGCAAAACCCAGCAAAAGAAACAAAGCGCAATAATCATTTTTGAGTATGCGTCTCGGAGAATGTCCTCATTAAAGTGATATGTTACTAACTTGTGATCTTTTGTTAGCTGGCATCAACAAGAAATAAAATTCTTATTCTCCTTTTTGGGTTAGGAGAATAAATAAGAATGTATTCTCCTTTTTGTGTTAAGAGAATAAATATGAATTACTCTCCGTTTCATGTGAGGAGCTAGGCTAAGATAATGGATTTCCATGATGAGAATATAGTCTAGGAAGGTTTCCTTCCAGGTAAAAATTACCGTCAGCAAAAGGACTCAAATTAGGCAAAGGAAATACATAAAAAAGGAACTGTCTCGTCCTATGTCCGTTGGTGGAGTTGGTGTTCATGACATGGAAGTTACATTGTGGGAACACATGGTAGCTGGGTCTAAAGGGACAGGGGTGAGATCAGCTGGTGGCATCATCGGCCTGAACTCCCTTGGCGGCTGTCAGTCAGGTGGGCAGCCAGCCCCACCGTGGAGGAGGCCGGCCATTCAACCTTGCTTTCTCTTTAAACAATAAGTGCAAGGAGGTCGCCTGTTGTCCGCCATTTTGCCCACTTCTCATAGGAGTCCACCTGACTCCACTGCTGGGTGTACACACAACAGACTTCAAAGCAGAGACTCAAACAAATACCTGGACACTCATGTTCACAGCAGCCAAAAGGTGGGAACCACATGACTGTCCATTAACAGAAGAATGGATAACAAAGTGTGGTTTATACACACAGCGGGACATCACTCAGCCCTCAAATGGCAGGCAATTCTCACCCATGCTACATATGGATGATCCATGAAGACAGAATGCTAAGTGAAATAAGCCAGTCACAAAATGGCAAATACTGGGTGATTCTGCTTATATGAGGTACCTAGAGTAGGCAAATTCATAGAG
This sequence comes from Homo sapiens, assembly GCF_000001405.40. Classification (NCBI taxonomy): domain Eukaryota; kingdom Metazoa; phylum Chordata; class Mammalia; order Primates; family Hominidae; genus Homo; species Homo sapiens. Next base: position 98,409,802 of record NC_000013.11, on the reverse strand, counting down.
ACAGAAAGTAGAATGAGGTGCCAGTGGCTGGCAGGAGGGGGAAGGAGGAGTTAGTGACAAATGGATGTAGTTTCTGTTTGGGAAGATAAGTTCTGGAGATGGATGGTCGGGACAGTGGCACAACAACATGAATGTACTTAATGCCAGCAAGCTGTACACTTGAAAATGGCTCACATGGTACCTTTGCTCTTATGTATATTTTAGTACAATTTTTAAAATTCACACAAACACACGTGCACACACAGCCACACACGCGCTTGAGCCCTCGGCCCTGTACCTTCCTCCGGCCCTCATCCTCATCGTCCGTCCGGGGGCAGGCCTGGTCATTCAGCAGCGGGCTGATCAAGGGAGAGGCCTGCTTGGTGTCGGGGCTCAGGTTGGGAGACAAGGTCACGTTGGCAGGGGCCACTCCCCCCTGCGAGTTCACAGACAGCTCGGAAAGGTGAGGACTGCCAGTCAGGGAGCCTGTTTGGGGATGAGAAGTTTTAAAGAAAAAAAAAGTAATTTTTTTCTGGGACCTGATTTCTATTCACTACTTTCACCTTTTTCAAATCGTAAGATTTGACTACCCCGCCATGGCAAACCTAAAGCGATTCTTTATTTTCTAGTTTTTTTCCTAAGTCAAAGCTGCCTTAATAAAGATACCAAAGTATGAAGGATTCAATGGAGCCTCATTACGTAATTAATGATAAGATAGAGAACTCTGCTTAGATAGCAATTAAAATAGCTTAAAAGCATAGTGTATCCCGAAATAGGAATTTCATCTCCCAACTACTGCTTACTTCTAAGAATTACTCAAGAAAGACACAGTGTCTATGTCACAATGAGACATGGGGAAATGATTAGAAAATACAACTATACTAACAGGCATCTAAGCAACTGCTGTACTTAGGACACACTACGTCCCGTAACAATGGGTCACAGCTAACAGAAAGGTCAAGCAACTAACTCCCCATTCTACAAAGAACAGAAGCAAGCTTGTTATACCTGGTGATGTCATTCCATGTCTCTCACTGTTTGGGACAGAAACACTAGCATCACATTACAGGCATATGTGATCACTTCAACATGCAAAAGCAGACGTCATTATATTATCACAATTTCCCTTTATAAGATAAAAGTGACAGGGTACCATGAGTCCTTGAGAAAGGATACCATAGTAATATGAAAATGTGGCCAGGCGCAGTGGCTCGCGCCTGTAATCCCAGCACTTTGGGAGGCCGAGGCAGGCGGATTGCCTGAGGTCAGGAGTTTGAGACCAGTCTAGCCAACATGATGAAACCCCGTCTCTACCAAAAATACAAAAACATTAGCTGGGCATGGTGGCGGGTGCCTGCAATCCCAGCTACTTGGGAGGCTGAGGCAGGGGAATTGCTTGAACCAGGTAGGTAAGGTTGCGGTGAACTGAGATCGCCCCACTGCACTCCAGCCTGGGCGACAAAGTGAGACTCTGTCTCAAAAAAAAAAAAAAAAAAAAAAAGTATATATTACCCGCTATGAGTCAGCCAAGGGAGATGATATGTATAGGACACTCTTTGCCAATACACTTTTGCAAATATCTGTATCTCAACCCAATGAAGCTACATGGGATGTTTCAGAATATACTTCTAACCTAAGTGTTTTTGTCTAACACTTATATTTATACTAATAAAGCAGATTTGCTAGAGCTAATATGAGGTAAGCAAAGTTAAAATAACCTGCAGTCCTGTCTACTACCATGATAAGGAAAGACAAAGTCAGCGCTTTCTCAATTTCCCAGTCTACAGTTTCAGGCTCGCTGCTACTTGGTACGCTGAAGATCTCTAAGGGAAAAGGTGGAGGGCGGTTTTCTAGGAGCACCCCCATTTTCCTGTCATCTGTTCTCACCCTCTGGAGTCATGCATGTGCATTTTGGAATTACAAGATACAACAGCCTACCTAGAATGGAGCTGATGAAGTAAGGGCGGTGAATTTGGTCCCAGTATAAATGAACCCTGGAGAAACCACCACCAGCCCCCACCCTTGGTGCCAGGTTGAGCAGTCAGCAGCACCGCCAACACAGTGGAGGAAGATCCACTGTACCTGGAGAATGACAAAAGGCAGACGTCCTGCCCACGGACTACTGGTTAGTGCAATGATCCTTGGATAGCAAGATTAGAAAATGTGAGGAAAAGGCAGATTCAGTAAGCTTGCATTTTTAAAATCCCTCTGCTTTTAAATCCTCATGTTTTTTAATATACCTCACTAACATGAAGCCTTGTGTTAGACAAAGACCCCATCACCCGAAACACCACCAGACCCAGAAAACCCCGGAGAAAAAGGCCAGAAATTGCTTCACAAATGTCAATTTTATTGACACTAGTGCACAACTAAATACAATAATTGCAAAGGAAGTGGAACGTGTCAAACAGAAATGGTGACAATGAGTTAGAACTGCAGTTGTTTCAAGGTACTACACTATTATTTAAAAAAAAAAAAATCACAAAAAGAAAAATGTTATCACTACAAGTAGGAATTAGAAGAGAGAAATTCTGGCAGTCTGTCTAGAGGTTAAAACATTTCATGCATTTGTGAGTTGCTGTTGGAGAGTTGTTTTTTATTTGTCCACCGTAATCTGGCAACATCCGGGGCTTACCTTCAGCTCTCGCACTGTGCGTGAGATCGGGTGAGGCAGTTATAAGTGAGAGCATGCTGGACACCTTGACTTTGCAGTGACGTGGAACAGAAAAAGCATTCACCTCATCATTGAAAGAGTTGGAGCCGAGAATAAAAGGTAGTTAGAAGGCTAGTGGGAAGGGGAGCGGAGGCAAGGAAATAGCAACTAACAGGCCCTAGACAGCATCCGGCAACAGAGAGGAAAAGAACTGCCACTCGGGGCAAGGGAAAAAGTAGGGGGAGCACACTCCGATACAGCCACCTCCACTCTCAAAGGCCAACAGCGAGCACCCTTGCTGCACTGCACCTGGGAACACACATTTAGGGGACAGAGCAGTTGGAAGAAATGAGGTAACAGACTATGGTTCCATAAGAGAGCCTGCCTCGCCAAGAAGGCGTGCCACGGTTCAGAACAATCCCCACTGTGCTACAGAGGAGACAGGACTCAGAAAACAGAGGGCCGAGTGGGAACTTCAGGGTCACCTGTGTACCTAAACGAAGGAACAGCTCAGGATTAGCCCACAGGCTGCTGGGGGCAGGCTTGCTGCATTTCACTCACGGAGCCTAAAGATGTCAGTAACAACTACTTAATATGTGCGCTCTGCAGACTTGGAACGACAAAATTAGGGTGGTCAGTTGGCCTTTTCCCAAGACGCTACTCCAGCTTTGCTTATAGGGCCTAAGAAAGAAAGGGCAATGGGTGTGTTTAAACAGCAAGACCAAGAAGCCAATAAATATCAAAGTCTGGTCTAGAAATCTATCAGCATTTTAAGGAAGGGAAAGGCCTGAAACTCTACAGTTCAGTTTTGCTAATTTGAGCTGCATCTGTGGAGAAGAGGCCCCTTCTCTCTTTGCAAGATAAACAATCCGAGGCTTTGAAAATGTACAGGTGACGTGGTCCAAACAAAATATGTAACTCATTTACCTTTCAGCAATTAATGAAATATGCTGACAAGGGGGCAATTAGTAGAATTTGGCAGCTTGATGAGTAATTAAAATTCTCTTTTGACTTTGAGCCAGGGTGTGTGACAACAGTCTGTACAAACTGGTGTCCATACCAGCAGGTGGGAAGAGCTGTGTCTATAAAAAGCCAATGTCCAAGGTCACAGAGTTATTAGAACTACGTGGAATCAATTTTTCACTGAAGTAGTCCATTTTACAAAAAAGCAAACAAACATGGTTCTGTTGTTAGGTAAAATGAGCCCGGTTTGATTTATATGGCATTATAAAGCTTGTTTACACCTTGCAGTCTGTCACCTGCTTTGAAGGCACAGCCCCGGGCAACGGGGAGAGGAAACTGTGACTGACATTCATTGCTACTCCATGAAATTATCAATGCCTCGGTATTTCTAGCACTTCTCCCTTTATGACAAATTAATGCAAAGTAATTTCATTAGGGAACTCGAGGTAAATAATTTGGGGGGACCCTAAGAGGAAGCACCTGCTATTAAGGCAATAGGTGGAAAGAAGTTTAAAGAGATTAGAAAAAAGATCAGTCACACACCGAAAGTCTGGAGGCTTTGAATGTTTTCAAAATTATTTTTCCTATTTCCTGAAATTGCCCTGCAATTTCTTAGGCATTCAGTTAGATGTCAGGTTAGTAGCTCTCAAATCCTTCACCTCTTCCCCATGATTTCATGACCCCTCCCGCCACCCTGCCATTCATCTAGAAGAGGTTTGGGTTTATGCTGCCCCCCTCAGACTGAAAACACCTCCAGTCATACAGCTCTCAAGGGAGGCATTTCTAGTAATTGCTTTATAAAATCCTTTCAAATGTACACATTCTCATGGCACAAACAATTACGGAACTTCAAATTAGCACTGCTATATTTATGGATTTCAATTTATCACCCAGACCAGAAACTGCCTGCGCTGCTCTCTCTTTGTAATTTAAAACACGCTCATCATTCTTCCCTCTTGGCCGGTCTGGGGAAGCTGGGTTTGCAGCATCTTGATCAGCTCTTCGGCAGAGCTGCTGAAAGGCAGTGGGAGGAGACTTTATCATCAGTGAGCCAAAGCCAGGCCTTTCTTCCCGCTTTGGGATTGGGCACAAGCTGCCTGTTAACCATGTACCGGTATTCAAGGCTTCAAAACAAACTCACACAATTCTGGGAAAAGAAAAACATTTCTAATCTATTTTTCAAGTGATAAAAACGGCATTTCTAGTACTTAACTGTACCTGTCCTGTTTTTTAAATGGGTCTCAGTTTTTAACCACATAGGTATTATTTTTTCCTATAAAGGGGGAAACTAGAAAAACTGACAACTAAAAAAATAGTAATCCAAGATATGCTTATTGAATAGCTAATATCTGACAGAATACTGACAAAAATGAGACTACTGATTGCATTCTCAATTTTTCTTTTCCAAAATTTTAAAGTGCAATTATAAAAAAGTTTCTATGCTTTTTCTTCAATATTCCCCCACATAAAATTATTTATTTTGCAATCTTCTGGGTGCCACTTATCTACCATAATTTGTCTTCTTTTATTCTGTTCTAAAACATAGGAGATTTTCTCTCTATGTGCCCAGAATATGCTCAAAAGGCCCAAGTAGGAAATATATTAGAGATGTAGGTTTTCATCTATTTTTTTGAAAGGCTCTATTTAAATCCATACGCTCTAAGAGGATACAATGAAACCTCTCTTGAGATTATCCCATTTGAAAGCCAGTTATCAAAAAAAAGGGCAGTATTATGCTGAATAATACGTAGCTTCCTGAATAGGCAGGACTCACTAGCGTCTGATATCTAAGTTGGGGCTCAGTGGAATACGCAAAGCTGGCGGTATTTTATAGAAATTACAAAGTTCCACAAGAAAAGCCAGGTTATAGGATTACCCATGTTAGCAGTGTGGTCCTCTTCTTGATACCTGAGGTTGTTGAGGGTAATGTATGTGTGCTTCTTAGACCCAGTTCCTTTAAGAAAAGTTTCACAAGCAGCTAAGCATCAGCTTCACAGTTCATCATCAAGCAATTCAGAAAAGCAATAGCAATGCAACTTGCAGGAAAAGAATTGAAATGCACTAATGGAAAAATGAATGTGCTACCTTGTTCTTACTTATGAGGAAAAGACACAGGAGAATGCTGCTTTGTTTGAACACGGTGGTGGTGATGGTGGTGGTGATGTTGGTAGTAGCAGTGGTGGTGGTGATGGTGGTGGTGGTGGTGGTGGAGGCAGTGTTTGGGTTGGGAACATGGTGCTTCGTACCAATGAAAAATACCATCTTGTACTCAGGACAAAGCTTCAGCCATCAGTGGGAAAGAACAGTTACAATGGACAGTTTTTACAGCATGATACCTGTTAGGACAAGTAAAAGCCCCTTCAGTTTAGATCAACAAGAGATATATTAATACCGTGCATACACTGTGACATGAGCTTGGCCTTCCATGCTCAAAGAACCACCAAGCTCATTGTTACTGGAGAAGCCAGCATTCTTCCCAGTGGTATGAGTCCATGCTTTATTGACGTACTTCATTGTTCCGCCATGGAGAGAAGAAGAAACCAGACAGCATCTGTGAGAACCTACATGTTGGGTGCCCACCAAAATGAAAAACAGCTCCTTGGCCATCAGAAGCCAACTGGGACCAAGTCAGGTGAGGCCTTTTCTACATTCCCACCCACTTCCCCACCCAGCAACACACACACGTATCTACATATCTATAAGCTAAATTCTCTTACAGATATGACATAGGTAAAGGTTTCTATCCCAATTGAAATAGATGTTTCCATTCAAAACATAAAGGCAAATCCATGGTTGGCTGTCTAGGCTCTCCATGCAAGCTACAGTCACAGATGCGTTCTGTTTCAGTGAGACCTCTCCTCTAGCTACAGTGATCCTGCTCACCTCTAAGGGCCCCCCTTCTCCCATGCACTGCCCAAAGTATAAAGTGCAAGCCTTGTTGGAAGAGCAAAGTTCACCTCTTCTTTTCCCACTTTAGTGAAATATGGCATCACCCAGGACGATCACTTAGGATGCTTCCACATGAAAGCTTGCACTTTGGGGAATAGGATCACTGTATTCTAGAGGAAAGAGGTATTCCAAGTACAAATTGGTATTCAGCAGTGTTAAAAAAAAAAAAAAAGACATCAGACAGTGCTCCAACAGTGTAAGAACAGAAGCTACACCATGCTTTGAGGGTAAAGACAGAACGCTGAAAACAAAGCGTTTTCTCCTAGATAGGTACATGCTGACAAGACACTGCATACAATGGAACAACGGAAAATGTTTTCCCAAACTGATTAAACAAATGACAAAAATGAGAATGAAGTCCCCAGCCTTTTCTATTTCAAATTAATTTGGTGTATTAGAAATTTTAAATAAAACATATTATCTACAGTATTAAATATACACACAGAGAGAACAGAAGGGAATTTGATTAATAATATAGGCCAAGCTGGTGAGGTTTGGTTAGTTAGGTTTTCACAGCAACCTTAGGAGGCAGAAACAGGAGTATGGGTAAGGGATTTATCCATCAGCCATTCTTGGTGCTTCTGGAGCGAGCAGCCAGTGTGCGTCCTTAACTAAGGAAGACCTATCTTCAGTCTTTCAATAAATCACTGCAGGGAAAGTGACAAATGCTTTACTTCCTACAAAGAAACTTTGAGGCCCAGAAGAAAAAGGAGTCGTTAGCTTGGTTTCAAGAGCCAGAAAAGGTCATCTATGAGTAATAACAGACTGGTCACCATGCCACTGCAGGCTCCTAAGTGACCCTTCTATCATTTCCCACTTTAAGGCCAGCTATCAATCCTGATTCATAATAAAGCAGACTCACTCCCTCACAACCCCCACACCACTACCGCCTCCACATCTCACTCAAAAGTGGAGTCAATCACTGTCCGATGCATTTTACTCCACACACGCACACCTGCCCGGTAGTCCTCGCTCCCTCCTTAGCGTCCTTGGTCTGTGTGCTTTTCCATGTTGCAGTGATTTCTAACTACTCCTCACTCCTCAACATTCTGCAATTGCTGCACCTGGCCCCAGCAGCACACTCCAGTATCTCACAGCACGATTTTCCATGACCGCACTGGCGGCGCCGGCCCTGTAGAGTTAACCTTTTAGACTGGCTTTCAACTACTCATGGAGATCAGATATCCCGTGGCAAGTTGATTTTTAATCTTCCCTACTTTCAAACAGAAAGCCACTCCAAGACAAATCAGAGTAACCTGATCTGGAGACTACATGAAGATGCAAATGCACTGCCTCCACTCCAAGTAACACTCCAACACCGGGCGCCGAGAAGATGCTGAAGGCTTGGTTTCGAGGCTACCATGCTGTGATGTCTGTGTCGAGTGGCCAATCTACACCGAAATGATCCTGAATAAATCAGAGTCTATTCAATGTTTAAAGCTTTCAGGAAAAGAAGATTTTCTAATTCTTCCCTAGCATCTACCAAGACGTTTAATTGCTTTCACTAGGGGTTAAATAAAAAAGTTCCTCCTGCTTGAGGTTTCATCTTTTTTTTTTTTTTTGGAGTGGTGTGCAGTTTATTTTATGAAGTGAGAACTTTTTTCAAAACAAGACGCTATCTCCCCTCCTCCCAAACACACATATGGCACAATAAATCAGCATTTACCACTTCTGTTCATGGGGAAATGCTTGGAAATCTCTCTCTAGGTTACTCTAGGAAATGACAAAGTTGCCCTTTTCAAGGATATACCCAAACAGCTAGCACCAGGCCACTTTTGATCTGTGATGTCTACAACTCCAGGCCAAATCATCATACAGATTGTGTGTGTGTGTGTGTGTGTGTTTTGTCATTATTTTTTAATAGAAAGAAAACTGTTATATTAAGTGTCACGCTAATTTTGGCCTAAAAGTCACAGCTTCATTTTAAATCCCAACAACTGGGAGAGGTGTGTACATGTGCTCACTAGAGACACCATTTTTATTAAGTTTCACTCAATTAAACAGAAACAGATGGAATTAAACTAACAAGGAAAAAAAACAGTACCAGTAAATTCTTTAATGTTGTCAGAGTAAATGTCTTTATGCCGCTCACAGAAGTTCATTCAATCGTACCTTTCTCTCCATATGCTCTTACGGGCTTGGCTAACAGAGAGCCAATATAAAACTCATCAGAGAGCTACCATTTTAAGTGGAAATGGTAGCAACGGATTATTTTTAAATGGCCACCTCTTTAAATTTATGCCTGAGGTTGTAATTTTTTGAATTTTTGTAATCAGACCTTGATGATGACCGTGAGCAGTAAGATATAAATAACTCCCACATGCTTAGCGTTCCAATAATGGAACACTACACATACATGGCTAGGGTTCAAAGAAACTTGCTCTGTTACAGGGATTACCTAGAAAGACTCTTCTGCAGTTCAATTTGTAAAATTTAGCAGCAATAGAATAGACTCATACCATCACACTAGAGGAAGGCCAGTCTTAGAACTAAGTCCATGACCATCAGAGGAGAAATGTTTACAGACCATAAAAGAGAAAGTCCAGAGAAAAAAAGTCTTTCTGGGGAATGTAACTTTAAAAGCTCTTAAAAATCTAGCTAATCAGAATAAGGTCCCAGGCAAAGAGAAGGGATCCAGATAGAAGCAAATAAAACCAACATAAACCTGATAGTTAAGGGAACCCAGATTTGTTAATTTAAGACTGGGTCTGCCTGTAACGCAATTACTCACTAACAGCTACAGTTTCACCAAAGTCATTCTGTGCTGAAATACGGAATAATGCTTTAAGTAGAAACAGTGGACTGAAAGCATGCGAATACTGATTACAGGTATGAAACAGAGAGCTGTGTGCACACTCATGGCAGTTTCAACAACATTTAAAATGACAGATTAATATTTACATTGTTTCTTCCTTTAGAAATTGCTTGACAACAAAACCAAATTTTTGTTTTTGGCACCAAATTCCAGGGCTAATAACCAAAGTTGAGTTTCTGATGCACATTCAGAGCAGACTGGATTTTGTATATTTGGTGGAAATTTTGAGAGGCTCGTGCTATGTTTTAGTTTTGCAGGCCTAGCTTTTTTCAGCATTGCTTGGCTTGAATCTTCAAATAAGTTCTTGAGAATAAAATCAGAATTACTTACATTTTAAGTGCAGGCCACATGGCACAATTGGGGGGAGATAAATCAGAAATTTCCAAATATGAATCACACATGCAGGGAAGAATCTGGCCCACAGACTTCCTCTAATTAAACGCCTATCTAATAAAATATTGTCAATGGCATACAGATGACTGTTCAAGGAGCTGAAGCCATTTATTTTGAGTTCTGGAGCTCATTAAATGTATTTCTTCATGCTAAAAGAATTTCTTGCGTTTTTATTTTGCCCTTAACAAGCGGCAGCAAAGGCAACCACAAAAGGGTCTAAAATTCACATATTTTGAAATAATATCCAACAAAAGATATTAGCACAAGGAGGCCCTCGAGTAGCCAACAGTGGCTTTAAGATTTGTGTTTACATAGGGCTTGTCTTCCATTCACGGTCTTAAGATAGCACGTCACAGAGCAGCCAGTGAGTGGCTGGTATCTGAAGGCCTGGGTCCCCTATTGAGTCAGGAGACCCCTACACTAGCTATTGTCCTAGAAAGATTGGTTGAGAGGTCTCAGGAAACCCTTTGGAAATCTGAATGCATTCAGAAGTCTGTAATATCTGCTACCTAGTATCACACCCAACCCTACCTCTGGCCTTCCTCCACTCTTAGTTCAACTTCATGCACACGCATGCCCTTGTTAAGCTAGAATGAGATCTGCAGGCTGGGTAAAGACCTGGGGGACTGGAGTCTCCCCAAAGTCAGAAGGTTTGGAGGGTGGCAGGGTAGATGCTGCTGGCTTTTCCTGACTGAGCTCTTCACAGTGACACTGAGGAGACCACATCACCTCAGCAAACGTGCTCCACCAGGCTCAAAGAATGTATAAACGGACCCTTTGGCCAATGTTATAGAATCTTTATTAGCATAGGACAAGCTCCTCTTGAGGCAAGTAGTGACTATTCGCAGCACATCAGGATGTATGATAAACAGCCTTTAAACAAACTGTAAGCACCATTAATTACACCAGGATTGCTGCTTTTGTGAATACTGGCCAAGAAGCAGAAATTAAGTTGCTTGCCTGGTACAAAGCCAGTGAGGGAAAAACTCTATGAGCAACTCTTAAAGTGAAAAATCTCATCAATACACAACTGAGTATACTGCCATTGATCAACTGCTCTTAAAATACTTAGATAAAAATCACTGCTGTAGGAAAAAGCAAAACAAAATAATGATTGAAGCGTGTTTTGCTCGGGGATGCTTACATTTGACGATTCCTGTCATACGCTGTGTAAGTTCATACCTAGTGCTCAATCGTATTTCATTACCAGACTGCTGTATAATTAGAGGGAAAAAGAAAATTCATTTGAACAAACCACTTTCACAGATAAACCACAGGATTCCACACTTGGCTCTGTTTAACTCACACTTCACTGAACACTCATAGCAAATTGACATTTTTCCTATGTCTGAACAGATTATGCAAAAATGTGTTATAACTGCAAAACCCTCACCATATAAAAAGAAGTAGTTCTTCCCACCTATTATGGCCTGTAATTGCCTAAGTCTACTTGATCACTAGTCTCCACATCCGATTTGAATTATTAATTCATATGACTCTCCAAAATTAAAATATTGAATCAAAAAGCTCCTATTGCACCAAGATATCACAGAGATTAAAAAAGTGAAGCCTAGAGACGAGGTTACAGTTTCAGCTTTGTCATGCAATAGCTGTATTAGTTATGCAAAGTCACTTAACTTTTTCAGAAGAAATGAAGGTTTGCCCAGAAGAACCTCTGAGGTCCCTTCCAGTTTAAAAATTCTGTGATTCTGGTTAAATATATAAATTCAAAGCAAGGCGTAAATAGACTACTTCAATGAACAACTCTCAAACGATCCAACAATCAGCTTGATTCAATCAGGCACTGAATCAAATGATTAGGAAAACAAAACAAAAAAAGTCTGTATAAAAATGGATTAAGTGTTCAGACTCTTTAAAACCGACTTCTGGACATTCATGTGGACAGATATCATTTGTCAATGAGACGAGCCGATCCTCCTCCATTTTCTATGCTGCTGCCAAATTCTACTCAGTGTCCTAAGCACGCCTGGTGCTTCCCTTGTGATCGGGTCGCGTGATGAGCCCAGTGAGGCCCTGGTATGGTGGCACATCAGGGAGCTATCCTTGTTAGGACTCTTTTCAATAATTTTGTAGTTACTTAGGATCTAAAAATTTTATTCTACAATTTATCTTTTTTTTTTTTTTTTTTTCAAAAAAAAAAGTACCTAAGGCTGAAAAGTACAAATCACAGGCATCAAGAAAAAGCAGTTTGTTTGTGATGTTTTTCTTACTCTGCAAGCAAGCCAAAAATTTAGCTAACACTTTTACTGTATTCCACTAGATTCGAGACAGCCTGGGTAAGAAGTGACCCTGGCTGCCCAGTACAAACAGCTGGGAAGCCCAAGGAGCACTCAAGACCAATGAGATCAAAATCCCTAGGGTCAGGGTCCCGGCATCACTAATTTTTAAAATATCTCAGAAAATTGCAACGTGCAGCTAAGGCAGAGAAACTTCAAGTGAAAACCAGGCTCTTTAATCTAAAATGCAGGAATGCTGGGTGAAAGGCAGTGACACTGGTGGGCAAGATTTAAAAAGAAGTCAATCTCTCTCTCCTTACATTTTCTTTTTTCTGGCTCAGAGAAACATCCAAGTATCACTATTCCCAACAGAGGACACTGTTCACCAGAGTGTGAATGGTAAGACTGTGTCTGTACACCAACCAAGAGCAACCATGCTGGAAAACAGTCCTTCTCTGCGCTGTACACAATTCAAAGGCAGGCATTTAGTTTGTTGACCTACTGGTGACAACAGTGCCTATTTCAAGGTGTTGCTCTTCCCTGCATCCACACTCAATAGGATTTCAGTTTCACCAAGAGATTCTGAGAGGCAGAATTGTACTTCTTAAAACATAACAATATGATCCACCAATGCAAACCTAAACCAAACCAGCAATCCCTAGTAGATCACAATTCATGAAGATTTGACAACTTTTCTAGTATTTCACAGGAAGCCTGGGAAGCAGAAATAACCCCAAATTCTTCCCATTAAAATATTCATTATTCTTGACGAAAGATTTCACCAACATAATCTCAACTAGCTATCAATTTACATTTGGCCTTGAATAGTGCCAATTCCTCACTTCATGAGGCATGGACAAAGCAGCCCTCCTTTTAAAGAAGGGGAGAATGGGAAACCCTTTTCTGTAATCTCAAGGATGCTTCAGTTCAAACTCTCAACCAACAGGAGGGTGAGCTGCATAATTGAACATACACAGAAAATTGCCATATAAATATAACACACTATACACATGATCGGATTCATAATAAAGTGTTTCTTCCTAGCCTTCAACCAGCAAAATAAACAAGCTCCTGAGAACTTGTCATTAGGACTTGCTGTTTATCTTGCCCACCTTTTCTGGAAAGCAAGCCACTTATGTGAAGTTTTGTTTTTCTTAACGATTTTAGAAGTCAGGCAGACTCTTTCAAACATGTGCCTGTCCAAAATCTCCTCTAACAAATGTAGACTACAAATGAATGAGTCACTAGAACAGATGATCTTTAGGGAAACCCTGGTCTCGTGACCCCAGGTTGCTCGGGCTGAAGACTTGGCTCCTGGCCTCCTCACTCATCCTCCTCCTGTTCCTCACTCATCCTCCTCCTGTTCCTCACTCAAACGCAGGCCACCCAAGGACCCCCGGCTTCTCAGCAGGGACGGGGAACGCAGCACTGCGGGGTTACCAAATATGAGGGGCTGACTCCCGGGGATCAGCATCTCAGAGTCTGACTCACTGGACTCAGTCCCACTGCTGGTGGAGCCCTCGGTCACTTGCAGGGGTGCCAGCTGCCCCGCCATGCCTCTGGCACACACCGACTGCACAGCAGGGACCTTAGAGGCTGCACCCATGGGGGGTGTGCCATTAGCCAGGCTTCTACCCTCGGGAGCAGCTGCGCTGGCTTGCCCCCACTTCCCACGGCCACCAAGCCCATCCATGGCCTCCGGGGTAAATGCTACCTGGCTAAGGATGAGTGGATCTGTCTCTGACTTATTACATCTACCAGGAAGATTCCGCATGTATGGCCTTGGCGAGGTGGGGGACCAGCGTTCATAAGGAGGACCCTGGTCCGGGAGAGTGTCTTCTCCCATACTCCCCTCTCTATGGTCATGTCCATTTTCCGAAACATAGCCTTGAGACCCAGTTCTGTCCCAACTCATATTTGGACTTGAACTGCTGCTGCTGGGAGACAATGGGGTGGCCAGGGGGCTGTGACCAGCCGAGCCCTTGAACATTTCATCTATGAGAGAGCTATGCCTTGGGAGTCGAGGGCTCCCGCTCATATCAAAGGTGATGTCTGCTGAATCGTCATCAAGGAATTCTCCGGAAGGAGGCCGGGAGGACTTCGCAGAGTGCGGGGAAGCCCTACGCCCAGCCTCTCTTCGCCCCTCCTCCCTGGACAGCAGATAGACACCGCTGGTCAGATCACCCTCATAATTGTCATTTGTTTGGGACCGGGACCGGGATCGGGACCGGGATCGGGACGCTTGTTCTCTAAGAAGGTCGTATTCGCTATCTACGTCACTGCAGTCAATGAAAGGAATGGAAGTACTGCTGCCTCTGGCAGCCCGGGATGCTGGACCTGTGCTTGGCTGCGGGGGCTGAGGTTTACTCTGCTGGGTCCTATCCTTAACGACCTCCTCCTCTTCCTCCGTGGGCGCCGAGGCGGCTCCGTCCGCCTGCTTGTTACCCGCGGGGCTTCTCCTCGGCGCAGGGCTCGGGTGCGACCCCGGCTCCCCGGCGGAAACCTTCGGTTCCTTTCCTCGCCGGCAGCTCTGGCCCCCTGGAGATTCGGCACCTTCTCCAAATGTAAGGCTGGTGCTCTGCTGAGACTGGGTGGGGTGGGGAAAAAGGTGCGGAGAGATAGAGAAGAGGGAGACTGTTATTCCAAGGCTGAAAACAGAAAAGGAGAGCCAGGCAAGAACACCCGAGGCCTCTGCGGCGGGAGAACTGCCCCGGAGCTCTCTGGCCTAGCAGCAATCACGGAGGCACATCTGGGCATGATCCAGAAGGTTCCTTCAGGGCGTGGCGGCTGACAGCACTGTTCCCGGCAGCACAAGCCCGGCCCGGTCTCTGCTTTCCAGGACCCGCCGACTCATGCTGGGGTTTGCTTTGCTTTTCTTTTTTGGAGGGGGAGACAGGATCTTACTCTGTCACCTAGGCTGGAGTGCAGTGCTGCAACCACAGCTCACAGCGGCCTCGACCTCTTGGGCTCAAGCAATCCTCCCAAGTAGCTGGGACCACAGTCCTGCGCCACCATGTCCGGCTAATTAAAAAAATTTTTTTTGTAGAGATGGGGTCTCCCTGTGTTGTCCAGGCTGCGCTTGAACTCCTGGGGTCAAGCAATCCTCCCACCTCAGCCTCCCAAGTGGCTAGGACCACAGGCATGTGCCACCACACCCGGCTAATTTTTAAATTTTTTTATAGAGACTGGGGTCTACGTTGCCCAGGCTGGCTTTGAACTCCTGGGGCCAAGTGATCCTCCCGCCTTGGCCTCCCAAAGTGCTGGGATTACAGGCGCCAGCCACCACGTCCTGCTCATGTTGGGCTTGTAAAGCTTCTACGGAACAAGACGGCCCTTCCAGCCCACAGGGGGTCTCCAGGGAAGGATGGGCAGGCACATCAGGGACCCCTGAAGGCAAGTTGACACAGTCATCAGAAAAACGACAAAGGACATGTTTGCTTATACTTCTCAGGGCAGCCTGGACGGGGAAAGGGGTTTTTTTGGATTCACACGATGAAACCTCCTTTATATTCTTCCCCAAGTTTCTTTTTCTCTTTTAGAGAAAGCCCTGAGAACTTACCCAGAGACCAACTCCAGGGAAAACGAGCTTTTGCCACCCTCAGAGCAAGAGTGATAATGTCTCTTACTGCCAATTGTGGTCACTGCCCTGTAATACAAGCTCTGGGAACTCGCCGACCAGTTCTGTGCCAGCAAAGGCTTCTGGCCTTGGCACCAGGCAGGAGTTACACCCATTGGTTACAAAGCGGGTCCCCATCTCTTCCCAAGTGGACCCATTTAGCTGGAGAGTCAGTCTCAGCTCTGCCCACTGCCGCGATGGTTCCGCCGCTGAGCTGAGTTCTCAGTGGCTTAGAGCACCGCATGGGAGATGAGAAGGCAGCTGAAAACACAACACACTCCACGGCCTCTGAGCCCAGGCTGCCGGCACATGGCACAAAGCCTATATCTGGTCAAAGCCAAGGCCCATAATCAGATTCTCATCTGCTAAAAACCCCAAAGGAAAGGACAGAGAACAAGAAAGCCCGCTCTGAAGCCCAGGGCTCCGTGGAGGAAGTGTGGGGAAAAGCAGAGTTATCATAGGACAGCGCCATCACTGACCTGCTCCAGCACTTCCGAATTCAGTTCTGTAGGCTGTGAAGCAAGGCTCCGGATAGAATGAATCTTGCTGTGCTTCCTGGGAAAAATCACACAAGATCATTAAAGTTAGGTGAGGTTTTTGTTTCTTTTTCCTTGGTTTTAAATGAAACAAAAGTCCTTTTGTTGGACGTATTAGTGCCTTCCTCAATAATGATGGTACCCAGAGCCGCCTTTACAAATGCTACTTGGAAACATACGCAGTCATCCTTTGATAGCACTTGCATGGTTCAAGGGTTACTTAAATCTCGGAGAAATTCTCAGAAGCCCTTGTTGTAGTTCTCACGGTGCAGCTCGTGAAGAAACATTTAGCAACTGAGCAGGACCTTTCTAGTTAAGGGGAAAGTCACAGAGGAGGGAGGATGTGGCTGCGCCCTCCCATGCTCTGAATAGCAAGCTATGGTCTGACAATATGAAATCAATTCATGTACTTTAGGTAATTATTTTCTGGATCAGTTCTATAACAGAGGCAATTACCACTCATCCGCTCACTCTATCAAAGCGGTAAGTTCAGAGGAAAAGGCCTGCCCTCAACAGTAGAAGGAACTGACTTTAACAGCATCTTGACACGTCTCTTTCATCTCTTCCCTCTCAGTCTGCCTATTCCCCTTTTCCCCATCAAACAGGCACTGAAATGCTCAGGTCCTGAAATTCATGAGACTGTGTAAATATAGATTCTATTCCCAGGCACATCCAGCTCTTCTTCAAAATACTCCAGGTTAGCACAGAAAAGCTCTAGAGATCCACATTCTGAATCAGAGAGAGAACTGGGCTATTTCTTACATGGTTTTCAAATACTAACCATTGACTGTCCAGGAAAATTATGGGATTCATCTCCAAAAAAAAAACCTCCTGAAAAAAACCTCCTGAACATGACATTTATAGAGACAGGGCATGAGAAAGCACCACAGATTTGTGGTAGAAGGAAGATGCAGGGATGGCCACAGAAGCAGGTTTATTTCAGCAAAATCAAAACAAAATACTGAAATAATCTGGATGGTTCTCAATAGGCAATCAGAGAAATACAGTGTAGTATCTTCATACTACTGTATGGCCCTTAAAACAGATCTCAAAAAAAAGGTAGTATTAAAAAAGCAAGATGCAGAATTATATATGGGAGTACTTATATGAATGAAAAGAACACACTCAGAGCAGTTTTTCTTTTTTCTCTTTTTTTTTTTTGGGACAGGATCTCGCTCTGTGGCCCAGAGATGGAGGGCAGTGGCACAATCTTGGCTCACTGCAGCCTTGACCTCCCAGGCTCAAGCAATCGTCCTACCTCAGCCTCCCAAGTAGCTGGGACCACAGGCATGCACCACCACATCCAGCTAATTTTTTTTTTTTTTTTTTTTTTTTTTTGGGTAGAGATGAGCTTTCGTCATGTTACCCAGGCTGGTCTCAAACTCCTGAGCTCAAGTGATCCACCCACTTCGGCATCCCAAAGTGCTGGGATTACAGGCATGTGCCATTGTGCCCGGCCTCCAGAGCAATTCTACACACTCTTTTGGGATGCAGTAATATGCATACAGAAAGGAGCCTAAATGTGGCAGCTGCCTCTGGGGAGGGGAGAAGGGAAATTACCAGAGCTGGTGGTTCAAGGGGGTTTTACCATGTCTGTAACGAGAGCTGCAAATAAAAGAAGAAAAAACAACCCCAGAAACAAATGTGTCCAACTGTTAATGGCCGTTAATTCTAAGTAGTAGGAATCTGGGTGTTTGCTGACTTCCCTGTACTTTATTGTAATTTTTAAATGTATGAAAATGAAAAAAGTTTTTTAAAAACGCTACATGCAGTAACTAGTTCTTGAGGCCTATCCTCCGCTCCTTTACCCTCCTTGGGTTCTGCTGCTCCTCCTTGGAGCATTGGGCTTGGGAGCTGGCTGGCTGGCCAGAAACTGCTTAGCAGCTATGAGACCTGGACTAGTTATTTAACCTACTGGGGACTCAGTATCTCCATCTTTATAAAGGGAATAAAAGAGCACTGACCTCACAGAGCTGAGGTGAAGACTCAATGAGTTCACTCAGGCCCAGTGCTCGGAACAGCCTGGCACACACTAAGGGCTACAAGTGTTTGATAACACCAACAACAATAATAATAATAAATCCTGTTTCTGGCTGGGCATGGTGACTCTTGCCTGTAATCCCAGCACTTTGGGAGGCCAAGGCGGGAAGATGGCTTGAGCCCAGGAGTTTGAGACCAGCCCTGGCAACATAGGCAGACCCCATCTCTACAAAAATTTAGCTGGGAGTGGTGGTGGGCACCTGTGGTCCCAGCTACTCAGGAGGCTGAGGTGGGAGGATTGATCGAGTCCCAGAGGCTGAGGCTGCAGTGGGCTGTGATCACACCACTGCACTCCAGCCTGGGCAACAGAGCAAGACCCTGTTTTGAGAAAGAAAAAATCCTGTTTCTGCTCATCCAGATTTACTTGATTTAATTAAAATGTTCATAGACATGCTTTCAATACAAATCCCAAAATATTGAAGGACTCACCAGTGAGCTAGTTTTTATCATGCTTCATCCCCCACTGTGATGTCCTAAGCCCTTCTCTCCTTCCCCAGTATGTCCTCTCCCGCCTCCCCTAGTCCTTTCTGTCTGTTCTCATCTCACTCTCGAGGGTGTGCCCCTGGGCTCTAAAACCTTCCTCTCTAACACTGGACTTGCTGAGGATGACTGAGACTATCATTTACAACTCAAGGGACATCAAGTCTGAAGTCTGGGTAAAGAAATATTTAGCAGCAACAAACTGTTACCTGGCGAGTCTGAGCCTTCTCAGACTGGAAGTAGCATTGAAGCTTCTCTTACCTTTCAAACTGCACCTTCTTATGTCCTCCTTCTTTAACATAGTCGAGAACCTGCTTCTGAGTCCGACCACTGAAACAGAGACCACAACAGGGAAGGGGAGAAATACCAAGGCATTCTCATTTAAACACACAAATGATGCTTCAGGGCTTCACTTCCCCTCCTTCCCTAACTGGGAGAGATGCAGGGTTGCTTGGCTAGCCAGGACTAAAAGCAATCCTGACAGACTCTGTATTTTTGGGTCCACTCAGTCTCTTGATATTTTCCTTGAATATACAGAAAAAATGTTCAATTAACTAAGCCCACTTGATAACTGTGTTTGGTTACTAAGCAACCATCCCAAGAGCCTGTGCCTTTAGTGAAGGCAGGGATCACTGGGCTCAGTGCCTGGAACAGTATTTGACACATGGCAGACAATGATTTGTTAAAAATGAATGGAAAAGTTCACCAATAACATCCAAGTCCACATATTCTATGAAGCAACACCAAATGTTAGTAAGACACTGTACTTCTACTGAGAGAGAAATCCTTTCTGAGTTAGAGACTCCCGCTAGGCGTTTACCATGACTGGGTGGCTTTGCCTGGTGCCTCTGCTGTTCAAACAGAGCCCACTGGGATTAAGATACAAGCGCCCCCGCTTGGCCATAGCTCCTGGAGGCCAATGAGCGTTCACCTCCCTGACCTGCTGTGTGTCACAGCGGCTGTGAGAGGCGGGAGGAAAAACGTGCACCCAGCAAACAGAGGCACAAAGTGGCGACCTCACCTGAACCGAAATGATGACCCCCGGCTAAAGAGGACGGGCTTGGGCTTTGGTTTGGGCTCTTCAAAAAGTCTAAAGAAGGCATGATGTTCAACACAGATTTTCCAGAAGGACTTGCAGAAATCCCGACTGGCCATCAGGAATTCCAAGGTATCCTGGTACGCACTCTAAAAAGGGAAAATACAACGGTGGTTTTTTCCATTACCCATAGATACACCACTGAAATAGGAGAAAAGGGGCAGAAGATAGCTTTGTCCGATAAAGTTTTCGCTGTGTATTTTATTATAGCATGACCATCAGTGCAAAGACTTACTAAACTCTAGTTATTCTTAAGGACAAGATGTGGTCCCTAGTCCATCATTTTCTTCCCCACAGAATCTCTTAGACGGGTAACAGAAACAGCCACGTGGCTTCAATGGAAGTGACACCATTTTTTGACAGATTTCATATACAAATTATGTTTATTTGGCTTACATTTCCTTGAAAAACAAAACCCAGATACTGAAAGTCCCTTCCTGCCTCCTTAAAATCACTGAAACGCAACGTTCATCCTCTTCCTCATACTTCGTGTCAATGTTGGCTCTTACGTCGTTTCTCTGTGAAGTCGCCCACGGCTCCGGGCTCCAGGCCACCCCAGGAACTACACAGGAAATGAATTTTTTTTTCTGGAGCACAAAGTGTCACTCTTGGCTGAAAAAAATCATGCCCTTTGATTCTGGAAAGGGGATATAGAAATTTTCTGCTCCCAATTGAAGTGGCCATATTATATAAACAAAAGTTACTACTGTCCTTAGCATTCCCAGCAGTTCTAACTATTTTGGGGGATCTCACAGTTTTGGGTGGACCCAACTTACAAACAAGCTGTGCTGCAGTTCTTTATCTATAAGGCAGCTTTTTGGAACTCCAGTGAATTTTTCCATGGAAAACCATTTAAAATGGGTATATGCTTCCCAGGTCGGGCCATGAAAACCTACTGAACCCAGACTGTAGCTACACTATAAGCCTAATTGCCATTTATCATCTTCTTTGCCATGGGAAAAAGAACTCTACACGCTGGTTGGGGACAGACGCCCAGGACACATCACCCACCTCCTCCGTCGCCATTTCTGGCAGACAAAGAAGAGGCTTCTCCTCCCTTCCCGTCCCAGTCCTGGCGTGGGCCACAGTGTTAGGCGTGTTGTGGGAAGTAAGTGGGGAAGGGAACCTAATTAGCCCATGAAAATGAGTTCCACTGGGGGCTCAGGGCCTCCAGCAGGGATTGGGGAAGTCAGTCTATGCCTGGGGTAGGGCAGGATACTGAATGGGGTCTCCAGGTGTAGCCTGGGGCTGGATGCACAGCAATAGCACAGCTCAGGTTGTTTATCAGGAGGGGCTGCCTGAATCTGCGCAGGGAAATGACCCTCTCCCCAGGTACATGTTCATGTACCTCCTTTACGCTCTCTGTTTACCAACGATGACAGCCGTAGAGTTACCGACCATTTGGATACATCTGTCCTAGAGACGCTCGGCGTTCATGTGGACAAAAGCACCTGGGTAGCACTGGCCAGAGGTTCAGCAGAAGCCCTGCCAAGCAGACCTCCACCCCTTGCAGGACACACGCCATCCCATGGCTCAACGGGTCCCCTTTCCCGCCAGGACCACTTACATTGGCATCTGGCCGGAGCTTGATGAGAAAGCGCTTCCTCTTGAAGCTCAGCTTCCGCACCTTGGCCCAGTTGAAGGCATTGATCTTAGTGAAACCCTAAAAAGAAAGACAGTAGCAGTGAGCCAGGAAATGCATAACAAGCAACTTGGGAGTTGGTCTGTTTTGCTTATGGGAGCTAAAGGAAGAGGGCTGGCAGGCGACTGCTCAGTAGAGATGACTTTTGCAGAGAACTCACAGGATCTGTGGCTATCGGATGATACCTGTTCCTGGATCATTATTTCTCACTAATTATAGGATTTTGGCATACAAACTAAGTCTGCCTCTAGGGAGAGAAGAAACTAGCCAAGATAATGATGAAAAGAAAGATAAATAGAAATAAAAACCATGACAACCACCACAATCATTAGCTGCCAGGACTTAGGAAGCGCCAGGTACCATCCTGAGGGCTTTATATACTGTATCTTAACAACCCTGATATGATAAAACCCAGCAAGATGGACTTACTATTTTCATTTTATACACATGGAAACTGCAACGTGGATTTATTTTAATTTGCTGCAAATGACACGTTTAATGTGGCAGAAAGAGACTTCCAAGCACACGCCTTCCTGGCAGCTATGGTTAACATTCAGCAGGTTTGCAATCAACTCCCTGCTTCATCCACGCTGGTCTGGCTCCTGGGCCCATCAAGCTTCCAACAGCACCGGTAGAACTGAGGATGGGAGGCCAGGCCTGCTGTGTGTCTTCAAGGCCAGCACAGTCTCTGGGCCGGATTCACATGTCTTCATTGTCTTTGGCAGCCAGGGAGTCATTGTCTCCATCCAAGGTGGAGAAACAACGGGGAGCTGCCGGATACCAACTCCCATCTGCCCAGTCTCAGCTGAAATTAGAATTCCTCTGGAGCCCACTGGAACACCAGGCCTGTTCATTTAACGTGGCAAGAATGAAGCAATAGGGCACTGGCAAGAAGGTGGGTTCCGAGACACAGGCTTTGCACGTGACTACATTACCCAGGTATTCCCAATACTTAGGGATTGTGTCAAACACAATCAAAGCACATTAATTCAATTGTGAGACACTTCTTTTCCTTCTTAATACTTTTTAGAAATGGTTCAGGATTGTGATTTGAAATTTAATGATAGTACTCAAAACTCCACTTGGCTTTATTGTTTTTCTTTTTGAGACAGTCTTGCTCTGTCACCCAGGCTGGAGGGCAGTCGTATGATCTTGGCTCACTGCAACCTCTGCTTCCCAAATTCAAGCGATTCTCCTGCCTCAGCCTTCCAAGTAGCTGGGATTACAGGTACACGCCATCATGCCCAGCTAATTTTTGTATTTTTAGTAGAGACGGGGTTTCACCATGTTGACCAGGCTAGTCTCGAACTCCTGACCTCAGGTGATCCACCCGTCTCAGCCTCCCAAAGTGTTGGGATTACAGGTGTGAGCGACCGCGCCCGGCCTATTGTTTCTCTTATCCGATACTCAGAGGCTATGCGTGCAGGTCAAAAACTGTCAAGAAAAAATCCGCCTTGAATACCACACTGCTCTCACAATGTCACTCCCTACTACCTGGCAGGAAGCCAACTTAACTCTTCTTGGGATGTGATTTGTAATAATTATGCTGTCATAAACTTCTGGTGCATGAATAGAGAATCACTGGAACTCTTTTGATAAAAGATAAGGGGGAAATATAAGCAAACCTGGAAGAGCTCAATAAAGGGTTTTAGGTCCTGAACATATTTACAACTTCCTAACTGGGTGAAATCTGATCCTATTTCATGAGAAAGGCGGGTGCTTTCTCTATATCCCTTTGAAACTAAAAGCACAGGTTACCCACTTGTGTTGAAAAGGAATGTACTGAACAGCCTTTTGGGGGTGATGAATACGTTCATTCTGTTGGTTTTGTGGGGAATTTTACAGGATATACATATATATAATAAAAACCTATCAAACTATGCACTTCAAGTGTGTGCACTTTATTGTACGTCAACAATACTTCAATAAGGCTACTAAGAGAGAAGCATTGATCAATGAAACAGTCCAATAGCAGAATGATCAATAGAGCACACATTTTAGAGTGCAGAGAATCATTATGTCTTTAAGTAGAATACAAGTAAGAATTCAAGTGCAGTATGTGTTTTGCTACAAAATTGCAAGAATGTGGCTTTTATGAATTTATAAAACTGCTGTATCTTAAAAGTGTGCCTAACACTCTTTAAGTATATCTGAAGTCCCGACCAAATAAGCTGGCTCAAGCCAAACTGTGTTTGAAAAAAAAAAAAAAAAAAAAAGGATCACATTACAGCAAAGTATCATCTGTAAGTGTGAAAAAGGTGTTTATTCGGGGACCTAAAATCTCGATTCCATTAGACTGTGTTCTAAGTGTAGGTCCATGGAGAGCTACATGTTTCTGTGATGCTACAAAGTCAATAAAACCAAACAAATCTGTAATGTGGATTCCCCAAACAGGGCAAAGGTAAGTGAAATAGAATCTGGGAGCTGAGGGCCTGGGAAACAGAAAGCCTGAGATGAGGTTAATTTTTCTTTGTTCGCCGAAAAATAACCATCAGAGGTCTTAGCCCACTGAATATGAATCAGAGTTGAAGGGCCAGCTCTTCTCTCTCTGTCACCAAGGGAACCAGGCCGTGTTCTCAAGGCTCTCACCTGAAACACTAGAATTCCCGTGTTGGCAACGGCCAGATTGATCTTCGTGCCTTCCCTGTCCTTGGCCGGGTGCAACCGGATTCCATACATCTCTAGCCGACGGGCAATCTCTAGGAGCTGGAAATCTGATTCTGCTGGTGTTTGTCCACTGACAAAACAAAAATTAAACAGAAAGGCCAGGAGATTTGAATTCCCTGTATCTATTAATTTGAGATTAAGAAGCTTCTCCTGGGAAATACAAAGGCATTTCATCACAAACACTGGGGCTACCCGATCAGATGACACCCAATCTCCCATTCACTGTAACCCAAAGTCTAGCAGCTAGGACAAAACCTCCACTGCTCATGGAACATAAAACCCCAAAAGTCTCCAAACTCAGCCAGTTTTTGTTTTTTTTGTTTTTTTTGGAATCTCAAAGAGTTTCCTTTAAGCTCATATAAAAGCAAAACACCACTGGGTTAAAACAAGATTTTAGTTGCTTTCAATAACCTAAACCTGCAAGCAAAGTTCAAGAGAACACTTTTTCACATGGCCGTCAGGCTCCAATGCTTCCTTAAAACAACAACCAAAAGTACCATGAGTCCTTTGAAAATATTAATCCAAACAAAAACAAAAATGCAGATGCTATGAAGGTTCTGGATTTTCACGATACTCTGACCTTGTCCCTAGGTGACCACGTCCCTTTCCCAATTTGTCATTAGCTTGATGACTGGATGGTCCTTTGCTCTTACTTTCTCTTTTGTTCCAAAGCATGGGCATCCTTAAACTCCAGGCTTCAGTGGGTGACCTGTGCTTCTGAGAGCCCAGGATGAATCACCACATCCCAATGAGCCTCTGTGATCTTCTTTCCTCACGCTTTGTGTTGTTCTCCACAATAGTTTGTGTGGGGGGTGGAGGGATGTACACCCATGTAGGTTGGAGGCAGAGAGAACCGGCTCAGAGGGAATATGAAGCCAAGAATGAGACTTACATGTGGTTATGGTGAAATTCCACGATTTTGTCCTCTAGTGCGTCTTGCTGAGGTATGTATTTATTTTTTGCTAAGTGCTCTCTGTCCAAGGCTTCATCAAAATCCCCAATCTCAGCTAAAAAGAAACAGAAAGAAAAACAGGTCACGTAGGAATGACACTTCCCAGTTTGTCAATATTCCCCAGTGAGCCAAACAGAAGCTAGCAGACAACATAAGGTGAGCCCAGTTGGTGGGGAACATCAGAAGGGCCAGATCTCAGAGACGGGATGCCAGGATACATTTATCAATTGTGGTGATGTGAGAAGACAGTTTTCTCCCCTCCTCATCTCTATCAGTCAGAAAGAAGCTTCAAGGTCAGGCACAGTAGCTCATGCCTGTAATCTCAGCACTTTGGGAGTCCAGGACGGGTGGATCACTTGAGGTCAGGAGTTCGAGATCAGCCTGGGCAACATGGCGAAACCTCGTCTCTACCAAAAATACAAAAATTGGCTGGGTACGGTGGCGGGCACCTGTAATCCCAGCGACCTGGGAGGCTGAGGCAGGAGAACTGCTTGAACCCGGGAGGTGGAGGTTGCAGTGAGCCAAGATCGTGCCACTGCACTCTAGCCTGGGCGACAGAGCAAGACTCCATGTTCCCCCCCGCCCCCCTACAAAAAAAAAAGCCTCAGAATCATCCATCTTCAGCCATACCTGCTCCCGGTTTTTCTTTTCTCCCCATCCGCCTGGGGAGGTTCTTGGCAGTAAATTCTACACATGTGGGTGACAACCGTATGACCTCCTAAAAAGCCCTAAAACTTCAGGACTTTATAAACATCAAAGTGAAACTCTTATATATTAGCAATGACTAGTGCAAAACGCAAATGCTTTATCATGCAGAGAAAAGAGGAACGTCAGTGGGTGCAAAGGTAGATAATCTAATGCTTAAAAAAATTATGAGTTTATTAAACTTTTCGTAGTCTTGTCAGAAATAACAGATCAGATTGCAAAGTCTTACACGTTTTTATCTGTGAGAAATATGATTCTCACATAACCTCAAGACAGTCCTCAATACTGCTGGAATGTGGAAAGTTAAAGGATAGAGCTTTAAAATCAGACTTGCGCCTTAACAACACTAGTTCAAGGTCAATGTACACCAATTGTTACACCTCTGAGACAGCACACCTTTTTCTTTGTATCACATATACTGTATAACAAGCTTCATAAAAAATAGTCTAATGACCAGAGCCCAGCTGTTTTGATAAAAACCAAGGGAACTGTTGCTATGAAACTCACCTTTCATTCTGTCACATGAAGCAGCTTGTCACACTTAGGGCAATGCACTCCAGCAATCAAGCAGGACATGGCCTGGATGTTGCCATCAATCACACCCACTGAGGATATCTGTTCTGCACAAAGCCATGCCAACTCACCTGGCAGCAGCCGGTGCACTGGAAGAACCCCTCCCTCCCTCGCTTCCTCATCATCCGAAAGACCAACAACACTATTTCCTAATTGCCTTTTCTGGACTGATTTCTCCCTTCCTAAATAGAGTAAAATTGCCACGCTCCATCACAGAAAATGGCACAGAAATGGGGGCACGCCTGGTCATACTGCCATCGTTATATGTTGCCTTGACAATAGAGGGCCTGGCTTCTCTGCAATTCCTTCTATCTGGTTCTCAAGGAAATGCAGTTGATGCTCATTATTCGAGGCAGTTATGATCTACAAGGTTACCATAAACACTGAATTAGCCATTCCTGAATCATTTCTCCTAGGGGAAATACGGGGTGAGGTTCCTAGAGTAGTCTTGAAACAACATTTTAGTTAACTGGCCGTATCTTATGTGTGTTTCTGTTGAAAGCCATCTTAAATATACTTTGCCAATTTCTTCACATTGAGCTCATGGCCAACAGCAGCTGAACTCATGCCTGAACGATGCTTACCTAACACACATTTGCTCTATCAGGCAGATAGCACTGCACGCGGGGACACAAGACAGACAGCGCTTCAGCACAACGCCTGGGGACTGCTTTAAACAGTGAAATCACCAAAAACATGCACAAAAATGCGAAAAGCGTGGCACTAAATAGACCATGAAAAGGATACTTATTAACAGTACGAGAAAAAAAAAACAGAAGGCAGAGCTTTGCCTCGTTTGACCTCCACTGGGAATGCACATCAGGTGACTCCAAATTTTCGCCATCCACAAATGACCGTGAAAGCGCATGAGTGTTGATTTGGGGGTTACAAGTAAATAAGCGAATTTTCAGACAGAATCTGAGAATAATGAGCCCTGACTATCTATGGAGGAATTCCTTAAATCCGAAATGTCTTGTGAGCTTTATGTTTGGGCTTCTTAATTCCTATGAATCTTAGAACACACTCTTTCCCATCATTCCATATAAAGAGAGCCGAATGGTCCAGTTTTTCCTTTGGCATCAGGGTGGAGACGTCTAATTCTCTTTTCTTCTGGGTCGCTTGTCTTTTCTTGCCCTCCTGTCACGCCATAGTGACATGACTATGAAACTCATTCGCTCCCCACATTTCTCCTCTTTGAAATGTGGAAATAGGCTGCTCCTTAAATTTCTGGAATTTGAAAACAGACACATACTCAAAATCTGACTTCCTTTTATTTTTTCCAAGACAGGGTCTCGCTCTGTCACTCAGGCTGGGGTGCGGTGGAGCGATCACGGCTCACTGCAGCCTTGACTTCAGGGTTCAAGTGACCCTCCCACCTCAGCTTCCCAAGTACCTGGGGCTACCGCCACATACCACCACACCTGGCTATTTTTTTTTTTTATTTTGAGTAGAGACAGGCTCTCACTATGTTGCCCAGGCTAGTCTTGAACTCTTGGCCTCAAGCTAATTTTGTTTTTGTACAGACGAGGTCTCACTATGTTGCCTAGGCTGGTCTTGAACTCCTGGCCTCCAGAGATCCTCCTGCCTGGGTCTCCCAAAGCGCTGGGATTACAGACATGAGCCACCGCACCCAGCTGACTTCCTATTTTTTAAATGTTTTATGCTGAAAGTGTCACATCAGCTTATGCATATACTATATTCCTTAGCAGTCTACTCAGCAAAGTAATTAATAGGAAAAACAGCAGCAAACCAAAATCCTGTGATTTTAATAAATGGATGCAACTTCCCCAGAGGACAGGCGTGGACAAACCTGCCTTACCACGCGGAACCCTCAGAGCAAGGACCACACGACCTGCACAAACGCAGCCCTGCCTCGCCTCCATGCTGCCCACGTGTGCTCTTTACATCAGGGCCAACTAGTAGCTGATTCTTCTCTTCATCAGCTTGTCCTTCTTAGTCAATCCAAAATAAATTAGAGAAAATTAAGTTCAAAATACTGCAGGGAAGATGCAAGGCCAGTGACGGAGGAACAAATGAAAAAATACAGACTATCTTAAAGACTCTATGCATTCAAGCCAAAGAAGGGAGGAAAATAAGACGACAGCAGATTGTGTGTATAGAGACGGACAAGATGAACATCAGCTTACCAGAGATAATTTTCCATTAGGGGTAATATAGTTTCTGCCAAAGGGAGATGACTTGACCCCTTATACCTTACCAATAATCACCAATAATTGAAATCACGACACAATCCACAGAAGACTCTATGAAATGCCTCCTTTCATGACTGAGTGCATGGGATACTTAAAAATGCAGAAATGGGGCCTTACACATATCGGAAGATTTTAAGAATATTATGTGTCTCATGACTGTATGTCAAATACCATGTAAACAGCAGAGGAACTTCTCATCCCATCTATTTGCCTTTTGAGAAGGGAAGATTCTTTGGGGATTTTGAGCCACTTGCTGGTTTCTGGGGGGAAAATGGTATACTGGACTGAGACCATGGTTTTCTGGATGTCAGCGAATCTCCACTCCCAGATATGCAAGTGAAATTCACTATTGTTAACAGACCTTTATTTTTTTTAATTTACTTTTTTAATTGACAAAATAAAAATTATACATATTGGTCAGGCATGGTGGCTCATGCCTATAATCCCAGCACTTTGTGAGGCCAAGGTGGGAAGATCACTTGAGCTCAGGAGTTTGAGACTGGCCTGGGCAACACAGTGAGACCTCAGCTCTACAAAAAAATAAAAGAAAAAATTAGCTAGACCTGATGGCATGTGCCTAGAGTCCCAGCTACTCAGGAGGCTGAGGCAGGAGGATTGCCTGATTCCAGGAGGTCGAGGCTGCAGTGAGCCATGATTGAGAGACTACGCTCCAATCTGGGTGACAGAGACTGTCTAAAAAAAAAATTTTGGGGGGGATATATTTATAGTGAACATCATCTTTTGATATATGTACACATTGTGAAATGGCTAAATTAAGCTAATTAACATATGTATTACTGCCCATATTTATTTATTTATTTTTGTGGTGAGAACACTTAAAATCCACTCTTCTTCTTTTTTTTTTTTTAGACAGAGTCTCACTCTGTCGCCCAGGCTGGAGGGCAGTGGGGTTTCTCCCAGTTTCAAGTGATTCTCCTGGCTCAGCCTCCCAAGTAGCTGGGACTACAGGCGCCCACCGCCACCACACCCAGCTAATTTTTGTATTTTTAGTAGAGACAAGGTTTCACCATCTTGGCCAGGCTGGTCACGAACTCCTGACCTCAAGTGATCCGCCCGCCTCGGCCTCCCAAAGTGCTGGGATTACAGGCGTGAGCCACCATGCCTGGCCAAAATCTACTCTTTAGTGTAACAGACCTTTAAAGAAAAAAACATAGGAGGAAAGAAGTACACGACTCAATGGCATCAGGAATCTTTGAGTAAGATCAATTTCTCTTCTGCTTACAAAATGCCAAGGGTCAGAGACATTTTATGAAGTTACTATTTCAATAAGGAAGCTTCATTTTAAAGTTTCATGTTGTTTGGAAAAGGAGGGTTGCAGGTGAATAAGGATAAAGGAAATTAATGTTTACTGAATACCTAGCATGTACTGGGTATACAGCTGGCCCTCTCTATCTGTGGGTTCCATATTCATGGATTCAACCAACCATGCATTGAAAATACTTAGGAAAAAATACTGCATCTATACCAAACATCTAAGATATTTTTTCTTGTCATTATTCCCTGAATAATACAATGTAACTACATAGCATTTACATTGGATTAATTATTATAAGTAACCTAGAGATGATTTACAGTCTATGGGAGGATATATGTAGGTTATATGCAAATACGACACCATTTTATATCAGGGACGTGAGCATCCTCAGTTTTTGGTGTCCTTGGGAGGTCCTGCAGCCAATACCCCATGGACATTAAAGGACAACTGTGTATGCTACCATTTAATTTTTACAGCCTTATGAAAAGGATTCTATTATTCTCATGTTCCAAAAGAAATGGAGGCTGGGGGGTTAGTAAGCTGCCAGGGTCACCAACCAACGAACAGAAATCAGGTCTGCCAGACTCAAAGCCTCCTCTCCCTCCTCTCCCTCTCCACTATCATTTTATGAAGAGGGGAGAACAAACACAAGAAAGATAAAAATTACATTAAGTTCTGTGCTAAGGATTCCTCCCCTGTAAAATAAGGATAATGACAGACTTGATCTCAAGGGGCTGTTAGGAGAATTAAATGAGATTATATATATAGATTATATATAGATTATATATAGATAGATTATATATTATATATTATATATATATTATATATTATATATATTATATATAGATTATATATTATATATATATTATATATAGATTATATATTATATATATATTATATATAGATTATATATTATATATATATTATATATAGATTACATATTACATATATTATATATTATATATAGATTACATATTGTATATATTATATATATTATATATAGATTATATATTGTATATATTATATATATATTATATATAGATTATATATTGTATATATTATATATATATTATATATAGATTATATATTGTATATATTATATATATATTATATATATATATATAGTGCTGGCACATGGTCAGGCTTAATAAAGATACCTATTTTTTTGTTTTTTTCTTGCCCATGTCATTTTTTTCAAATTGGTAAGAAAACATCTATCTAATAAGTGCTCATATTCAAAAAACAAGAAGATACACATCATCTGAAACACCTTACTGTATCAGACTAAGGCAACTTTTTGACTACTGAGAGAGACACTTCCTATAAACCTTTGTAAATCTAGTGAACTAGGCACATATCAGGATAGGAGGGGACTGATTATATGAGACGAATTCATATACAGTGGAAATGTAAAAGGTGATATGATAGCACAACTTTCCTTTATAGTAGTGCTTATTATACATTAAGTATTATACCCACAATTACCTTTCTGAAACATAATGTGTATATTTTATTTCAAGTAATTTCTGCCTTGGTCAAGAGGGAAAAAACACCCAGGTGGCTTGTCAGCAAGCCTGGAGATGAGCATAATCTGATTCATCCTTTGTCTATATTAAGGCAAATTAAAATATCTAGGGTCCAGCTCCATTAATCCAGCATGAGTCTTGGTTTACTGAATTCTGAAGAGCAAAAATCTCTAGAGAGAAGTGAAATCGGTGGCAGTATTATGTCTTAAGGCTACTATGCCATATTCAATGATAAAGTTTAAATCCAAGAACAGGACAGAACAAGTTTAGTCTATTTGGCAACCATCCATCCAAGCTTATCCTTTAAGACAACTGAAGTATCAACTGCGTACTAGTCCTTGAAGAAAGACAAACACCTGAACAGAAAGTACAAGAGTTAACATTTGGGGATATGCATATTAAATGACATCAGGAGTATTGTTTTTCTCTTCCACCCGTAGGCCTTCATACGAACAGCAAAAATAACACAAAAACATTGACACTTTCTTTTTTGGTGGATGTGATTTTTTTCCCATCAATCAGATCACTGTGTTATTTTGAACATGATTTTCAAAGGAAACCAATAGAACTTACATTGCACAATGTGTGAAATCAAGAGAGCTGCGCTGGTGTCATTACACGTCAACCTGCCTTGAGCCAAGTCCTGCTTCACCTGCAGCGCGAACAGGTACCTGCGAAGATCAACAGAGCTGGGCGTCAGGCAAAGAGGGCAGGAGGTCACCGGGAACCTGGCCTCACCATGAGAGGCCAAGGAGAGGGATGCAAACCCCAACCACGAAGTCTGCATGGGCTGGAACGGATTCCAGCTGCCATTCACTGCAGTGTAAATATCTCCCTCCAAAATACAAAGAGATGTATGCTATCATCTTTTCACAGTATGAATAATATGTTTCATTTTACATAGGGAGAGAGAGCCATAAAAATGTGAGACCATAACCTAGCATGCTATATATTTTTGTAGCGTACAGGAAATATTTACATTTTTTTCACAGAATCAGTCATCCATACTCTAACATGGTTCTATGGCTCAGACAATAACAGTAGTTTATTATGGTGAGTCAGAGGATTGCCAATGAAATGAGAAAAACAAGGGGGCGTCATTTTTTTTTTTTTTTTTGTGGTGTAACTACTTCCATAGGACCCAGTTACAAGATTTGTAAAAATTCATTTTCTTTTCTTTTTTTTTTTTTTGAGACAAAGTCTCGCTCTGTCGCCAGGCTGGAGTGCAGTGGCGTGATCTCGCCTCACTGAAACCTCCACCTCCCTTGTTCAAGCAATTCTCCTGCCTCAGCCTCCCGAGTAGCTGGGACTACAGGTGCACGCCACCACGCCCAGCTAATTTTTTGTATTTTTAGTAGAGACGGGGTTTCACCATGTTGGCCAGGATGGTCTCGATCTCTTGACCTCATGATCTGCCCACCTCGGCCTCCCAAAGTGCTGGGATCACAAGCATGACCCACTGCACCCATTCATTTCTTTTCTTTATATTGTGGTATTAAGCATGTCAACATTTTTGGTGTAAGATAAAAAATACATTTGCAAATCAAAGACATTAAGTAAAAACTGTGCAACAGCAAACAGGCTTATGAAAAGATGCTCAACATCACTGATCATCAGAGAAATGCAATCAAAATTATAATGAGATATCATCTCACCCCAGTTAAAATGGCTCATATCCAAAAGATAGGCAGTAACAAATGCTTGGATGTGGCAAAAAAAAAAAAAAAAAAAACACAAAAAACCCTCAAGTACTATCGGCGGGAATGTAAATTAGTACAACCACGATAGAGAACAGTTTGGAGGTTCCTGAAAAAACTAAAAATAGAGCTACCATATGACCCAGCAATCCCAGTACTAGGTGTGTACCGAAAAGAAAGGAAAACAGTATGTCAAAGAGATATCTGCACTCCCATGTTTACTGCAGCACCATTCACAACAGCCAAGATTTGGAGGAAACCTAAGTGTCCATCCACAGATGAACGGACAAAGAAAATGGGGTATGTATACACAGTGGATTACTATTCAGCCATAAACAAGGAGATCTTGTCATTTGCACAGCATGATTGGAACTGGAGGTCATTATGTTAAGTGAAATAAGCCAGGCACAGAAAAACAAACTTCACATATTCTCACTTATTTTTGGGAGCTAAAAATTAAAACAATTGAACTCATGGAAAGAGAGAGCAGAATGAAGTTACCAGAGGCTGGTAAAGGTAGAGGGAGTGGGGATAGTTAATGGGTCCAAAAAAATGAGATAGAATGAATAAGATCTAATATTTGATAGCACAACTGGGTGACTACAGTCAATAATAATTTACTATACTTTAAAAATAATGAAGAGTATAATTGGATTGTTTGTAACACAAAGGATAAATACTTAAGGTCATAGATACCACCCCCTGCCCCGCAGCAAGACAAAACCAAACCGAACCTGTACAATGTTAAAATGGATGTGAAAATAATGATACAAACTCATAGATTTTTAGATATCTAGTTTACCTGCTGCCTGAGAACAGTGTCCTCTCAGTAGCACCCTTTGCAATCAGATTCTGTCCCTCTTACAATTACCTGTTGGGGCCGCACGCTGTGGCTCCCAGCACTTTGGGAGGCCGAGGCGGGTGGATCACCTGAAGTCAGGAGTTTAAGACCAGCCTGGACAACATGGCAAAACCCTGTCTCTACTAAAAATATAAAAATTAGCCGGGTGTGGTGATGCGCCCCTGTAATCCCAGCTACTCGGGAGGCTGAGGCAGAAGAATCACTTGAATCCGGGAGGTGGAGGTTGCAGTGAGCCGAGATTGCACCACTGCACTCCAGCCTGGGTGACAGGAGCGAAACTCCGTCTCAAAACAAAAACAAAAACAATAAAAACAACAAAAAACAATTACCTGTTGGAAGGATAGAGAGATAGGGCCTTGGAGACATGGTAGATTCCAGGCAGATCAAAGCATCTCCTTATTTAAAATTGGTAACCCAAGGCAAAGAATTGAGTGTGTAACCTGCCTGGCCAGAGGAAAGGGTGTTTCAGGACAGCCAAGTAGTTGAAGAAAGGTTTTACAGGTTTATCTCCCATAAAGTAAAATTTTGCCTCAAGTATTTGGCAAAAAAATTGTAAGTGCCAATTTATAACATAGCAAGAATAATAGAATTAGAAAATCCTCATTCCACAAACTCTAAAGAAATTATTGACTCCAGCCAGGATTATCAATGGGTGAAAAAACCATGTAGGAGACTGGACAGTCACATAGGGCAAAGGAAATATGACTTTACCTGGCAAAAGAATAATCAGAATGTCACCACCTGAATCCAATGAACAATCTCTAATCATTAATGAAATATGAAGCACACAACATCACTTATGACAGACTCCAGCCCAAATGTTTAAGTGTATCAGTCAAGCCCTAGAATGAATTTCCTGTCCTCTCCAAACCTCATGTTGAGATTTCATCCTGAGTGCTGGAGGTGGGGCCCAGTGAAAGGTGTTTGGGTTGTCAAGGCAGATCCCTTATGAATAGACTAATAACCTCCCTTGGGGGTGAGTGAGTTCTCACTCTGTTACTTCCTGTGAGAGCTGGTTGTTACAAAAAGCCTAGCACCTCCCTGTTCCACCCACCTCCTCTCCCACCATGTGATCTCTGCACATGCCAGCTCCCCTTTGCCTTCTACCACGAGTGGAAGCAGCCTGAGGCCCTCAGCAGATGTCAATGCCCAATCTTGAACTTTTTAGCCATCCAGAATCATGAGCAAAATAAACCTTTTTTCTTTATAAATTACCCTGCCTCAGGTATTCCTTTATAGCAGCATAGAACAGACTATGACTTCCAGTTTTGGAAAAATACAAAGGATAGAGGAACAAGTTAAACAGCACCACAAGAAAGCTAGCAGGCAAATTCAGAAAGTAGGATACTGTGTAGTGTAGCTGGTCCAGTTTCTTCAACAAGATGCTATCATGAGGAAAAGAAAATGAGGGACTAACTTACATAGGCCCAGATGACATACTAACTAGATGCAATATGTGGTCCTAGAGTGGATCTGTTTTTTTTAATTGATTGATTAATTGACTGATTGAGACAGAGTCTTGCTCTGTTTTCCAGGCTGGAGTGCAGTGGTACAATCACTGCTCACTGCAGCCTCAACCTCTGGGGGCTCAAGCAATCCTCCTGCCTCAGCCTCCAGAGTAGCTGTGATTACAGGTACACACCACCATGCCCAGCTAATTTTTAAAATTTTTTGTAGAGACAGGTCTCCCTGTGTTGCCCAGGCTGGTCTCAAACTGCTAGGCTCAAGACATCCTCCTGCTTCAGCCTCCCAAAGTGCTGGGATTACAGATGTGAGCCACTGTGCCTAGCCAACCTTATTTTAGAATAAACAGATACAAAGGACAGTTAGGGGATAAATAGGGAAATGTGAATATGGCCAATGTATTAGATGAGATGAAAAGTACATATGTATGCATAGAAAAATTCAGAAAGGATATCTTACTAATGTGACGGGCAATGGGAATGCAATGTTTCTACTTTCTTAGTCTTATTCATTTGTCTATTCTAACTTTCTACAATGTATGTTTACTACTATTATAATAATGAAAGGGTATTTTTGATTTTCAAAAGGGCCTTTAATAGTATTAGCTATAGAGGTTTCCATAAGAATTAAATGAGATACATGGAAAACACTATTAGAACAAAAATATTCAATAAAAGTTGGCAGTTTTTAAAAATAAAAGAATAATCCATTTTAAGTCATTTAGGAAATTTTATTATTAAGAACTAAAAAACCACAGCAGCAATTGTATAACCAGCAAAAAGTGCCCTACAGACTACAGACCTACCAGTGGGACTTTCTCTGACCTCCCTAATTTTATTCTTGTTCTCTTGCTCTACCCTTCTGTCTCTCCCCGCAACCCCCTTTCTGTGTGTGTGTGTGTGTGTGTGTGTGTGTGTGTGTGTGTGTGTGTGTGTCTGTCTGTCTGTCTCTGGAAAGTCAAAGGGAAGAAAAGCAGAGAATATAAAACAATCTAAACCTCATGTGGGAGGTGGGAATACAAACTATCGTGCTGGATTATAGTCACTGTCTTTTGAGCCCAACACTTTGTAGAGCTACAAATTTCTAATCGGTTTTTCATTAAATAGGAGGGCTTCATGTTTTAAAATGACATTCTGAATATTTTACCTGTTTTAAAATTACATTCTGAATATTTTACCATTTATCATTTCAAACATGAGTTTCTGTGTTCACAAAGAGGTTTTCAGGGACAAACGCATGGGCAGTCTGGCAGGCTCTGGGGACCTTTGGTGACAATCACACATGGGCTGCGAGATGGCATCAGGTTCTGAAAACACACACGTTTACTGGGAGAGCACAAGGCTATTTTGAAGGCTGAAGGAAGAACGTGACTCCCCCTGATTACATGGACTCTTCCTGATCCAAGGCCCTTGTAACATGAGAAGTAGCTTCCTGGGTACTAACTCTGTCCACTTTTCTTACCATGAGCTGTAAGCTGAGCATGCTGGCCGCGATGCTAACTTTAGAGATTCTGCAACACCTTTAGTACTGTCCACTGAAGCAATTCCAATCAGTCTCACGCGAGCTAGAGGCTAAGTTTTACTTGGTGAGCACTAAATAAAACTGAACCGGTAAACACAATGAAAACATAAAGCGCTCAAAATGGAATCAAGTTTCCTTAGCAGAAGAGTGGACGTGAGGAGAGTCCACCTCTCATGTGAGGAGAGGACAACGATTATGGCAGGAGCAGACAGAGGGACTTCACTCCTAGGGACTGCAAGAGTCACATGTCACACCCATTTGATGCCTTGCTTTCAATATGAATAATTTATTTCATCTGGAAAACCACCATCTTCCCTCTTTTCTTATTACATATAAGCAATTTAGAATTCTCCTGCAGTCTAAGAGAACACTTCAGTAGGGCGTGCAGGGCGCAGAGCAGCATGTTCTGATAGGGTCCCCTCACCTATAAGAACACAGGCAAGTAGAAGCTGGATCCAACTGAAGACGGGATGCCCAGAGAGAAGGGGAAGAACAAAGGGTGGCTAAACATGGCACAAGGAAAGTGATTCCAAGCCACACGATAAGAAAAACTGAGATCATGTGGCAGGGTGCAGCGACTCAGGCCTGTAATGCCAGCACTTTGGGAGGCCAAGACAGGCAGATCATGAGGTCAGGAGTTCGAGACCAGCCTGGCCAATATGGTGAAACCCCGTCTCTACTAAAAATACAAAAATTAGCTGGGTGTGGTGGCACGTGCCTGTAGTCTCAGCTACTTGGGAGGCTGATGCAGAAGAATCGCTTGAACCTACGAGGCGGAGGTTGCAGTGAGCCAAGATCGTGCCATTGCACTCCAGCCTGGGCGACAGAGCGAGACTCCATCGCCAAAAAAAAAAAAAAAAAAAAAAGAAAAACTGGGATCATCTTTTCCAAAGACCCTCACTCGTTGTTTTGAGGCTGCACCCAGGAGTCAATACGCTTCTCCTTCTAGGTGTCTGGGTGCTGCTGTCAATAGGATGGCATTCCACCTGCAGTTCAATAAATAGAAAGGAATCCAGCTTCTTGTTTAACAAAAGAGTGCAATTTAATCTCCTATCTATATCAATGGGAAGCTGAAAGAGCTATTCCTGGAGGCCCAAAGCATTAACTACAGAGCTAGAGTCACTTATGCTTTGCTGAACCACAGGCCAGTTTCTCCGTCTGTCCCACTTCTGTGTATGCGTCCCTCCCCACAAAGCACAGCTGACATGGAGCTTCTCCCAGCATCCCCTCATTCACCATCTGCCAAAGAACAGCACCTGAAATCTCAATAGTCAGTCCATTTTTGCTTCTACAGGAATTTGAGATGCGAGAGTCCCAACACATCGGCCCCATGAGGTTCTCTATGCCTTGTACCAAGTGGGGAGTGATGGAGAGATGATAAAAAAAAAAGTAGGAATTTCAGATCAATTTTATTCAACAATGAGCCAAAAGAACTGTCTCCTTGGAAAAGACTTCTTAAATGTCAGTTCACACTGGGTGCCAGAAAACAAAAACAACAAAAACCTGCTCCGTCCAGCTGAGCTCGTGTAACTTTAGGAATTTATCAGCACTGACAGAGGAGCTGGCAATGTACCAGGCACATGCGGCTCGATGGTAACCAGCTGTATGGAGTTTCAGAGCAAGGGCCAGAATGGTAGCCAACTGCAAACCTCTAGAGACGATTCACAAAAATTGAAAAGGTGCAAAACTATTGGCAAAACAGAATTTTTAATGAAAAAAAAAAAAAAAACGGGGGGCGGGGGTGAGGGGATACAGGATTTGTGCCTCCAACTTCCTGAGCAAGAAAGAGCCCTGGTGATTCACATGAGGAAAAGGCACGCTACCGATGCTACTTATTCCAAACACAACTACATTCCTCCAACAGCTGGACTTGCCCTTAGATTTATTTCAGCACGCAGAGCTCAGGGCAATGCAGTTTCCAACGACAGGAAAACCAGCCTGAGAAACCAAGACCCAGCAGCCCCAGCGAAAGGCCCTCCTGTCATCAGCCAGCCCTCAGTCCTGTGCAGACCCGGCTTAGCAGCTCGGGCTGTCCCTCCTATGCAGGTAGCTCCCAGAAGGCTGCTGCTTTCTGCCAATTCCTGGCTGCCTTTGCCTTCTTCGCTGATTTGAGGGTTCTAAGTGGACGTGGATGATTAGCAGCACAAACGTTCAGAAAACACAAAGCAGTGGGAAGTCTTT
Source organism: Homo sapiens (assembly GCF_000001405.40). NCBI lineage: Eukaryota > Metazoa > Chordata > Mammalia > Primates > Hominidae > Homo > Homo sapiens. Next base: position 98,370,766 of record NC_000013.11, on the reverse strand, counting down.
GTCACTGTCTCCCTGGAGCTGCACATTCCTGTATCTGATGTCCTTCCTGCTGCTGCTGTGGTCATGGGACAGCTAACAGGTATCTCAAACATGACCTGGCCAGAAACACCCTGACTCTCCACTCCCCAACAGTCCTCCACTTCCCTCCATCCTTTTCTCATTTTAGTAACCCCCAACACCATCTCCCCCCCAGTCACTCAAGCCAAAAATCTAAGTGCCCCCTCTCCCTCCCTCAAAGTCCACCACCACCTCATCACCAAGACAGAGGGACCCTGCTTCCGGTACCTGTTCCAAACACAACTACTTGCCTCCATTTCTACTGCTACCTATTGGTGGCTTCTTTGCCATCACCATGTGACCGCCTCCTCACAGGATGCCCTGGGACTCTCCTTCTCCCCCTAACATCCACATGGCAGCCAATCTTTCAACACTATGTGTGTCAAGCCTCTCTCCCACCTCACCACGACGCTCCCAACACTCCTGCCATGCTGGCCCTCCTTTATGTATTTGAATGCTTGGAGCTGATTCCCGCCTTGGGCAGAGTACTGACTGCTCCATCTCTCTAGAAAGCTCTCTCAGTAAATGACTGATGGTTCCTTCTCACTTCCTCAAGAGGCATCCCAGACCCACCAGCCTGAAGTCATCACCCAGGCACCTCTATCACATCCTCCTACTTCAATTACCTAAAGAGTTCTTGCCGCTATCTGATATTATCTTGTTTATTTAATCGCTTTGTCTGTTTCCATGAGAGTATTCTTGTCTTTTCATCACTGCACTCCCAGTGCCTAGAACAATGCTTGCACACAGGGAACCCTTAATAAATATTGCTGATTACATCAGTATCTTCATCCCTTTGATAAATGATGATCAATGATGACCCAAGATACTGTGCTCTGTACTGAGAGGGATGAGGAAGGATATGATGGCCTCGGTATTAAACAGTCACTGCTTGAACACCATGTATGACAAGAATTAGGCTGGTTAAACCCAAATGTCCAACAATGATAGACTGGATTAAGAAAATGTGGCACACATACACCATGGAATACTATGCAGCCATAAAAAATGATGAGTTCATGTCCTTTGTAGGGACATGGATGAAACTGGAAATCATCATTCTCAGTAAACTATCGCAAGGACAAAAAACCAAACACCACATGTTCTCACTCATAGGTGTGAACTGAACAATGAGAACACATGGACACAGGAAGGGGAACATCACACTCTGGGGACTGTTGTGGGGTGGGGGGAGCGGGGAGGGATAGCATTAGGAGATATACCTAATGCTAAATGAGGAGTTAATGGGTGCAGCACACCAGCATGGCACATGTATACATATGTAACTAACCTGCACATTGTGCACATGTACCCTAAAACTTAAAGTATAATAATGATAAAAAAAAAAAAAAAAAAGAATTAGGCTGGTTAGATTAGTGTCCTCTGAAGGATTCTCTTCAAAGGGAATCATTTTATCCACACATGTTCCTGCCAGCTCTGCCCTCTTTTGGAACACCATCAGTCTTGCCTCAAATTATAAAATGAGGTTGGGCGCAGTGGCTCACGCACATAATCCCAGCATTTTGGGAGGCTGAAGCAGGTGGATCACTTGAGGTCAGGAGTTCGAGACCAGTCTGGCCAACATGGTGAAATGCTGTCTCTACTAAAAATATAAAATTAGCTGGGTGTGGTGGTGGGCACCTGTAGTCCCAGCTACTCAGGAGGCTGAGGCAGGAGAATCGCTTGAATCCGGGAGGCAGAGGTTGCAGTGAGCTGAGACTGCGTCACTGCACTCCAACCTGGGCGACAGAGAGAGACTCTGTTGCAAAAAAAAAAAAAAGGTATATATAAAATGAGTAGAAGTGATGATGTGATGATGGTGATAATGACGATGGTGATGATGATGGTGACGACAATGAAAACAGTGATGGTGATGGTGACAATGGTGGTGTTGATAGTTACCATTTACAGTGTCCCTACTGGATCCCAGCTACTCTAGTATAATACTGCTTATCCTCAAAACCACTCTGGCCAAGCAAGCATTAGAGTCCACACTGTAATAGGGGAAGTAATGGCAACACAAAGGGAGAAAGTAACTGGCCCGTCACAGCAAGTGGCAGGATGGTGGCCGAAGCCAGGTCTGACTCAATGCCTGCACTTCTTCCACGCGGTCACACTTTGAAAAGAATTGACCTCCAGTTCCTGCCAAATCTACCACCCATGGCAGCGGCAAAGACAAACTCTGAGTTGACATGTTGGTTTCACAGAAGAGATTCACATCCAGAACAGTCCATGATGTGACATATAAGATGGAAAATGTGCTATTAACAGAGTATAAGCCCAGGATTCACTTCATATCACAACCTTCAAGAAACCAAGTTTTAGGGAAAACAGTACTTCTCCCCCCATTTTTGTAAGCAGGGCTGGGAAAGAGGAAGGTTAAACTGTTCAGTACAGAACAGATGCTGGTCAAGTAAACATTATGAAAATGTTTGTGTCATCAATTGAGAACATTCATTTTCTCTTTTCCTCTGTACTCTGTAGCAAAAAATACACAGTTTCCAAACCACTAACCTTGTGAGTTCTTCTTGGAGTTGTGTGTGGTCAGGCGGAAAGAATTTCACCACAAACTTAACAACAACGTGCTTTGGCCCTAAAGAAGAAGAAAAAAAGAAGTAAAGCATTTACTGATTTGTGTTTCAAATGCCATTAAAGAAAAAGACTTTACAAATACAAATAATGCATCTCATTCCAAGCTGCCAAGTGCACATCTGCCATTTTCCAAGTCACTTAACAACTGGCCAAGTTCAGCTACTAATTCACACTTCCATATTGTGGGGAAAGAGAGATCCATTTTTAAAAAATACTGTGACAAAAGTACTACATAGAGCTATTAAATTTTTTCTCTGCAGACTTAAATTTTATCTAGGTTTTTTAAAATAAAGTCATTTGTCTTCAAAAATGTATCTAATTGGCTGGTTTTACCCAAATAATGAAAACATACATCAGTTATGCAATTCATTATATTTAACTATTTATAAGGTACAGTTGCTAATATGTTCATCAAATATGTTTTCAGCCTCTAGGTGCTCTTCTGAGCTCTGGGGAAAACATACACCAGATGTGGCCCTGGCTTTGTCTCAGCCAGCCAAGGCCTTTATCAGTATCTTATAAACCCTCTTACCAATGAGTTTAGACAAAATCAGGAAGTAGATAGGGAGTGAGGGGAGGGAGAGATTGAATAAGATGAACAACTTTTCAGAATTTAAAAAAAAAAAAAGAAAGAAAACAGGACAGACAGATTATAAAATAATAATCTGTGGCCAGGCGCGGTGGCTCACACCTGTCATGCCAGCAATTTGGGAGGCTGAGGTGGGCGGATCATCTGTGGCCAGGAGTTTGAAACCAGCCTGGCCAAGATGGCAAAACCCTGTCTGTACTAAAAATTAGTCAGGCGTGGTGGCGGGCGCCTATAATCCCAGCTACTCAGGAGGCTGAGGCATGAGACTCATTTGAACCCAGGAAGTGGAGATGGCAGTGAGCAGAGATCGTGCCACTGCACTCCAGCCTGGTGTGAGAGAGCAAGACTCCATCTCAATCATCATCATCATCATCATCATCATCATCATCATCATCTGTGATTTGCATTGGAGTTTTTTTGTTTTGATGTGTAAGCTACAATATAAGCCATCTTAAAAGGTCTGCCCTTTGGAATGATAGCAATACATTTATGTTCTATGAAATATAAGGTACTATAATGAAATCTAAATTTTAACTGTCCTATTACAAAAGCAGAAAAATGTCTGTTTTACTTTTCACTATCATATACAAATACTAATTATGTATTATAATTTCTGTGATCACATATTCAAGTTTAAAAAAAGCAAAAATGACATACAATAAAGATGTTGACAATATGTACAAAATTGGGAGAAAAAAACAAGGCATTAAAATTAACAAACTCTTACATGTCAATTCTGGAGCACAAAATAACAGCAGCAAAATGAGGAAGACGAGAAGGCTGCACCACTTATTCTCTGCGATTTTCACTGAGCGGCTACTCAGATCCTTAGAAAACTTGAAACTAGGAAGATGCTAGCACTCAATGCCAAGTGACAGCTTTGTCACACATGGCCTGTCACAGCATATGGAGGAGACAACTACAGTAATGCTCCAGCTCTGACCCAACCAGAGTCAACTCTGTCTTCAGGTCTGCGCCAAAGATATACCTTGCCACTGTTAGCAGTTCCCTTCATGCGGGGGACAAATGTCGATCTCCTAGACTCTATGCTACCTGGGCCCATGAGGCTGGGGGGCTTCTCTTCGCCCCCAACACTAGTCGTTGCCTGCCAGCCATGCTCAGGACACCCAGCAAATATTAAATGATGGCCATTTCATTGTCAGTATAATTATTATAAGTAACTGCTTAATTGAAATTGTAGATGATCAACATCAATTTCAATTGCACACGGGCCACACAGAAATTGTGCTGCGTGTTTATTACATCCACATCAATTGCTGTAAGTGGCCCAGTGGGGTTTCTTAATCAGACATACAAATGATCCCATAGGTACTGTAAGCTTCATGCTCAACTAAAAGGATACAGTATTCTCAGATTTTTGTCCAGACTCTGACTACATTGAAGGGCCATTTGGGATGACATTGGGACCAGAGCTTGATGCTGAATTTTAGCTCAAAGCATAGAGAGGGGAAGACACAAGAAGAGAGAGAAAAAGGAAGCATTCTTTTTCTTTGTTCCTCCCCTACACATTCCTTAATCTTTTCTTTCCAACACACAGTCTAAATGCATACATGCCAGCCTCCCTTCAGGGCTCTGCTTGCTACTCAGAAACACACACACACACACACACACACCACATACACACACACACTCACACTTTCGGCCACTCTTTTTCCCAAACAATACCTGCATTCTGATTTCACAGGCTTTGAAGAGGAAGGACCAAAAACCTAAAAACAATTTTATGAATAAATGGCTCCACCTCTTCCCTTCGAAAGTGACAGAAAGGAACAATGGCATAGACAAGACAAGCTCAATTATTCTGGGGTTTAAGATAATAGCAGGCTTCAGTTGTTAATCAAAATGATATTTTATTTTCCAAGCTCGGTTTTGATTACCAAACTGTTACACATTAAAACTGCAGAAGACACACATTTTAATAGTACACGGATTAGTCGATGATGAAAAGCAATTATGGGGTAGAAGAATTTGTGTTTCTAGTGCTTCATGCCACAGGGCAAGAGATGTCTAGACATGAAACTGTCTGGCTTCAGATTTCACATCACTATTAAACATATGGTATATACTCACTTCTAATCTGTTTCACAATGGGTTTTAGGAGATCCAGCCACACCTAGAAGGGAAAAAAGAACAGATTAAGACCTAAGTTCTCAATGAAAGAGTGCAAGTATTTTGAGATTTTGTTTAAAGCTGTTTAAAATCAAAATATTTTTGAGGATATGAGGCCGCCTGTTCCATTTTTCTCCAGAATGCCGTATCTTACGTTGTCTACCACTTTTATAAAACAGATCCTAATTTGCTGATATTATCCCTGAGCTTGAAAATTAAAATTGCTCCTAGACTCAGATACACATGGTTAACTAAGAAGTTTTCTATTCTCATTTATACATTTATCATATTTACCTATTTGGAAAATATTAATGAATGATTTCATTTGTGACTATCAGCCGAGTGAAATACGTACATTCCTTATTGAAACAGAATACATAGATGTGTGAGTGTCTAGAACAGCACATCTTTGAGGGATGCGGAAAGGGAATGAATATTTACAGAACACCACCTCTGCACCATGCACTACCTATAAGCTACTGACCTCTCCAGACAAGGCCAGAGGGATTCTTGTTACCCAGGAGTGACATCTGAGACTTGCAGAGGCTAATTTGCCCCAGGTCCCTCAGCTAGAGAGTGACACTGCTAGGACTGAAATCCAGTCTAACTTCAAAGTCCAGACTCTCTTTCACACATCTGCTTCTTGGCACACAGTCTGGATAGCGAACTTTTCAAGGAAGAGAGAAACCTGCTGCCTTTATTAATAAAATGTAAGTTGACCATCCCATTTCATGTGTTTTTTTCTTTAAACTCCCCCTTGAATTTCTAGTCATTTGAAAGGGTTCCACAGAAGCTCATATTTGCATATATGACAAAACTAAGTTAATGTGCTTAATAGAAAGAGGGTTTTATAAGTAAATATGAAAACGAGAAACAGCCCTTTAGAAAATCATGCTGAGAACCACAGATAATTTACAAAGAGAAAATGCCAACAGCTAACAGAAAACTGTTGACGTTCAGGAGTAATCTGCACTAGAAATGCAAATTGAAACAATTAAATACCATTTCCACCCATTAAATTTCCATCTAGATATGGCTGTACACACACTTGCTTGCATGTTTATATTTTATAATAGCCAAAGTTGGCCAGGGTTCAGGGAAGCAGGCACCATCTTACTCTACTGATAGATACATGGATTAGTACAACTTTTCTGGAGACTTATTAGAGAATCAGGACCTAAGCCCTAAAAAGTACTACCCAGTCATTTCACTTTGGGAAATTATGCATTTCTGCACACACAAGGAATACTAATTGCAGCATTTTTATCATCGTAAACATTTTTACAGTAACCTAAATTAAGTAGAATAATGTACATCATTATGACACATTACCATGCAGGCATTAAAAATCGAAAGACAGGCCAGGTGCGGTGGCTGACACCTCTAATCCCAGCACTTTGGGAGGCCAAGGCAGGTGGATCACAAGGTCAGGAGTTCGAGACCAGCCTAGCCAACGTGGTGAAACCCCATCTGTACTACAAATATAAAAATTAGCTGGGCACAGTGGCGGGCACCTGTAATCCCAGCTACTTGGGAGGCTGAGGCAGGAGAATCACTTGAACCCAAGAGACAGAGGTTGCAGTGAGCCAAGATCGCACCACTGCACTCTAGCCTGGGGGACAGAGCGAGACTCTGTCTTGAAAAAAGAAAGAAATAAATAAATTCAAAAGACAGGAGTCACAGGAGAGCCTAGACCTTTATTGAGATTTCCATGGCAGGGCAAGGCAGGGTACACAGTTTAGGACTGGCCCGTTGGAATAATTTTGGCAATCTCTTAATTATAGGAGCGGTCTGGAGTTGCCTGTTACCAGGCGCTGAGATGATTCAGGCAGAGGAATACTGCTCCCAGGGATGGGCAGGTCAGATAAAGGAGGCAGCCCTGGGTTGGTTTCTTTGTATATCAAAGGTGGGTACCCCCAGCTGGGCCCTGCTAGCTCTAAGGACTGGCTAGCACTGGAAGCCGCAGTCTCTTCTTAGCCAGAAAGGTCTTTTAAGATGTCAAAACACCACAATATGCAGAAAATTCTATATATATGCAATACACACGGAAGGGGCAGAGGTAGGGAGCAATCTTCCCTGAAAATGACCCTGTGCTAAGATCTCAAAGGGAAGAAAGACAAGCAGAATCTATGAAAACAGACAGTAAAAACCCTAGTCCTGATGCCCAGATGATCATCATGGCTGCAGAGCAGGGCTGGTGGGTCAGGAAGAGGCCTGGCCCCGCCAAGGCCACATTCAGACGCTTGGTCCTTATCCTAAGAGCAATGGGAAGGAACTACCCCATGGGGAGGACATGATTAGATTTGTATTTTTAAAAGATGAGTCTGGCAGCGTGAGAACAGGTTAGAAGGAGCAAGAATGGATGCAGGTTGAGCTGTTGGCAATTGTCCAGGCAAGACAGGACGGTATTTTGGACCAGAATGGCAGAAGTAGAGTTTGAGAAAGTAGGTGGATTCAAGAACAACTGAAGACGTAACAACCAGTGGAATGCACTGATGGATACGATGCCCAGGGAAGGAGGTGACAATAACCGGAATAACACTGAGATTTCTGCAGCAGGCATCTGGGCAGACACTGGTGCCACCTCCAGAGATAGCGAGCACTGCAGGATGACTGGGACTGAGAGGTTCCAGCCGAGTTAATTTTCTGAGGTGTCCTTGGATCATACAGGGAGAGACAGTATACAAACAATGACACACATTCATCTGGAGCTCAGAGGAGAAGCCTGGGCAAGACATCTCACATTTAGAAGGTGCCACCACCCTGACTCCATGGAGGATAAGACGGCCAGCGTAGAGTCTAAAGAATTAAAATGCATGAGCGTTGGCCAATATGTCCACCATGGACAGCCAGGTAGGAGCAGAGGAGGCGTGAAGTAAAGGAAGGAGAGAACTGTGTCATGGACATCATGGGATGACAGTGTCCGCAAAGGAAGAAACTGAGAACTGTCTCAAACTCACACCCGTCCTTGACTCAGTGATTCAGCAGGTCACTTGACCCAGGGTTGGGTCTGAACGTCTGGTGCATGGGGAAGAGGATGAATGGCTTCGTCAAGAAACTTGGCTGTGAAGCAAGAGGCAACAGAATGGGGGGTAGCTGGCTGGGGAATCAGGTAAGGGTATTGTTCACTTGCTTGTTTTGTTGTTGTTGTTTGAGACAGCGTCTCACTGTCACCCAGGCTGGAGTGCAGTGGCGCAGCCTCAACTTCCCAGGCTCAGGCAATCCTCCCACCTCAGCTTCCCGGGTAGCTGGGACTACAGGCACATGCCACCATGCCTGGCTAACTTTCATATTTTTTGTAGAGACAGTGTTTCGCCATGTTGCCCAGGCTGGTCTCGAAATCCTGGGCTCAAGCAATCCACCTGCCTCGGCCTCCCAAAGTGCTGGGATTATAGGCATGAGCCACTTTGCCCAACCCGTTTACTTGTTTTTAACTGGAATGACCTGCATGTATTTAAGAAAGGGAGGGGTTAAAAATAGGGGCAAGAGGCGATGACCGATATCCAAAGAGACCTGAGATGATGCGAACACAGAGCTCTAAAACCCAGGACACTGGCTTAGGATGGAAACAACATCCTAAGGGATAGGGATAGGGACAGGCTAATGACAGATCAAAGGAGGTTCATCCTCCTTCGATCTGTGAGAGGGACAGGGACAGGCTAATGACAGATTGAAGGAGGTTCACCTTTCTGTGTTAGGAAAACAAGAAAATTCCTCTCTGATGCCTTCTGTTTCCCTTGTAAAATCAGAGGGCTGGAGGATACAGGAGAGTGGAGAAGTTTCCAAACTGTCATGCTGCCTGAGAGGGTGAGTTAACCAGAGAGCGCACTGGGAGCCTGCTGTCCCAGCCACTAAACTCTCTTGCCACTGCCAGGGTGGCCACAGAACCAGCCTAAACTTCTGCAAACTCCCCAGGACGAATCAATGACACTTTGGCAGTGCAGTTGCCTATTTTATGAATTGTTTTTAAACATCTCTCCTCTGTTTCTGGCATTTCTGTGGAAAGCATCAAACACAAGCACCTATTTGAGCCAAGGGAGCATGTGGTTTTATAACACATGGGGCTGGGAGCACAAGATGGGCCTGGGTAATTCAGTGTGTTCAGCAGCTCCGCAGCGGGAACACTGCAAGAAGCCGATCACACCCCAACGCAACCAGGCTGGGTGAGGATGCATGGCCTGTGAGGACCTATCTGTTTCCCAGCGAGATTGCAGAGCTGAGGGAGAAGGTCTGGGGCACGCTGGACTTAAACCATTAGAAATGGATGAGCTGGGAGCAGCAAAAAGAAAAAAGAGGTTGCCACTCAACTGCAGTGAAAGCACTGGCCTTTGCTATGCAGCGAGGGTCACAGGGAGGCGAGCGGAGCTGGACTAGGTCATCCTGGGCTAGTCACTTTTTCCCGCATCCTAAGCACACAGAAACCAGTTACCGATGAGTTAAAAGGTAACAAAAACACCATAAGCTTTCTCTAGAGGGTCACATTTGTTATGATCTCTTTAACCCCAAACTCCTACCCCTTCAACCAAACCGTAGCCCCTGTTCTCACTGAAATCTATGCCGCTGATCTCTTGAACACACTCACACATCCACATGGCCTGACTGGAAAGGCATCTGGCTGAAATGAATGGACCTCTAGAGAAATCTCATTGCCCATCAGTAGGATTCAAAGATGCACCTGCTTACTGAATCCAGGCGCCTCTGCCAGGGTTTGAAGGCCTACTGTATTTATTAGTTTGCTGAGGCTGCCATAACGAAGTACCACAGACTGGATGGCCTAAACTACAGAAGTTTATTCCCCCACCATTCTGGAGGCTGCAGGTGCCAGCAGCTGTGGGTTCTCCTAGAGCCCCCATCCCTGGCTTCTGGACAGCTGCCACCTCGATGCATCCTTGCCTGGTCTTTCCCCTGTGCGAGCATTTCCAGTGTCTGTCCAAGTGGCCTCTTTTAAGGAGTAGGGCCTACATACACCAAGGGCCTCGCTTTAACTTAATCACCTCTTCAGAGACTTAAGCTGAGCGCTCACGCCTGTAATCCTAGCACTTTGGGAGGCCAAGGTGGGTGGATCATCTGAGGTCAGGAGTTTGAGACCAGCCTGGCCAACATGGCGAAAGCCCATCTCTACTAAAAGTATAAAAATTAGCCAGCCGTGGTGGCGCATGCCTGTAATCCCAGCTACTCGGGAGGCTGAGGCAGGAGAATTGCTTGAACCCAGGAGGCGGAGCTTGCAGTGATTTGAGACAGCACCATTGCACTCCAGCCTGTGTGACAGAGGAGACTCCATCTCAAAAAAAAAAAAAAAAAAAAAAAAGCAACACAATCTCTGAATACACTCACATTCTGAGGAATTCAGGGTTAGGGTTTCAACACACACAATTTTGGAGGGGACAAATTCAGCCCGTAGCACTGTTCTTCCATAATTCAGCTGCAATACCGCCTTTGAGCCCATCTTGCTCCATTTCAGTCAGGCGCCCTGTTTTCTTTCCTCCAATCCGATTTGTCTCTGATGCCCTGTTAATGCTACCTTCCCCGTTTGGAACACATGTGTGCTTTGCACATCATTAGGTGACCTTGGCATTGTGTGAGCATCATACAGTGAACTTACACACACCTAGGTGGCATAGCCTACCACCCACCAAGGCCAGGTACAGCCTACTGCTGTCAGGCTGCAAACCTGCACAACCGCTTACTGTGCTGAATACTGAGGCCAACTCCAACACACTGGCAACTACCTGTGCATCTAAACACAGAAAAGGTACAGTGAAGACCCAGGATTATAGTCTCATGGGACCACCATCGTACACGCAGTCTGTCATCCACAAGGTCAGTATGTGGCCTGTGGCTGTACTCGGAGGTGAGAGGAGATACTAAGGCCAACGTATCAAAGGCAGGGCAAGCTGAATCACTATCCCCAAAGCTGTTCTCCTCTTTCTCAAAACATCCTTTTTCCCCCTATTATTTTGGTGGGTGATGTTTTAGGTGGATTTCATAAGCAACTGGAATGTTTGAGGTGTTTTGGAAAGGGTCTTATTAAAAGATAATCAGTTATTTGATATGAGAGCAGGGGCAGGGAAGGGACTAATATTTCTTGAGCACCCACTGTGTGCCAGGCAGTGGGTAAGTGCTTCACACATTCTCATTTAATATTCAAAACAATGTGGTCACTTCACACATGAATGAAGGCAAGCTCAGAGGGCTTATTCAAGCTGCTCAATGTCACATAGCTTGAATCTGACATCAAGTCCGGCTGAATCCAAGACTAATATGCTTCCCTCCAAAGCTAAAGGACTCAACAAAAGTTCAGTTCTCTTCTTAACTACCAAAACAGCATATGACAAAAACAACCTGTCAACTGTAACACATATAGGAGCCAAGAAAATATTTGTCATAGAAAAATATCCAGTGTCTAGAATTCATTGCAACAAATTAGTCTTTCTGCAGTTGACTCCTAAAAGAAAAAGAAAGAGCCGTGCGCGGTGCCTCACGTCTGTAATTCCAGCACTTTGGGAGGCTGAGGCAGGCGAATCACAAGGTCAGGAGATCGAGACCATCCTGGCTAACATGGTGAAACCCCGTCTCTACAAAAAATACAAAAAAAATTAGCCGGGCGTGGTGGCAGGTGCCTGTAGTCCCAACTACTCGAGAGGCTGAGGCAGGAGAATCACTTGAACCTGCGAGGCGGAGGTTACAGTGAGCCAAGATCGCGCCATTGCACTCCAGCCTGGGTGACAGAGTGAGAAAAAAGAAAAAAAGAAAAAGAAAGAAACAAAAAAACTTTACTTTGAATTCTTTGTAATAATTTGTTTCAAAGTAATTTTAAAAATTATTTGACTTTATTAATTTTACATTTGGTTATATTTAAAAGATATGTTAAGTGTGGCTTTCTTGTAAACACCTATCACTTTCTAGAGATTTTCACTTCCGGTCAAAATAGAGTAACAGGGACTGGATTTATTTTCCTATACAAAGCAACTCCAAAAATGGAGAAAATATATAACACAACAGATCTGAAAACATGGTACACCAAGCAGTGAGAAACGGTGATCTCCAAGAGACAGGAAAATGAAAATGTGATCCCTGTGAGCGCCCCAGCCTGCTGCCTTGAGTGAGTTTCCAGGCTCTGGTGTAGGAAGGAGGAACACAGGTAGGATGCGGCCAAATCCATGAGTGCAAGAGATGGAGGGGAGAGTTCAGGGGGGCCAAAGGGATGCGAGTTCACAGGACAGAGTACCAGGGAGTAGAGAGATACCCAAAAAAAACTTAGGAGAGCCACAGGGGGTTATCCTTGAATGTGTGGGAAGTAGTCAAGGTCAGGAAAAAAAAAAAAAAACAGAAATGTATTAGAGGTAACAGTGCCTAGTGCTCACAGGGCCAGGAATACTACCTATTCCCATCAGCCAGTCTGGAAAACCTCATGATTCCTGGGGCCTTGGCAGAGTGCTGAAGAGTCACGCTTTAGTAGTCGGGAATAATTCACCCCAGACTATGCCCTACAGTGTCCAGGCTAACAAGTCTTAAAAACCAAATCCAAAAGGATCAAATCGCTTCCAAATAACTATATCCCAGAACAAATTCAATAAAACTTACAGTAATACAGAAGTATGCAGCATATGTGACATCCAATTTTTAAAAATCAGGTACAAGAAGCAGGAAAATGTGACCCACAAGGAAACAACAAAAATCAGTAAAAACTAACCTAGAACTCACACGAATGACAGACTCCATAGAGAAGGACATGAAAATAATTATTCTAACTATATTCCATATGTTTGAAAAGTTGAGATATGGAAGATATAAAAAAAGATCCAAGCTAAACTTCTACAGTGAAAACTATACTGTGAGATATAAAATGTTATGCTCTCTGGATGACTGTAACAGCAGATCAGCATTCCCGAAGAAAATATTACTAAACTTGAAGACCTAACAATAGAAATAATCCAAAATGAAACACACACAAAATTTAAAAAGCAACAAAACTGTAGAACACTTTAAGCAGCCTAATGTACAGTAAGTCCTCACCATTGTCAATACATTCTCAGAAAACTGCTACTATAAGCAAAAGGAAGGATAACAACAAAGGATATAAAATGAAGTCATCAAAAAATTTCAATTGAAAGGAAGGCAGATAAAAGGAACAAAAGATGATGGCTAGACAAAAAGAAAACAAACAGCAAGGTGTTCAATTTAAACTATATCAATAATCACATTAAATGTAAATGGTCTAACCCCTCCACCCCCCATTAAAAGGCAAGGATTGTTAGTCTGGATTAAAAAAGAAAAAAGCAAGTATATGCTGCCTACAAAAATACACTGCTAATGTAAAGACACAAATAAGTTAAACAAAAAAGGGTGAAAGTACACCATACTAAAAAATAATAATTTAAAAACTGAAGTGGCTATATTAGTGTTGGGCAATGCAGATGTCAGAATAAAGAATATTGCTGGGGATTTAAAAAAGGGTAATTTCTTGGCCGGGCTCAGTGGCTCATGCCTAATCCCAGCACTTTGGGAGGCTGAGGCAGGTGGATTACCTGAGGTCAGGAGTTCGCGACCAGCCTGGCCAACATGGTGAAACTCTGTCTCTACTAAAAATACAAAAATTAGCCGGGCGTGGTGGCGGGCACCTATAGTCCCAGTTAGGAGGCTGAGGCAGGAGAATCACTGGAACCTGGAAGGCAGAGGTTGCAGTGAGCTGAGATTGTGCCACTACACTCTAGCCTGGGCAACAGAGCGAGGCTGTCTCAAAAATAAATAAATAAATAAATAAATAAATAAATAAAATTTTAAAAGGGTAATTTCTTAATGATAATGGAGTCACTTAGTCAAGAGCACGAAACAATCTTAAATATTTATACACTTAATAACAATTTTAAAATACATGATTAGGAAACTGATGAGACTGCAAGGAGAAACAGTCATGCACCGCATAGTGACATTTCAGTCAAGAACAGGCGCATAATACGTCAGTGGTATATATCATAATCCTGTATTTTTTACTGTACCTTTTTTAGTTTAGAAACACAAATACTTACCATTATAATTGCCTATTGTATTCAGTTCAGTAATATGCTATAGAGACAACCGTACTTACACCACCTGTTTGTGTAAGTACACTCTGTGATGTCCGCACAATGAAATTGCCTAAAAACACATTTCTCAGAACATATAGCCATCGTTAAGTGACGCATGACTGTAGAAAAATCAACAATTATAATTACAGAGATTTTTAATATTTATTTCTCAATATTAGTATGTAGGCAGAAAATAAATAATAGATTTGAACAACGTAACCTCATTGAAATATATTGAATATCCTACCCAACACAGAACATACAGTCTTTTCCAAGTGCATGTAAAACACTTGCCAACATAAGACATATTCGGGACCATAAAACAAGTATCAGTAAATTACTTTAAAAGCTTCATGTCATATGAACTATGATTTCTGACCACTATGGAATTCAATAATAAAGCAACAATTGAAGAATTTGTGAAAAATCTCCCATAGATTTAGAAATGAAATACCATACTTTTAAATAAAGAAGAAACCAAGGGGAAATGGGAAAGTATTGAAAATGAAAACACAATTTGTGGATGCCACAAAGAAATCAACCTTTGTGGGATGCCACAAAAAAACCCTATTAATTTTAAAAATAATCTATTACAATTTAAACATATGTAATCTAGAAAATTAGATAATTCAAATACGGAAAATTTTTAAAAATATGTTTTTCACCATTAGGAGATCATCATTAACACTTTAGGGAAGTGGTTCTCAAAGTTGAGCATGTATTAAAATTGCCCTAAGTAAGGGCTTGTTGAAACGTACACCACTGGGCCCTGTTCCCAGAGTTCCTAATCTGGGATGCGGCCCTGAGAATGTGCATTCCTAGCCAGTTCTCAGGTGATGTGGATGCTGCTTGTTGGTCTGTGGACCATGCTTTAAGAACCACTGCCTTAGTACATACATTTCCATATCTCTCATTATATGTGATGTGTATGAATATAAACATTCATATACTTTTTAAAAACCAAAATGAGATTTTTTATTTTTTTGAGACAGGGTCTTATTCTGTCACCCAGGCTGGAGTACAGTGGCTCGATCTTGGCTCAATGAAACCTCTACCTTCTGGGTTCAAGTGATCCTCTTGCCTCAGCCCCCTCAAGTAGCTAGGACTACAGGTGTGAGCCACCATGCCTGGCTAGTTTTTGTATTTTTTGTAGAGGGGTTTCACCATGTTTCTCAGGCTGGTCTTACACTCCTGAGCTCAAGTGATCCACATGCCTCAGCCACCCAAAGCGCTAGGATTACAGGCATGAGACATCTTGCCTGGTCACCAAAATAAAATTTTAAAAATGGTTTCATATTTTATCTAACCCCATCTGTGCAGAATATTACCAATTAAATATGTAATCAGTATAAAAACATGATTAATGAGATATTTTGCTTTCTTTGCTACTCTTTGGAATTCCACACCTATTTCATACTTAGATTACATTTCAATTTGCACTAGCTATGTTTCAAGTGCTTATTACCTAAAGCTTAAGAACTTTGGATAAATGAAAATATAATTTTGTCTAAGACTTCTTTCCCTCTACATAATGTAGTATACCATAGTCTGTTTAACAATTCTTCTCTTGATGGCACATGTGCGATTTCCAGTTTGGAGTTATGAATAAAACTGCAAAGAATATTTTTATACTTATTTTTATGGACATAAGCTTTCATTTCTCTTACGTAAATACTTAGGAGTAGAACTGCTGTGTCAAAAAAATTAGTGTATATTTAGTTTAATAAGAATCCTACCAGACTCTTTTCAAAATTGTTTTATCAGCTACTTCTTTTTTCAAAGATTTGTACCTCTCCATTTTGTAAACTTTCCTCTCATCAAATACTCAGGCAATATTCAAATTCCTCCAATTAACTAAAGAACGTCCTTATTGGTGATCTGTCAAAACT
Source organism: Homo sapiens (assembly GCF_000001405.40). NCBI lineage: Eukaryota > Metazoa > Chordata > Mammalia > Primates > Hominidae > Homo > Homo sapiens. The sequence goes on along the minus strand of NC_000013.11, from coordinate 98,354,441 downwards.
AACGTCCAAACCAAGACCATGTTTCATATCTGGTTATGTCCTCTAAGTCTCTTTTCATCTATCCTACTACCTCTCCCTACCTTCCCTTTTTGACAACACTAATCTGGTGAAGGGAATCTGTGTTTAATAAAATTTGAACTGAAAATCGTAGAATATGGTTTTACGTATTTACCAAAAAAGCTTTAAATGAAAAAGAAATTAAAGACAGATCTGCAAACCAAACTACAAAATCAAATGTAGTACAGGCTATCCCTATGCACTTGTGTACTGAACTCATTAAGTAGGAGTTGGTATTAGAGATATATGTGAAGGGAAGCTTTGGAATCAAACCAAGACAATATTACAATGCAATGTGTGGGGTTTCAGGGAGCCTGGACTTGGAGGGAAGCTTTAATATCTACAATCTTTACTTCTTAACCAGGATTCAGCAGACCTCAGGCATGGTCCTTGCAAAACATCAATTACTCAGTTTAAACTATTTTTAAATCATTTGTTTAATTTTCATTAGCTTCGAATGACTCATTTCAAAAGATTTCACATGGGTGTTATGGTTAATTGAACTCTTAAAAATTGTGGTAAGAAGAGTTAACATGAGATCTACCCTCTCAAAATTTTAAGCATGCAACACAGTGTTAACTATAGATAAAATGCTATACAACCCTTTAAACTATCATTTGCTTATTCTGCTGTATACCTTTTTCCTTTTCAACCTTTAAAAAATATTTAATATTAAAATAAACAGATGCTTAAAACTACAAAAAGCAGGCCGGGTGTGGTGGCTCATGCCTATAATCCTAGCACTTTGGGAGGCCGAGGCAGGTGGATCACCTGAGGTCAGGAGTTCGAGACCAGCCTGACCAACATGGAGAAACCCCATCTCTACTAAAAATACAAAATTAGCTGGGCATGGTTGCACATGCCTGTGATCCTAGCTACTCGGGAGGCTGAGACAGGAGGATCACTTGAACCTGGGAGGCGGAGGTTGCAGTGAGCCGAGATTGCACCATTCCACTCCAGCCTGGGCAACAAGAGTGAAACTCTGTTTCAAAAAGTAATAATAATAATACTGCACAAAGCAAATGTACAGCTTAGTGAATTATTAGATGGTAAACACCCTTGTATCTATCAACCAAGTCAAGAAATCAAACTCTGCTGGTCAACTCCTTCCAAACTGAACTCCCGCCCTCTACAGGTAACCACTATGCAGAGTTTCATCGTAACTGCATAAGTCTGTAATGTGTTATTTTGCCACATGGTGCATCTTTATACGCCAGAGTTTAGTCTTAAGACTAAACCACTCTAGCCTTGAGACTCATGAATGGCTTCGCACCATCCCCTTGGGTAATAAATATGTTTTCACTCAGAGTTCATGGGAGATCTGGTTAAAAGTGTGTGGTGCCCCCACCCCCAAATTGCTTAGTCTTTATAGTCTTAAGACTAAACTCTGGTGTATAAAGATGCACGATGTGGTGAAATAAAACATTACAAACATATGCAGTTACTCTGAAACTCTGCATGGAGGTTACTTGTAGAGGGCAGGAGTTTATATTGTTTAATCTATAGCTTCCTCTTCCATCTCTTTCTTTTCCTCACTGTTGACTTGTAGGGTTTCCTGGAGTTTGGATTTTGCTGACTGCACACTCACAGTACTATTCAACATGATCATCTTCCCTGTAGTTTCTACAATTTGGCAGCTGGATCCACCTGAATCCTTTGGCAAGGCCAAACGTGGTGTCTCAGGAAGAACACATTGAAGTCTCTGTTTTTTAAATATCATTATGACCTTGATACATTTTTGTTACTCATTTTTATGTGAAAATTGTTTCCTAACCTGTTTAAAGTCATGGTTCAGAGTAGCTTTTCAAAGCTCCCAGAGCTTCCTTGTCTATTGTTTCTGTACAGTGTTGAAGGATATGGAAGCGTGCTTTCTCAAGTTCCCTGGCTCGATTGCCCTCCCCTTCTCTGTCATTTCTCTCTGTTGTCCCAACTCAGTTCCATATGGGCTCCCCTCTCAGTAGTCTCTCTTGAGTGATGGCCCGTCTCAAGGGGCAGTTACTGGTCACTGGAGCACAGCTGCTCCAGCCCTGTTAGGCCTTACCCATTTCAGCTGCTCTTCTCAAACCATTTCCCTGTGATTTCCAGTGGCAATTTGAGGGTTCTCTTCTGCCACCCATCAGACGCCCTATTGTTTCCTCATTTCTTCCTAAACACACACCGATGGCGTGCAGGCCTTGGGGCTGGCTGATGTTCTGTCTCCAGCTGCTTGTTCTTTGGGATCTAGGACTTACTATGGCATCTAGTTTTGCCACAGATGTTGTCTGTGGGTTTTTGATTTTGCTAAGTAGCTGTCTTTATGTACGGCCTTGGGTTTGAGAAGATCTAAAAACTATGCTTCCACCACCACCACCACCTTCTTAGAACTGCATATCCATTTTGAAACATATTATTTCTATGTATTTTTTCTTTAACCACTGATATGGTTTGGGTATTTGTCCCTTCCAAATCTTGTTGAAATGTGATTCCCAGTGTTGGGGGTGGGTCCTGGCGGGAGGCGACTGGTTCACGGGGACGGGTCCCTCATGAGTGGTTTGGCACCAGCTCCTTGGGTAATAAGCATGTTTCCACGCAGAGTCCATGGGCGATCCGGCTGTTTGTGTGTGGTGCCTCCCCACCCCCAATTGCTCTCTCTCTTGCAGCATGACACGCCTGTTCCTACTTCACCTTCTGCCATGAGTAAAAACTTCCTGAGGCCTCACCATGCTTATAGAGCCTACAGAACCATGAGCCAATTAAACCTCTTTTCTTTTTTTCTTTCTTTTTTTTTTTTTTTTAGATGGAGTCTTGCTTTGTTGCCCAGGCTGGAGAGCAGTGGCGTGATCTCAGCTCACTGCGAGCTCCGCCTCCCGGGTTCACGCCATTCTCCTGCCTCAGCCTCCCAAGTAGCTGGCACTACAGGCGCCTGCCACCACGCCCAGCTAATTTTTCGTATTTTTAGTAGAGACGGGGTTTCACCCTGTTAGCCAGGATGGTCTTGATCTCCTGACCTTGTGATCTGCCTGCCTCGGCCTCGCAAAGTGCTGGGATTACAGGCGTGAGCCACCGCGCCCGGCCAAACCTCTTTTCTTTATAAATTACCCAGCCTCAGGTATTTACTTATAGCAACACAAATGGCCTAACACAAGCACATTTCTTATTCAGGTATGATACGGCCAACAGCTCAGCAGGCCACTGCCATTCAGAAGAGGGTTTATTACTCACAGTTCCCAAGAGGAGGGGGCCCACCACTCCACAAGGAAGTACCAGGGCTGGGCTGGAGGCAGAGGGAGAGGGGGAGGGGGAACAAGGGCAGGATCGCTTCTGTGGGGAGGCGAGGCTGGGCAGGGGAGGCGAGGCTGGGCAGGGGAGGCGAGGCTGGGCAGGGGAGGCGAGGCTGGGCAGGGGAGGCGAGGCTGGGCAGGGTAAGCAGGTTTAGCACTGGCTCATCTGCATCATTTCCGTGGGCTCTGGGGTGTGGTTGGCTCTGGTTGTGGGTACCTGGCCCTGAAGGTGACTGTTGCCTCCTGGAGTGTCAGAACCAGCAGGAAGGAGGTGGCTGGATAGGCCTCTGGATTGGTTAATTGGCAAATAAAGGGTACACTCACAGGGAGCCATTTGCCATCTCTAAGAATTGGCTAGCCCGGGGAGGGGAAGTAGCTCCCCAGTCAACAAGGCCTCAGGTGTCAGAGAGTACAGAAAATTAAAAAGTACAGAGGGAAAAGATCAGGGGTTGCCAGGTGCTCACGAGGAGAGAGGGAGGAACTGGAGGAGCACAGGGAAGGATCAGGGCGGTAACACAACTCTGTGTAATACTGTTGTGGTAGATGCAAGTCCAGAAACATGTGTCAAAACCCACAGAATGTTCAACAGCAAGAGTGAAGCCTAATGTCAAGTTTGGACCGCAGTGAATGAATGATAATGGATTGACACTGGCCCATCAGCGAGGACACACATGCCACACGAAGGCACAGTGTCAGTAACGGGGGACACTGTAAGTACGGACAGAGCGGGAACAGTATATAGGAACCTCTGTACTTCTGGCTCAATTTTGTTGTCAACTTAAAACTGCAATACAAATATTAAATCTATTAATTAAACAAACAAAACACTAAAAGCCCCAAAATCAGTTATTCTCCTTCCCACTTGAGAGCTGGAGCATCTCCCACAGCTGTATTTTCCAAAGGGCCTGTCCTCCCAGACTCTCTGCTTGAGGGGAGCTTTGCCTCCTCTGGGGACCTGCCTGTCAACACAGTCACCATTAGATGGTGCTGCCCCGCGAGGTGACCGAGCCGCTGTACAACCTCACCTCTGCTGGCTTCCCACAGCTGCAGGCTGTCCTCGATCCTGTGACATTCTCCATCCTTTACACCTCCCATGTTCCTCAAAAAGCTCCTCCTCACCTCAGAGGTCCTCAGACCCCTAGGAAGAAGCGAGGGCAGACGCTGCGGCTAAGCACAGATGAAGGAGGTGTGTCTGACTCCAGCAGGGTCTAGAAACCTCCAGCAAGGGATGCCCGTCATCCCCGGGAACTGCAGTTTCCATGACCTCCTGCCCCTCAAAAGCAGTCCCACTATTGACAAAGCTTTTCTCCTAGCATGGAGGACAGAAAATGAATGACAAGGTGCCAATCTTCTTCCTGGAGCTTCGACAGTATTTATTTATAAGAAACCAGAATTGATTTTATCAGGCCAGTAAGCATTGTCTTTTTTTTTTTTTTTTTTTTTTTTTTTTTTCCCTGAGATGGGTCTTGCTCTGTCGCCAAGCTTGAGTGCAGTGGTGCGATCTCGGCTCACTGCATCCTCCGCCTCCTGGGTTCAAGTGATTCTCCTGCCACAGCCTCTCAAGTAACTGCGAATATAGACGCGTGCCACCAAACGGGCTAATTTTTGTATTTTTAGTAGAGATGGGGTTTCACCATGTTGGCCAGGCTGGTGTCAATCACCTGACCTCAAGTGATCTGCCTGCCTCGGCCTCCCAAAGTGCTGGGATTACAGGCATGAGCCACCCACCCAGCCACAATGTCATTTTAATAAAACAGTGGTGGGCTGGCTTCACTGGTTTCTGAGTTAGATTGCAAAAATGAAATACAACAGATATCTGAGTGCCTACTATGTGCCATGAGACCTGCTGGGCTCATCATTGTAAAGTATCTGATTAGCCCTCATAATAACCTTGTAAAATGGTCATTTATTCCTCTCATTTCTCAGATGAAGTGCAAAATCAAGGAAGTTAAGAATCAACCTAGCAGCTAAATGACAAAGCGAATGTTTAAACAGATATGCAAGCCACAATGCAGAGCTTTTCCAGCTAGCCTCAATAGGCCAATGAGATAAATTTTCCGTATACAACTATCTCTGCTGTTACGGTTTGTGCAGCTCTTTCCGACGGGAGATCCAAGGACAGGCAGCCACATGCGACATACAGAACATGAGCTTTAGCTAAGAGAGGCTCTGTGTGGATCCTGGTTACACATTTCATTGTTAAGGACTGGGCACGTTACTTCTCTGGATTTGCTCACTGTAAAATTTGGGTTATAGAATACCTACCACAGAGATTGGCAAACTACGGCACATGGGCCAAATACGGCCAGGCTACTCCCTGTTCTGGCACAGGTCCGAAGCAGAGATTGGCTTTTACATTTTTCAGTGGTTAAAAAAAAAATCAAAAGAATCACATTTCGTGATATGTGAAAACTATATAAAAGCCAAATCTCTGTGCCCATAAATAAAGCTGTATTGGAACACAGCCACATCCATTCATTTCACATCGTCTACGGATGCTTCTGCTCTGTGAAGACAGAGTTGAGTGTAACAAAGCCTCTCACCAGGCCTGAACTTCAGCCAGGCTCCTCTTCTCCATGAGGCCTCAGCCTCAGGCTTCCGTGTCCAGTTTTAGCAAGAATCCTGCAAAGTCCGTTTCGAGGGAGTCCCCTGGCCAGCTCCCGGAACTCGCCCCCATGGCCATCTAATGGCTTTCTGGCCCTTTCCCAGCCTTCAGACTCTATGTACCAATTAGCAGCCGTAATAAGCACGGGGTCTTGATTCCCATGATCAGTAGTGTTTCTGCCATGGAAAGCTCAATCTATACTTTTAAACAGCTGATTAAAACACTTCTGTTGTGGAGTGATCCTTTAGGGACAGTGCTGGACAAGAGCAAGAGCAGGACAAGAGCCAAGGGCAAGAGCAGGCCAAGCTTGCGTGTCAACACTGCAATCAACTCTTTTAATTGACAAGCCTTGGGACAAGTCTAATTAAGGGTAGAACATAATTATTTCATAATGATCAGTAGTTTATTTACAATCTTGAGAAACACGTCTTAGACTATGAAAAACCCTTATTTTCCCCTTAAACTCCTTCACATCCTTACTATGAATAAGGCTCTGACTTGGGTATTTATAAGACAGAAATGATGAGAAGAAAGACAGAAGGCTGGGCAGAAATTCAAGCTGCCTAAATTCAACAACTTATTGCCTAGAGACAAGGATTCACAACCTGACATGCCAGGTGCTTGGGGGAAACTAGTTTCCCACACATCACACACAGAGAAATGGGGTGAACCCAGTTGTTACAGCCCTATGATTGGGCATTTTGAAACCAACCATGCTTTTTCTCAGGTTGGAAGACAGGTGCACAGTCTCCCAAATGAAGACTGGCAGAGGTGACAGTCACGATGGTGATATTAAAAAATAATAGTGATGGCACACCCACGTTCATTGCAGCATGGCTCACAATGGCCAAGAGGTGACGGCAATGTAAGTGTCCATCCATGGAGGAATGGATACTGGAGACGTGGTGAATATACACAATGGAAATGGTATTTGGCCTTAAAATGGAGGGAAAGCTTGTTGTATGCCACTGCACAGATGAACATTATGCTGAGTGAGATAAGCCAGTCACGAAAAGACAAAGACCACACGATTCCACTTACTTGATGACGTGTCTAAAGTAGATAGACTCAGTAACAGAAAGTAGAACAGGGGCTGGGGAAGGGGAACTGGGGAGTTCTTCAGTGGGTGTAGAGTTTCCACTTCACAAGATAAAAAAATTCTAGAGATCTGCTCTACGACAAAGTACATGTAGTTAACACTTCTGAACTACACACTTACAAATGGTTACAAATGTGTTACTTGTTTTTGACCACAATTAAAAAAATAATAACTACGAAGATGACGATGGTAACAAGTTTCCATAAATAATGCTTTTGGAACACTTCAATGGATCCCAGACACTGGGTTGCACGCTAAGAGACATTGTCAAGCAACTGTGTCTGGGGCAGAGGGGAAAATCCAGCTGGTGCTTACGATTCTCACAAGGTGAGATGCTCTTCCTCAGTTCATACAAGCAAGACTGGCCTGTGGCACTTCCAAAATAGACTCTGTCTGATGACCTTTTGGTCATCATTTCTGCTACTGTGTGCTTTCATTGCATTTTGGAACTTTCATTGCATTTGCATCTGTAACTATTATTGAAGTTATCGATGTCACATGTTGTAAGGCAGAACTCACTGGATTTTTACAAACTGATTGTATCCACGGAACCAGCATCCAGATCAAGAGAGAGAACACACCCAAGACCCTGGCAGCAATCCCTATAACTCCTCCAGTCATTTACGGCATCCCCTCAATTACCACAGATCCATTCTATCAAAAGAACTTTTTTTTTGAGATGGAATCTCACTCTGTCACCCAAACTGGAGTGCAGTGGAACGATCTCAGCTCACTGCAACCTCTGCCTCCTGGGTCCAGACAATTCTCCTGCCTCAGCTTCCTGAGTCACTGGGACTACAGGCGTGCGCCACCACACCCAGCTAGTTTTTGTATTTTTAGTAGAGATGGGGTTTCACTATGTTGGCCAGGCTGGTATCAAACTCCTGACCTTAAGTGATCCTCCTGCCTGAGCCTCCCAAAGTGCTGGGATTACAGGCATGAGCCACCACACCCGGCCTCAAAAGAACTTTTAAAAATTGAGGCGGGCGGATCACCTGAGGTCAGGAGTTCGAGACCAGTCTGGCCAACATGGTGAAACCCCATCTCTACTAAAAATACAAAAATTAGCCGGGCGTGATGGTGGGCACCTGTAATCCCAGCTACTCAGGAGGCTGAGGCAGGAGAATTGCTTGAACCCAGAAGGCAGAGGTTGCAGTCAGCCAAGCTCGCACCACTGCACTCCTGCCTGGGCGACAGAGAAAGACACCTTCTCAAAAAAAAAAAAAAAAAAAAATTATATGCAATTAGCTCAGGCTGGAATTCAGTAATTAACAGAGAGTCAAGTCAGTTTAGTGATATGGTCAGAACAAGATGATGACTGAGGGAAGGCACTTCTACAGATCCGAGCTTCAATCCCATTTCTTTGCTGTGTGCCTTTGGGTGAACAACTTAACCTCTTTAAGGCTTAACTTCCTCATCAGAAAAAGGGGCTATAATGCACCGTTGCAGGAATAAATGAAACACTATATGTGAACCTAGCACGGTGCCTGGCAGTTATCACTCTCTAGAGCATGCGTTGGCCGACTATGGCTTCCTGTTATATGAAGTTCTGCTGGAACAAACACATGTATTCATTCACATATTATCTGTGGCTGCTTTTGCATGATAAGGGGAGATTCAAATAGTTGCAGCAGAGACTGCATGGCCTATAAGGCCTACAGTACTCTCTGGCCCTTTACAAAGAAGGTGTGACCCCTGCTGTAGAACGTGGGTCATGCGTGCTGCTGTACCCATAGGGACTAGAACACTCCAGCACATAGGAAGCACTCATGGGGCGGCTTTTGTGTGACATGTGACAAACACTTACTTATTTAAGTCATCAACGGTGGGTTTTATTTTGCAGTTGAATACATTCCTAAACAATAGTGTAAGAATGGAGTGAAATCATAAAAGTCAAGCCTGGTAACAACTTGAAAGAAGTCAGCCCTGCCCGGTACCTAGAAAGAACAATAGGCTTACAAATTCTAGCAAAAGAGAAGCACCTATGGTTAACAGAAGAGACGCTGAACTTGGAGTCAGAAGAACACAGAATCTTAGCTGTGCCATTAGCTAACTGGTAGATTCAGACATGGGGAAATTCTTAGAATCTTAGCGCCCTCAGCTGTGAAGCCCAAACACTGCTGCCGATTTCTGGTTTAGACAAACAGCTCCTGCAGGACTGGAATTGGGCAAGACTGGAGTCAGGAAAGCCATCAGGAGCTTAAAGGAATTCAGGCAGGCACAGAACGGGGTTGTTAGAAATAATGAGATAACGGTATCTTCAGGTGTTTTGAGAATCATTATTTTACCATGAAATAAGAGCATGAAACAATATTCCGCATAACTTGCTACACTCTAATTGTTTCCTGGACTCTCTTCAGAAGCTGTGTGTGCCTAGTGAATGGAAACCGTAACTACTTCTTGCTAGCTGTCACTTTATCTCACCTTTCATGTGAAGTCTGATGCCAGACACAGTGTAGGCACAAAATAATTGTTAGCTGAATAGGAGAAGGCAGAATGAGATTTGGCAGGTCTGTGGTCATATGCCACACTGTAAAAAGGGCTGGGAGTCAGGGAATCTTGGATTTGAAGTACAAACTAGAAAACGACAGAGTGTTTGGAGGTGGGAATAAATTGAGAAAACACAACTTGTTCTCATTTTTAGGCCCATGACAGATCCGTTCATTCACCACCTGCTCTGCTCAGAGCCAGGCTCGATCTGCACTGCCTCTGACGGCTCTTCCCGTAGATGCTGCCGTCCCACCTGTGGCCACCTTCTCTTCACAATGAATGTTCTCATCCCGTTTCAGAGCTTCGACAGACATTCATAATAATCACAAGATTCTTGAATCCAAATTTCCACCCAGATCTCTTTCCCGTGCTCCAGGAAATACACCTTCTGGCACTGCCTGCTGGATGTCTCCACTGAATGCCACGGATGCCCCTGCCTCCTCAAGCTGGAATGGGACTCATCTTCACCCCCGGGCATGGTCTTCCCCAGGGATGGGCACTACTGTCCACCCAGATGGCAAAGCTGGAAAACTGAGCCACTCCAAGCCCTCTCCTCCACAGGGGTATTCATTCAATCACATCCTCTCCTACTGCCCCCAACCCCACCTCTGGAATCCATCCAGCTCCTGCCAGCCCCTCTACTCTCCCTTAGTTCTAGCCAGCACCATCTCCAACCAGACTCATCGCTAGATCCTGATGGCTTTCTTGACTCCAGTCTGGTCCTATTCCAATCTGCCTACAGTTCTCTTTCTAAACCAGAAATCAGATCATATCACACTCTCTTTTAAATGCATTAACAGCTTCTCAAACATATTAGTTTGGGTATAGAACTGTGAGGGCCGATACATAGCCCTTGGCCACATGTGATGACTGAGCACTTGAAACATGGCTAGTCTAAACCAAGAGGTACTGAGGTGTCAAATACACACCAGATTTGAAGACTTCACAGACAAAACAGACAGCATGAAAATATCTCACTCACAATCATTTAGACTGGCCCCTGCCCAGCCCCCCACCAAGATGAACAGACAGTAAAATAGTAACATTAAGTTGACATCACCTACCGTGATCTTTTTGTGATCAGGAAACTCGAGGCCAAAATAGTCACCTTCCACGAGGTTGAGGTGGTTGCAAACTGCATCCAGCAGCACCTTCCCAGGAGCTCTTTGCTGTGAGCAGAAACAACAGGGGTTATCCCTGAGGCAGGCACGGATGAAAACAAACCACAGCTCCTCGCTGCAGGAAACCTCTGGATTCCTAAGTCTGCAGGTCCTTCAGAGCTTGCCACCGCCCACCTCCGTGACACCCTGAACGCCAGCCCCATCTACACCTCCGTATCCCAGCACCTGCTGTTCCCAAAATTGGATGCAAATCTCTTAGCATTTTCTTCCCACTCCAACGCCAGGCATCACTCCTCCCACCTTATTCAATTAATCGACTATTTTTTTAGAGTAGTTTTAGGTTTACAAAAAGTTGAGCAAAAACTTCTTCGCGCTACACAGTGTCCCGTTATTAACCTTGGTGGTAGAGATTTGCTACAGTTGTGGAGCCAATATTGACACAGCATCATCACTCACACTCCATAGCTCACACAAGGCTCACTCCGTGTGCTGTAAAGTTCTATGACAAATGTGTTGTGACCCGTCTGCATTACAGCATCATACAGAATAGTTTCACTGCTTCATATGAATTTCACCCTAAAACTCCTCTGTGTTCCAGCTATTCCTCCCTCCCTCCCTCCTAATCCCTGGCGAACACTGATCTTACTGTCTCTATAGTTTGCCTTTCCCAGAATGTCATCTAGCTGGACTCATACAGGACTCATACAGTACGTAGCCTTTGCAGACTGCCTTCTTTCATTCAGTAATATGCATATAAGATCCTTCTGTGTCTTTTTTTTTTTCTTGAGACAGAGTTTTGCTCTTATTGCCCAGGCTGGAGTGCAATGGTGTGATCTCAGCTCACTGCAACCTCCACCTCCCGGGTTCAACTGATTCTCCTGCCTCAGCCACTGGAGTAGCTGGGATTACAGGCATGTACCACCATGCCAAGCTAATTTTATATTTTTAGTAGAGATGGGGTTTCTCCATGTTGGTCAAGCTGGTCTCAAACTCCCCACCTCAGGTGATCCACCTCCCTCAGCCTCCCAAAGTGCTGGGATTACAGGCATGAGCCACTGTGCCCTGCCCCTTCCATGTCTTTTTATGACTTGGTAGCTTATTTATTTATTGAAACAGAGTCTTGCTTTTGTCACTCAGGCTGGAGTGCAATGGCGCGATCTCAGCTCACTGCAATCTCCGCCTCCCAGGTTCAAGTGATTCTCCTACCTCGGCCTCCCGAGTAGCTGGGATTACAGGCACCTGCCACCATGCCCCGCTAATTTTTGTATTTTTTAGTAGAGATGGGGTTTCACCATGTTGGTCAGGCTGGTCTCGAACTCCTGACTTCAGGTGATCCACCTGCCTCAGCCTCCCAAAGTGCTGGGACTACAGGTACGAGCCACCGTACCCAGCCAGTTTGTTTATTTTTACTGTGGAATAATATTCCACTGTCTGGATGTAATACAGTTTATTCACCTACTGAAGGACATTTTGGTTGCTTCTAGTTTTGACAATTATGAATACAGGTGTTATAAATATTTCTGGACAGGTTTTATGTGGACATTAAGTTTTCAACTCATGACCCCAGGCCTTTTTTGTAACAGTCAAAGCCCTGTCCCTGTGCCTCTCTCCTTGTCCACAAATATGACATGGATGGTTTCCTCCTCTACATTCCTGTAGCACTCTGTGCAGTATCTCATCGAGACTATACCCACATTGAAGGGAAAGGCCATATTTTGTTCATCCCTGTATCCACAATGCCTAAAGACCAACCAATTTTGTGGAAACGAATGAACAAATCAATAAAAGTTATCCATTCCACTGTATTATAGATGGTTTAGTACCTATGTGTCTATGTCCCCAGTTAGTATCAGGCCACTTGGTCATCTTTGTATTCTTATTGCCTAGCACAGCACCTGGCAATCAATCAATGTCTGCTGAAATCAATACTATTCATGCATTTTCTACATACTGGATCTATAGGGAAAGGGAATATTATATATAAGAACCCACGTTCTACCCTAAAGAGCTTAGAATCATATGCCTCAATTTCTTTTCACTATGTACATTCCCAGTGACTGATAGTAAAATGGATCAATTCCACCATATAGATCAAATCTTGGGAGACAAATGCTTTCACGACATTGCCATTCACAGTTACTTATTTTTGTTGTTGTTGTTGTTTGTTTTTGTTTTTTTGAAACGGAGTTTCCCTCTTTCACCCAGGCTGGAGTACAGTGGCACGATCTTGGCTCACTGCAACCTCCGCCTTCTGGGTTTAAGTGATTCTCCTGCCTCAGCTTCCCAGGTAGCTGGGATTACAGGCGCCCGCCACCACGCCCAGCTAATTTTTGTATTTTTAGTAGAGACGGGGTTTCACCATGTTGACCACGCTGGTCTCGAACTCCTGACCTCGTAATCGGCCTGCCTCAGCCTCCCAAAGTGCTGGGATTACAGGTGTGAGCTACTGCACCCAGCCCACAGTTACTTGTTTTATACTTCTCACCTCTTCCCTGAGAACAGAGCATTTTAGGAACCAATTAGTAACCCTGGAGACTGAGTGACAGCAGGAGTCAAAGCCCGCCAAGTACACGGATGGACATGTCCATGAGCCTGTACCAGCATGAAACAGAGGAGCCAAGAAAGATGCTGCTTGATGCTCAACATTAAGTACTTTTTTTTTTTTAACAGATGCCGCTTTACACCCCCACATTCGCCCTCACTGCAATCCAGAAGATACACATTCTGCACAGATGATCCCCAAACTCTCCAGGCTCTAGATCTTAAATGCCTGACAGTGGCAGAGTCACATCACCTGCAGGAATGTCAGGAGTCACATGTGACTGCGTGGAACCCCCATTCTTCCCTGCCAAGCTCTCCTCTTCTCCAGGCATGCTTATCCAGAGGAAATGGGTCAGGAGAGCAGAGTGGAACACTGATCACCAATCTTATCTTCACCACTTTGCTACAGCAATGTGCCCTGTTTCCGACACACAGGGTCAGACAAGCATTTCCCAGGTCGGTTAATGTAGGGAGCAATGAGCTGCTCCATTCCAGTCCCTAATCCTGGGTTTGAGTCCCCACACCAGCTGCCAAGAGCTGCATGGTTAACTTATGCACAGCAACTTATTCGGGGTCCACCTCTCACTCCAATAAAATCTGCAGACATTAATAAGAACATTATAGGCCGGGCATGGTGGCTCACGCTTGTAATCCCAGCACTTTGGGAGGCCGAGGCGGGTGGATGATTTGAGGTCAGGAGTTCCGAGACCAGCCTGGCCAACATGGTGAAACCCCATCTCTACTACAAATACAAAAATTACCCGGGTGTGGTGGCCCGCTCCTGTAATCCCAGCTACTCAGGAGGCTGAGGCAGGAAAATTGCTTGAACCTGGGAGGCGGAGGTTGCAGTGAGCCGAGATCACACCACTGCACTCCAGCCTGGAAAAATAGAACATTATAAAAATGGACCAAAGGATAAGAACTTGTGGAAGAATTCCCATACTGTAAGATTTTCTTTTAAAGGAAGAACACATTCCAGTTTCAGAACCTTCTTTCTCATAACTCTTAACATTTCCTATCTGTGATGAAAATAAACCACCAATTATCTGACCAGCTGGCAAGCACTCACATTTCCCAAAGAGTTCTGGGAACTAAGGGAATTTGATAACTTCATCTAGATTTACAGAGTCTGGGAAATGAGACTTAAAAATTCAATACTAGAAATCTCAAAAAGTTAAAAAAAAAAAACTAATATACAGTGGATGTCTTTATGGACATGGTGTTAAACTGAGCGCTTTAGAAGAGGGGAGGGGGAGAGTTAACATCTACACTGGGTACTCCAACGAGTCAGCAGCGGTTTCTGTGAATGTATGGAGTGCATACAATATGAGGGCGTGTTGAGTCCTAGAACCTGCAGCCTTGCCGCCCCAGCACTGCACACTCCTTAGGGCCTGTCAGAGACAAGTGAAACGATGATGATTAACTAGCTGCATTGTCATGGGTTTGCAGTAGAGACTTAGGATCTAGCTAATAAATCACAAGTCGATCCTTAAAACTGTTAAAATTATTTTATACAAAATGTTTATAGAAAATGACTTTTCTTTGGCACCAAATTTTTATAGGGTGATGTCAACTTATAGTTTCAATAGTATATTTATAGCTTCTAAAATTCATCTGTAAAATAGATGTCCATAAAGCATTACACAAATTCCCCTGTGAATACTGGCTCTATCTATGGTTGTAAGGAAACTCCGTATGTAACATCACTAAGGGCTGAAATGCACCCACTACATGACAATGGCATGGGTAAATGGCACTACAATGGTGATATGTTTGGCTCTGTGTCCCCACCCAAATCTCATGTTGAATTGTAACTCCCAATGTTGGGGGAAGGACCTGGTGGGAGGTAGCTGGATCATGGGGGCAGATTTCCCCCTTGCTGTTCTCCTGATAATGAGGAGTTCTCATGAGATCTGATGGTTTAAAAGTATGTGGCACCTCCCCCTTTGGGCTCTCTCTCTCTTCTGCTCCACCATGGTAAAACGTGCTTATTCTCCTTCACCTTCTACCGTGACTGTAAGTTTCCTGAGGCCTCCCAGCCATGCTTCCTGAAGAGGCTGTGGAACTATGAGTCAAGTAAACCTCCTTTCTACATAAATTACCCAATCTCAGGTGGTTCTTTATAGCACTGTGAGAATGGACGAATACAAATGTGCTACGTGGACTGTGCATTAACACCCCAATGTGTACCGGGCAGCTAAGCCTAAAGCGCTTCAAGACATAAAGATACCCTCATGGTCAAGGACTTCCTCTCCCTTTCTTTTAGAAAGGGGTCCTGAACTATCTAAGTGTGTCAACGCACACCAGGTTAAAGCCTGCTTCTGAGGAAGCTTCTCGGAGAAGAGAGGCAAAGAAAGAGCTTGTATTTCATTAAGAAAATGATTCTTCCTTTTGTTCCTATAGTAAATTTATTTCATCAGCTTGCAGCATCATTTCTCTGTACTTATTCCCAGTGAGTTTTTGAACTTCACTCTGAAGGTAATTCTGCTCCACGTCACATCCCAGAATGCAAAATGGTGCAGCCACTATGGAAAAACAGTACAGCAGTTTCTCAAAATTACAAAAATAGTCTTATCCTAGGATACAGCGATCTCACTTCTGAGTATACAACGAAAATAACTGAAAGCAGAGTTTTGTAAATCCACGTTCACAGAAGAATTATTCACAATAGCCAAAAGCTAGAAGCAACCCAGGTGTCCACTGCTGAATGAATGGATAAACAGTATGAGGAGGACGATTCCACACACTGGAGGATGATGCAACCTTCAAAAGAAAGGAGATTCAGGAACATGCTACATCATGAATGAAACTTACAGACACTGTTCTAAGTGAAATAAGCCAGTCATCAAAGGACAAATATTGGACGATTCCACTTCAATGAGGTGCCTAGAGCAGGCAAATTCATAAAGACAGAAAGTAGAATGGGGGTTGCCAGGGGCTTTGGGGAGGGGAAATGGGGAGTTAGTGATTAACAGGATCAGAGCTTCAGTTTTGCAAGGTAAGAAGAGTTCTAGAGATGGATGGTGGTGATAATCACACAACGATGTGGATGTACTTAATGTACTTAGTGCCTCTGAGTGAATGTACTTAATGCCCCTGAACTACACATGTAAAAACGGTAAGTTTTGTTACAGGTGTTTTACCACAATTTAAAAAATGCAGACGGGAGAAAAAGTAGTTGAGGAACAGGGCTCACATCTATAAACAACTGAAAACGGTAATTCACAATGCAATCTGTTAACACTACTTTTAAAAATAAGAAAACAAAGAATCTATTTTCTTTACATGAGATCTTCGAAAAATATTATGAGGTAGGACCTTATCACATGAGGAAAATGGGTGACTATCCATGTGTATGCACTAAATAATTGCTAATATTTCTTTACCCAAAGAGCTCTTTTATATGTCTGGCAAAAAAAGGAATAAACTGAACATCTTTGGAAATAATGGCAAATTATGCATTTGGGGCAGGCTTTGCACTGAAAGCCAACGATGAGATAGATTCAAGAGCCACAAATCCACTAGCCTTTTATTGCTAAAAAACCAAACCTGTAAACAAGTCAAGTTTGAATGGGGAAAAGGTGGAAACAGCACAGATTAAGCTGACAGAACTCAAGAAAAAAGGCCCTGTGGAAAATTCATCAGTGAAAGTATTTTCTTAAAGGTTAACTTATTTCAAAACACACACACACACACACACACACACACACACACACACACACACACACACGGCTACACAGACTACTATACACAAGAAAGCAAAACCCACTTATCTAGGCATCATTTGAAAACCCATATATGTGAGTAATGGTTTAATATGAGAAGGATCTGATGACAAATGAGTGTTTTGTTGTTTTTCCAAGAAAAGTAATTATTTCTGTTATTTAAACATTTTTTTGGAGACAGTGTATTGCTGTCGCCTTGGCTGGAGTGCAGTGGCACCACTGTAGCTCACTGCAACCTCAATCTCTGGGCTCAAGCGATCCTCCCACCTCAGCCTCCCAAGAACCTGGGACTACAGGAGCGCAAAACCGCATCTGGCTGATGTTTTTATTTTTATTTTTAGTAGAGACGAGGTCTTGCTATGTTGCCCAGGCTGGTCTCAAACTCCTGAGCTCAGGTGATCATCCTGCCTCGGCCTCCCAAAGTGCTAGGATTATAGGTGTCAGCCAGTGCACCTGGCCCAAATGAATGTTTATGATGTCCTCAAGGGTTTGTGCTGGGGCTGGGGGTAGATCTCTCTAAGGCTCCCATCAGCTCTAAGAAACCACCCCGTTCACTATCAGTCTCAATCGTAATATTCCTGAAGGGTTCTCCTTATAAGAGGCCAAACAGTCACTATAATGTTCTATTTTGGAATAACAAACCAGCAATTCGTGAAACTATGTAATGAAATTTTTGTCCTTTTCTTTTAATGGCTACTTTTAATGATGCTCTAAAAGGCAGTTGAATTTTAATCTAGCGCACCAACCAGTTGGCTGGCTCCATGCTCTGTGTCCCTGTTGCCTTCTCCATCCTCAATTGGCTTTTCATTGGAGCCTATAAAATTAAACTTAGGAGGAGGTTTACATTCATGGGGAAAGCCTGGCAAGTACGCACTGAATACTAAATAGCATGCATGTTCACACAGCGCTTCAAGCTATTACAAATTATGACTCAAAGTTGCTCCAGTTTATTGTGACTTTAAAACATTTCTAGGCCGGGCACAGTGGCTCACACCTGTAATCCCAGCACTTTGGGAGGCCAAGGCGGGTGAATCACCTGAGGTCAGGAGTTCGAGACCAGTCTGGCCAACACGGCAAAACCCCATCTCTACTAAAAATACAAAAAAATTATCTGGGCGTGGTGGCGCGTGCCTGTAGTCCCAGCTACTTGGGAGGATGAAGCAGGAGAATTGCTTGAACCCTCCCGGGTTCAATCAACCTCTCCGCAGAGGTTGCAGAGAGCCAAGATCACGCAACTGCACTCCAGCCCGGGCGACAGAGTAAGACTCCCTGTCTCAAAACAAACAAACAAACGAACAAAAACAACAACAGAAACAACATTTCTATGTCTTCAGGTTATTTCTATAACAAAGTTTTAAGCAGGAGTATGTTTTGTTTTCTTTTCTAAAAGAATAAAGACACCATTCCTTCTATAGGTTGGGAGTATATTCTCCCTCTCCCTACCACATTAAATCATCTAAATCAATTAATTCCCTACCTGAGAGAGCTAAAGTACTGCCTTGTGGAAATCATCTCATAGACAGAACTTGATAATGTTTGACCAGGTTTACAAGGTTTGCACCTCCTGGGGTTACAGAGAGCCGTTTTGGGAAGTGTTTCATTTTTGCTGTTTTGGGATTAGCGTAACCATGACAACCAAGGCATGCTCTCACTCAGTAGAAGGGAATGGCTGGTCTCGAAGGCCTTGTGCCCTTCTCCCTACCACTGATACCTATCAGAATATTGTTCAAAATCCTATAACCCACCAACTCTCGACCCATCTCATCTTAGGGCATCACAATGTCACAGATTTTCCTACAGCCCTTTGGCAGATTTTGACCAGGTGGGCAGAGGTATTAATAACTATGATGGCTTGAGGAGGCTGCGGTGTATTTATCGAGCAAGTTGCAGTGTGCAGTCACTATGCTAAGCAGACAGAAAGGAAAGCAAGAAGATGAGCATCTCTCTTTGGGTCAGTGATACGGTTTGGCTGTGTCCCCACCCAAATCTCATCTTGAACTGTAGATTCAATCTCATCTTGAATTGTAGATTCCCATGTGTTGTGGGAGGAACCCTGTAGGAGGTGAGTCAATCATGGGAGCAGGTACTTCCCATGCTGTTCTCGTGATAGTAAGTCTCACAAGATCTGATGGTTTTATAAGGAAAAGTTTTTCTGCACAAGCTCTCTCTTTGCCTGCTGCCATCCATGTAAGACATGACTTGCTCCTCCTTGCCTTCTGCCATGATTGTAAGGCCTCCCCAGCCATGTGGACCTGTGGGTCCATTAAGCCCCTTTCCTGTATAAATTTCCCAGTCTCAAGTATGTCTTTAACAGCAGTGTGAAAATGGACTACTTCCGTCGATGATGTACAAAAATAACCAGCTAAATTGGAGTACATGGTAAGTGGCATGTTAGAGGAACTAGCAAAAAGCTGTAGAAAGTCAGAGAATAGAGCAAATGGCTATTCTCCCTGATGGAGGTGTTCTTTGAGAGTGGAGTACCTAATGTGTTTTTAGAAGTAGCCCACTTGAATGGGTCCTGAAGGATGAGTAGGAGTTTGCTAGGTAAACACAGATGGAAACGTGATGACTTAGTATGCTCAGGTGGACATAACCAAACACTACGCACTGGGTGGCTTAAACAATAGAAATTGATGTTTTCACAGTTCTGGAGGGTGTGAAGTCTACACTCAAGGTACGAGCTGATCTGGTTCTCTGAGGGCTCCCTGCCTGGCTTGCAGATGGCCACCTTCTCCTTGTGTCCTCACATGGCTGAGTGACAGCAAGCGAGAGCCCTCTGGTGTCTCTTCTCCTAAGGTCACTAGTTCTATCAGATCAGAGCTCCATCTTCATGACCTCATTTTACCTTAATTAGTGTACTTCCTTACTCCAAATACAGCCACATGGTGGGTAGGGCATCAATAAATTAATTAGGGTGGGGAGTACAATTTAGTCCACAGCACATGAGTCATGAAAGGGCTAGAGATGCTATTTTATGCTATTATTATCTCCCTTTTAAGACTAATGTGAGAATTCAATGAAACCATGACCATAAAGTACCTAGCAAAAGGCCTGGCACATGATACACATTCTTTATTATTGCTGCCACCGTGATGGTGAAGGGAAATTTACAGAATGAATTACAGGGGATGAGTTGACACTGCCCTTCTGCCTGTGTGTATCAAAAGTATATTAGAAGCCAGAACAGGGTGTTACTACCTTTTTCACTTTCCAGACATCAGCAGTAACATCTGTGTAAAGCTGGACACTTGAGCCCTGGACACTTGAGACCAGATGCAATGCTCTAGGGCTTTACCCTGTGGGCAGAAGGGATTGATATACCTGCACACCTGCACCTCAGCTGTGCTGTATCTACTGGGACTTTCCAGGCTGGAGGACAACGGAGTGCCCAAAGTCACACTCACTGGAGGCAAGCTACTTCTTGTGCCTCAGTTTCCTCTTACATAAAATGGACGTAAAGATTGAACCACTTCACTGGGTCACCGTAAGGATTAAGCGACTTAGTATACACCATGCCCTTAGAACGGCATCCAGACTAGGCGAGCTCTAATGGGTATTTGGGATGATGATGATGATGTGGAGGAGGAGAAGGTGGAGGAGGAGAAGTTGGAAGAAGAAAAATTAAATGACTCAAAAGCTGAACAGCAGACTGGATGGCACCCTCGTCAGGAAACTGCGACCACCGACAGGAACTAAAACTTTAAATCCAAACCCTGGGGAGCTGGAACAAGGCTTTCATTCTGGGGCAAAGTAGCTAAATGTTTAGGCCTGCCCATCGGTTCTGACCACAAATGCTGCGATTCTTCCTGCTTGCTGTGGCTCTAGGGGCGGCCACACTGCCCCTGAGGACACACTGTCTCCTTGTTCCCCTCAGCAATAAGTCCCAGCGTTCAGAACCCTCGTTAAACACACTTCAGATTAGGTTTCAGAGTCCCCGACTCCAGGCTGTGAAGAGAATGGGCCCTTTCAGCTCCCTCACTATAATGGAGCAACGACACAACCACGGCGTCATTAGTACACAACTCCCTCCTTCTTTCATTCCAAAACTCTGCAAAGATAGATTTTGTGTGTGTGTGTGTGTGTGTGTGTGTGTGTGTGTGTGTGTGTACATGTGGGGGATTTCTACTGCTTTCTTGCAAACCTGGTATGAAGCAAGCAACAGAAACAAAAACATTTAGGGGAGAATCCAGCTCTTCATAGTGCTAGGTTTGTCATCTCCTGATCTTGAGTAATTCATTATCTTTTCACCCTTTTAGAAGTAGATGAATAAAAAATTCTAAAATTTATCTAAATTAAAAAATCATCTTGACAGCTTGATACTTTAATATCTATTAGGCAGAGAATAAAATATCACACAAAAACTGAACAAGGCAAGTATAAACCAGATGACGACTGCTTGTAGAAAGTAGGACACCACTTCCAGCAAGAGCAAAAGATGTGTCTTTTTCCTCATGTCTAGTAAGATTGGCACTTTTCTCCTTGGGCTCAGTGGTCTAATGAAGTCATGAAAGTGCATTCAGCCCACTGAACCTGAATCTTTAGAAAACACACCTGGTATCATATACTAATACTTGGCTTCCAAAACTATTATTCCAAAGGAAGGCGGAAAGTAGAAATTGTGTTGAACTTAGTCCCGTGACTCAGCAGAAAGGTGAAGACTTTGTAAAACAAAGCCACCAATGACACCTGTGGTTCCCATTGTCATCTTCCATCATATGCAGGCGAAGTTCTTCAACCTTGTCTCTGAAGCACAGCTTTTCCCCAAGAACCGATCTTAACGTGAATGAAAAATTATTCTGTTTACAGACACTTTCTACAGAAACTACTTTTTTAACATTTTTTTCAAATAGTCAGTTGGGAGAATGGGAAGATTTTCTTACCCCTTAGAAGGAGACTTTAATGTTTTTATGCAAAAGGCTTTTAAACTGAAAATCCATGCATCAAACTGAAGTATGAAAACACAGCTTTCCGGATCCTTTAAGAATTCTTAGCTCTTTAGTTTCCAGAAAACTTCCCAAACATTTTTACTTTTCATTCTTTTTTTAAAATGTACTTTTCAGGTTTAATATTCTGTTAACCACGGGAGTGAGTGGGGGTGGGGGTGAGCTTCAGCTCCAGCTTTGTGTTCTGCAAAGAGGTCAGAGTTCTAACCAGATACTTGGTATTTATTCTCCTTTGAAAAGCTGGAAAGCTCAGATTAATATGGAAAAGAACTTTACAAACAGGTATATAACAAAAGTACAATCATATCCAACAGACACAGAAAGGAGAATGGTGGTTGTAGGGCTGGGGGTGGAGGAAGGGGAGAGGGGAGTGGGGAGTTAGTGTTTAATGGGGACAGAGTTTCAGTTTGGGAAGATGAAAAAGTTCTGGAGACATGGGGATGGCTGAGCAACAACATAAACATACTTAATACCACTGAACTGTACACTTAGAATGGTTAAAATGGTAAAGTTATGTTACGTATATTTTACCACAATTAAAAAATGGGGAAAAAAGCATATCCGAAAATACTGACAATCTACAAAATGGACTGGTAAACTGGGTGGGTGTGGGGAGGGTAGAAAAAGTCAAGCACTATAAAAAGTATTTTCATTATAAAGATGGAAGGAAAACTAACTTTGATGTCATTTTCAACAGATGAAGCTATTACTATTAGGCGCAAAACTGTGGGAGATATTTGGGAACAGCATAGAATAGGGGAAGGCAGGGGTTCTAGGCTCATCACGTCAACACTTTGAAGCTGGCTTGCCACTTACTAGCTGTGGGGCTCAGGCAGGTCTCCTGGCCTGCCTGGACACTGGCTTTCCCATCTGAACAATGGAATGATGACGTCCGATAAAGGAGTGGTTGTGAGAGTTAAATGAAGGAAATATACATAAAGTGCTAAGCACCAGTGCCATCATCCAGCAGGGATTCAAGAAGTCAGTTACCCACCTTGCTTCATTTTTAGTTGAAATATGTTGTGTTATTTTCAACGTTTGGTAGCTATGAAAATTCCACCTTCAGTATTTTTAAACCTCACCGTACTTTAATCACTATAAAATAAAACTTAAACTTCCCCTCATATTTCACTATCTTCTGATGAGCAGCTGGGGAATGAGACACTGACTAGAAGAGGAAAAAGGTGGGAAATGGGGTCTCTATGATCCACAAATGAGGAAACGACTAAGAAACAAAAAATGATATGGGTTCACTACGGATGGCAGTCTCTTCCCACTGAAAGCTTGCTAGAGTAGGACAAAATACGAACACATAGATTCTCGATTTAGGAAAAAGAAACTTACAAATAAGCATATAACAAAAGTATACATAAAGCATATCCAACAATGCTGACAGTCTAGAAGGACTAAAAGATTATGAATTACTAAGCACATTTTTTAAAAATATGAGTATCAGACAACCAGTTTCCTTAGGTGTTAATAAACCACAGTTCTGGGAAATAAGATGCTTCTGCTTTGTTTACAACACAGATTCTGTAAGCTCCGTCAAATGCAATAGAAAGGGATGCTGATCGATGGCCAGGATTTAATTAAAGAACTAATTCCAACTGATGATAGCAGTGATTCCAAGGGCACTCTGGAAATGAGGCTTGCCTGAAAACTTCTAAGCACTCATGTCCTCTGGCCCCAAACCTAGAGAGCCTCACATGCCTAAATGTTCCTGCAATGACTCTACTGCACATACACACTCATACATCTGTGGACACTCATGACACTCAGGAACTGGGATACCACGCAGCTTAATGACATTCTTTACCTTCTGTGAGTACCTTAATTTTTTTTTTTTGAGATGGAGTCTCACTCTGTTGCCCAAGCTGGAGTGCAGTGGCGTGATCTTGGCGCACTGCAACCTCCGCCTCCCAGGTTCAAGTGATTCTCCTGCCTCAGCCTCTCGAGTAGCTGGGATTACAGGCGCCTGCCACCACGCCCAGCTAATTTTTGTATTCTTAGTAGAGACGGGGTTTCACCATGTTGGTCAGGCTGGTCTCGAACTCCTGACTTCAGGTGATCCACCTGCCTCGGCCTCCCAAAGTGCTGGGAGTGAGCCACCATGCCCGGTAGATGAAATATTTTTTCTGACAATTTCCTTGAATTTCTCTGCCTGCATTTAACCTCTGTCACTTATGATTACTATCTGACTTATCACATAAACAATTTCCAAATAGCTTCTCAAGTCAGCTTTATCAGAAACAATCATCTTCTACTTTAAATCAGACATGTCACTCCCCTACTCAAAATGTTTTTCACTCAGAGTAAAGGCCACAGTCCTCACAATGGAAAAAAGGGTCCCCAGTGATCTGCCCCACCCCTGTCACCTACCTGAGCTCATATCCAAATGTCCTCCCTCTGGCTCACTCCTCTCCAGCCAGGCCAGCTGTTCTCTAGCACACGAGGCACACACCCACCTCCAGGCCTTTGCACAGGCTGGAACACTCTGTCCCCAGAAATCTTTGTGGCTAATTCCCTCACCTCTTTCTTCGCTTTGCTCACGTCAGGCTTTCAAAAGTGCCGACCCTGACTACCCTATTCAAAATTACAATTTGCCCCACACCTCCATCCCTGATTCTGCTCTATTTCTTTTTATTTTTCACTTTTACATACCACTTTCTACACACAAAAGACAACATCTTCTTCTAACGCTCCTTACACACTGCCGTCTTTCTCTGCTGGAAGGCACACTCCCTCAGGATATGGATCTTGTTTTGTTCACGAGAACAGCATGATGCATAGTAGATGCTCATAAAGATTTGCTGAATGAATAAAATAATTTTAAAACCATAATTCCCATGGAGAGACCATAATAATACAGTCTTTAACAAAAACAACTATAAGCTGGGGTCAAGAGTCTAAAGCCAACTAGGGAAAATATATATATATTTGAGACAGAGTCTTGCTCTGTTGCCCAGGATGGAGTGCAGTGGTACCATCTCGGCTCACTGCAACCTCTGCCTCCCAGGTCCAAGTGATTCTCCTGTCTCAACCTCCCAAGTAGCTGGGATTACAGGTGCACGCCAGCACGGTCGGCTAATTTTTGTATTTTTAGTAGAGATGGGGTTTCGCCATGTTGATCAGGCTGGTCTTGAACTCCTGACCTCAAGTGATCCATCCGCCTTGGCCTCCCAAAGTGCTGGGATTACAGGCGTGAGCCACCACACCTGGCCAAGAATATATTTTTTTATTTCAAGAAATTGTTGCTCAAAGAGATGCTGTCTGCAAAAAGCCATAAATGCTGACCATTAACAAAAGGCCAACTATATGAAAAAAGCTTAAAAGAAACAGAGAAAATAGAAGATGACATTCTTTCGATAGGGAAACATGTTAACTTCTACAACAATGCACAACAAAACTAGTCATGTGACGGTCACACAGGAAAAGAAATACCTAGGCGAAGTTTAAACTTGCAGAATGAACGTGTCACATCACAAGCTGTGATAGGCAGCGCAGCGTTTCTACAATACCCCGCAGGCGGCTTTTAAGAAAAAATTAAATATATGACTCCATCGATGTGTTGAGTTTTTCCAGATTCAGTGCTCTTGGAGTACAGGAGGCCCCTCCCTTATCGTCAGTCTTGCTTTCTCTGGTTTCAGTTACCCTTCGTCAATTTTAAATAGAAAATTTTAAATGGAAAATTTCAGAAATAATCCCTAAGTTTTGAATTTCCCGCTGTTCTGAGTAGTGAGGAAATCTCTCGCCGTCCTCTCTGTCCCACCCTGGACATAACTTCTCCCTTTACCCAGCAGATCCAGGCTGTCCGTGCTCAAGGGCCACCTCGGTGAGCAGATCAGCTTTCGAGATAAGCAGTGCTTGTGTTCAAGTCTCCCTGAATTTACTTCCTAATGGTCCCAAACAGTAGTGATGCTGGCAACTGGGGTATGTCAAAGCGAAGCCTTAGAGTGCTTCTTTTAAGTGAAAAGGCCAAAGGTTCTTGACTTAATGAGGAAAGAAAAAGAGTCATGTGCTGAGGTTGCTAAGATCTGCAGTAAGAATAATCTTCCGTCTGGGAAACTGTGAAGAAGGAAAAAGAAATTAATAATACTTTCGCCATCGCACCTCAAGCTGCAGAAGTTACAGCCACAGTGTGTGATAAGTGCTTAGTTAAGATGGAAAGGGCTTTATACTTGTTGAAGGCATGAACAAGAAGAAAGAAAAATAAAATCCTAAGGCTCTCAACCCACAGAACAGACCCTCCTCTTGGCCAAGGGGACCCCAGAGTAACCTTAAAGCTGGGTCTGTGGCTGTGAGGGGATGGGAGGTCTGATGAGCCTGGTTACACCCCCATCCTTGCTTGCTAAAGGCCACAGGCTTTCTTCCCTAAGGGCTGAACAAAAGCCAGTTCTTTCCAAAGATTCCACCTAGGACTTAACCAACAGACTGACACCACCCCTCCCTTTTGTGATGTCAATGAAACAACAAACCAGCATTCCACCAGCCTGTGGGGGCTGTGCAGTGAGGGCCTGCGTGTCCTCAGCTTCAGCTTAACACATTAGAGTCCAGAAAACTCTGCCCTTGGATCATGCTAACACTGCCATGTTTTGAACATGGGACCGTGAATCTCAATCGCGTGCGCATGGTTCTCGTTTCATGAATATTCATGACTCCCCCATAGCTTATTGAATATGCCTATTACCCACCCCATTCAGCATAAATTGTTGTCTTATTCTTCCCCTCTGAAGTGTCTGTTTCTGGCTTCTGACCAGAAGCTATGCTTCCTAGCCTGTCAGAATGCCCGCTTTGCAGGCTGCGACCCTTTATGAGAAACAAAAAGCT
The DNA here is from genome assembly GCF_000001405.40 of Homo sapiens. Lineage (NCBI taxonomy): Eukaryota > Metazoa > Chordata > Mammalia > Primates > Hominidae > Homo > Homo sapiens. The sequence continues at coordinate 98,327,773 of NC_000013.11, read as the reverse complement.
CCTTTCCAAATTTACAAACTGTCTCATCCTTCAGCTGACAACAGAAACGTGTCCAGAGTGACAGCAATCAGGTCTGGTACTATCCATGGCTTCAGGCATCCACTGGGGTCTTGGAATGTATCCCCCATGGACAAGAGGGAAAGACTTTATCAGAAACTTCAGTTCCCTTTAAACTGGCTCACCAGTTAACTTTGTTGCTCTCAATGTGATTGTTTTAAAATCTGGCCAAGAGAAGGAAGCCTGAGATTTAGCACATTCCATTGTTAACTCACACTGGTTTTGAGTTTTTTGCTCAGTTTAAGTCCCTTGTTATGAAGCCTTATCTTAAAGTAAACCATCCTAACAAGCACCGTTTTAATGATAATTCCCTTTTATGTAGGTATCATCACTGCAAAAGTTAGCTGTTTGAAAATTGAAGGCAAATGTAAGATATATACTAAGAAACATGGGTTTCGATGACACATTTTAAAAAAAATCCTGTGAAATTATAAACTAAATTTAGTGACATGGGCAGCCTACAGTGACCTAATACCAGCACTGACATAAAAGCCGTATTGGAAAACAGAGAGAGGTTTCTGAAAAAGCAATGCAAGCAATAAGAGCCATCTTTAAAAACAAATATTTTTTAATACTTCTATGATTTGACAGCATTCGAAATGTGAATCTACAGTGGTGACCTACAGCAAAGAATTTACACAAATGAAAATGGAGTGTGTCTCCTTCCATAGAGAGTTAAGGTTATTCAGAGCGACAGTATTCTACCAATTGCGTGTACTCATTAAATGCATTTGGCCCACATTTATAAACAATAACATGAGTGCTCAAAACAAATCAAATTAAAATACCAAAGGACAATAAGCACATTTTTAAAACAGATCTGTCATCTGTCAAAAATTATACATGCCCTAAAAGAAGATGAGTTCAGAGGTTTGCCTAGGAATTGGACAGTTGAGACTCAATTCTAGCTGACACAGGCAGCAAAATGATCTAGTTTTAAAAGCTTAGATCTGCCTTCACCATCTAACTCCTCAACTACGTGAGATGACTTTAACATATTCTAAAGAATTATGCCAACAGAAAAGTTTATTGGAGCTGCATATCCTAGTGGGCACGTACCAGGTACTCTATTTTATAAAAACCACTGTGAAAATTACATATTGTTCTCTCCTCCTGAAAGGCATGATTAGTCCCAATTGTAGTGAATCAGGAGAGGAGATGCAGGAACCAGCACGTGTGGAAAAGAAATCAGGCAACAGATTCGCAGAAACAGAAAACAAAATGGTGCTTACCAGGGGCCAAGGGAGGGGGAAATGGGAAGTTGTTGAGTGGGAATAGGGTTTCAGATTGCAGGATGAAAAAGTTCTGGACCTCTGTTTCACAGCAATGTGAAAATACGAAAAGCTACTGAACTGTATGCTTAAAAACGATGAAGGTGGTAAATTTTATGTAGGTGGGTTTTTTTAACTAAAACAAGAAAAGAAAGCATTAAGGCTAAATCTCCAAGTCTGAGCCTGTGAAAAAGAATGTTTCCAGAACGATATTATAGGCCAGGCTGGTTTATTAATTGCTTGGAAGACAAACACAAAAGCAGAAACAAAACACTATAGACAGGCAACACACCTGCAACTGATTGTCCTTTTGCATATGTTTATTCATTACCAAGCAGACGAAGCCATTTGTGTCTTTATGTTTGATTTTCATTCATTTTTCAAAGCAGTCAGCTATTGAGGGATTGCCCAATAGAAAAATTTCAGAAGCATTTATTATATCATTAACAGCTCCATTTTCACTCAATGTCCCTCTAAGCCTGTCAGGGAGACCTATGAAGAGAAGCTATAAAACAAGCTTTGTTTTCTCTGCTAAAATGCCCTGTGGCTGTTGCGGAGTCTTGGGAACACAGTGCGGCTTTCAGGCCCTGGTTGTTTCAGGTTTTGTTTTGTTTTAAACAAGAGATATAACTCTCACCAGCATGCTGCATTTTACCAAATCCTCAGCCACAAAGACTTTCTTATGACAACTCCATGCAGATCAAACTGGACAAGCTACAAATATTATGACAAATATTCTTGAGGAAACCTGAGTATGTGTTGGAGAAGTATGTGCCTCTCTGATTTCTCAATGCCTTCTGTCACGGCTGTGTAATCTAGAATTTAGGAACCTGATTCTGGGTTCCAGTACAAGGTAGATTAGCAAGACAGGGAAGATCAGCATTTCTCCTGGATTTCAGTTTGTAACTCTCAACCCAGACATTACCATTGGTTCACCAGTGAAGAACTGGAACAGTGCTGGTGAGATGGTTTACTCCTTAAATCATCAGCCTAACCTAAATTTAATCAGCAAGCTGGGGCGTCAGGTGGGAGCCTTCACTTTCAGCAGTGTCGTACAGATGATAGAGTACCAGAAACAGAACATATGAGATAGAGAGCCGTGACAAAGACAAAAAAAGAAAAGGAAAACACAACAGTTTTATTAACCAAGTTAGTAATCACTTGAGTGTAAAGATGAATCCAATAATGTAAAAAATAGAAGCACTGTTTTCAATACTCATGGAAAGATAGGCTGTTGAAACATAGAAACAAAATAATTTCTTCTATTCCAACATCAAATGCATAAACCATATTTTTCAGGGTTTATTTCCACAAGTCTTCCTTACGGACTACTTACCAGTCAGTCTGGGAAGTCTTCATTATTATCCCATAGTTCATGACAGAGTGTTCTGAAGTGCTTCTACAGTATCTATTTCACATTCTCTATCCAATTTGGCCAAGAAATTTCAACTACTGTGTTAAGGCCTCAAAAAACAGAGCATTAAGGCATGGCCAACAAACAGAATCCCTCAATGCCCACCATAAATAATAGTTCGGAAGGCAGCCATGGGCCATGAAGGCCAATAGGTCAGAAGCCATAGGTCAGAAGGTCTTCGCTGTGTGGCTCAAGTCAGAAATGCAGCAGCCAAAGACCCCTGGAATGGGGGCTTCAGCTCATCAGGGCCTGATGCTTCCAAGAGTCTTTACTAGCACAAACGGGAAAGGGAAAAGGAGAGGAATTTGAAAAGAGAATGGTTGTGAAGGCAGAGGCTGCCAAGGACGCTCAGAAACACACACCAGGGGTAGGTGGTCAACACATTTTGATCACAGAAAATAGACCAGTGAGTACATCGCCTTTTTTTTCTGAAAATAGTAAACCATTTTTTTTCTTCTGAAGACATTAGAAAAAGAGCTAAGGGCATCCTTTCAAAAAGTAAACTCTTTCCAGAAAATATCAAATCATGATTCCAACACGCTCTTTAGACTGAACTGATGGATCATCAATTTCAGCTTCATAACAACTTGCAGACAGTTACGAATTAAATGTGAAAACACTGAATGCCAAGGTTACCCAATACAAAATAGATCTTACACAAAAAGCAGTGGGCGCAGCAGGAACCGTGTTTCGCTTTTCCATACTGCCAAAATACACAAGCTGGAGTAGACACGCCAAGATTTCCTCATGAAAATGAGGCTTCCTTCATGAAACACTGGGTGATAAAGGATGAGAGTAACTTGACCTTTGTTTTTCTTTCCAAGCCACAAATGAAAACACAAAGAAAATCAAGAGCCACCTGAAATTTAGAAAACATTTCACAGCCACCATTATACATAACTTCAATGTACGCATGAAATAAAGGACTATCTTAACTCTTTAATGAAACTTTACGAGGAAATTTTCCTAGTGCATTTAATATATTAATCAAGTAATAAAATCCTTCATGTGCAACTCCTCAGACATAGTTCAAGTTGTGATGAAACTCAAAATGTGTATTAGTTATAAATATAAAAATGACTAAATTCAATTCTGGTTCTTGAGTACTTAATTGCTCGGAAGTTAGCTTCCTCATATAGGCTTTAAAAAAATTGTTGACACTCAACAGGAAGACAAAATTATGGGGCTTGAATTCTGGAAAGGAAGAGACATTTTCCTCTAAAGGCTGAATAAAGTTAACTGCAAATAGTATGCAAGAATTGGAGATTTTTTTCTTATCAAGTAGCAAAATAAACTAGATATCTACTTTTTGTTTTTACAATCTGTCTTTCTGCTCTCCTTTAAAAGTAAAAAGTTAATGACCAGAGATGTGCCAATTAGAGAAACCTTAAAAGGTGGCCTTCAAGAATTTTCCTTTAAAATAGAAAAACTTGGAAGGAACAGAATACAAATAGATCAAAACAGGTATGTAATATTTTCATGTGTTAGGAGCAGGCTAAAAATATTTAACAGACATAAATTCAGTGTATTTATTATTGATCTTATAATAATAATGGAAGCCTCAAATGGAAAAAAAAAATACTTCTACTGTAAACAACCACATCTCCGAAGCCAGCAGGAAACTCATTAGAAAAAAAAAAAAAAGCCATGTGAATTTCTCATTACAGAGACCACTTGAACCATATTTTAAATAAAATCGAGTTGCCTTTCTGATTCCACTACCTGGGCACACCTGCTTAAATATATTAATGAAACTGTGGCAACAAATCTAAAATTTTATTATAAAATATGTGCATGACAACTGCTCCTAACTCACAACCAAAAAACCAACTCCCTTTTAAAAGTGTTAAAATAATATATTGATCATTTTAAGGATTGTAAGCAACAAATCCTTTCACCACGGATCATTAAACATGAGATAAATATCCCCATTTCTATAATGCATGTAATTTTAAGTAATGTTTAATGTTAGTAGCCACTATTACATCCTGCAATTGTGTAGTGCCAGCAACCATATATCTAATATTACTGTTTTTTCAAACATGAGCTTATTCACAACCATAAACTCTTCCTATTACGAATGCAAATATTTTCCTCCCTCTCCCATGACAAATAGCTATTCTGCCAAAAGGTCTGGAGAAACAAATTTCTAGGCAAATCATCTGTGTGTGGCTGACATGCATGTATGCGTGGTATATACGGTATGTGTGTGCCCGTGTTTTCAGTTGGTTGGGTTTCGGCTGCCTTTGTGCAAGATGGTTATTATAACCGTGAAATTTAAAATCTGAAATGCACAGTACCAGAAAGTCCTCGGCTGAGCTGTGATTCTTGGATAATTCCCGGGGAACAGCCTCTACTCAGTGCCTTCTTCCTATCACACAAGAGTTTTCCTTCTGTTTCCAATAAGGAGCATGTAAGCTCCGGGTCTTGGTCGCATGGCAGTCAGAACTGTACTCGGCTAAGGAGCACTGACGGCTAAGGAGCACTGACAAGTGAGAGGGATGATGGTGCAGCATGGTGGCTCTTGCAAGCAAGATGAACTGCAGTCCAAATCCCAGTGCTCCCAGAAGCATGTGGATTTGGGCTGGAGCTAGGCTGGTGTTCACCCTGGAAGTGGCATCATGTCACTAACAATCCTTCACATTGCCAGTATTTTTCCTGGAGTGCCTTTCAGGTGGTGCTGACTCTCTCCTAAGTCCTATGCCAGGCACATTTTTTTGTTTGTTTGTTTTTGAGACGGAGTTTCACTCTTGTCACCCAAGCTAGAGTGCAATGGTGCAATCTCCACTCACTGCAACCTCTGCCTCCCAGGTTCAAGTGATTCTCCTGTCTCAGCCTCCGGAGTAGCTGGGATTACAGGCACCTGCCACCATGACCCACTCATTTTTATATTTTTAGTAGAGACAGGGTTTCACCACATTGGCCAGGCTGGTCTCGAATTCCTGACCTCAGGTGATCCGCCAGCCTCGGCCTTCCAGAGTGCTGGGACTAAAGGCGTGAGCCACCGCTCCTGGCCCTGTGCTAGGTACTTTTCAATCAAACAATACCCATTTTAACCCTCACAGAAACCCCACCAGGAAGTACTGGAGGAAGAAACTGAAGAGCAGGGAAGGTTGATAACTGCCCCAGCTATTACGTGGCAGATCTAAGATTTCAACTCAAGTTTGCTCAAATCCAAAGCCCAGGCTGGAAGGTGGTGACATCAAATTCTCTCAGATGATTAATATTATCAAACATTTTTCTATTCCATAAAATTTCCAAATAACAATGCTCAAAGAGCTATGGTTTTCTTTTAATGACTAAGTAGCTAAAATACAAAAGTCATATGAGGCCAAGAGGCTTCCCTTAACTGATTTCACAGAAGAAGCACCCGTTTAGCACGCACAGGTAATTTGTCACAGAGCCTTCTGTCTCTGCCTCCATATTAAAGTGTTTCTTTTCTGCAATGGCATCAGGTCATCATCCCCCTGGAATGTCTTCTGGTATTGCTACTTTGGCCATAAATCTAGCAGTCTATCTGTCACTTAAAGAGCATGACATACCACAACCCTGGATAATCAGATGGTGATTTTTGTCCTTTCCCTGAAGCTGTTTTCAATTCTTAGAACCTTTTTCAGACACAACCATTTGTCTAAGCGTGGGTTTAACTTCACGCTTTGATATGTAACTCAAGTGTGCTTTAGTCAAGCCTGGACTCAAGACTTTCAACAAGTTAACTCATTGGCCATGAGATGATCCGGCTGAGTTTCTCCACGACTCCACAGAAACAAATGGGATCCTCAGTTTCGGTCACAGGGGATACAAGCGAAAAGAGAGAGTGGGATCCTCCATTCCACAAGGTCAGTGGTGACAGCTCAGCTCTTCTGGAAAGACCAAGAGTCCTGGAGGGTTTGTCTGAATCCAATGGCTGAATAAGACCAACAGCCATGGGGACACTCACACATCATAGCTTCAAACAACGTCAAAGGTGGTGATGACAAGTTACCATCACGTTCTTCTTCCATAACCCAAAGACTCCCAGTTCGTGAGTCACAGACATTGAAAGGCACCTGCGAGGGTCACCTGCACCTTCTCAAACTGGAGGTGTCTCTCGGGGAGTGAACAACAGCTCCAGTTTTACATTTAGATTTCCGGGCCTTCTGAGTGACTCGGAGGAGATAGGGCTCTAATCCTGAACATGCCAACAACAGCAATTGTCTAACTGTGTCTATCTAAACCGGATCTCGTCTGGCAGCTCATATCAACCCACAGGGCCCAACCTTTGGGAGGCTTTTTGGAAAAGAAGATAAGAATGGTATCCAGTTTGAAGATCACTGTTGAAGATACCATTGTTGGAGGTGTTCAGAATAAATGCTTTAAAACAGTTTTGTTTACAATTTAAATTCCAACAAATCCTGAGAGTTTTCTAACAGTCTAAGGTGTCCATGGATACCAAAAAAGCAAGTTAAATCTGTTCATTCTTATCTGACTTAAGAAACCACCTTAGTATCTCCATGAGGTGTTATGTTATCTGCTGCTAGGGATAAAGAGGTTAAAGGAGAAGTGAGTACCTGTTCTTGGTTCTAGTTCATTCTAGTCATCCAAAGATGATTTTGAAACTACAGCTTCACATAGGTGAGGACAGGCACAGGTGTTATTCCCAAGTGGTGACGGGCAAACTGGGTAAAACTATAATAGTACGAATACCTGGCAGCAAGACACGCACATCCAGATTGTACGGAGAGTAGGGGGCAGGGACAGAGGGAGTCCTGAGCACACCTGGGCCGATCAGGTACCTTTTCAGGAACCTGGAACTACAACTGATAAAATAATTTTCTCTCTCCTTGTGAGCCTTGACTCCAGGCCCACGTATGAGAATGGGCATCTTCCAAGAGGCCTGGAGACACTAAGCATGCAGGTCTGCAGATGAAGGGAAGACGGCAGGCACCGAAGAGCTAGCCCGGGAGGAAAACAGACAGGGTGTCTGACCACACAGGCCTGGCTCACGTAACCTCACCATCCTCAGCTACATTCCACCCCGGGTGTTTCAGACACCCCCATAATGTGAGGATCAATTTCCTTTTTCTGCTTAAGTTACCTCAAGGTTGTTCTTCATTTATAACCGAAGAAGTAATACCTAATTCAGAAACACACTTTTAACTTTTTTTCCAACTTATTTTCAAGAAAAAAAAAAGTCTGTTGTTTTTTTCCCCCAGCAACTGTAGGTATCCAGATTTCAAAGATAAAGACTGGACTTGGTTTTGCTATAAATCTACTAGAATGGCAGATTATACCAAGTTATTTGAGGAAAATAAAAACAATTTGATCCTGACAAAATAAGAATCCACATGCTCTACTGTGGGTTTATATTTCATATACATTTATGAAGGGGAAGAAGAGAGATAAATGGAGGCTGTGAACTCATTCTTTTCTGAGACAGAGTCTTGCTCTGTTGCCCAGGCTGGAGTGCAGTGGCGCAATCTCAGCTCACTGCAACCTCCGCCTCCCGGGTTCACACCATTCTCCTGCCTCAGCCGCCAGAGTAGCTGGGACTACAGGTGCCTGCTACCACGCCTGGCTAATTTTTTGTATTTTTAATAGAGACGGGGTTTCACCATGTTAGCGAGGATGGTCTCGATCTCCTGACCTTGTGATCCGCCTGCCTCAGCCTCCCAAAGTGCTGGGATTACAGGCGTGAGCCACTGCACCTGGCTGACGAACTGATTATTTTCTATAATAAATTATATTATTCCCTTCCAAGTATTTTACTATTTAAAAACAAAGTTTCAGGCCAGGTATAGTGGCTCATACCTGTAATCCCAACATTTTGAGAGTCCCAGGTGGTCGACTGCTTGAGCCTAGGAGTTTGAGAGCAGCCTGGGCAACATAGCAACACCCCATCTCTACAAAAAATAAACAAAAACTGGACGGGGCTGGTGGTGCACACTTGTGGTCCCAGCTACTTGGGAGGCTGAGGCGGGAGGACTGCTTTAGCCCAGGGGGCCGAGGCTGCAGTGAGCTGAGATCCTGCCACTGCACTCTAGCCTGGGCAACAGAATGAGATCCTGTCAAAACAAACAAACAAAAAAAAAAAAAAAAAAACAAGAAAAAACTAAGCTCCAAAGGAAGCAACAGGTACATATGAAGACATATATGTCTTGTATTTCACACAGATGCATAAATGAAACACGCATACTTTCCAGAAAGATACAAACGCCACCAGGCACACAGACAAGTGAGGGCAGCCCCATTGCCTACTGCCTACAACAGGAGGGAGGGGCCAGGAGCTCCAGAGAGACAGGGCAGACAGCAAAAGACATCAAAGAGAAGGCAGACTGCTGGGTGGGGTGGTGGCAGTCTGGGCAACCAGCTCTCCCTCCCAACCTGGCGCCATGCAAGGTCAAATGGAGAAAGTGCGGCAGCCCTGGAAAGCAATGGCCACTTCTACCAGGGAGATGCCAGGGTGCCTCAGGGCAGCCTGTGGCTCTCATCCTTGGTCACATCTTCCCTGATTAAGTGAGATGGCAGCTTTGACACTGCTATGGACTAAACTGTGCCCCATCCAAATTTACAGGTCGAAGTCCTAACCCTGTGTGTGGCCACGGTTAAAGTAAGGAAATACAGCAATTAAGGTTAAATGAGGTCGTAACGATGCCGCCCTGATCCAATAGGATTCACGTTCTTAGAAGAAGAGATAGTCGGGAGTGGTGGCTCATGCCTGAAATCCCAGTGTTTTGGAAGGCCAATGTGTGCAGGTTGCAAGCTCAGGAGTTTGAGACCAGCCTGAACAACACAGGGAGACCATATCTCCACAAAAAAAAATACAAAAATTAGCCAGGTGTGGTGGTGCATGCCTGTAGTCACAGCTACCTGGGAAGCTCAGGTGGGAGCTGAGCTTGAGGCTGTTGTGAGCCATGATTGTGCCACTGCACCCAGCCTGGGTAACAAAGCAAGACCCTGTTTCAAAAAAAAAAAAAAAAAAAAGGAGGAGGAGAAGGAAGGAAGGAGATGAAGAGGGAGGAGGAGGAAGAAGGAGATGAAGAGGGAGGAGGAGGATGAGGAAGAGGAAGGAGAGAGGAAGGAAGGAAGGAAACGCAGGAGAGAGGAAGGAAAGAAGGAAAGGAAGGAGAGAGGAAGGAAGGAAAGGAGGGAGGGAGAGAGAGAGAGAAAGAAAGGAGGAGGAGACACCAGAGTTTGCTTGCTCTCTCTCTGCCATGAAAGGACACTACAAGGAGGCGGCCCTCTGCAAACCAGGAAGAGAGCCCTCACCAGGACTGGAATTGGCCAACACCTTGATCTTGGACTTCCAGCCTCCAGAACTGTGAGCAAATACAATTCTGTTGTTTAAGCCATCCAGTCAGTGACGTGTGGTTATGACAGCCCCACCTAAGTGGTATGGAGCCACTTACAGCAAAAGACAGAGGGGAATCAATTAAAAACTCAAACCCCATCTTTACCTTCTTTGGATAACAAGTGGATAGCAACCAATCACCTTTTCAGCTGGAAAGGGTCTTGGACTATAAGGAAGGGGATTTTGTCGTCAGGACAAATTTCCATTTTCAAATATACTTATGGAGTCAATGCCTCCGGTTCAAAACAAGGAAGGAGACCACCCAAAATGGGGTTTCATTTGCTAGTTGTGTGGGCAAGTGGCTGTGCCAGCTACTCAGGAAGCTGAGGCAGGCGGATCCCTTGAGCCCAGGAGTTCATGGCTGCAGTAAGCTATGATCGTACCACTGCACCCCAGCCTGGGTGACAGCGCAAGACCCCAGCTCTAAAATCAAACAAACAAAACCACACATGCAATTTTTAAAAATGAGATTTCATGTTTGAAATCTCTCTTGCTCTCCCTTCTCTCTCTCTGGTACCTGCAATTTCCTTTAGGATTAGCTTTGGCCAAACTAATAACCCATCTTCTTGGCAGCAACGCTAGAAATAGGGAGTGGCAGCTGGAAGCAGAGAGAAGTCGCCCTGCACTCCACATGGCTGTGTGTGTCTGTGTGCTGAGCATGGAGCTGCTTGTTCTCCAAAAGGAAGCCCTACACTTGCAAAAACTGTAATTCTGGGGGTGATTTCAGAATCAGCCTCACAGGTGTTCCTTCCTAAACTTTCCTAACCTACTGAGAACGTGTAACCAAAGTGGGATGTGAAAAGCACCCCTATTTGCTTTCCAACTGGTTGCTTCTGAGCGGGAGTTAATTCTTCACAAAGAACCTACCTACACACACCCTCAAATGTCAGGCCTGGTGTTATCTCTGGTTCCATCACAGCGGTGGCTGCTCAAACCAACTGAAGGGGACAAGACTCATTTCGGCAAAATCTCCCCATGACGGAATCACTGGGTAAAGCTATACACATGCTTGCAACGCAGTGTTCTGGCATCCACTAGTTACAAATAAAAACTTTAGCTGTGTTACAACGCAAGGATGAAGATGACTTGGGAGACCCCCAAGGCGAAAGAGGTGGGACCCCAAAGGCATGGCTGCTGGAGGCTGAGCTCTCCAGGGCAATGGGCCTCACCTGGATGGGGAGGGGGCTCCGGGTCCTGTGTCTGCAGGGTGCACCAGGAGCTGCAGAGGATCTGCCACGCATGGGCTGTGTGACCTGGAACAAGTTCTTTAACCTCTCTATGCCTTTGTTTCCACATCTACAAAATTTGGGATGATCCAAGAACTACCTAGCAGGATTCTCATGGAGATTAAATAGTTTTTCACAAGGAAACAACTTCCAGCAGTGCCTGACTGCCAACAGGAACCCCCTGTTGGCTAGGGGTTTTGCTTGTTAATGGTGTTATGACTTTTTTAGGGAGTCCACATCTGAGAGTAGGGGACAGCTGGTTCGAGCCAAGGCGGTAGCTCTTCACTCTACTGTTAAAAATAGCTCAGCACCTTCCTGAGACAAGGGTTGACACACACTGAATGAGAGCAGCCTGCAGTCAAATGTTCACAAACAAATTCAACAGCAACCATGAGGGTTGACATACTCCAGCCGAAACCGTCTCATGTGACAGATTCCTCCGCATTCCCCGGGTCCATGACATAAGCCGCACTTCAGTGTCACTGTTGGAAGGCACTGGTGATACTGTCCATAGGAGGGAGAGGCCTGAACATCTGAAACCACTGAAGATTATCAATGACAATAAGACGCTGAAAAATGTGAAGTTCTAGGAGCTATTTTATTTGAGGATCACAATTGTAACTCACCTTTGGAAGCGAAATTGGCAAGAAATTTCTTACTGCCCGACTGCTCTTACTGCTGGGCTGGGACTCAGAAAACCACCAGTGAATTCTGAAGTCTCCTCACTGCAGTGACTCAAGCATTCACAGTCTCCTCTGCATCTTTTGTTTTCCAGGACACCACGAGGCGAAGGAAGGAAGAGCGAGCAGATGTGAGCTCCTAAGCACGGCCGTCTCCACCCACTGCTGCACTCCTCAGCCTTCCCAGACACAGCCTGGTTTTTCCTACTGCACATGGCACTTTCATGAAAGGCCACCTGTTCTCACATCTATCTCCTGAAACTCCTTTAGGAGTGGAGACAAACGGGCACAAGTAACTTGAGTTGTAAAGTTCAGGAAAATTTAGATAAGTGCTTGATCATAACACATCAGCTGGTTTAATGGACCATCTTCGCATAAAACACTTCATCCTTGTCTGGGAGGGGTGCTCATACCTGTAATCCCAGCACTTTGGGAGGCAGAGGCGGGGCATTGCTTGAGCCCAGGAGTTCGAGACAGCTTGGGCAATATAGTGAGATCTCTGTCTCAGCAAAAACGTTAAACAGCTGGGCATGGTGGTATGTGCCTGTGGTCCCAGCTACTCAGGAGGCTGAGGTGTACTGTGGCTGCAGTGAGCCAGAATCACACCACAGCACTCCACCCTGAGTGACAGGGCAAGACCCTGTTTTAAAAAACAAACAAATGAACAAAATTTCATCTTTAACTCACAGTCGATTGTTATTGTGTAACCATCTGAGAAGGCCCAAAGAGCCATTTAAGGAGCCCTGGGAGCGCTGTCCTGTTGGCCATCCATGACTTGGCCTCCCAGCTCTGGGTGTTTTAGCTTCTCTCTCGCCCACACAGGGTCCTGGTGTTTTTCCAACCTTCTCCACTCCAAGTCTTTGAACCATCTGCTATCTTCAATCCGAGTCCCAAGCAAACACAAAGCTCCTCCCAACAATACATACATACAATAAGGACAATCGGTCTGCCCCTCTCTTCCTTAATTGGCTCATCCTATTTCCCTAGAGGTGCTCTGGGAAATGCGTCCCGCAGGACCACAAGAGCTGGGTTATTCGTGGGGTCTAATTGCCTCAAAAAGGAGACAGCAATTTGCAGGGCCTGGCTGATTTCATTTAATTTGCTTTAAGCAAATTCTGCTGTCATGTCAAACTACCCAGGATTCCACCACAAACATTTCCCCACCTCTTTCTTTTTTGAGCCGTCTTGAAATTATAAAATGAATAACAAGATGACATAGGCTGGGCACGGTGGCTCATGCCTGTAATCCCAGCACTTTGGGAGGCCGAGGCGGGCAGATCATGAGGTCAAGAGATCGAGACCATCCTGGCCAACATGGTGAAACCCTGTCTCTACTAAAAATACAAAAATTAGCTGGGCATGGTGGCACACGCCTGTAGTCCCAGCTACTCGGGAGGCTGAGGCAGGAGAATCGCTTGAACCCGGGAGACGGAGGTTGCAGTGAGCCGAGATTGCGCCAGTGCACTCCAGCCTGGCGACAAAGCAAGACTCCATCTCAAAAAAAAAAAAAAAAAAAAAAAAGACATAAAATATAATAAATGTTGCTAACCAGCAGAATGCCAGGTATATAGTAGGATCTCAGGAAAATGTTTGCTACTTTCACTTTCTCACCAAGAAGAATGTGACTTATAACACTGGCTCCATGTCAAACACTGACGTAAGATCTAGTGTTCAACCCCAAGCCTCCCTGCCTGCACCTGTACCCATCCGCACACACGTTCTTCTCCCTACATGCCTGAGCTTGGACCCAGCTCAATCCGTGTTACACAAGAGGGACCTGTAGCTTGGGCAGCCTTGGCAACCTGCCAAACGGTGAGTGAGCCGTGAGGATGGGACCCTCATCCTAAACCCAGTCTTTGTTTAGATGATGATGACTTGCAAGGTGGTGGGTTTTTCTCGAAGTCTAGTCTTTCCTAAAAGTGGGCTATCACAGGCGCTCTTGTGGGGCGAGGAGGTGAGCAAAGAGCGGGCCGAGATGAGGAGGCGGCTGGCAGGTCCTTCCCTATGATCCCTTCCCAGTGTTGTGCCATGTTACTTCTTCCGCATTTTTTTTCTCTAAAGGAATGACGATAGACTCATGCTAAAAAGGCTAGCAGACCAAAGCAAAAATCTTTCAGCTGGGGCTGCGAGGGGAGCCTTAGCTATCATAGAGAGTAAGTCCAACAGCAGCCTTAGGTAGCTGGCTTGAGTATCAGTTTCTTAGGGACAAAGGTCCATTCATGGGTGGCTTAAAGGAACAGAAGTTTATTCTCTCACAGTTCAGGAGGCCAGTAAGTCCAAGGTCAAGGCATTAGCAGGGCCGGTTCCTCCTGAAGGTTCTGGGAGAATCTGCTCCATGCCTCTCCTGGTGGCGCTGGCAAGCCCTGGCATCCCGCTCCTGGGTTTGTGGCTCCAGCACTGCAGTCTCTGCCCCCATCATCACACGGCCTTCTCCCTGGGCCTGCACGTTTGTGCAGGTGTGTGTGTGTGTGTGTGTGTGTGTTTGGGGGAAGGGGAGGATTATGACCCACCCGATTCCAGAGTGTGTGTGTGTGTGTGTGTGTGTGTGTGTGTATTATGACCCACCCGATTCCAGAGTGTATGTGTGTGTGTGTATTATGACCCACCCGATTCCAGAGTGTATGTGTGTATTATGACCCACCCGATTCGAGTGAGTGTGTGTGTGTGTGTGTGTGTGTGTGTGTGTATTATGACCCACCCGATTCCAGAGTGACTTCACTTTAACTTACATCTTCATTACATCTGTAAGGACTCTGCTTCCAAATTAAGTCACATTCACAGGGCTTAGGACTTCAACATATTTTGGAGGGAGCACAGTTCAACCTAAAACAGCTTGACTTCTGGAGTAGCCCATGAAAGAAAACCCTGGCCCACTTCTCCTCCTGCCCTCTTTAGCCAAATTATGTCTGTGATAAAGTCAGAAGCCGCACTGTAAAGACCTCGGGTAAGCCAGTGAGCCCAGCTGAGGGAGAAGGCAGAGCGCCCTGTGCACACGGCCTCTATAGTGACTCAAGAAAACGCCGCGGCTCTGTTGTGATGGTTCTTATGCAGGAGAGGCTTATAAACTGATGTAAGAGATGCTTCAAATTTTTTCTTATAAATAATGTCCCCATCTTCTAAAGCCTCCTAGTTTTAAAAAACAGCTCTGCCCCAGCTGGGTGTACTAATTATTCCACTGAGCTATACTGACCTCTTTTCCGGTGGGGGGGGAAGCATTATGAATTTCTTGTATCATCAAAATTAAAACTGAAATGCTAGAATAAATCCATCTTTTCTCTATCTTGAATACTTACAGTTTGAAGCACAAACATGCACCTTGCAAACTGAGCTATGACCACCTTAAAAATAGCATTTACTGGCTGGGCGCAGTGTCTCACGCCTGTAATCCCAGCATTTTGGGAGGCCGAGGCAGGCAGATCACAAGGTCAGGAGATTGAGACCATCCTGGCTAACACGGTGAAACCCTGTCTCTACTAAAAATACAAAAATTAGCCAGGCGTGGTAGCGGGCGCCTGTAGTCCCAGCTACTAGGGAGGCTGAGGCAGGAGAATGGCATGAACCCGGGAGGTGGAGCTTGCAGTGAGCCAAGATCACGCCACTCCACTCCAGCCTGGGCGACAGAGCGAGACTCCGTCTCAAAGAAAAAAAAAAAAAAAAAAAGCAGTTACCACCTGCAATCCCAGCACTTTGGGAGGTCAATGCAGGCAGATCGCCTTAGGTAAGGAGTTCAAGACCAGCCTGGCCAACATGGTGAAACCCTGTCTCTACCTAAAAAAATACAAAAATTAGCCAAGCATGGTGGTAGGTGCCTATAATCCCAGCTACTCCAGAGGCTGAGGCAGGAGAACTGCTTGAACCTGGGAGGCGGAGGTTGTAGTGAGCCAAGATCGTGCCACTATACTCCAGCCTGGGTGACAGAGCGAGACTCCGTCTCAAAAAAAAACAAAAAACAACAAAAAAAAACAAAACGAAATAAAAGAACAGCAGTTACATTGCAGGCAGGCAAACCCATCATTACGGTAGCCATTCCTGCTCATCAAAGTTTATTTTTGAAAGTACGAGTTCTCTCTAGGAGAATTTCAAAGGCTCTTACTTTATTTAAAGTTTCTCCAGAAGGATAAGATTTTTAAAGTGTAAGAAAGGGCCACCAACCAGAATACGGCTGGGATTGCATTGAAAAGCCACCACTTTCCCAACGTGTGCACGTGTGTGCACACACACACACGCACATGCACACACACACACAGCACCCTGATTTGCTATCTGCCGATTTTCCTTGCTCTCAACTGGCAGGAAAGGATGAAGAGAGTATGTCATGAAATTAAAAGATACTAAAATATTTAAAAGGCCAAAATTCATTGCCCTAACAGGAAGCAAACCAGGGCTGGAGGTGGGAGAGGGAGTCACACACAGACCTGCTAGTACTTTGGCAACTGCTTTCCTTTGGGAGAGGAAACAAACAAACAAAAAAAACCTGGGATTAAATCCCACTCAGTCATTCCTTAGCCATGGGACTTTGACATAGTACTGATCATTTTGGGCTTCAGTTTCCCATGTGCAAAATGAGGATAACTTCCTGAAGCTTGCAGGTTTGCAGTAAACATGAAAAATATCACAATAGATACATTAGGCCACCAGGGCCACAGTGAAAGTTCAATCAAGAGTGGTGCTGCTGTTAATTTGTAAGTGTGATTGTTTCTGCTGTAACTAAGAAGTTAATGATTACTAAGAAGCAACAGGTCCTTAACCCAGTTTTCCACTGAATTTCCTTACTACCTCCCTTGCCTTTCACAAACTTCCCACAGATAGAGCCTGTTTCCTGCTCCATGAACCCTAACAATTTCTGGGAATGCTATTGCTATGCCCTTTGACCTCTCCTTCTTAGGTAATGGGGAAGGGGACTCTGACCCTGCATTTCCAAAGAGCTTCTCTCTGCAAGGGGGCAGGAGGAAGGATATATTGAGATTCATCTCCAACAGGAAACTTAAGACAAATAAAATCAAATCTCAATAAACAATTTGAGTGTACTCAAAAATACTGTCTTTCTTAGGGGATAAAGTTACTCTTTGAAACAAATCAACATCCTGGCCCACACCACCCACCACCACCCACCACCACCAGTCACACAACACCTTCAACTGGACAGCCCACGAGTTTCATCCCATCCTCTAAAATCTACCAAGTGTTCACACTTGTAACTGATATCTACCCCATCTCCAAATGTCAACTCGAAACCTCCACATTTCAGACTTTATAAATTAGCAAAATAGCCATTTTTGAAAATTTCACTAAGATTGGAATATTTAAATTCCTAGTTTCAAATTCTTCAATCTAATGTGCTCTGGGCCACATGAAGGCAGATGCACCTGGGCATAAGCACAGCTGTGTGGATGATGAGGATGTCTGTGTCATCTTTGTGATGCCTAATTACTGATGTACAGATTTATTTCAGGCTGTGGCTATAACCCTTCAGAGGAGGGAGGGGTTTAGCCATGGTATTTAGGAAACTCCACCAAAGGAACCATTCCTGGGGAGGCACAGAGGCGACCTGCCTCTCTGGAGTGATGGGATCCGGTCTAGGACTGTCAAAGCTGCCGTCGGGAAGGGGAGGCAAGCAAGCTGCACTGTGGAAGTCATCGTCATTCTGTGTCTTTATTTCCCTGAAGGCCATCGAGATTATCTTACACTTAAGCCTATTATGGGAAAAAAAAAAAACATGTAATCTATTAAGTGGAACAAAAGAGCAGATTGGAGGAATAGAGAGAGAGAGGATGGTCCCATCGGCGTAAAAACCAGACATCAACGCACACAGACAGAGGAAGAGGTCGGAGAGAGGACAGTATCCCAAGTGTATGGGGATTACTTCTGAAGACCAGGATTACAGATGCGGAATATATTTTCCCCTTTTTGCTGTATCTCCCATTGTGTTAAAGTGCACGGGAATGGCTTTGTCACAAGGGAAAACAATGCAAGCGTTCACCCACCGTTTCGAGTTTGTCCGTTTGGGGTAAGGGGCTGTTGCCTACACAGGCACAGTTCCGCATCACCTAACCCCTCAACAGTGCCTTGACGGCGTTTGCTGTTTTTGGCAGTTTCTGCCTTCCTTGTTCTGCCAAATATGGCAACTCCTCCCTCCTTTCGTTCCACTTTTTATTCTTTTTTAAGCATTTTTTAAGCATGGAAGTCTCCCATCTCGCACCAGCCTCTTCTGCTTCCTACAGCTTCTCT
Organism: Homo sapiens; assembly: GCF_000001405.40. Taxonomy (NCBI): domain Eukaryota; kingdom Metazoa; phylum Chordata; class Mammalia; order Primates; family Hominidae; genus Homo; species Homo sapiens. The sequence continues at coordinate 98,309,567 of NC_000013.11, read as the reverse complement.
CTATCCCATCTCTGTCCAGGAGAAATAGAATATGAGCTACAAATATAAGTTAAAAGTTTCTAGTAGCCATATTTTAAAAAGTTTAAAAAAAGGCCTCTTGGCCGGGCGCGGTGGCTCACGCTTGTAATCCCAGCACTTTGGGAGGCCGAGGCGGGCGGATCACGAGGTCAGGAGATCGAGACCATCCTGGCTAACACGGTGAAACCCCGTCTCTACTAAAAATACAAAAAAAAAATAGCCGGGCGTGATGGTGGGCGCCTGTAGGCCCAGCTACTCGGGAGGCTGAGGCAGGAGAATGGCGTGAACCCGGGAGGCGGAGCTTGCAGTGAGCCGAGATTGCGCCACTGCACTCCCGCCTGGGCCACAGAGCGAGACTCCGTCTCCAAAAAAAAAAAAAAAAAAAAAAAAAAAAAAGGCCTCTTAAAATTAATATTAATATATTTTATGTAATCTAATAGGTCCAAAATATTATCACTTTAACATATTAAAATGATCCATTTCAAAATTGCCAACAAGATCATGTGAATTTATAAAGATCACTTTAAATTATTATGTCTAATATTTTATAATATAAAATTATACCTATTGGCCGGGCATAGTGGCTCACGCCTGTAATCCCAGCACTTTGGTGGGGGGCTGAGGTGGGCAAATCACTTGAGCCCAGGAGTTCAAGACCAGCCTGGGCAACGTGGTGAAACCCCGTTTTTGTGAAACCCCAAAAATACAAAAAATCAGCCAGGCATGGTGGTGGCATGCCTGTGGTACCAGCTACTCGGGAGGCTGCAGCGGGAGGATCACTTGAACCCAGGAGGCAGAGGTTGCAGTGAGCCAAGACTGCGCCTCTGCACTCCAGCCTGGCCAGCAGAGTGAGACCCCATCTCAAAACAAACAAACAAAAAATAAAATTACACATATTAAAACTTCAAGATAAAACACTGAGTTATCTTACATTCTTTGTTGTTGTTGTTAAGTCTTTGAAATTGAGTGTGTCTCAGGCAAATCCAGCACACTCTAGTCTGGAGGAGCCATGTCTCAGGTGCCGTCCAGTGCATGTGGCTCGTCAGGCTGTCCTGGACAGCGGCTCCAGCCTCTGACCTCATCTTCTATCTTCGTCCATTCCCCTTCCTCAGGTGATGCATTCGCTGCACCACCTAAGGGGGTACCACGTTTGTCAGTCTCAGCTACGGGACCTACAAAGAACGCCCTTCATAACCCTGGCACTCAGGCCCCACGTGCCCCTGAGGGAGCACGAGAAGAGCGGTGACCTTGAAATCGATTCACTGAATATTTGCTGAACACCTACTACCTGATTAACACAGATAGGACAGTTATCATCCTCAAGGTCTCAACACAATCCTTTGGGAAAAACCACGTAAACAAAGTCAAATGTGATACGTGCTATATTCAAGGAATGCATGTGCTGTGGAGCCACAGGAGGAAAAAAGGCTAGGATAAATTCCGTGGGTTTCACAGTCCAAGAAACCCTTGGAGCTGCATTTAGCAAAAAAAAAAAAAAAAAAAAAAAAAAAAAAAAGAGAGAGAGTGGGGGCGGGCGGAGGGGGGCAGGCAGTCCAGGCCAGGGGCAGCCTGTTCAAGGGCTAAGGAACATAAGGCAGGAAGCTAGGCTGCCGTCAGATTGTAAACGATCTTGCGTGCCTTGCTAAGTACTAAGAACTTTATCCAGCAAGCAATGAAAAGTCACTGATAGTTTTTTTTCCAAAAGAGTAACATTATCAAATTTGGGCTTTAGAAACTCTGGCAGAGAGTAAGATAATATTGGAGGGAGAAAGACAGAAACGTAAGGGACCGGAGAGGCTTCATTATTTCCAGTTAGTAATTGCAAAGATCTAAACAAAGCAGCAGAGTCAGAGATAAACAGGAGGAAACAGATGTGAAAATATTTATTTAGCAGGAAATACAAGGGGACTTGAGACTTGGTGTGGCCTCGGGAGAAGGAGGGAGCTGATGAAGAGGCACCGACATGAACGCGCTGTGAGCCTGCGGTGGAAATCTCAAAGACTCGAGGCCTGTAGCGTGTGAACAGGACTCACGACACCACCTCGGGACACCCACAAGGCTGGGCAGGAGATACCAGCTCACAGCCCACGAGACAGAGATGGGCAAGTCAGAGGTCAAGGAAGGCTGGGGTGGTGGGGGAAACCGGGGCAAGGGACGCGTTTCAGGAGGAGCCACTTTTCATTAGGTATTAGTTCTGTCAACTCCATCCATAACAGAATCTGTGTGAGGTATTAGAATTCAACCTCCAATACATTTCAAAAAATTCTCAACCTAATTCAAAAATCAATGACTTCATATCAACCCAAACTGCCTTCTGAGAAAAACGCATTCAATCAACTTCATAGGTAAACCTCTCATCCTTTGCTTTCTCCGGCTTTCTAATCTGCGGAATCATAAAGCCAGAATGAAACTCAAGACTAAAGCCTAAGAAACAGCATGCGAGTCAAGAGGGACCTCTCATCTCTGTCCTGTCATTTGTACATTGAGCCCTCCACAATTAGCCAGCTGTGACGAGGTTAGCTGTTGAGCTTCTCAGCTCTGCTCTGTTTCTTCGTTTGTAATGGGGACAATAATAGGTTTCTGGGAGGGTGGTCATGAAGAATAAGAATGACATGGCCCAAGCCCAATATTTAATGAATGTTAACTCCTTTCTCTTTTCCTAACACAATATTTTGTTTCTTTTCCAAGAGTGGTATGGTATAAAGAGCACAGATTTTGGAGCTAGAGGCCGGGCACGGTGGCTCACACCTGTAATCCCAGTACTTTGGGAGGCCAACATAGGAGGATTGCTTGAGGCCAGGAGTTCGAGGCTAGCCTGGGTAACATAGAGAGACCTCATCTCGACAAAAAATGAAATAAAAAAAAAAGTTAGCCGGGTGTGGTGGCATGTACCTGTAGTCCCAGCTACTCAGGAGGCTGAGGCAGAAGGACTGATCAAGCCCAGGAGTTCGAGGCTGCAGCGGGCCACAATTGCACGACTGCACTCCAGCCTGGGCAACAGAGTGAGATCCTTTCTCAAAACAAAAAAGAAAGAAAGAAAAAGATAAAAAAGATTTTGGAGCTGGAAGGCCTGGGCCTGAATTCTAAGTCTTGTCGTTTGTAACTGTATTCAAGCAAGTGACTAAAACTCTTCGACTGTTTTCTTTCCTACAAAATGGAACATGTAAAGTGTCTAGCACAGGGGCATGCAACAGAAGCTGAGTCACTGCTAGTCCCCTCCCACCTCTTCCCCTCGTAAGAAAAGGTACTAGAGTGGGTCAGGCAATTTCTCCTTTTCCCATATGTTTAAGCTTGGCATGGTTGATATGCACCAGTTTCAGTTACTCTGGTTTAGTTAAATCACACCAGTCTCCCAACAACACAATGCAAACTTCAGTTATTAGAACATAGTTAACTGTAAGTAACTGCATAAAGCGCAAACGTTGCAATCAGCTGTCCAGTCTACACATCACTCCATGAAATACAGATGCACGTTATGCATGATCAGTGACCAACCCCATCACTTCTTTCATAGTCTACTGAAGATGGGTCTCTGCACATGGATAGTTCAGTCTCCACACAGACAGCAAAGCGTGGAGTTGTGTTGCCTCCTTGTCTCCCAGTGATTCGCCCAGAATCACATTTTACAAAAATGGGTAACTGAAAAGGGAAACTGGCCAATGAAGATGAAAGTGCAAGAAAAAAAAAAGGGAAAGTAATAATACAAGAAGTAAAATTTGAGTTGAACTTAAGTGGAGTTTTAGAAGAAACAGTGGACCAGGGGAACGTCAACACTGGCCCTTTGAGAGACTCTAGATGTGCAGCCAGAGAAGCTTAGTGAAGGTGGATTATTGACAGAAATGAGGAAAGAGGTTGTGATGCAAATGATGAAGGCGTCCTTAAAGAAGTGAAGCTTTTCACATTAAGGAAATTCTCAGGGCCCGCGTGGTGGCTCACGCCTGTAATTCCAACACTTTGGGAGGCCGAGATGGGCGGATTACCAGAAGTCAGGAGTTCAACACCAGCCTGACCAACATGGAGAAACCCCGTCTCTACTAAAAATACAAAAGTTAGCTGGGCGTGGTGGCGGGTGCCTGTAATCCCAGCTATTCGGGAGGCTGAGGCAGGAGAATCGCTTGAACCCAGGAGGTGGAGATGGAGGCTGCGGTGAGCTGAGATCACGTCTTTGCACTCCAGCCTTGGCAACAAGAGCGAAACTCCGTCTCAAAAAAAAAAAAGAAAGAAATTCTCAGAGATACGTCATGGCATTGAAAGTGCGAGGGATAAAATGTTGGAAACTGATCTAAATGCATGAGTACCCAAATGGCAGCCAGTACTAGGATCACATCCTCTCTGACAAATACAAGTTGTTGTTAGTGAATGAGGAAAGGATTTTCCCCAAGGAAAATAAATAAATAAATAATAAAAATAAAAAATAAATAAATTAAAAAATATATATATATATACACATTTAAATATTCTTACTGAGCCCCTATCATCTTTCAACCACAAATTACAGTGAACCTTCACTCCTCTCTCTCTCTCTCTTGCTAAAAGCATTATGGCCATGCCTAATACTTCTCTACTCAACACAAAGAATACAGACCACAGACAGATGAGGCTGAAAGATTCGGAAGCAGAATTCAAGTGTATTTCTTTGTGGCACATGCTTTGTTATATTCTTTAAGGTTAAATGGAAAGATATGAACAGCATGTTCCAATGGCTGACAGATAATACGTTAATTTTCTATGCATGAATTTATGCCCAGCTCAGACAAGGTCTCAACTTTTTAGTAGTTGAAGAGAGACAGGGAGGCATGAGCTGTGAGAAATAAATGTCTTTTGGCTTCAGACAGAAACATCAGCATCGCATACAATTTCTCAGTTCATCAGTTTGGTCTGCGAAGGTGATACCACTTAAAATCATGGCACCTGCCCGCCTGCAAGAAACTCGTGTCACCGCCTTGGCTGTGCCCATCGAATGGGTAGCTTTCCTGGTTCCTGTGTCTCCAGGCTCCAGGCCTGTACCGCTCTGCAGCCCTCTTCTCCACCAGCCTAGAGTTATCTCAAAGCAGGACCCACCTCGGAATCTGCACCTTTCTGGACCTAACACCCCAAGGAGTACATGTCTGCTGACTGAATAAATGAATGAAACAGAAGCACAAGTCACTTCAAAAGCCCTTGATAATCTATAAACCATTTTAAAATAATTTTTCTTCCCACCTAGTTCTTAGATGAATGAAAATCATAAAGATAAACTCCCTAGTAAATATGGGTAAAAACAAGAGCCTTCAATTAAGCAGCTGGAAGTCCTACACTCCATTACCCAGTAATTTCACTGGCTTCCATATGCAGGTCTGGCAGAGCAGCAGACCCTTCTGCTGGAGGGGTCTCGGGCCCCACTATGTCATACACCAAGATGAATCTACCCATGGGGACAGGGGAAAAGGGAGCTCACGGTTTGTTTTTACCAGGCCTGAAGTGACTCTCAGCAACCTCGCTAATAATTGCTGCATTTCCCAAAGTAAACAGAGAGGACCGTTAGGTAGAGTTTTCTACACACCAGGGAAAAAGGAGGCTTGCAGTGACACTCAGACCACCACTTCGGTCAAGTAACGAGTGAACTCTGATGAATGGAACTTTCTAATCAAAGAGGCATAAATTAACTTTCAGGTCTTTCAATCAGCTAGTCAAATACAGTGCAGTCTTTGAATTTCTTAATTGTCTGTTTTTCTTTGCAGAATCCCTCCTCTGGCGCTTAACCTTTAAAGCCCTTTCCAACCCTGAGATTCCATAGAATTCCACTCCTGTTACACATATCGATTTTACTAATTGAGGCTAAAGTAAAATATCCCAGTTAGTGAGATTTTCCCATATACATAAATCTATGTCCTATATACACAAGCCATGAAGCCATTTGTATGTTGAGCATTTCAGAAGACGACAACGGGGACTCTGGAACATCTGCTTACTAAAGCTAAGGGCGTAGGTTCAGAGAGGACTTAATTTACAAGTTCCAACTCTTAACAGCATCATTTATGAACATGTTCCCCAGAACATACACAACGAGGACCAAGTTCCCTCATATAAATCTTTTTGTAGGTTCTCAACCCTCGCCACAAGCCTCAAAACAAAATCCAGTTTAAATAAAATGTTAACAGGTTTACTGAAGTAGATGTACATGCTATAAAATTCAACTACTGTAAGTATACAGTTCAATGACTTTTTAGTACATTTCTAGGACTGTGCAAACATCACCACAATCCAGTTCTGAAACATTTCCATATCACCCTTAAACTTTCCCTCAAGCCAGTCTGCAGTCAATTTCTGTTCCCACTCCCAGGCCAAGACAACCACCCAACATCAGCTTTCTGCCTCTAAGATTTGACTTTTCTGGACATTTCACATAAATGGCTTCAAACAACACGTCATCATGTGTATCTGACTTTATTCACACAGCATAAAGTTTCTGGAGGTTCGTGCATGTTGAGCATAACCAATCAAGGTAAATTATATTGATATTCCCTTTACAATCAAAACAGAGCCTGCTACATACAGAGTGGGCCCGCAAAATTCATGAAAACTCCACCAGGACCAAGTGGCCACCTCCACACTTCTACAGGCTGCCACATCACTACCTCCTCCCTCAGCTCAGGAGCTCTCCTCGTTGGGGCCTGATACTCCCTGCTCTCTCTCTTGCCCAAATGGGCTTATTGCACTCACCTTAACTCTCCTCGCCCCTGGTTTCAAAGCACCCACAGCTGCAGATAAGAGCTGCTCCTGCCCCTACTCTGGTCCCAAGGGATCAATATCAACCATGCTACCTCATCGACCTCAATCTCTCAGCAAGGAGAAATGCATCCCACAACTGAGAACTAATGGCTTCCATTCTCACCCCAATGGGATCCTGAAGAAGTTCCTCTTTGCTCTTCACCTTGCCTTTCCTTGATCTCTCCAGACAACGATGTTATAGGTAAAAATTCCTCAAATGCCCAGACCTTGGTCAGTGCTAGCACCCAGGCTAGGTTGGTGCTAGGAGAGAGGGCTGCAGTGCTTTTTGCCTGAGCACGCCCAGGAAGGGTGAAGTGTGGCAAAGCTGATCTGCCCCGGACAGGGAGAAGCAGCTCTCGGAAAAAGAAAGTGACCATCTTTGGCCACTGGTGTGGGCAGGGGTGAAAAAAAAGATGAGTGTGGGAGGTTGAAAATATAGCAACTGGGGAAAATGGAGGAATGAATGTGAGCTAGAAAAGAATTTTTTGATATGGGTAAGATTACAGGCATAAGCTGGCACTTGCCATTCATGGTAGATTTTACAAAAGTGGTGGAAAGAGAGTTCATTCCACGTGTTTGCCCCATTATTCTGGAGGTTTGATTATGGCTTTCCATTAAAGAGCAGAGTTAACAGCTAACTTGGTGGCCCCTGCTTTTGTGCCAAAATGTGGCAGCTAAGTCAGCCCAATTCATGGAAAGTTCCTTTTTGCTTCCTACTTCTATGCAGGGAAGTTAATGGGTACAGAGCCAGTCTGTGTACGGGGTCAATTTTGAGGTGTGTCTACACCAAGTATTCCTTAAAAGGAATCAGGTTTCCTTAGGGGAAAAAAAAAATGATCATGAATTTTAAAGTCGACAGACAGGATGATCTGTTTTGTTTGAGAAATCCGGTCACCCGAATTAACAAGGCTGTTGCACGCATCCTCCATGCCCTGGCTTTGGCTCAGAGGACAGTCTTTACTTTCTGCTTTTTAAAGAAGTCTGAGCCATACACCACCGAGTACGTGTACACTTAAATAAACATAAAAACACTGGCTTCTTAAGGCAAGTTAAGTATCCCTCTGTGTGTTTTCAATGTACTACCATTTTGGGGACTTGATTTCCCCCCAAAAGCCCGAAAGGTTTATACGATCAAAACACCTCTTCTTTAGGTTCTATCCCCTCTAAAATATTAAATGCACAGTATTATCTAGAAAACGCTGAGCTTTCAACAATCCAAGTCCCAGGAATGTAGAAAGACATAAACAAAATGGAAAAGTAAACAAATGCCAAGCTCCTAAGTCACTGCCAGGAAAATTCTAACAGAGAGAAGAGAACGAGCCACACATTTTTAATGTGGCTCAGAAAACCCACACCTCCGCAGAAGGCTTGACTTCAGGCTTCTCTCACTTGCCAGCAACCTCATACAATAGAAGCTCTGTTTCTGCCAAGCAGACCTGTCTGACTTCTCCACCTCTTCACCTACAGAACTTTCAGATGGTAAACAGACGTGGAAAGTGACACGTGGACCAGAGAAAGCCCTACAAGTCCAACAGAGAGAAAGAAAAAAGTGCATTAAAGTGGCCAGGAGCTGGTCAATGTACTTGCCCAGGGCTCCTCCAGGTGGGGGCTGGCATGAGCTCTGCATTACTGACATTTGAGCAGGTGTTCCTTTGTTGGGGGCAGGGTGGACTGTCCTATGCCTTGTAGGATGATCAGCAGTGCCTTGGCCTCTTTCCTCAAGATGCCATTAGATGACAACCAAAGCAGTCTCTGGACCCAGCTCGATGTCCCCTGGATGGCGCAATGGCCCCAAGTTGATGACAGCTGGTCTGGACCAACAACAGGATCACCAATTCCAGGGTTGGAGAGACCTGAGAGATCATCCAGGCAGGGGCTTTGTCATTTGGGATGCATTAATGGAGTCCCTTAAAGGGTAACTCTCCAAGGCCATGGAGCCCCCAAGTCGGCAGCAGCACAGAAGACAGAAGCCTCAGTGCCTGACCAGGCCAACATTTTTGGAGAAGTCTATTTTCAAAGAAAACTGGACATTAAGTGCCCCATATATATTTGAAACCATCATTTGGTAAAGCAAGTAATATTCATAATGCTGTTCTTTCTATATTTTAGAAAAAAAGTACAGAGGGGACGGGGAAGGGTGGCCCTGCTGGGCGGAGCAGAGAAGTGGCTTCACCTGCAGAGATGGAAGAGCTGATGAAGCCACCGGCAAGAGGGCACAGTCAGAAGGCAAGACCCTTTTACATGTACAGAACACATTTTGTATATGTTTATAAAACTGCTGTTATATAATGTAACATTTTCCCTGGAAATCAATCCACTCAAAAAGAATACGCGGACATCCTGGGTACCAAACCAAGAGGGCTCCCAAAGCATCTGCCCAGCTCTCTTCACTGCCGGTTAGAACGATGATAGAGATGTGGTTGGATGACTGCTACCAAGGCTGAGAGAGACACGGGGTCCGTGCAAACGACAGTGGCCCAGGGCCCCAAGGAACAGTTCCCAGTGACCTCTAAGTGACTAACGTGAAAGCCTGTCGTCCCCACACTACTCGAGGCCAACCCCATAAGGCAGCATGGACGGACTGTCTTCTCACTCCAGACCTCCTAACCTAACACCAACTTTCTCTTTGCCTCAATAAATATCTTAATCTAGATACAGTGCTCTCAGGGGAAAGGGTGTGGCCAAATTCTGTGTGTGGTTGGCTCTTGGCCTATTACTGGGACTGAGAGGGAGTGTTTTAATAAATTCTTTAAACATTATTTGGGGGAACATTAGAAACTATTCAATAGTGAGGCCAGAACAAAAGAGGAAGCTTTCAATGCTCCTGTAGCATTTCAGTCCCCCTGATTAGCTACTGATTAGCACACATACTTGAAGCAGCAGATCATCTGGGAGGCAGAAAGCATCCAAAAACATAGAAACAAAAAACTATTTTAAAATAATAAAGAGCTAGAATTAAATGTACCGATTATTAAAATAGCAGTGATTTCAGCACCACATTTTTGTCCGTGCAGTCGTGTGTTGCAGCCATATAGCTCCACTGAACAGCTTTTTGTTACTGTTTATTTTCCTAAGCTCTCAAATAAAGTGATTAAAGAATTACATCTTCCTAAGGCTGCAGAAGGATGGAAGGAAATTATGAATTCAGGTTTCCAAGACTATAATTGGAGTTAAGACTCTAATGTGGTTCTTTGGGGCCCAGACTGTATCTTTACTAATATTTTTCCTACTTTAGCATTTATGTTGCCACCCAGGAGCATAACTCCACACACAATTGCTCAAGGCTTATGAGTCTTCTGTAGAATAGGCAAGGAAAGGAATAATTTGAAGGCGTAATGTCAAAGCTCTCACTTCAGTAGACAGCCCCTACGTGTTCATACATTTCGCCTGCTGGGCCCCATCTTTCAAATAGAGCCAGCCAGAGTATGCTTTTATGTCTCTTGGCTGGTAACCATCTTGTTCTCAGTGCCTGGGAGAGAGGGTGTGAGGATAGAGAGGAAGAGAAAAGGTTGTTTCTAGCAAAGGTCAATATTAATAAAACACCCTATGCCAAAAAAACAGACAGCAAAGTTTTGTAACAATGGTTACTTCTGCATGGTAGAACTGTGGCTTTTTTTAGTTGCTGTCGGTTCAAATGTTTTTGATAGGAACATGTATTGCTTTATTACCCAGCATTAAAATCAATATTTTTTAAATATAATCAATATTTTCTGAAGTTGTGCACATAATCCCAAGGGGGCCACTCACTGCATTCCCAAAGAAACCTCCGCTTTCCTGTTCCATCCCTCCCGCCAGATAGCATCTTAGCAGCACGTGCCTTCATTTTTGGCAGCCCCTCCACTTAAAACTTGCAGTTCCATTCAGCACAGGTCTGAAAATCCTCATATATACAATGTTAGTAAATGACCAAATACATTCCTAAAGCCTGCTCACCATTTATTCCTTTCTATTTCCACTTTACAGCAAGAAACATACTACTCATCCATCAGCGGGTGTAACTCACCTACATTATTACACAACCAAGGCGTTGAAAAGACAGAAAGCTCCTTTTTAATGCTCTAAGCTCCTAGAAGGCCAGGGACTGTTTTTAACTCCTCTATACATTGCTCATGTCCCATAACCAAAGAATTAATGAAGTGCTGATGAAAAGATATGAAAGCCCAACAGCATAAACACAGAGACAAAAACAAAACAAGGGTTTCACTCCATTCCTGGGAACAGCTGGCAGAGCAAACACAAAATACTTGAAAGCCACAGGTAAGGGGAAAAAAATTAAGCTGATTGCTTCATCCCAACCAACTCTTTCATACAAGCAGATGATAAAACAAAAAGAAGCATGGGGTGCAGTCCCATAAGAGTTTCTATCTGCACCTTTGGAAACTGTCTTCTATGCTAGTAAGTTACAGCTAACAAATGTTTAGTGAGTCCACCTCTGTGCAAGCATGGGACCTTGTCAATCAGTCTTCAGATTATGCGACACGAATGAACGTAGAGATGTGTGATCCCAAGGCAATGTATTTAAACACAAGCCATGGTGTCTTCCCTTTTCCTTGGCAAAATGGGATAACCAAGCCTTGAAAATGCTGTTAAAGGAACTAAAAAGGAAAGTATACACATAATGCCTGATAGAGGACAGATGCTCAAATATGCAGAGCACACGCAGGGCCACCGTGCTGCGCAGCTCTGGGGCTTGGGGCAGTTCCCATCACAGTCCTACACAGCCTGACATGGAAATCCTGGGTCGCCCTGTTTCTCGGCATTCTGCTTTATTTCATTTTCTACTTCTCTGCCATTTCTCATCAGAAATGTCAAGGTCAAAATGCAAACGCACAGGATGATGGCAAACAAGATACAGGGAACGTGGATAATTCAGAAACCCGCTCTGATAGGGATCTGCTTCTATGCCATGTAACATGACAAGGAACTTATTCAAAATCTATCTTTAATTCTTAGATACAACTGACAACTTCAAAGTAACATAAAACAGCACTGAAGACTCCATTCCTATTGGTGGGGGTGAAGCGGTGGAGGGAGACAGGACCCTTTTGAGAATCAGATGAGAGAGAGGGGCTTCCTTCCCCCAAACATACACATCTACCCAAATTTTGCTTACATGTCAGCCCGTTCATAAACATAACGTCCCCACCCAAATGTCCTCCTTCCCACAGTAGTAATAACCCAAAGAGAATCAGGCAGATCTTCTTATAATTTCATTTAAACACGGGGCAGTTTGAGTTTTTAAAATTATCGTACCTACAGTTGGCTGTAGTCATAGTAATTCACCCTTTCTCTCTAGGCTGTGTTAAAATTCCTAAGAACAAAATAGCATGAACAAAGCCTGGGAAGTTTTAAAGCCAATCTTGAATCCCAAATGCCTGCTGTTTCACCAAATAATTAAGCGGCTACTTCATTTCTATTGCACACCTGGAGCTTAATTGCTTCACAAAACCACACACACAGATGGCTTCGAGAGAGGTAAGTCCACATAATAAAAGTTCATGGGCAGCTCCGTTATTTGGACAAGGTTTTGGTTTTATGGAGCTGCTGCCCAGGGCACACACCATCTAAGTAGCTCCTGCTGATCAGCTGAACGTCACTTTGCAGTTGACAGCACTAAGGCTACCCTACAGCCTATCTTCCTATGGGAACAATCCGGCATCTCCCCTGAGGGCAACCAGACTGTGCTGTGCACAATAAAGAAAGCCCTATGCCCCATATTCTCACTTGAAGAAAAGCAGAGATTACAGAAAGGTGATATATGAATATTCATTTGCTGTTATTAAAAAACCATCATTTGAAATCATTTAAATCAGTGTCATTTAAAAAGTCATTTAGGGCCGTGTAATCCCAGCTTTGGGAGGCCAAGGTAGGAGGATCACTTGAGCTCAGGAGTTTGAAACCAGCCTGGGCAATGTAGTGACACTTTGTCCCCACAAAAAATACAAAAATTAGCCAGGCATGGTGGCTAGCACCTGTGGTCCCAGCTACTCAAGAGGCAGAGGTGAGAGGATCACCTGAGTTGGGAAGCAGAGGCTGCAGTGAGCTATGTCACTGCACTCTAGCCTGGCAGACAGAGGGAGATTCTGTCTCAGGAAAAAAAAAAAAAAAAAAGGCCATTAAGTCACTTTATATTTGTAAAATCCTTTACAGTTTACAAGTACTCTAATGTGGCTCAGAACTTCAGAAGGGAAAACAGACATTCTACGCAAAAAAGGCTCCCATTAGCAAAGGCTTCCTGAACATCTCCTGTGCTAGGAGTGGAGGATGTGCATGAAGAGCGGGGGGTCCCTGTCTTCACAGATCATGGAAACATAGGAGAAGGATGCCCATGTCCACTCTGGCGAGAACGGGGGTTTCTACAAGGGGAGAAGCACTGATTCGGATTTTTACAGGGAAAGTCATTTCATCCAGAGAACTGGAATGGGAAGAAACTGGGGAAATAGCATTCAAGGCAGAAAGGAGAGTGTGCGCATGTGCTGGCGGCAAGGTGTACCTGCAATCGGGGGGCCACGGGACAGGAAGGAATGATGGCGGTGAGGCTGGAGAAGGTGACGAGCCTAATCCACGAAGGTCTTCCCAGTTGATTGATAATGGGAGTTTATAGATGAGGAAACTGAAGACACAGATCTGCTAGAGTAGCTGCTCTCAAACCAGGACATGCTCCATGTGGAAGCTCTTTAAAATAATGTATCGATGCTCGGGTCTCATCCCCAAAGCTCTGATGCAGTTAGCTGGTGTCGCACCTGGGAATCAGTATTCTTTTAAAAAGCTCCCCAGGTGAGGCTAATGTGCAGTTGGCCTGGACAAGCCCTGGGCTAGAGGCTAAGCAACCACCTAAGGTCATCCAAGTTCAGGGCTCTTTCTTATATTTTAAACTGCAGTGATTATGGCTCTTTAATTTCTTAATTTTAAGAATGCAAAATATAAAAGGATGGGAAGAAAGGACTCTCAGAATACCACATGCATACATACCCCAGTCTTCCAGATACAATTCTTTATCGTTGCAGAAAGAATTTTAGCTTTTATTACTTGACATGCTAGATGTCCTAATTAATGCAGATGTTAACAAATCTGAACTGACCTTTATTTCTGGAGTAAGTCTTTAGGCTGGGAAGAAAATTCCAAATGTCTCTTTATTATTTGAACCATTCTTTAAGATGGTGATGCTTTATGGAACAAGATCAGCAAGTCAAAGATGCATAAGAAACTGACTCACCCAGCCAGAAGAACATGGGGGAGGAGAGGGGGACTGGGAGGTTATTTTTATCTGCAGGCTTTTTATGCTTTCAAAGGTCATCTTATTGACAAATCTGGAGTTTATAAGCAGAGGTAGTAACCCAGCGAGCTTCCTTAAATCTAAATGGCTAGCATTCCCCCACGGAGCAAGAATAGCAAACCTGGGTTGTGTCCACTGCCCCTTCATCCTCCCCATATCCACTGAGGACACGCGAGTCTCGTGGCATTGCCTGCCCAGGGCTCCCTCTGCTGCCATGACTCCTCTAAACTTGGCAGTGGAATAAAAATCAATTTACGATTCCTGCCCTAAAATTTAATATCACTTCAAAAGAGCACCAAGGTATACCAGGCAAGAAGCCCTAAACATGAATCCCTTTCATTTAAATTAACAACATAGCCCTTTATGTAAGTAGACAGACTTGCAAAAAATAAATAAATAAATAATGCCTGGGGATATATGTGTGTGTGTGTGTGTGTGTGTGTGTGTGTGTGTGTGTGTGTGTGTGTGTGTGTGTGTAATATATATATATATAATTTTTTTTTTCTGAGACGGAGTTTTGCTCTTGTTGCCCAGGCTGGAGTGCAATGGTGTGATCTCAGCTCACTGCAACCTCTGCCTCTCGGGATCAAGCGATTATCCTGCCTCAGCTTCCCCAGTAGCTGGAATTACAGGTGCCCTCCACCACGCCCAGCTAATTTTTGTATTTTTAGTAGAGACGGGGTTTCATCATGTTGGCCAGGCTGGTCTTGAACTCCTGGCCTCAGGTGATCCGCCTGCCTCAGCCTCCCAAAGGGCTGGGATTACAGGCATGAGCCACCATGCCTGGCCTTGGGGACATACATATTTTTTGAAGAATAAAATGCTTTTCACTCCTGCCAAAACAGAAAGAAGAAATACAACAAACAAAGCCAATCTCTAAAGTGCTCTCTCCAAATTAATAATACTGTAAATTTACCTTTATGCCAAAGGCCAGGTGTGTGTCTATTTCATTTTATCTTTCCCTATAATGACTTGTGCCGAAAAGTAATAAGCAAGCACTGTCCTCACCTCACAAGTGTGTTTTTATTTTAAATTAAGTAATATGACATGTGGGAGAACTCTTAGTTCACTGCATGACATGATACAAATATAGTTTACAAATAAATATTATAACAGTATTTATCAATATTTGTTGAATGCTTGATAAGAGCATTCTTATCAATGGTTGAACCCTTCATGGTTGAACCCTTATCTTATCAATGGTTGAACCCTTCATGGCATCCCATAACCTGCCCTCCTTGAGTTAGTGGCTTTGCAAATGAGTTTCTTCACTGGTGATCATAACAAGAATAATGTTAAATTTCACGGAGCTGTGCTTTCCACAGGCCTCAGTGAGAAGGAGGGCCAAGGGTCAAATGAGAGTAAGGGAAGCCACAGTGGGGCCAAAATGCTGTTTGTTCTTTTTCCTCCTTTCAGGAATGAAAAATGACTGATCAGCTTGGTTAGAGATGATCAAATACCAGGGAAATAGCTCAAGTCCACAGACCATTCATAGATGGACTTCGACACACATAAATATACCTACTTGGTAAAGAGTAAAGCCCAAGTAGACCAGCATCTCTTGAGGCATCCTCACATTTGCCTTACAATCCCAAAAACATCTGGGAACCCTGCCATGATCAAAAGATTTGTTGACTCAATAGTGAGCTGAGCAAAAAAATGTGGGTAAGCAAAATGGCCATCTTAGTTTAAAGACAGGATGCCTGGCCCTTTCTTCCCAGTGGGCAGGAGGCCGCACCCTCTCCACTGGCCCATGTTAACCCGATAAATCCCTGCCCTGCCTTTCTCTAGGCTCAGGGAGGTCACCTTCTCCTATTCCTATTTGTCAGTACAATAGCCCCTGGCTTTACTTCCACACACATTCAGGATAAGTTGTGATCATGGAAATTTCGATTCCTTACACTGACTGACTACATTTTACATATTGTTGACAGTATCCCTGTGCCATTTGCAGCCTGCTTCCAAACCTCTCTGTGGGGTGCAGGACACCCAGAGGTTTCTCCATGGATTCTGGTGTCAACCACAGCATGTAGCCTGGTACCTCAGAGATGGGGTCCACCTTTCTTAGTGGCCCAGTGTTTGAAGTCACGCTACCTTTCCTCAGGTGACCTGTGTTCCCCTCCTCTGAAGTATGACTCTGAGCCTGCTGGGTCATCTGGCAGCAGTAGCACAACATGGCTCTGCTATGAGAACAATGTCACTTACTCCTGGGCATCCCTGACCCAGCCCTGTTCTCACAGACCTCCTTAGCTTGGTAAATATTTATCCAGCATGCCTGGTCTCAGCCAAAGCATGATAACCATCCTTTGCCTGCTCTTTATGCTAGAAGAGAAAACAATTGATTCCATTTAAATGTAACTGGAAAATAGGGCAATGTCAGTCATCCACCATTGAGTTAAGAAAAGATTCGTCCATCTGATTCTCTTTTATTCAAAGTCAGATCACATACCCACCGACACAAACGGGGGACTTTCAAAATTCACTCCACCTCTGCTTCCCCCTTTCTTTCCTACATTTTATTTACCCCATGAGTTGAAATGACTCCATTATTTTCTTATTAAAATAGGTTATATTTTCTATGTAAGTGTCTTAGAACAAAGCACGTTATCTACACAGGATCGTGTAGCTCAGTACACTGTTACTGTCCTAGACCAGAGTTACCAGCAGGATAAATGTTTCAACTGAAGGGTACAAAACTTGAGCTTCCCATCCTACACCACCAAGATCATGCCACTGTAGAACAAGATTTTCTTCAAGTCTCTTAGCATCTCCTACCCTCAGGCTTTGGGCTGGACAACAATGAGTGACATGTATGATAATTTATCATAGATGGTTCCTATACTATGTTCTCCATCAGTACTGCCCAATACAATGTTCTACCAGGGAGGGAATGTTCTATATCTGTGCTAATTCAGTAGCCACTGGCCACAGATGGCTAATGAGCCCTTGAGTATGGCTAGTGCAACTGTGTTTTCAATTTTATTTAATTTAAATTTAAATAGCCACATGTGGCAAGTGACTACTGTATTGAATGTTGCACTGCCTGGCCATGAGATACTACATTTATTATTAAGTTATTTAGCCTAAAGTGTTTTGACAAATACATTTTCCCCATGGCTTTCCCCCACCAACATTTCATTTTTACCAAGTACTTGGCATCTACTGTAACTTACAGCTCCCATTCCCCTAATTTAAGAAAATGTTAAGAGTCAAGTTCACTGGACAAACGGGAAGCAAATTAACACTTCAGATTTCTGGTTAAAAATGTGGATGCTATGTATTGAATTCAGTGGGTCTTACACTCCCTCCAACTTGTAAAATAAATGGGTACTTTTTAAATTATCCACAGCATGTAAGATACACTGAAAGGGCTGTGGATGCTTCCAGAACAACACACTTAAGGGCACACACTATACTTTGTTAAGAGCAGGAAATGTCAACAGAAAAACTCCTGCAGAGGAAGATAATTACATTTTGCTTCCTACCCTTGGAAAAGCCTTTTCAATATCCACCCACCCAAGTTTAGTTTGCTCTCCAAAGAGGTTCTTGTGAAGAACACAGAAGCTATTGTTTCCCCACCAAGGACTCTCCTCAAATAAGGCTTTGTCTCAATGCTTCACAAGACAATCACTCTCCAAGAAAATGCAGGGGAATTGGGCCAGATGGTGTCAACTTGGTGCTGTTTACACAGACTGTTCTTTGAATGACCAAGAGAGAGTTGGCAGGGCCACTTACACCAAAGACTTAGAGACCTGGAGGCGCTCAAAGGAGAGACAGCAAACAGTGATGAGAAGGTGGGGAGGGAGGCTGACGGGGCAGGAGTACTCTGGCTAGCTTGTTGGGAGTACAAGGAGTGACTCCCTGCACCAGGACATGGAATCTTGCTGAGGGGCTCAGAACAGTGTTGCTGGGATGGGATATACCCGCTGGCAGAAACTTGCCCCTCATGATAGTTCCTTTGCAGGTTTGGAATCCAACCACCAAGTTCTGCTGAACGAATGATTTTATAATCAGCTAACTCTGCCCACGATGGAAAGCAAAGGCCAGTTTCACAGACCCAAATACATTTGGCCTCTGAACGACATGGATTTGAACTGTGAGGATCCATTTACATGTGGATTTTCTTCTGCCTCTGCCGTCCCAGAGACAGCATGACCAGCCACTCATCCTCCTCCTCCTCCTCAGCCCACTCAACATGAAGACGATGAGGAGGAAGGCCTTTCGGATGATCCACTTCCATTAAACAAATCGTAAATGTATTCTCTCTTCCTTATGATTTTCTTAATAACATTTTCCTTGACTCTAGCTTACTTTACTGTAGGAATCTCAGTATATAATACATACAACATACAAAACATGTTAATTGACTATGTTATTGGTAAGGCTTCTGATTAACAGTAGGCTATTAGTAGTTAAGTTTTTGGGGAGTCAAAAGGTATACGTGGATTTCTGACTGCACAGGTTGGGCACCCCAACCTGCGTTGTTCACGGATCAACTGTAATCTCAAGAACTAGGCAACTGTAATATTTACTTATATAATCAGAGATGTGCATCCTTTCAAATTTCAAGTTCCTTTCATATGGAGCAAAGAAAGTATCTAAAATTCAGGGGCTAATGTTCTTTTCATGTGTTTGCCCCCTTGGTCTTTCCCTTCTGAAAACGGCAACTCCATTTTGCCAGCTCCTTGGCCCAAAAACCTTGGAGTCATCCATGACTCCTCTTTCTCACACATTCAATACCCAATTCTTTAGGAGATCTTGTCAGCTCTACTGTCAAAATGTAGCTGGAACCCCAGCACTTCCCACCACCTACACCAGTACGATGTTACTCAAAGCCACCGCCATTGGTCTCCTGGCCACTACTGTCCCAACTCAGCAGCCAATGTGGTCCTTTTGCAAGGTCAGGTCAGATCCGTCCTTCAGAATAAACTCTGAACTGTTCCTGGCCTACTGCAATTTCTCTGGGCATCCAACCCTATACCACACTGTCCCTCACCTGTTCTCTACAGCCATGGAGGACACCTTGCGGTTCCTTAAAGACACAGAACATGCTCTCTACCTCAGGGCCTTTGCACGTTCTCTTTTTGCTCTCTAAAACTTGGACATTTAGCAGAGACCCATGGGAAATGGGGAAGTCATTTTTGAGGTCATTTCCCATAGGTCTCTGCTAAATGTCACTTTTTCAGAGAGGCCTGTCTGACAAGTTTTATAAAATATGAACATGTATATATCCATTTGCACACCATTATGCTCTCTCCTTCCTCCCTTACTTTGTTTTTCTTTGTAGTACTTAGTACCACCTGGCATATGATGTAGTTAGGTCTTTTCCTGTCTTTCTGTACTGGAACGTAAGTTCCCAGCCCTCTACAAGGGGGAAATCCCCCAGAAGTAAGGCTTGGGGATGACGGACTGCCCTTCCCAACCTCACCACTCCCTCCTCGCCACCCAACACCAAAAAAAAAAAAAAAAGATAAATCTCCACCACACTTCTCTAAATCAGAGTTGTACTGAAAGGTGTAAAATGGGGGTGTTGTGGGGAGAAGTACGCGTGTGTATGAAACACTGACCTTTGCATCAGGAAACCTATTCAAAAACCCAGGTATTTCCAGGACAAATGTTCCTATCTCCCTGACAGTTCCTGTGCTCTTTTTCTGTATGGGCTAATTTTAATTCCATCTCATTGGGTCCCTGTAGTAATCAATGTTGACAGTCCCAGATGCCAGGCTTTCGGGAGGGCGTCTGCTTATTCCCTCGGGATTACACTAAGTGACTTAACCCACAGGACAGCGAGCAGTTCTCTAGAGTTTTCAAGAGAAATAGCATGCAGTGCACAGTCCACACCAAGAGCCAGAGGGGTCCTGCAGGGCTCTGAGCATCTGTGTATCGAGACAGTGATCTCCTTGAGAGCAGGGACCTCATCCTCCTTCATGGCTGGCCCGGATGCCTTGCATGAGATCTAGACGTAGTCAAGCTCAATACGAGCTGGAAGAATGCTGCCCAGCTGAAGATAACCAAATATTTTACAGATTGTTCACTGCATGCGGATGGCTCAAATAAATGCTTTTCATCTATCATTGGAAATAGATGCATTTTTTAAAGCATTAAGTATTACGGCCATTCATGTTGAGTATACGGAGACACCAGATTTGCACTCAGCGGGAATGAAACGGTCTTCCATTTTACGGGTAACCACTTAGAATTTCCTATGTTGTGCTTAATTTAACTTTGAGACTCTGCATTAGCCAAAGTACAATAACATTAACATTAATTGTTTCTTTAAGGGAAGAAAGGTATGATCGGATTAATGTGTCCGTGAGCACATACACCAGGCCTGGCACGTGGTTCCCAACTGCTGCTGGATCCACCCACAAGTCTTGGCATAGGACTAATTCAGCCCAAAAGTACATTTTGATGGTCTGTGGGATGGATCCCAATGGTAGCTGACAGCTGACATTGAATATTTGAGTACACGGTATCGCAAACATTAATGAGTTATAAAAGAAAATATCATCCCACTGAGTCGAATTGCTCATACACAGAAAAAAAAAAAAAAAAGCCATAGGAACTGCTGTTCCTACAATACCCAGAAATAGAATTCATAACATATGACTGGCACAATTAAGACATTTGAGAGCTTGGTAAAAATAAATAATTATGTAATAGAAAAAAAGCAGTGATAACTTTCAAAACATTTAAACACCACATAGGCCAGCATCTCGCCCAAAGCTGAAATCTCATTCACTGGATATCCAGCAGGGGTGTGTGTATTCGTTCAAACACTTGTGGAACCCAGGTGCTGTTACCGCCATCAAAACAATGATCCGTCTGTAGGCACCACTAACCATGAGACTCCTCCAGCACCTATCAGATGTTAAGACAGACACTAAGGATAAAATGACAGAAAACCGCATTTCTGGGCCCAAGGGCCTCAGAATCTATTTAAAGGAGACAATACAAAATTACACAGTGAAGGGGTTGGTGATGGGACACAGTGAGGCCACAAGCGCACCAAGGAGAAATATCATGAATAAGAAAGCAGGAAAGACTCCAAGGAAGTAATAGTGCTTTGGCTCATACTGAAGTCTGTTCAAGAAGCAAGAGGCCAAGGCATTCCAATGAAGCGCAGACATGGGGCGGGAGCGTGGAGAGGATCTGTAAGTATATCAAGAGGCTCCCGTCAGTTCCAGAATAGCCATATGTACGTGCTATGAAGCTTAGATTTTATCCCAAAGATGAAGGAAAACCACTGAAGAATAACACACTTAGCTATGCATAAGCAAACCTATACCATCCCTCCTCAGTCTTTATTGTGCTACTTACTAATTGAATGTCAGTCCTCCCCCAGCGACCCTAAGCTCCATGAGAACAGGGACTGCATGGGTTTTGTTCACCCATGTATTCCTATCATCAAAAGAAGTGTGTGGGGCCGGGTACGGAGGCTCACGTCTGTAATCCCAGCACTTTGGGAGGCCGACGTGGGCGGATCACGAGGTCAGGAGATCCAGACCATCCTGGCCAAGATGGTGAAACTCTGTCTCTACTAAAATTACAAAAATTAGCCGGGCATGGTGGTGGGTGCCCGTAGTCCCAGCTACTCGGGAGGCTGAGGCAGAAGAATCGCTTGAACCAGGGAGTCAGAGGTTGCAGTGAGCCGAGACCGTGCCACTGCACTGCAGCCTGGTGACAGAGCGAGACTACGTCTCAAAAAAAAAAAAAAAAAAAAGAAGTGCCTGGGACATGGCATAACCAGTTTTCAAGCTGTCAAACGGCACAGCACAAAACATCATATTGGATTTTTTTTTAAAGATTATGCATGAAGAGAATTAAAAATGAGCTAAAGAAAATTGAAATCAACTGTAGCTTAGGAAATTCAATATGTTGAAATATGTGCTTTTAAATAACAGGTAGGGGGCAAACAATCTAGAATCAGTCAAGTAGAATCTGGTTGCCAATGTGTAAAAGCAAAGTCAGAATAATCATGGTAAAGACACGTCTTGGCTGGGCACAGTGGCTCACACCTGTAATCCCGCACTTTGGGAGGCTGAGATGGGCGGATCACGAGGTCAGGAGATTGAGACCATCCTGGCTAACATGGTGAAACCCCGTCTCTACTAAAAATACAAAAAATTAGCCAGGTGTGGTGGCGGGCGCCTGTAGTCCCAGCTACTCGGGAGGCTGAGGCAGGAGAATGGCATGAACCCGGGAGGAGAAGGTTGCAGTGGCCGAGACTGAGCCACTGCACTCCAGCCTGGGAGAGAGAGCAAGACTCCATCTCAAAAAAAAAAAAAAAAAAAAAAAAAAAAAAAAAAAAAAAAGACATGTCTGATGGTTAATTTGGAAAGGACAAATGCCTATGACATTGACTTTTTGCAGAGAAAACAAAAATATTTGGAAGATGAAAGGAAAAGCGAACATTTTGTATCTGTAGTGCAAAGCACAGTGACTATAGCAGAAACTGGTTTCTGTTTTGTTTTATTGGGAGCATGTCATGAAAACACATGCAAAGATTAAATTGCAACAGGTTGGGTCAGTACGATGCTACATAAACAGTATGAGAGTTTTTTAATTAAATTGGCTCAGGTAACAAAATGATGTGATATCATGGAAACAAAATCTGACTGGATAAGCTCACAGTACAGCAAGGATCCCTGAAGCCCATCAATCCAAAATTCTGTTATTATTCTTCCTCATTGTTCTTTTTATTTATAAAAGCTAATTTCTTTAAACAACAACAAGAAGAAGTGCCTGGGACAAAGTAGGTACTGAGTAAATGTTGACTGGATCAATGAGTCCATCGGTAATCAATGTGTTGTCTCTAGTAGGGTGGACTGAAAAGGGGTGTTTTAGTCCATTTTCACGCTGCTGATAAAGGGAAACCCAAGACAGAACAATTTACAAAAGAAAGAGGTTTAAAGGACTCACAGTTCCACATGGCTGGGGAGGCCTCAAAATTATGGCAGAAGGTGAAAGGTATGTCTCACATGGCGGCAGACAAGAGAAGAGAGAGAAGCAAAAGCAGAACCCCCTTATAAAACCATCAGAACGTGTGAGACTTACTCACTACCATGAGAACAGTATGGGAGAGACCACTCCTGTGATTCAATTATCTCCCATGGGGTCCCTTGCACAACACGTGGGAACTATGGGAGCTATAATTCAAGTTGAGATTTAGGTGGGGACACAGCCAAACCATATCAAGGGGACAGATACTAAGGGAGGCAGAAAGACCAGCTGGTCACAGGAGGGCTCTATGAAATAATGAGGCTTGTGCTCAGGAAGGAGCAGATGCAGGAGAGAGGGGCAGATAACGAGACGCAGGATCACAAGATCTGGTGACTGCTTGGCTACAAGAGACGAGTGGGCAGGAGAAACCCATGGGCCACGCAGGTTTCTGGTTTGCAGACTGGGTGGAAGGGACAGTGAGGCCAGGGGTTCTAAGCGAGGAAAGAATAAGGTATTATGAGCAGTGAGAGAGTCAATTCAGTGTTAGATATACTGATCTCAGGGTACCTAAGGGGCAGCAAAGAGGAAGCGGCATACATAGGTCTGCATGCAGAGGGAGACGTGGCCTGAAATAGACACAGGGGACCCCCAAACGGGCCAGGAAGGGGCCGTGGAACAGTGGGTGAGAAGACAGTAGCCTGGAGCAAGGCTTGGGATCATTTTTCTGGCAAATACTGACTCCTGTCAAGTTCACTGTTACTCCCAAACGATGGTTGAAAAGCAACAACTTGTCTTCTTAGTAAGCTTCCTACTATAAGCATTTTATTTTCAACTCTTAAGACTAATAACAGCGGAAGCAGTTGAACAAGATCATCTCCATAAAGGAAGAGAGTCGTTTGAATGCTGCCTGTTGGATTAAAAAGCAGTTGAGACCAAATACGCAAAACAAAATTACCCCAATGTCAGATGTAAAAAGGGCTGATGATGATTCTTTTCATTACAACCAGGATCCACTTAGGTTTCAAATTTCTGTGAGACAAGGCAGCAGATTACAGGAAGGATAATGAGCATGTTTTAATGTCTAGCAGGCACCTGGCTTTCTCAGACTGTGAGTGACATCACTAAGCAACCACGCAGCTTCCCAGGGGCTCTTTGAGATGAAGAAAAAAATGCTCAGAAAATTCTGAATGAAATAAAATGAGGAGATTAGGAGAAAAAGGAAAGGAGCTAGCATTCATGACGAGAAAACACACATTAATCTGTTTTATTTCAATTTTTTAAACTTCTTATAAGTAAGAATGCCTCCAGGTTATGGGGGGTGGGGAGGGATTCCATATTTTAAAATTTTTTAATGTGTACATGTTACATTTTTTCCCTTCAAAATAAAAAAGCTTTGTTAAGTCCAATAAGGGGACATGCACATTGTTACAATCTAGACTGCCTGCTTGATTGAATGGAATGCATTTCCATGAGCACTGCAGCATTACCTTTTAGCTACTGAATAATAATACTCGCACCTTTTGGAAAAGTAGCAACATGGAAGCAGGTTTCAAAATCTTTCA
Organism: Homo sapiens; assembly: GCF_000001405.40. NCBI lineage: Eukaryota > Metazoa > Chordata > Mammalia > Primates > Hominidae > Homo > Homo sapiens. Next base: position 98,285,018 of record NC_000013.11, on the reverse strand, counting down.
TTCCAAAGTCGGATCTAGGGCCAGACCATAAATTAGACAGACTCTGTGTGGCTTTCAGGTCCAAGGGGGCCCACCTCTGTTAACAGGAGTGACATTTTCCCATCTGTCTAATAGGAAATGCGTACACAGAGAACTAGCAAGAAGTGTGCCTCAGCTCAAGGAGAGTCAATAGCTAGCAGCTGGCACAGGAAGAACGATTCCAGAGCCTGGTTTTAATCCAACACTTCACTCAAATTACTCTGAGGCAGACTGAGATCCTCTGAATATTAGAAATTAATTTTCTCAACTCACTGAGAGTAGAAACAAACTTCACTTGCAAATATAATCAGGAAAAAACATTGAGGGACAAAGGGAGTCAGTAACTCAGATACTTGAGACTGGGCATTTGGAAAAGTCTAGATATCCTTAATGTAATCAGAAGAAGAAAAAGAGCAATGGGTTCATTCATCTAATTCCGTAATGAGACTGCTATTTTTTTTCCCAAATATCTATGTGTCTGCTGAAGCCAGTTTAGCCACTTAGTTCTTGGGGATCAAATGTCTAGCTCTCGGGTTGGGGGAACACTTCTCAGGGATTTAGCTTTGTTTGTTGCCTAGGTACCGTGAGGTGAGGGCAGGGATGGGGCAGGGCATAGGAAGGGCAAGTTATGGATATGTATCATCTTGGTCATTTAAAGACATTTATACATAGAAGGAAGGTGGTGGCATTGGTTATCCAAGTGTTGACCAACAATCTTTTGGTTTCCCTGGGCCACACTGGAAGAAGAGGAAGAATTGCCTTGGGCCACACATAATATACACTAACACTAACAATAGCTGATGAGGAAAAAAAAAAATCACACAAAAAGTCTCATAATGTTTTAAGAACACTTACAAACTTGTGTTGGGCCTCATTCAAAGCCATCCTGGGCCATGGGCGTTGGACAAACTTGTTCTAGATATATCTGCACTGTCCAATATGGCAGCCACCAGCCACATGAGGCTATTGAGAACTTCAAACATGACCAGTGCAACTGAGGAGCAAACATTTTAATTGTATTTCATTTAAACTGAAATCACTATATGTTGCTGGAGCCCTTCCACACTGCACAGCATAGATTTAAAGGACACAACCTACCTTCTTTGTTAGCTGCCCTTCCAAACAGAAAATTCTAACTTTGAACATTTTGGGATTTATTTTACCCAGTAACTTGTACATCCTTAATTATAGTCAGCAAATACCCATATTTGTGGCAGTGTATTCTATAAACAAGCTAAGTAATTATCTTCATCTGCAGAGATATATAAACTAACCACATTATAGGCTGAGGAAAATTTCACTTAAAGGTATATGCTAATTATAGAAGAGCACAACCTTCAGGGTGCTTTCTCCTAAAGCAAGAACAAATATCTTAAAAATATTAGTGAATAGGCTGATAAAATCGGAAGGTTTATTATCCAAAGATTTTTCTCAGATGAAAAAAACAGAAACAAAACCAGCTTCTTAGAACGCCAGAACACCCAACACTTGGATTCTGTCCTGTTTGGTAGCCTCTGTTTATTATCCTGCCTCTCTGCAAGGGCTTCGGTAAACTCTGCTGCATCCTTAGGCTTCTGGGGAGAAGACTAAGCTTTTAATTGCTGTACATGGCATTTTCCAGGATAGCCTCTTGCATTCTACTGTTCTAAAAAATTTGAAGACAAAACCCAAGTAATTTTAGTCTTTCTTGACCTTAAATTTGCATGAACGGCTTCCTCTAAAACTTCCCTTTGGTTTTCTCCTTAGAATGAAGATGTCCTGATTTTCCTTATGAAAATTCCTAACTAAGTCAAATGACAGGAAAGCCACTTTCAAAGCATATAGATTATAGCATTTATGCAGAGTTATCCTGTTCAATCAAGTCAAAATGATCCTCTTTAAGGTGTAGACAAATTCGCTCAAGTGCACATAAAGTCCTTCATTATACAGAGAAATGCATAATAACATGTGCATACTGATAAGCATGATTATTTCAGTAAAATGCATCTTCTAAGATAGTAGGTATAATGACATATTGTTTTTATGGCAATGTCAAAAAAAATAAAGCATTTGACAGGAGAGAATTTTCCAGAAAATTTTTTATTTTTTTTTATTTTTTTTTGAGACGGAGTCTCGCCCTGTTGCCAGGCCGGAGTGCAGTGGCGTGATCTCTGCTCACTGCAACCTTCACCTCCTGGGTTCAAGCGATTCTCCTGCCTCAGCCTCCTGAGTAGCTGGGACTACAGGCACGTGCCGCACACCAGCTAATTTTTGTATTTTTAGTAGAGACAGGGTTTCACCATGTTAGCCAGGATGGTCTCGATCTTTTGACTTTGTGATCCGCCTGCCTCGGCCTCTCAAAGTGCTGGGATTACAGGTGTGAGCCACGGCGCCTGGCCCAGAAATTCTCTTTTAAGGTCAAATCTTTTAATCCTCTGATAGAAATAATTTCTGAGTAGGTTTATAATTCCTTGAGTTCTTAGAGAGAGAACTGATCTTAGACCATTTATCAAACATCCATTATTATTACTATTTTTACTATAGTATTCTAAGCCTGTCAACTTTTGAGTTACTATTTACTTTTGTAGAGTCAGAGCCTCTGCTATCAATTCTCACAGCTCACTTTGCTCTATCTCTTTCCAACCTTCTATGTCCTAGGAACAATAACTAAGCCTGTGTAGGTTAATTGAGTTTGTTAATCATGGGGTTTTTGTTTTTTGTTTTTTCCTTTTTTGAGACAGGGTCCCACTCTGTCCCCCAGGCTGAAGTACAGTGCTGTGATCACAGGTCCCTATGCTCAGGTGACCCTTCCACCTCAGCCTCCCAAGTAACTGGAACCACAGGCACACACCACCATGCCTGGCTAATTTTTCCATTTTTTTAGAGACAGGGTTTCACCATTTTGCCCAGGGTGGTCTGGAACTGCTGAGCTCAAGTGATCCGCCCACCTAGGCCTCCCAAAGCATTGAGATTATAGGCGTGAGCCACTGCGCCCGGCCTCATCATGTTTTGAATGAGGAACTAAGGAGTAAAGTACTCGGCTGATGGGCAGAGGATTTCTGCCAAGTGATGCATTCAGAGGTTCATGCCCCACGGACCCCACATTAGAATTTCACATCTGCCTTAAAAGAAGTTGAGGCAGTAAGATGCGTGCCCTCCAAATAACAGCTGAAGTCCAAATTTCAGTTAACAGAAAATTAGCTGGGTAACTTACTATTAACCAGAATCAAGGGTACCAGATAATTCTTGGAATAATCAGAGGGCCTCGCAGTTCATAACAGCTGAGGAATATCACTCCCCTGTATTGTCAAATGCCAAAGACTCATCATTAATGTTGACCATGGAGCAGATTTCTTGTTTGCAGTTAGTACATTTTCATTTTACCTTTAAAATTAGCTAGAGGTAAAAGCATTTTGATGCTCCACTTTTAGTGACTTTCTTGTGCTTGTTGTATGGGAAGGTAGAGACATGGAGTGAATGTGGACTGTAGTGAATACAGATTCCCTGACAGGAGGGCAATAAGGAGATCCAGGCCAGGTGCAAATAACTGCACTGTGATTAAAGAGGATGGAAATGAATAGACATACAAGAGCCACTAAAAAGCTATGCCTTCTTAAACAAGCTTGCTGAAAGGAACTTTTTTTTTTTTCCCTCCAAGACAGAGTCTTGCTCTGTTGCCCAGGCTGGAGAACAGTGGCACGATCTCAGCTCACTGCAACCGGCTCACTGCAACCTCCGCCTCCTGGGATCAAGCAATTCCCCTGCCTCAGCCTCCTACTCAGCTGAGATTACAGGTGCGTGCCACCACACCCAGCTAATTTTTGCATTTTTAGTAGAGACAGGCTTTACCATGTTGGCCAGGCTAGTCTCCAACTCCTGACCTCATGATCTGCCCACCTCGGCCTTTCAAAGTGCTGGGATTACAGGCATGAGCCACTGAGCCCAACCTGAAATAAACTTTATAACTAGCCATTATTAATAAATATATTTTTGCTTTTACTATTTATAATACATAATTGTCCAAAAAAGTTTTAATTGCATTAAGTAGTAACAGATTAGGATTACATTAATCATGTTAGGTGTAAATTTAAAAATTCACTCCTAACAAAAACATCCCTCTCTGTATTTTTGCTTTTCTCAGAACGAACCCAGCCATCTATTTTCTCTGATTAAACTACCATGGGCCCTAAATAAGTGGGCTAATAACATCCAGAGAAAGAATACGATCGTGCTTTTGTAAAATGAAGAATAAAAATGGAGTCAATGGAATTGAGTAAACGATCAGTAAAGAAGTTGAGGGATGAAGTCCAGGCAGTTGAGTTTTCTGGAAAAATTCATTAATTTGTCAAACTTAGGATTTGAAGAAGTGTCTGTGAACAGAAACCCCCCAGGGTTTGGGTTACATGATGAACTTGTTCAAGTTGCTCGTTTACCACAGTCGTGGGTGCTGACAGTACACCGGGTGTCCGGCCAGGCTCTGTGCAGCTATACGGATTCAACAGGGACACAGACAGGAGCAGACAGAGAGCTGGGGTGAGCGGGGAGCACATGGGAAGGACACCTAAAGAAGGGTCTTCTCGGCCAAGACATGAGGAAAGAGTGAGCCTGGGATGAAGCCTGGCAGAACTGCTCAGGAAGGCATGAGAGCAGCCGCCGAGGCCTGAAAGCTGAGGCTGCACCAGCTCGGGCCATTTCCCGTGGGGGCTCGGGGCTGGGCTGGAAAACCAGCTGATGCTGGGTGTGGAGGGGGAGGGCATGGGGGAATTGATCCCGGAGACCCCGGAAGCACACCCAGGAGGCTGTTTTCTAGGGGAAGCCACTGCTGGTTTTTAAGCAGAAGTGACGCCAGCTGATTTGTGTGTTAAAGAAGGATTTCCTCAAAAGAATAGTCAGCATTGAGGTCATGGAGGGGAGCCACGGGCACTGCAGGCAGAGAGGAAATGGAGGCGACATGCATGGCTGGGAGCAGGGCATGCAGGGGAGGGCACAGGGGCACTGATGTGGCAATGGTTACCTCCCCCTGGGAGGAGCCAGGAGCAAGGGAGAGGCTGAAAACACCTGAGAAAGGTGCTGGGCACATCAGGGTCAGACAGCGGAGAACGTGGGGGAGACCCGGAAGACAGAGGGGGGGCGTCGCCTGGTACCGGGGCCACAAGTCTTCAATCTGAGCTACGTCATACCCCACAAAGCCACATCCTACATCCTTTCTTGGGATCACTGATTCTTGTCCAAGCCTCTACGAGTAACAGTAGCAAGGCACAGGATTTCAGAAGACAACCCACCTACCAGGGTATATGCAATGGTGATGTCCCTGACATCCCCTGGGGCAGCTGTCACTCTGCTGCAGGGGCCCCACCCAAGCTCCTCTCAAGCCGAACAGAACCAGCCTCTGCACGTGCTCTGCCCACTGGGGCGGGCACTAGCCACATGTGGCTAGTAAGTTAATTAAAATTAAATACAATTAAGAATTCAGTTGCTCAGTCAATCCAGAACCACATTTCCAGTGGCTACTGAAACAGCAGAAGCCCAGAACATTTCCATCATCACAGCAGTTCCACCATTCAGCACTGCTGTAAAACTGTAATATGTGTGGAATTTGTTTCAAATGGCATATGCAAGGGGGAGCAAATTTTTAATTGCATTAATAAAAAGAAATTTCACTTCACAATCATTATTATTTCAACATTCTCAGTGAAGAGAATCAATGTGGAAAACAAAAGTAACCACCACTTCAACATTCTCTTGAATCTACAAAATTTTCAAAGTAATGTAATGGAAGAAATAAATGTTAATACTGGCACATTTCATGAGCAATTTTTTCTATTGTACTTAGAAATTTACTATTTATTTAGCATGCTGCCTATCTGGATTAAAAAACATTAAAATGGGCCGGGCACGTTGGCTCACGCCTGTAATCCCAGCACTTTGGGAGGCCGAGGCGGGCAGATAACGAGGTCAGGAGATCAAGACCATCCTGGCCAACACAGTGAAACCCCATTTCTACTAAAAATACAAAAAAAAAAAAAAAATTAGCAGGGCGTGGTGGCAGGTGCCTGTAGTCCCAGCTACTCAGGAGGCTGAGGCAGGAGAATGGCATGAACCCGGGAGGCGGAGGTTGCAGTGAGCCGAGATCGCACCACTGCACTCCAGCCTGGGCAACAGAGGGAGACTCTGTCTCAAAATAAATAAATAAATAAATAACATTAAAATGATAAGAAAAACAATGCAGCCTCGTCACAGCAGGTATCAAAACACCTTCATAAGTGTTCATAATTAATATTAATAAATTTATGACATAGTCCATGAAACCACAAGGTAGAAATGTAGAAGTGAAGAAGTGAAAAATCTACCATTTTCCCAGCTAGCAGGTCTTATGGGTCTTTACACAGGTTTACTGATGAGTAGTGGTTATTATGCCAATCAATATACACTCCGAACCAGAAAACGAAGGATGTTCTCCAGGGAGGACACAGACAACACTCAGACACAGCTCTGGATCTCAACCCTGTTTGCACATTAGGGTCATCTGGTGAGTTACACAACACACTCACTCACACACTTGCAACACTGTCTCACACACATTCTCACACATATACACAATGCTCACACAAGCACACTCACACACATATGCAACGTGCACACAAACACGCACTTAAACACAATATACTCTCGCATTCACACTCACACACATATACACACACTTGCAGTATACTCTCACACACACACACATACATACACACATTCACAAAATATACACATACACACACAACACACACATACAACATGTTCTCACACATACACTCACACACAACACAAAGACACACAGAACATACACACACACACACACACTCACTCACTCATACACACACCCTGGATATTAAAGTCTCACTGTGGACCGGTAGAAGAAAACACAGCTCTTTTGAATAGTCACAGTAATACTTCCCCTTAAGCTCCATTTAAAACAATAGCTTGTTAAATAACAGATCACCAGATTTTGACCATTTAAAACAATAGCTTGTTAAATAACAGATCACCAGATTTTGACCATTTAAAACAATAGCTTGTTAAATAACAGATCACCAGATTTTGACCCTCGCTGCACAATAGAATCACCTGGAAAGCTTTTCAGAAATAACAATGCCTAGGCCCCCGCCCAACCAATTGAATCAGAATTTCTGGGGGGTGGAAGTTGAGCATCCATGTTTTCCAAGAGATTTCTAGATGATTCTAATAGGCAGCTGGCATGAAGAACCAGTGCTCTCAATGAACTGAATACCATGTTTCTTGAGAACCTGAAACAGGCGCCGCATGCATAAAACAAGCCCAGGGAACTGAGACTCACTCGGCTGACTCTAAACAGTGCTCTGCCACTAGCACAGGACTCCACCCTCAAGGTGGCGTCCCCGAAGGTCTCCCAGAAGGCCTCACCCCTTTCCCAGCGCCACCACCCATACCTCCTCAGAGGAAGTCTCAGCACTGAAAAACGGCTTGTTGAATAAGCAGAACCAATTATGTGGACATGGATCATCTCTTTGTAGATGTTAATTAATATATTTCTTTCTAAAGCCAGGCATGGTATAAAACCAGCACTTTGGGAGGCTGAGGCAGGAGGATCACCTAAGGCCAGGAGTTCAAGACCAACCTGGGCAACAAAGCAAGATCCTGTTTCTACAGAAAATATATAAATAAATAAAAATAAAAATTAGCCAGGCAAGGTGGTGTGTGTCTGCAGTCCCAGCTACACGCGAGGCCATGGCCAGAGGACCACTTGAGCCCAGGAGTTCAAAGTTACAGTGAGCTATGACCACACATGCCACTGCACTCCAGCCTGGGTGACAGAGCCACTCCCTGCTTCTAATATATACATATGGGGTGTGTGTGTGTGTGTGTGTGTGTGTGTGTGTGTGTGTGTATTTTTCTAGAGCAGATCCAAGAGCTCAGACATGTTCTGGGATCATATTCTGATTTGATCTAACAAACATTTTGAACAAAACGAATACTTGTGTTTGAAATGTTGACATTTTCATATCAATCACCTTTTGCAATCAAAACAAAATATCAAGCAATCTTTAAGAACAGAATAGCAAATAATCCTGTATATGAACAGCTATTGTGGTCTTCCCCTTTTTACCTTCCTCCCACCCCACCCATGCCCCCTTGCTGGGTCACACACCCAGTGTGGGTGGCAGGGGTGGAGGACTCCTCGCATTGCCTGTGAGAGGTATCATTCTGGTCTTGGGGAAAGCAATGGATATTCTACATCCTATGCAATTATATTATGGTTCATTTATTCTTCCTAGGAACCTAACTTCTATTTAAACCATCGCACTCTGATGGGAAAATTCCATCTTTGGAACTTTTGAATACCAAGAAGATGACTTACTTTGGTTCTTTTGTAAACAAAATCCAAACGTAAAAACAATATAATAATAAAGATGCTTTTAAGCAAGAAAAAAAGTTATCCACATCCCCTCTACCCTAACCCAATTATTTTTACATTTGTTTAGCTCCTCTCTTTTGTCTGTACCAGTACAAAATCATCACATAGCTTTTGTAATCAAGTCTTACCTATAATCTTGTGTTTTGCTTTTTTTCAACTGTTATGCCATAATATTATGAATCAACAACTCCATAAACAGGGCAGAGTAGACCATATTGCCCAAAAGGGAATTCTTGCTCTGTCTCATTGGTTATATATAAATCCTAAACCCCAGGCAAAATTAGCAGGCTCTGGTGCTTCTAAATATCTTTTTCAGAGACTCTACAACACTCAATAATTGAGAAATGGGTCTTGTTCTTAGCATCTTGCTTCCTCATTTCATCAATTACATCAATAGAGGGAAGGCTAGCCTTCAGCTATGCTTAATTCCTCTGGGGACAGGCCATGAGCCCTCAGGGATAGCCAGGCCAGCCATCCTGTGAGCCTCTCAGAATGAACATGCAGAGATGTCAACATGAAACAAGGCAGAATTCCATCTGCCTGTATGCCTCAGAAAAAGGAAGAAGGGATTTCCATGATCACTTAGGACTTTCCATAATGACATCCATCATACCCCCGCCGACCTTTGTCAGTTTCACACACAGATCATAATTTTTCCAGTCTTAATGAAAACACTTCAAAAATGCATTAAGAAATCAATGCATGAAAAGAATATTTTATGATTCTCAACTATGTTTAAATGTTACACAAATCATGCTGCTGCCAGCCCAGAAAGTGACCAGGAGGTCACAAGTCAACCATTAATCAGTAAAGGTTTATTCTCTTCTCATGCCTGAAATTGCTTAGCCACCAATGTCAACCACTCACCAGGAAAGTGGGACATTTTATATACTAACTAATTGTCACAATCGTTCAGCTCAGTCTTTCAGAGATGCAAAAAAAAAAAAAAAAAAGAGAGAAAGAGAAAAGAAGTGGGGGGACCATTTCCTTTCAAACTCTAACAATGTTAGGAATTACTCTATTCTGCCAATCTCCTCCCTAGAAGCTTGTCAGATTTTGCCTTTAGGAAAACACAATTAAACCTATTAAAAATTCATAAAATATTTTAAAATATTTACCAAATCATTACCTAACTTCAACAATCATCAACTCATGGCCAATCCTGTTTCACCTACATATATATATATGAATATATATAAAAATATATAAATATTATCTCTCTCTCTCTCTCTCTCTCTCTCTCTCCTTACCCACATTCACTGCCACCTATTCTATGTGGAAGCAAATCTCTGACATCATGTATTCCATGCATAAATAGCTCAGTGTGTCAAATCTACTTTTGAAAAGGAATCTGAATTCATCTGTTCGTGTTTACGATATTCTGTAACATTAGAGTTTAAGTTAAGGCATTAACTTATTACAGAATCACATACAGAAAACCAAAGTGAAATCACAGCCTCAGACCTCTCACAGATATCATGTTACTTTCAAAAGATATCTGTCAGATAAATGCAGTCCTGTATCACAAGATAATTCACTGACTCACTCAAGGATGGCAAGATGAATACAGTATTGCATGGCTGAAGAACACTTTTTAATACAATCATATTACTTTAGGAACAAACAGATAGTGTTATAGCCAAGCATCTATTATCTGACCTAAATTAAAACCTTGAGAATAAAGTGATCTGATCTGAATACAAAATTTACCTGATGTCCAGATAAAACCCTAACATATTAAAGGAGGTTTTCACTTACTTGAAGGATACTGGTACCAGCTTTTAATATGTGAGATTTTTGATGGTCACCAACTTGGGAGCTGGTTAGTAATCGTTTACTAGTGTTTTATGTTTAGACTGAAATCCTCTCAATGGGACCATCCGGTCACTTTGATTTTAGGAAGTCTGCTGGGGAGGATTTCAGAAAGTAAATTATTAGGTTGGAGCAAAAGTAATTGCAGTTTTTTCCATTAAAAGGCTGCTGTTTATCTCATTGTTTACTTTTAGGGGAGGAGTTTGCCTAAAAGCTCAGGTTTCAAACTTTCAATCCCTGATTTTTGCTGTGTTAAAAAAAAAACTATTATCGTAGAAATATTAGGTTGGTGCAAAAGTAATTGCAGTTGTTGCCATTAATCAATGAAATAAACGGCAACCTTCCTTCCTCCCTCAGTCTCTTCTGCCCCAGGGAAATCTGAACTCAGTAAGGAGCCTGTGAAACTCAGCATTTCAGACAAAGAGAAACCGGAGGAGCCCCACGCTGCCCCGCGCTGCCTTTTCTAAACCAAGCATGGCCCTGTGCGCCAACAAAGCCTCCAGGGAATCTCTCTGTATAACCTGGGGATATCTCGTGCTCTTCTTGATCATTTTTCAAATCTTTTCACTTTTTTCCTCTAACAATCACACAGACAAAATAACCAGGCCTACAGGTACATCTGAATAGGGACAAAGTATGACGAGAAAAGCAATCCTAGATTAAAAAAGCAATCTCTGTATGCTGGTGGAGAGGGTGGTTGCCCTGAAAAGTCTGTCCCCTCAGAAGCAACCACAGTCAACAGCCAGACCTAGCAAACTCCATTTCTTCCTCCCTACCCAGGTCAAACCATGGTGTTGTCATTTTTAAACAAAAACTGATTATAAGTGGCTAAGTCTGTCATTGACCGCCATCATTCTCACACTTCCTTTTGTGGGGGAAAGAAGATGAGCTTTGTTATGAGGCAAACCTAGGTTCAAATCCCTGCTCTGCTGGGCCCGCTACTGTGTGACCTTGAACTTCTTGGAGGTCTCCCTGGAGGCCCTCACAGAGCTTAGTTCATTGTGGGCTCTGACCTTCTATTTCTCTACACACAAAATAGCATTTGCTGCTTCACACGAGCTATGTTATCAACAGAATATGATTTTCATCACTGTTACTTCAACAAACGCTTACTGAATGCCCACTGTGCCAGATGCTTCCGTGGACAAGAAGTTAGAGAGATGAGGCCCCAGGCCTTGCACAGCTCATTTCAGTGTAAACTAAAAAGAAATTCCTAAGCCCTCCACCAACTGAACAAACGCCTCTTGGCTAACGGGACCTCAGAAGAACCTTAAGAACTGAATTCCTGGCCAGGATGGGAAGGGAGGTTAGACATACCTCGTTACATCCCCTCCCTTTTGGAGTTTAGGCACAACTGACCAGCATTAATGTTAAACTAGAGATCATAAGATTCGCAAAACAGACTCTTTGTGACAGCAAGACATCAAAGGACCTAAGGCCAAACAGACAAGGATTAAGTCCCACATCCCTACAGGTGACTCTGACCCAGTATCTTGGTTAACAGACGTCCTTATCTTAAACATTCCTTTCTGCTGACTCCACATTTTTAGACAAAGCTTTACTCTTTTAACCAATGACACATTGAAGAATCTCTGAATCCACCTATAAGCCCCTGCCTCAAGATATCCCACCTTTTCAGGGCAAACCAACGCATACTAACCTTGTATTGATTCATGTCTTCACCTGCACTCCTGTCTCCCTGAAATATACAAAACCAAACTGTAACCCAACCACCTTGGGCGCACTTTCTCAGGACCTCTTCAGACTACGTTTCCCAGTCTCTCATACTCGCTCAGAATATACCTCTTTAGAATATTTTATGGAGTCTGGTTTTTCCATTAACACAAGTGTGGCCAGGGCCCTTCTAGCTTTTGACAAAATTGAACATACTTGTTTTGGGTGCCCATTAAGAGTTCAGAATAGTTCAGCCAGTGTCTTCTTTCTGCCCCATGGCCCCACTCTGAGCCCAATCCTTATAATCCTCACTAATCATCTCTGAAATGTGAGCTGATAGGAGCTCAAGCCAGGGTAGCAACCATGGCAACCAGCCCTCCTGACAGAAGACATCACTAATCTCTGACACCCCCTTTGATCCTCAATTCAAACTCCCAATCTTTCAGGACAAGATACTCCAGGCAGCCACTACCAACTGATTTTAGAGCTGGCAAAACTGCAACCAAACAAGTGACATTTTCCCCACATATCTGCACGTTAATATTGAGCCCCTAGTGACTTAAACAGAAGGATCCCTTAAGCTCCTAAACACAAAGGACAAGGAAGTCAGAGGGAAAACAGAAGGGTATGCATTTCACGAACGGGTTCCCAAATTAAAATTTCCTCCTTATCTTTTACTGAAGATTATTCTCTATCATAATGACTGTTGGGCTTTCCATTAGCGTGCAAAAGGGCTATTTTGAGGTACTTAAAAAATATGTATTTTGGCCAGGAGAGGTGGCTCACACCTGTAATCCCAGCACTTTGGGAGGGTGAGGTGGGCGGATCACCTGAGCTCAGGAGTTCAAGGCAAGCCTGGCCAACATGGTGAAACTCCATCTCTACTAAAAATACAAAAACTAGACTGGCGTGGTGGGAGGCGCCTATAATCCCAGGTACTTGGGAGGCTGAGGCAGGAGAATCACTTGAACCCAGGAGGTACAGGTTGCAGTGAGCCAAGATCGCACCACTGCACTCTAGCCTGGGAGACAGAGCGAGACTACACCTCAAAAAGAAAAAGAAAAAAAAATGTATTTTGAGACAGTATGGCGATTCCTCAAGGATCTAGAACTAGAAATACCATTTGACCCAGCAATTCCATTACTGGGTATAAACCCAAAGGATTATAAATCATTCTATGATAAGGAAGCATGCACACGTACATTTATTGCAGCACTATTTACAATAGCAAAGATTTGGAAGCAACCCAAATCAGTGATATACTGATATACAGTCTATCAAATCAGTGATAGATTAGATAAAGAAAATGTGGCACATATACACCATAAATACTATGCAGCCTTAAAAGAGAATGAGTTCATGCCCTTTGCAGGGACATGGATGAAGCTGGAAACCATCATTCTCAGCAAACTAACACAGGAACAGAAAACCAAACACCACACGTTCTCACTCATAAGTGGGAGCTGAACAATGAGAACACATGGACCCAGGGAGGGGAATATCACATACTGGGGCCTGTCGAGGGGTGGGGAGAAAGGGCAGGGACAGCATTAGGACAAATACCTAATGCATGTGGGGCTTAAAACCTAGATGACGGGTTGATGGGTGCAGCAAACCACCATGGCACATGTATACCTATGTAACAAACCTGCACGTTCTACACATGTATCCCAGAACTTAAAGTAAAATTTAAAAATATATATATGTATACTTGTCAGTACTGTCAATGTAAGAGGAGATAAGACTCACCACCGTTAAGAGGAGCATTTAGCAAATGACGCCAAGTGGGTCCTTGGAAAAAAGTCGTCACCGTGTGCTGGTTTGTAGATGTGTTCTCTCTTCCAAACTCTAGATTTCATTAGGGCAGATTCTCGGCCTAATTTGTTGAGTTGTTTCTCAACAACTAGCGTAGTGTCTAAGCCAGAGCAGACTCTCAGGTGTTTATGAATGAAGGAAACAGTTCTTTCATTTCCTTGAATAATCCTAAGTAGGCTGCTTTCAGCTCTTCTGTCATCCTGACTTGGGAAATTATTGAGACATCAGCAAAATGTATAATCGTCTTCATGAAAAGAGAGCTCACACAACTGCAATTCGCCTCGTCTTACATCATGATTTCTGATTCAGAGGACAGCAATGTAAAACCGTGAAGAAACGATGGCTCAGAGGGTGGCATCTAGACTCGTACCCTGGCCTGCCCTCGGGGCCCCTGCTCTCTGCAGTATACCACACCATCTCTGTACACTGCCTTGCGTGAATGTTCCATTTAGAAGAGAAGAGAGAAAAGAAAAAAATTAAAAGATATACATGCTTAGTTTCCCAATTTCTAAGTTGTCCCAATTCTCAGGCTAAGAAATCTGTTCTCATGACATAAAGTTAGCCATGTGCAGGATGAGTTAACTGATCTAGATCATGAAAATATTCACCATCCTGCATTGCTCCTCAACAAGTTTCAGTCAGGCTATCATGAAGCTGGTATCTGCAAACTCATCGGTTTCCTGCACACAGAGGAACTCTCAAGGTGCCAGGAGCTACCTCATTTCTAGGAAGGGAGCTGCGTCCTCAGGATGAGCATTCAACAAAATGAATTCTCCCAAGGAAGATACGCTGAGGCATTGTAAGTCATGAATAGTTTAAAAACCAGGACCCTACAATGCCCATGTCCACATTTAAAACCAGATGTGCAATCTTACATGTTCATATAAAGAATTTAGAGCACCGAGAGCTCTTGGAAAATAAGCACAAAACCCTTTTGACGGATATACTACTTGTATATTACTGAGGATGTGTGAACAGCTCAATCTTCATTCAACTGTCATAGAGACCAAGGATGGACCTTGACCAAATGAGAAGGGATGGGCTTAACACATGTTCTTCTATGGTCAAATGTGCAAGAAAGCACCACTGGAAAATCACCTAAATTTACCCAAGAAAAACAATTTTCTTGGTATTCAAGATAAACATAAAGCCAATTTTATGTACTGCATTTCTCCTTCTATAAAATTACCTATTCTCAAAAGCCTTTCAGTTAGATTCAGTGATCTCAGCTCACTGCAACCTCCGCCTCTCAGGTTCAAGTGATTCTCTGGCCTCAGCCTCCCAAGTAGTTGGGACTACAGGCGTGCACTACCAAGCCCGGCTAATTTTGTATTTTTAGTAGAGACATGTTGCTCAGGCCCGTCTCAAACTCCTGAACTCAAAGTGATCCACCCACCTCGGCCTTCCAAAGTGCTGGAATTACAGGCGTGAGCCACTGGGCCCAGCCCATGGTAAGTCTTAAATAAATAACAACTGAATTTTATTCTTACCTGAACCAACATCTTCGCTGACACCCCCCGACCACTCACTCAGGCAATATAGTCCCAGTAGTTAAGAAAAATAGTAACAAATTAAATTTTCTCTTCCCCAACCCCTTCCTTGACAAACAACAAGGTCAAGAATGAGCAGTCACTGAAAGCTAAATATTATGTTGACCCAAGAGTGGGACAAGGTTCAGTGTTTCTGGGCCTGACAGGCCCCTCATGAGCCTCATGTCCTCATTTGCCAAAAGCAAATAGAAATATCTGCCCCATCAATTTCATAGGGCTGCTGTGGATGAGTCTGTTGAGATGCCAAATGGCTTAGAACACAGTACACGAATGTAAGCACTAGTAACTAGAATCATCTTGGCGGGGAGGGCCTCAAAATCTGAACTTAATGAACAGAAATGACCACTCAATTCAAGCTCATTTTCCTGCTAAAAGAATCCATGAAGATTTTGTTTATACTTAAGTTATCCACTTAACTACTTTTATCCTTTTTCACAGATAATGAAAGAGCATCAAAAAGCAGCTCATGACATTCACCTAGAAAGATCACCATTAGAACTGCAGGGAGATATATTTAGATGAGGTTGACTGACTGAGGGAAGGTAGGGTAGAAACAAGCATATCAAGGGTCAGGGCAGTTCATTTTACCATAATTTTAATATTAAAACAAAGCCAGTAAATTACCAATATTTATTAAATACTATAGCTGCACAATAAAGCCATCCACAGAGTCCCTTAACTCAGCTACCAGAAGGGAGAGGCTGGGCATGATGGCTCATGCCTGTAATCCCAGAACTTTGGGAGGCCAAGGCAGGAGTATCCCTTGAGCCCAGGAGTTCAAGACCAGCCTGGGGAATATGGCGAAACCTCGTTTCTACAAATAAAAATAAAAATAAAAAAATAAAAATAAATAAAAATTAGCCGAGCGTGGTGGCACATACCTGTAGTCTCAGCTACTTGGGAAGCTGTATACACACACACACACACACACACACACACACACACACACACAAAGAAGGGAAAGGCCAGATGCAGTAGCTCACACCTGTAATCCCAGCACTTTGGCAAGCCAAGGCAAGAGGATCACTTGAGGTCAGAAGTTCGAGACCATCCTGGCCAACATGATGAAACCCTGTCTCTACTAAAAATACAAAAATTAGCCGGGCGTGTTGGTGGGCGCCTGTAATCCCAGGTACTCAGGAGGCTGACGCAGGAGAATCATTTGAACCCAGGAGGTGGAGGTTGCAGTGAGCTGAGATCGCGCCACTGCACTCCAGCCTGGGTGACAGAGCGAGACTCCATCTCAAAAAATAAAAGAGAAGGGAGAAACAGAATCTTTAGTCAGCGTAGATGTGCTTTGGGGAGTGGGAAGAGGTTTCTGCTGGCCAGTATCTCTTCCTGCTGACCCAACCCCATGGCCTTATCTTCAGCTGAATCCTCCATACATGCAAACCTATTTATTCCAGGCAACGGCAACCTTTTTCTGCAAAGGGCCAGACAGCACAAATTTCAGCTTTGTGGTCCACTTGGTCTTGACTCTGCTGCTGTGGCACAAGAGCCCCCACAGGCAACCCCAAAACAAATGGGCAGGACTTTAGTCAATAAAATTTCATCTCTGGACACTGAAATGTGAATTTCATGTCATTTTCACATGTCCCCAAAATAGCCTTCTTTTTCCATCTTCAACCAGTTAAAAATGTAAATGGATACAGAGTTTCCGTTCTGCAGCGTGAAAAAGTTCTGGAGGTCGAACAATGTGCCTGTATGTAATGCTGCCCAACTGAGCCCTTGCAAATGGTGAAGATGATAAATTGTATGTTATGTGTACTCTACCACAATTTTAGAAGATTTTTTTAAGTATCCGTGTCTGGCCTTGAAGCTGTAGCTTTGCTGCCCCTGAGGGAGCCCCACCTTCCAATTTCATTTTGAAACAGGATATGAGGTGTACTGCAGGTTAACCAAAAGTGAGTAGACAGCAGTCAGACATCACTGGACAAGGCCCAGGATCAGAGGCCCCAGGAACCCAGCACGTCCTGCAGTCCTCGGTGGGAAGGCAAAGGCCTGAGGTCCGCGGCTGCGCCTGCAGGGTGAGGGGACATACACTGTCTGGATTCCCGTCGTGTTTCTGTTGACCTTGCCTGAAGGCTTCTGAACTGTGAGGCACATCCCTTCAGCTTGTGTGGACCTACGGGGCTGGAACATTTTCCAATAAGGATATAGAAACTGGATTTGAGAAGGATCCACGGGCCTCATCAGCAGCCCTCCATAGGCCGAGAGTCCAACCTTGGGAAGGATATGGGGGGGTGGGAGCGTCTGCAACCCCCAACCACAGCAGCAGACCAGCAGAAAAGTCAAGAACAGGTTTGAGCAAAACAGTCTGGACAGGCTACAGAAAGCATTTACAACACCACCGAAGGGAAAATGGGCTCGGCCGACACAACCGGCCCTTTCCACATCCAGCCAATAACCAGACAGAGGTGCAGAGGCCAAGTTTACTCAAAGCAGTGAAAGCAGTTACTGTGAAGCAGGAAGACACGCCCCAAAGACAACTGCAGTCAGTCTGCACCATGCTGCCACGGTATCAAAGGGTTAAGTCAGAGTGTGAGTGTATCTTTAAGAAAAACATAGTGGTGGCCCTTGTCCAGATTTAGCCTGTGGCTGAAACCGTTTAGGTAAAAATATTTTTTCTTACTGTGCTATTCATTTAACACCTAGGTGAAATAATAACCCCTTTCTCTGCACTTGTATACCACCCCTTTTTTTTTTTTTTTTTTTTTGAGATGGGAGTCTTGACCATCACCCAGGCTGGAGTACAGTGGTGTGACCTTGGCTCACTGCAACCTCCACCTCCCAGGTTCAAGAGATTTTCCTGCCTCAGCCTCCTGAGTAGCTGGGATTACAGACGTGCACCACCGCACCCGGCTAATTTTTTGTATTTTTAGTAGAGATGGGGTCTCACTTATGTTGGCCAGGCTGGTCTCGAACTCCTGACCTCAAGCGATCCACCCACCTCTGCCTCCCAAAATGCTGGGATTATAGGTGCGAGCCACCACGCCCGGCCTCATGCCATCCGTGTAGAATTTTCAATGTGTGTCTTATTGATAATTAAAGAACATCTTGGGGTTGTTTTTTCCTCTTTAATCTAAATGTAATACATGGAAATTTTAGGAACTGGTTTGAAATCTGCCAAAAGTAGTTTTTCCAAAGAGTAGTTCAGACCAACCCAGAACTCTTGCTTCTTGGCAGAGCAAGTAAGTAAGCTAGTTCTGGGTTAATGTTCACACCAGGGTGATCAGGCCTGATAGGAGTTTGCTGTGGACGCTGAGCTGGGCCCAGGGACTTCACCTCCTACTTCCTCCAAAGGACAAGGTCACTATTGTGAATCCTGCTTTACAGAGCAGGACAGAGGCCCAGAGAGCAAACCTGCCCAAGACCACACAGCTAGTATGTGGCCGAACTGGGACTGAAGCCCAGATCTTTGACACCAAAATGAATGTGTGTCCCTCTGTCTCGCGGCTTTTCAGATGGATCACACAGGAATGGGATGAAATAATGTACAAATCGCTGCCAATGTGAGCTGGAAATCCATTGACACAGAATGCTCACCCAGTGGTCACTCCTCACCAGGTCCCACCCTCCTCATCTAAAACAGGTTGGTGCAAATGGCATTCATTCATTTCATGCCCACTGACACCCATTTTGCCCTCATTATTCAGTCACTCTAGGAAAAAAAAATGGGAAAAAAAAGCGCTTTCAAGTCCTTTGGCTGTTTTTAGCCTATTGTTACTGTCACATAGGATGATCTACATCACCCTTGGGAAACAAGGGATTACTGTGGCAAGGAACTTTTGCGGCAAGTCACAGAGAATCAACTAGTCCCAGCGTACCATCTGACATGCAGCTTGACATATGGAGGTGGCACTTATATCAGCTGCCTCCTCTATCAGACTGTGAAGTCTGTGACGGCATCCCCACGCCACAGGATCCAGAGCTTCCAGCAGAACAGAAGCCCCATATACATGAGTTGTTGCAAGTAGAAATTAAATAAACATTTTTACAGTTAAGCAACAAGGGATGGGTGTAGCTCAGAGAAGCACAGTTAAAATCACCTAATTGTGTGTGTGTCTAAACAGCTGGATATGATCTCACATGTCGTATATAAATTCAGGAAGGGCTGGGCGCGGTGGCTCACGCCTGTAATCCCAGCACTTTGGGAGGCCAAGGCGGGCGGATCACGAGGTCAGGAGATCGAGACCATCCCGGCTAAAACGGTGAAACCCCGTCTCTACTAAAAATACAAAAAATTAGCCGGGCGTAGTGGCGGGCGCCTGTAGTCCCAGCTACTTGGGAGGCTGAGGCAGGAGAATGGCGTGAACCCGGGAGGCGGAGCTTGCAGTGAGCCGAGATCCCGCCACTGCACTCCAGCCTGGGCGACAGAGCGAGACTCCGTCTCAAAAAAAAAAAAAAAAAAAAAAAAAATTCAGGAAGGAGGGGTGTGGGTGGGTGGGTGTATGTCATGCACTAACCAGCATCGCTAACACAAAAATATCACAATCTGTTGTCCAACAATAACACCTGGCCATACCCAGGGAGTCAAGACACCACACTGAGATGTCCTCATTAATACCACCTTCACATGCTTTGTACTGTATAATTTCCTAAGTGCCTTCAGTTCATTTCCACAAACACTTTACGAGCACTAGTGTGGGCCGGGAACACCACTGGCACCTAGTTGGGTTACAAAGTTAACTAAGACCAGGATCTTGCCTTTAATGGCCCAAAGCCTGGCTGAGTACCATGCTAGATAAGCAAGTACTAAGAATACAGTTTGTAAGGTTCGGTAACCATGTCAGAGGTACAGAGGTGGCGTGGACTTCCCAAATGGGATAATGCCTGAGACTATAGAATGAATAGTAAGAATTCGAACTACAGAATAATAATGATTACTATCGAATAGTAATTCTATTCGATATTAGTAATTCTTATTATTACTATTGAATAGTAAGAATTCTAACTATAGAATAAAAATTCCTACTATTGAATAGTAATTCTTACTAATCAATAGTATTCTTACCATTCATTCTTACTATAGAATTCTTACTATAGAATGCATTCTTGGCAACCTTGGTATTTGAGCTTTTCTTTTCCTTATTAAGTAGAGAACTTCTGCTTTTTCACTTAAAGGAAGGACTTCATGGCTTCTCTTTGGCATATCCAGATTGCCAGCATCACTACTCTTGTGCCTTGGGGCACAAGAGTCAAATAAGGGTGACTTGAACACAAGCCCTGTGGTGCCACGACAGTCGGTCTGAGCACCAAGGCAGCTCCTGAGTGACTGGCGGACGGGGAGCACGGACAGCATGGATCCACTGGACAAAAGGAGGATTCATGTCCCTGGCGGGACGAAGTGAGATGGCATGAGAGTCCATCACGCTGCTCAGAATGGCATGCAATTTAAAACCTAGGAATTGCTTAGTTCTGGAATTTTCCCTTTAACATTTTTGAACCACAGTTGACCAAGGTTAACAAACTACAGAAAGAGAAACTGAGGATTGGGGGCCCTGAGGGAGGAGGTATGGCCATACTGCCAAGAGCATCTCCCCAGCTAATCTCTAAATAGCTTGTGGGAAATGAGGTAGATAGTATTAGCACCGTTTTGCAGGTTAGCACATTAGGGCAGAGGTAGATGACCCAAAGCTCTGTGGGAGTCTGGCTATGCCTGCCTTGTGCCCTCTGCCTAACACACTTTTGCCCAGTGCTTGGGGCTCAATGAATGGTGACTTATTCAATGACAATGGAAGGTGATTTGTGCAAGGCCACCAGTAAATTAGTAACTTAGTAAAAGTTAGAATCAAGGATGCTCCAACGGTTATAACAAGTCATTGTATTTCCAAACTAGCTGGAAAAACTAATAAAATGTTGTTGGGGGGGGAGCACTAAAAATAAATGGGAAAAGGAAAATCAATTGAAGGATGTCACAATATAAAAGGTTAAGATTCACAAATGTGAGATCAATTCTAAGATAAATATCATTTAATATTCAGAGAACATATTACTTGATGGGTGTACCATGGTTTACTCAATAACCTACTATTAAACATCTACTGGGCTACATTTTTGCACACAGATCTACCTATTTCCTTAGAAGAGATTGCTTCAAAGAGCAATTGCTAATTGAAAAACTGTGTATTGAAATTGCACACTGGATCATGGATGATTTTTATTTTCTTCATTATGTTCGTTATTTTACAAATTTTCAATAGTGAGCATAAACTTTTTTCTCTTTTGAGAACAGTCTTGAAAATAGATCCAAGTACAAAAGATGATACAAGAGTAATGACAAATATTTTCTCACATTTCAAGTTTTTTAATAACAGAAATAAAACATTATGAATACAATTATTCCCATTCCACCTTCCTAGCTTTCTAAATATAAGCATAGGGATTCTTTCTAAACATAAACATTATAAATAAAAGTAGTGTGGCCGGGCGTGGTGGCTCATGCCTGTAATCTCAGCACTTTGGGAGGCCGAGCCGGGCAGATAACCTGAGGTCAGGAGTTTGAGACCAGCCTGACCAACATGGAGAAACCCCATCTCTATTAAAAGTACAAAAATTAGCCAGGCATGGTGGCACAGCATGTAATCCCAGCTACTCAGGAGGCTGAGGCAGGAGAATCGCTTGAAACCGGGAGGTGGAGGTTGCGGTGAGCCGAGATTGCGCGACGGCACTCCAGCCTGGGCAACAAGAGCAAAGCTCTGTCCCAAAAAACAATAATAATAATAATAATAATAATGTTTAAGATGAAACTGTATTAGGAAAGTGACACTGTAAAAGGGGCAGAGACTTAGTAAAATGACGTGCTAACTCCTCTTTATAAATGTTACAGTCAACATTTATACCAGGCCACTGTAATACTTAGCTTCTCCAAAACAGGCCCGATACCTCCACACTCTAATGAACAGTAATTTGAATGATCTGGTAAGTTAACTTCGGGTCTGACAGAGATCAGGCCTGACAGATTACTGGCTCTATTTCCATTGCTTTAATTTTACTTCTTGAAAAAAATTTTCAACTAAAAGTCATGTGCAACTAATGTCATCAAAACCTCACTTTAACACATTAATTCAATGCTAGTGAATATGACCATTCGGTATTCCAATAAACACAAAATGCGTGAATTTCATTAACATATGCCTGGAATAACCAGTTTCTATGAAACCTGTAATGCGATCCTTTCATTTCTGTCCATTTTAACTGCCAGTCTTTGCGAGTCTCCTTCATGACCTCAGCTTTCCATGATCTTCAATAGAAAAACACATGATCACCTCACCCAACACAGAGAAAAACCATATTCACAGGCTGCCCTCCAGCCACTTAAGTGTCCCAAAAACCAGCTGAGGGTGTTGTACATTACATGTCTGGAGCCTGGAGGAAGAAGAAAAGTCGGCAAATAAAAGAATGCAGTATTGCCAGGCATAGTGGCTCATGCCTGTAATCCCAGCACTTTGAGAGGCTAAGGCAGGTGGATCTCTTTGAGCTCCAGAGTTCAAGACCAGCCTACACAACATGGTAAAACCATGTTTCTTTAAAAAAAAAAAAAAAAAATTAGCAGGGCGCGGTAGCACACACCTGCAGTCCCAGCTACTTGGGAGGTTGAAGCTGGAAAATCACTTGACCCCGGGAGGTGGAGGTTGCAGTGAGCTGAGATCACACCACTGCACTCCAGCCTGGGTGACAGAGTAAGACTCCATCTCAAAAAAAAAAGTTGGGGGGGCGGGGGTGGGCACAGTATCAACCTATAGGAAGCAAAACTAGCACAAGGAGGGCAGTTAAAGGAATTGGGTGTCCCCTCCAGATCTCATGCTGAAATGTGACCCCAGAGTTGGAGACGGAGCCTAGTGAGAGGTGTCTGGGTCATGGGAGTGGATCCCTCATGAATGGCTTGATGCCCTCCCCACAGCAACAGTGAGTTCTCGCTCTATTAGCTCAGGAGAGTGTTGGTTGTAACGCAAAACGCACTAACAGGAATCATCTGTACAGAGAAATTCGAAGCATGCCTTGCTTCTTTCTCTTGCTTTTCCTCCACACCTACACAGCATGTTACATGTATCAAAAAGATATCATCTATGTTACAAACTCCCATATTTTTACAAACATCAGTCAATGTTCTTCCTATGACACCATAAATTCCTTCCCACACATAATTTATCCACCCTTCCCATTGTATTCAAAGCCCAAAGCAAACTTTCTAGGCAAAAAAAAAAAAAAAGTACACAGACATGCATACCAGTGGGAGCTGACTGAAATCTATAGAGAGGAATGTGATCTGGTCAACGAAGGGAGGAGGGGAGTAAGATGCTATGGACCAAAAGGTTGCATCCAATGGGAGGTCAAGGTGAACGGACACCCGGATGTCCTTCTGGAAGGCAACACTCTTTCCCCCAAGGATGGGCCAGGTCCTGACAAATCCCCCAGTTGCTGTAGTCACCCACAGCTCAGGGCCAGGGGTCGCCCACACATGAGCTCTGCCAGCACTTCTCTGTGGGAGCCTGGCCCGGGCATCTCCTCTCTCGCTGCCTCAGGCCTCACCTAGAAAAGCAAAGCATGGGACCACAGCAGTGGTTCCTTCCAGTGTCTGCATGAGCAGCGTGCCCCATCAACAGCTGTCACCACGCAGCAATGCACTGTGCATTCCCATAGGATGCGGACACCAGAGTTTCCCCTTCCTCCCATAGAGCTGTCACACCTGTCCATCCTGCAGTCCTAATACACACCCCTACACAGAGCAGAATTAAATGTGAACACAAGTCCAGGATCCTGCAAGTCTCCCAATGTCCCTTCCTCCTGCCTCGGTGTTTAACTGATTGACACTGAAGGCCCTGACTCTCTCCAGCCCCCTGGGATTTGGAATTGTGTCCTGGCCTTTGTATCCTATCTGTGGCCTGACTCAACACTGTTCTCTGGGCTCTGGAAAACCTGACGAGAAGCAGATGAGAAGTTGATTTCAAACAGTGGTCAGCTTCTTGGCAGGACAGAGTGGCTAAAGCCAGAACGCAGCTTACGTGTTAGAACTCACAGCCTTGAAACAACATGAAAAAGCCCCTCTAGCTAAAGCATCAGGGAACTCTAAAAACAGGGGACCAAAAAGCAAGTAGAGTGAAGAGTGTGTGGGCAGCTTTATAAAGCAAGTGCTCGTGGGCCAGCTGGATTTGTCCCCATTGTTTTGCTTTCACAGGCCCAGAGTTGAGCTGGATTGAGTTCCAGACCTCTGTGTATCACTGACTGGGTCTTTCAGATGCTGCAGAGGTAACCAGGGAGGAATGGATATCTGCAAAGGCTAAACTCAGTGAGGATGAAGCTGACTATACCAAAATGGAATAAACTGAAGAACAACAAAGAAAAATGTTAAATGAAGCAGTGTTTCACCTATCAATAGGCAACAGAGGGGTGTGTGAACCCATGATTAGTAACACCTTGAAATATAAGACAGACTTTACAGTCAGATGAGCAATGGGTTACTAAATACAACAAAACTCAACACATAATACCTTCTTCATGCTGTGCAGCACCTACCTAGAATTATAAGCAGACTGTGAAGTAAAACTTGTATTAGGAAACTTGACGAGGGGCGTGTGTGTGTGCTTTTTTAAAACTTGTATTTACCCAATGTAAGGCTTACTTATTCTAGAATTTTCCTTGAAATGGGCCGCCCACCTAGCAGATGCAATTTTTACACATTTAATATAGTCCAGAGCCCCAGTGGGTTAAATAAGGAAAGAACTTTGAAGAATCAATTATTCCGATTCCCTTGTTTTATCAACATGGAAACTGAGGCTCAGAGGGTAACTGCCCCAAGGTCTTCTCAATACACACACACACACACACACACACACACACACACACACTTTTCAGGTATCTTTAAATTTCCCATTTCTCAAGCACCGTGACTATTCTACAGGCCACCTTCCCTTCATCCGACCTGAATCTTGGATCCTGATGTTTAAGC
Organism: Homo sapiens; assembly: GCF_000001405.40. Classification (NCBI taxonomy): domain Eukaryota; kingdom Metazoa; phylum Chordata; class Mammalia; order Primates; family Hominidae; genus Homo; species Homo sapiens. The sequence continues at coordinate 98,259,781 of NC_000013.11, read as the reverse complement.
CAAGCTCCACCTGACTTACTCCAACAACCTCTGTCCCCTTCTCTTTCTCTCAAGCATGCAATAAGTCAAGCTCCAAGCAACCATCTTGGAAAAAAAATCAAATGTAATTAGGAATATTTAGGAAAAAAGACAACTTGGAATATGCATTTTAAAAATTGAACACTGCCATTTTTATAATCAAACACTGTAAGCCTCTGTGAAGATGGTGCCAGCTCACCAGCCAGGAAACCTGGGGGGCAAAACACTGGTCCCCTGCTCACGGTGAAACCTCTGGAGCCAAGCCTGAGGGAGGCCCAACACAGGGACATGTGAGCAGTAAGACAGGCTGCACTTAAGCCCCAAGTGACATGCTGGGAGCCACCTAAGGACATTTCTAAGGCTCACTTAAAAACTAGTAAATGCAAGCTGCTGATACACACACACACACACGTATATATGTGTGTATATATACACACTTTATAGATATGTACACTCTATATAGAGAGTATTATATATATACTCTATATACATATACTCTATATATACACATAGAGAGAGAATATAAAAATATACATATCTATTTTTGAGACAGGGTCTTGCTCTGTTGCCCAGGGGTGACAGTGGCATGCAGTGTCACAACCATGGATCACTGCAGCCTCGACCTCCCAGGCTCGAGCAATCCTCCCACCTCAGCCGCTGGAGTAGCTGTGTTTATAGGCACATCCTACCACACTCAGATTTTTTTTTATTTTTTGTAGAGACAGACAGGGTCTCACTATGTTGCCCAGCCTGGTCTCAAACACCTGAGCTCAAGCGATCCTCCCGCCTTGGCCTCCCAAAGTGCTGGGATTACAGGCGTGAGCCACCAGGCCCAGCCCTGATGATTTTTTAGGTAAATCTGAAATCAAGAGCATTTTAAATTCTCAAATTCAATTACCAAATAAAATCACATAAATACATATGAAGGATCCTACCAGATGACAGCATTCCTGGGTTGCCTGATCTAGAATTTGTCATCTCATCAAGAGGGTAAGAAATTAGATGTCAGGCAGAGGATGAAAGAGCCTCAGAAAACAGTGAACAATTGACCTTGGCTTTTTTTTTTCCCCACAATAGAGATGTAGTCTCTCTATGTTGCCCAGGTTGCTCTTGATCTCCTGGCCTCAAGAGATCCTCCAACCTCGGCCTCCCAAAATGCTGTGATCACAAGCATGAGTGACAGCACCCAACTGATTTTTCCCATCATCTTTGCCACTATTCAGATCTTTTACCTCAATCTATACTCCTGGAAACTTTATCAAATTAAACAATACCTATTCAAGGTCACAAATTAGCAAACACGATGCTCACGTGGTCTGGTGTATTACCAGGACATTTTGATATAACTCTATGCCAGGCAGTGATTGCATAAACTCTAAATATTCTTCAGAGTTAAAAGTACAGGGAGTCTGGAAAGGTTTCATGACCTGTCCTTCTCATGTTCTATTTATGTTTTTTCTTTAAGTTTACTTTTTAAATTGACAAGTAAAAATTACAGGCCGGGTGTGGTTGCTCATGCCTGTAATCCCAGCACTTTGGGAGGCTGACGCGGGTGGATCATGAGGTCAGGAGATTGAGACCATCCTTGCTAACATGGTGAAACCCCATCTCTACTAAAAATACAAAAAAATTAGCCGGGCACGGTCGCGGGTGCCTCAGCTACTCGGGAGGCTGAGGCAGGAGAATGGCGTGAACCCAGGAGGCAGAGCTTGCAGTGAGCCAAGATCGTGCCACTGCACTCTAGCCTGGGCAACAGAGCGAGACTCCATCTCAAAAAAAAAATTATATATATCAATGGTGTACGACATGATGTTTTGATAGATGTACACGCTGTGGAATGGCTACATCAAGCTATTTAACACACGCGTGACTTCACATCTATGCGTTGTTTTCAACATAAAACATAGTAGCAAATAGATCAGAAGTTTTAGCTTGGATATCTCCACTGTAGCCACACATCAATGAGGGTCCTACTTTTTTTTCTTTTCCCCCTCAAGATGGAGTCTTGCTCCGTCATCCAGGCTGGAGTGCAGTGGTGCAATCTCGGCTCACTACAACCTCCGCCTCCAGGATACAAGTGATTCTCCTGCCTCAGCCTCCCAAGTAGCTAGGATTACAGGCACATGCCACCATGCCTAGCTAATTTTTGTATCTTTAGTACAGACAGGTTTCACCATGTTGGTCAGGCTGGTCTCAAATTCCTGACCTTGTTATCCACCCACCTTGGCGTCCCAAAGTGCTGGGATTACAGACATGAGCCACTGCACCCAGCCTCAGGGTTCTACTTCTTAAAGAGGGATTCAAACAGATGTATAATAGATAGTGCAGAAAGAAGGGCGTACAGAATGAGGAGAAGGTAACAAAACAGACGAGGAAAAGAAGAATGTGTATTTTTGACAAAATTAGACGTGTCAGTGAGAAAGATTAGCAAATCCTATCACATTCCCTCTCTCCCTTCATAAAATCCTACCAGGTCCAAAAGCTTCCAGAACACATTTCCATCGTACCAGATTATTGACACTGCCAAGACTAGTGTTGTTTTAAATACACAGATGAGTCCATCTCCAAAAATGCTTGAGTTAAGTTGATTAAAATGCTGTGTTTTTTAATCACAAAGTTTTCCTTTGTATTCAATGATATTTGGAAAATTTTAGTATCTGAAGTGTGACGAGGGAATAGTGATTATGTTGAAGAACGCTTGATCTTTTAGAGATGTATACTGAAATAATTATAAATAAAACCAAACTTTCCTTCAGAAGGGAAATCTTTCGGTATATATATATATATATATATATATATATATATATATATATATCCACATATATACTTTGAAAATTATTGTTATTATTTATCATTCTTTTTATTATTGTTCCTTGTAAAAAAAAAAAAAAAAAACTGTAGTAAGGCCAAGTGTGGTGGCTCACGCCTGTAATCCCAGCACTTTGGGAGGCTGAGGCGGGTGGATCACTTGAGGCCAGGAGTTTGAGACCAGCCTGGCCAACACTGTGAAATCTCATCTCTACTGAAAATACAAAAATTAGCCAGGCATGGTAGCATATGCCTGTAATCCCAGCTGCTCGGGAGGCCAAAGCACAAGAATCACTTGAACCTGGGAGGTGGAGGTTGCAGTGAACTGAGATCACGCCACTGCACTCCAGCCTGGGTGACAGAGTGAAACTCTGTCTCCAAAAAAAAGAAAAAAAAAAAAAGTGGTAAGATGCACATAACACAAAAATTTACCATTTTTAAAGGTACAGACCAATAACATTAAGCACACTTGTCACAGTGGTGCAGCCATCACCACCATCCTCTCTAGAACATCTTCATCTGGCAAAACTAACTGTGTATCCATTAAACGACTCCCATTTTCCCCTCTCCCCTGCCTCTGATAACCACCATTCTTCTCCCCATCGCACATATATTTCACAGATCTCACTTAATTTCATGAATTCAGAATTGATAACTTTTTTAAAAACCTCGAATTTTAAATACTGATTCATTACCTAAAATACAGCACAACGTCCCTATTCACTTTCATTCCTAACAAATGTTTATCAACATTTTAATACCTGTATAGAATGATGAACCGTAACTTAGGTGGACCTATGATTTTCTTTGATCATTAACCACACTTTCACGAACATCTTTGGATGGGCATTTCATTTCTACCGGCTCTGTAAGAGCACCTCCTAGAAGCGAACCTGCTGGAACAAAGCTGTGCACATTCTTAAGATTTTTGACCAGTTGCCAAATGGCCCACCAGAAGGGTTGTTGCTTTAACGTTTACTGGTGTTTCTAATGTTCAGACAGATTGTTCTGGATTTGGGGGCTGGGAAGGGAGGCTGACTGCGCACACAATGGCCTACAGTTCCAGCTACATGTTTCTACTACGCTTCCTTTTCTTGCAGTCATAAGAGAACTTCCCACATGAGCTCTGCCTGACATACAGTACAAGAAATCCACAAAGGTCAAGCACAGTCATGAGCTAGGAATCAGATTTCCAAAAGGGTCTCTGTTTTATTAAGAAAGTTGAAGGTATGATCTTAGCCTTTGCTAACTTTTAAATCTGCTAGGTAGGGGAACTATAAAAAAGACAAACAAAATATATTTTCCATCTTATGCATATTACTAACATCTTTCAAAACCAACCCATGAAGGCAAATACAATTAAAAAGAGCATTGTTTCATAATATTTTAAGGTATCGGCAAAACACTGTATTTCACAACACAGCAACCACTAGTTTTTGTTTTTGTTTTTTTTTTGAGATGAAGTCTCACTCTGTTGCCCGGGCTTGAGTGCAGTGGCGCAATCTCGGCTCACTGCAAGCTTCGCGTCCTGGGTTCACGCCATTCTCCTGCCTCAGCCTCCCGAGTAGCTGGGACTACAGGCGCCTGCCACCATGCCCGGCTATTTTTTTTTCTATTTTTAGTAGAGACGGGGTTTCACCATGTTAGCCAGGATGGTCTCGATCTCCTGACCTTGTGATCCGCCCGCCTCCACCTCCCAAAGTGCTGGGATTACAGGCGTGAGCCACCGTGCCCGGCCACAGCAACCACTTTTACATTTACAAGAAAAATGCCAGTTTAACAACACTGCCTACAATTTTTTTGTCTTGGCTATTCATTGAGCTTATCTGAAGGTGGCCAAAGGGGCCCTAAAAAGAGACCTCCCTCCCTACTGTTGTTTTACCCAAAATCTCATTTCTCAAATGAAGCCACATTCTCAGGTTATGGAAGTTCATTGTTTCACAAATTGCTCCTACAAGTAAAAAATTCTTCCTTTGTTTTTCAATGCAAAATAACCTTTAAAAAAAAAAAGAGGAAGATGCCACAAAAGGATCTTGTAGTAAATATGTCTTTTTCTTTGCCCCAGCTACAGCCAAGCTAGTGGTTCTTCTCCATGAAATGGTTCCTGAATATCCCATCATTGCTTTCCCATTCCCCCACTGCCATTGGTTATACTAACATATGTTTTCATTTATAGCATCATGGACATTCTCTAGACAGTCAGTCTGTTGAAAAGAAATTAATCCCAGCAGTGAGCTCAGATCCTGAATTCTCAGCAGTTTCTTGTGAATTCATGGCTAGGCTATTTCTGCTGAGGCTGAATCTGAATGTGTAAACAGCTGGCCAGGCTACACCGCCATGCATTTGGCTTAAATCACATTCTGCACCTACAGCAACACAGGCAGAAGGATACACTTCTCATCAGTAGACTCTCCACAAATACAACAGACACAATTCTTCGTGCTCATGATCACTGGGATAGAATACCCACTTTTTATTGAGCACCTACTAGATGCCCAAAACTGTCTGATCATTTTACATGTGTTATCTAGTCATTTTGCAGGCACCATTATTAACACACAAGGAGAGAGATACTATTCTCATCCACACTTTACAGATGATATAACTGGCACTCACTAAAGTTAAGAAATTTGTTCAGAATCCCATAGTTTTTAAGAGCGGAGCTAAGAATTAAACTGTCATCTCTCTTCAACTTCAACCTCAAAATCCAAAAATGACACAAACACCAATAATGGCATGTATTAGTGCATCATTATGAGATGAGTATTTGGGAACAAGTGAGGAGAACACTTAGTACTTTTCAGGGACACCCACACACTACCGACTGCCCGCTCAGATTATCACTTTGCCCGGAAACTCAGAGGTCCCATAATGATGGGCAAATGAGTTGGGGTGGTCTCAGAACCCTGAAATGATCACATGCATCAGAAGTACAGAGTGGTATTTTCAAAGCTGTATATAACTATGCGATGAGCCCCACTTTGTGTTATGAAGAGCCAAAACTGCCCATCAGTTTGTTCCAAACCCCACATGGAAAGCATGCATGAAAACTGTCATACACACACAAACAAGACAGTGGATTCTGACCTCAAACCCAGAAATTCTGCCTCCACCCAGGGCGCTCTTCATTACAGCAAACCTAAAACTAACCACATGGCCCAGTTTCCATGAAATGTTTGCTATGAACTGATGCAGCAACTATAAAATAAAAGGCCAAGAGCAGAGCACATCTGGCTGGAAACATCTGGGCTGGAAACCGAGCTCAACGATGACTTAGCGGTGCGACCTTGGATGAACGCAGCAAAGCCCACAGCAGTCTACACTTCCTACTTTGTAAGTGATGTGTTGTTATAAATACATCATCTCGCTTAATCCTCACAACCACCTTTTGAGGTGGAGACCATCATCCTCATTTCACAAATGGTGAAACCCAGGCCATAGTTTAAAAGTGGCAGAGGCAGGCAGGGTCCAAATCCAGTTTTTGTCTCACATCAAAGTCTTTGATCTGAGTCTCAGTTTCTTCACTGATAAGCCAGATTGGGATATCTGACTCATGCGGTTGCTATGGGCATTTCCTGCGAGAGCATCAGGAAAATCCTCTGCAACAGCACTCAGTCAACGGCAGCTACTGAGACTTTTATTACCAATCACTGGCGTCATCTTCTGCAGCCCCAGCAGTGGGTTAAGAGAAATAAAAGGCTAAACTCAGGACTACTTGCCAACAAGCATTTAACAGCATTCCTTAATGCTTCAGATTAATTTTCATCTCCCTCAACACCCTTTTTAAAGATCAGAAACTTAACATTTTTCCTTGCTGGACAAACTTGGCTTGAACATTGCTTTCGTCGCAGACTAAATCAACATACAGCTATTAATGCACCACACTCCCTACTTTGAGTATGGGTGCCACCAAGGTTCTCTCCAACCTTTGGAATTCTACGCAGTCATAGCTAAGTAGCTAGTTTTGTTTTGATAAAAGCTACTTTAAAATCTCAGGGGCCTATGCTTGCCAAAATCAAGTTGAAAAATGTTGGTGTCAAACAATTTGGAAGTATTTTTCTAAAAATAACACCCTGAGAATCTGAGGCAGATATATTTTCCTCTGAAGTATACATGATCACCGGGGCTCACTGGGTCGCTGACTTGAATGTTAGAGCAGGATAATAGATAATCTTCCTTAAAGAACAACACTGGACACTTTCTTTGACATTGACTTACATCCAATTTCAGGTCCTGGGAAGGCACAGGCAACTAAGTGGGTGGGTATTAAAGACAAAGGTCTTCAATAAATGTTTAAAGAACACAGTACAGAGATACCTGGCATTTTGGAGGGCACATTCTACAGCAGCCTGTGAGAGGAAATCTCAGCATTTGGTAGCATCCATGAGGGTCAAGCCAGACCATCTGCCACCAGGGCACTCCTGTCCATTAGCTGGGCCATTGTTGGCTTGTCTTTGAGGTACAAGTCAAAGTAATGTGAAAAAGTCATCTTCACTCTGTGTTGGGGTCGGTTTTAATTTTAATAAATGAAAATATGCAGGTAATGAACGTTCTATTGAACCTACCCAAGAACATGAATGTGAACCTGACAAGAGCCACGCTGAAGTCTTAAAGTTATTGAGTCACATCACATGCACTGATATTCTTTTAGTCTTATGAGTCTCACATTGAATAGTCAGGAAGTCTGAACAGTCAAAATGCAAATGGGCATTTTGAAAAATTCATCTGATAATAAAGTCATTATAACTCTAATCTCCTAATATGCTAATATAATACATATTATTAACATTGTTGTTAAATACATATATAGGTGGGCACGGTGGCTCACGCCTGTAATCCCAGCACTTTGGGAGGCCGAAGAGGGCAGATCACTTGAAGTCAGGAGTTTGAGACCAGGTTGGCCAACATAGTGAAACCCTGTCTCTACTAAAAATACAAAAAATAACCGGGCATGGTGGCAGGATCCTGCAATCCCAGCTCTTCAGGAGGCTGACGCAGGAGAATCGCTTGGACCCAGGAGGCGGAGACTGCATTGAGCCAAGATTGCGTCACTGCACACCCTGGGCAACAGAGTGAATGAGACACCATCTCAAAATACACACATACATACATACATACAATTAGCTATATTACTATCCAATCTGCTATCTTTTTATGGTTTATCATGGACTTTATCAAATTGCGTGATGCCAACAGGTGATGCTGGAGGGCTTTGGTAGTTGTTTGTCCTCCCTCTTCCCTAATGGGGACTTTTTTTTCTTTTTTTTTTTTTTGAGATGGAGTCTCACTCTGTCACTCAGGCTGGAGTGCAATGGCGTGATCTCAGCTTACTGCAACCTCCACCTCCCGGGTTCAAGCCATTCTCCTGCCTCAGCCTCCCAAGTAGCTGGGATTACAGGTGTGCGCCACCATGCCCAGCTAATTTTTGTATTTTTAGTAGAGGTGGGGTTTCACCATGTTGGCCAGGCTGGCCTCAAATTCCTGACCTCAAGTGATCCACCCGCCTCAGCCTCCCAAAGTGCTGGGATTACAGGCGTAAGAATACCATGCCCGGCCCCCAGTGGGGACTTTCTATTAAGCAAATAAAGTCGTCTATATCTCTTGCATAAAACCATCCTGAGAGTGCACAGGGCCTAGAATCCTAGACAAGGAGGCAGAAGATATGAACTGTGGCCCCGCCTTAGCCACCGTCTAACTGAATGAACTTGGACAAAGCACCTGTTTGAGCCTCACTTCTTTCTTTGAGAAATGGGCATCCAGGTCTTCCAGTTCTAACAGCTGTCCACTTAACTTCATGGTTCAACAATAAGATTTAATATTCTTTATGATTCAAATGTACACACATGTATGTGCCTTATTCATATATTAGAAATCGTCATTTTTCTAAGAATAAACATATTTATGTATTCACAAGTTCATAAACATCTATGAAGTCCCTGCTATGTGCCAAGCACTGTGCTCGAGCCTAGGACAGATCAAAGACCAGGGGCCACACAATCCCTCTCCTTACAGCTAAGTGGGGAAGACAGGCACTGAACCAGTAATTTACAAACCAAATCATGCAGTGGTTTAGAATTACACACATGTGTTAAACTATAAAAAGAGGCAGATGAGTGACCAACACAGAATTTAGGCTGGGATTACTTCTTAAGGGATGGGGGTTAAAAGTCTTCAGAGAGTGGCCCATACTGGTAGTGTTATATATTTTTTTCTTTTTCCTTTTCTTTTTTTTTTTGAGACAGAGTCTTGCTCTGTCGCCCAGGCTAGAGTGCAGTGGTGTGATCTCGGCTCACTGCAACCTCTGCCTCTCGGGTTCAAGCGATTCTCCTGCCTCAGCCTCCCAAGTAGCTGGGATTACAGGCACCTGCCACCATGCCCAGCTAATTTTTGTATTTTTAGCAGAGATGGGGTTTCACCATGTTAGCCACGCTGGTCTCAAACTCTTGACCTCGTGATCCACCCGCCTCGGCCTCCCAAAGTGCTGGGATTATAAGTGTGAGCCACCGTGCCCGGCCCTCATATTTTTATTTGTTAAACTATACTTACACTTTTTATAGCCTCTTTTGTAAATATGCCATATTTCACAATTTAAAGTTTTGACAGATTATGTGAGAAAGAAACAAATCATGTACAAACCCAAAAGACTGGCATTATTGTACCTTTCTTTAGAACCTAAACCATTCAAAACACATATGGTTTCAGATTTTAACATCATTATTTTGTGACTTGAGATGGCATTTTAAAGAATGACAGACTCAGTTTTGCAGGTTTTTAAATCCCACATTTCTTTTCAAAGTGTCTGTGTTTCTCCGATTAAGTCACTGGGCCACCCCAATGTTTGGTGTTCAGAAATCATTGGTGAATCTCACGAGTAAATTTAAAGCGATGTATTTTCTCATACATATAAAATCATCTATTTTCTCTTTTATTAAATGCCTATCCTTTCCAAGGCTTAAAAGATTGAAAACTTAAAAATTAGGTTTTCAAAACAGGTCAACAATCTAAACCCTGATGAATTTTGAAGATTTCCAAAAGAAATTTGGGGAAGGAGCTGTCAAACATCGCATATGTAACTGAAGGGAGAGAGGTGGGGAACCAGACTGTTCATTTGCCCCTGGAATTTCATGTTGTCAATACCACCACGGGGAACCATCACTAAGAAACGGTATGGCCTCAGGTTTCCGTCTGTCTTTTTTCTTCTATAATGCTCAAAGACAGGTGTAAACACAAGGCCTGTGTGATATTTCTTTGGGAGATGTACATCTTGTTACCTTCCTGCCTCCCCGAGACATAGGCCTGAGTGACATTAATCATTCCAATAGCCAAACAATTTCTGTGTCATCAATGGGCCATTAGCTGGGTGAAGAACATGGTGGGGAAACACAAGACTTCTGCCAAAATATCTCTGTTGCCACAAGGAAAAAGTAAAACAGTAAGCAGACCAGAAGTTCTTTTTAATGATGTATTCCTCAAGCAAAAATCAGACCTCTTCCCTCAATAATGGGCTGTAACACTCTTGCAAAAAAGCGTCTATCTTACAAGAGTTTAAGTTCTTACCATGTCACATAAAAGAAGTATCGTATCATTAAAAATTTTATGTTCCCAAAAAAGTTCACCAAGTACATTAACAAGGAGCTATACTTGCAATATTTCCAAAGGCAAAGTTGTAACAGTAAAATAATTCAATTAAAGCATCACAAAAGATACCTGAAAATTCCTATTCGTCTAAATGAGCACCCATGGGTGCTCACTTAGTTGAAATACAGTCGATTCTCATTATTTGCTGTAGTTGCACTCTACATGGTCACCACTGAACTAGGGAACACTGAACTGTTGCGTCTAGGAGAAATACAAGATTAGATTCTGAGATCTTCTGTCATATTCTCATCAACTGAACAATATAAATTTGTTTAATGTGTGTTTCTGTTAAAAGACACTTTACTTAATATACACTGTTGACTCATTAATGTTGAATTAATGGCCAGTAAGTAGCACTAGAACTTATGCCTAAATGAAGCTTCCCTAACACCCGTTTTCTCTGTAAGGCACATTCTCAGCCTTCTTGCGCTCAGGAACCCTGGACAGTGCTTCTAGCACTACACTTCAGAGCCATTTTAAACAGTGAAATCACCAACAAAAAGCACGAAAACGCAAACAAATCACGGCACTAACTAGATCATCAAAAAGGCACCTGTTTCCAGCGCGAGAGCTGAGACAAGAAGGCAGACCCTCATTTGAGTTCAGCTGAGAATGTGCACATTGGGCAACTCACATTTTTCTGTAATCCTGGGCAGGTCCACAAATGACCAGGAAAGCACCACAAGCTTGATTTGGGGACTACAAATTTTAGGGAGTAGGTGGATTCACAAATACGGAATCCATGAAGAATGTGTTATCCAGTGTGGTAAGGACTCAGCATATCCTAGATTTAACATTAATATCCAAAAGTATTTCTGAAGCTTCTCATGATTTCTTAAAACATGAGACATTTTGTTTCCTGACACTATCCCATCCTATAAAAGGATACTGTATTATGTCTATGGCCACAGGAAAATACCTTGGGGAAGCCCTCTACCCGGGGAGAAACAGCTCACATCACTGCTAGGAGGTATCTCCTTACCCCTCCCTCTACCCTCAGTGTCCCTGAGTCCACTATTAAATCTCATTCCACCCAAATACAGTAGAAAAGAGTTCAAAAATCACAGAATATTTCAGAGAGAACTGGTTCACTATTTTTCTAGGTACTGCAAAATCTATCCTTTACTCATGCCAGATATTAGACAGAGGTGTCATTGGCCCATTTCTCTCATTAGAGTTGCTGTTTGCTGGGCTGGACGGGATTGCACCCATTGGCCTGTTTGGGAAGACAGGTCCGAGGTACCCGCCTCTCTGATGCTGAGAGAGGCTGCGAAGGTTTTTGTTCATAAAATTTGTTTCCTTCTTGGACCCTTGGCAGAGATGTGTTTCTGGTCTTAGTGTCAGGAATCTGCGACTCTTCTGAGAACTGGTTTATTCTTATCATACGACTGCTGATCAAGTGTCCAGCATTCAATACACAGCTCTTCACAAGGATCGCTGGAAGCTGATGACCACATCCGTGGCTTGGTGGCATTCACTTTGTGAAGAGGCCTCCTTCTGGATGCTGCGGACATCTTGCCCCTGTTCTCTGTTTCTGTTTGCCTGGACTTTCTTATCGGCTCCCAATCCGCATCATCTACACTCTGGCTCCTCGTGAACTGCCTGGAATCCGTTGAAGGTGGAAGCTGGGGTCAACCTACCAACCTTTGCTCACCTTCCTAACTTTCTCTGGGAAAGGTTCCTCCCCTGCCCTGGATCCCAGCAGAGCCCTGAGCTCACTGTCTGTTGTATCCTTCTCCGTCTTCCCTCCTCCCATGTTAGTTCAAATAGCTCTCTCTGTTTCACACCACCTGTCCTCCCAGTGAGCTCCACTCCCCCAGCAGGGCTGCGGGGATGGATAGCCCAGCCAGTCATACTGGGGTGTCTGTCTGCGTTAGTGACCCGGCCTGGTCATTTAGAGCTTAGTGTGACTTTCTTAAAGGGCAGTTAAAGAACTCTATGTGGGGGCCAAAGTGGGCCCAGCCAGGGGTGTGGAAGGCTGCACACCACCAACAGAGTACACACCCTGGGCGTGACACTATTGGTAGATGGCACGCATCGTCTTCTAGGTGTAGAAAGGAACAGCTACTTTTTTTTTGGAGACAGAGTCTCACCGCCACCCAGTCTGGAGTGCAGTGGTGCGATCTCAGCTCACTGCAACCTCCGCCTCCTGGGTTCCAGTGATTCTTCTGCCTCAGCCTCCCGAATAGCTGGGATTACAGGCATGCGGGTTACAGGCATGCGCCATCACGCCCAGTTAACTTTTGTATTTTTAGTAGAGACGTGGTTTCACCATGTTGGCCAGGCTGGGTCTTGAACCCCTGACCTCAGGTGATCCGTCCACCTTGGCCTCCCAAAGTGCTGGGATTACAGGCGTGAGCAACTGTGCCCCGCCAAGGAACAGCTGCCTTCTTAAACACAGGAGTTCCAGCCCTCGGTTCTGTGTAGACGGTTGTATGCAGGAAGTGCACAGGCAGAATCCATGGGCTCAAGGAACAGCTGGATTTTTTAAAGCTAATTAACAATGTTCCATTTCAGGGCTCTGGGTAGAAAGCTCTGACAAAGCCACTGTTCACTAACGTGCTGTGTGCTTAGTGATGTCATTCTGTTTGTGGTGTAAGTACCTGGTTAAAATTAAGCTTTTCTAAATGCCTCCCTTATAGCATTGTTTCAGTACCCAGGACTAAGAACTTTGAGCTTTTTAGATTATCCCCAGAGGAGAAGGAGGGAGTATAGTATGTAAACACACACACACAACACTCACAAACACACAGGCACACAAGCAAGCACACACACACCACTTATTTTGAGACTCTAACAATGAAAACTGACAACCATGTTTCCTAGACAAAAACTATAGACTCTAATTTTTTTTTAAGTTACAAGAATCAGAAGACTAAGCTTATTTTTGCTGATCTACAGATGAGAATTAAGAATTTATCTCGGGGCTGGGCGCGGTGGCTCACGCCTGTAATCCCAGCACTTTGGGAGGCCGAGGCGGGGATCACGAGGTCAGGAGATCGAGACCATCCTGGCTAACACGGTGAAACCCCGTCTCTACTAAAAATACAAAAAATTAGCCGGGCGAGGTGGCGGGCGCCTGTAGTCCTAGCTACTCGGGAGGCTGAGGCAGGAGAATGGCGTGAACCCCAGGGGGCGGAGCCTGCAGTGAGCCGAGATTGCGCCACTGCACTCCAGCCTGGGTGACAGCGAGACTCCGTCTCAAAAAAAAAAAAAAAAAAAAAAAAAAAGAATTTATCTCGGCCGGGCGCAGTGGCTCACACCTGTAATCCCAACACTTTGGGAGGCTGAGGGGGGCAGATTGCCTGAGCTCATGAATTCGAGACCAGCCTGGGCAACACGGTGAAACCTCGTCTCTACTAAAATATAAAAAGTTGGCTGGGCATGGTGGCGTGGCGGCGTGCATCTGTAGTCCCAGCTACCCGGGAGGCTGAGGCAGGAGAATTGCTTGAACCCGGGAGGCGGAGGTTGCTGTGAGCCGAGATCGCACCACTGCACTCCAGCCTGGGTGACAGAGTGAGACTCCCTCTCCAAATAAAAAAAAGAATTTATCTCAAAAATCCTAAGAATGGGATACATTTCTGCATTTTCTGTGCTGCTCGAAATTGTTACTGTAAGTAACCATGTAACACCTTTGTAACACAAAACAAGTTCTTCTTCTAAAGAATAGTTCTATTAACCCAAAAAGATTCCTCTTGTATTAATAATGAAATACACATCTGCTATTCTATCTAGCTCAGGCTTGATCATCCACTTCCTTTAGGAAGGAAAACTGGGGGAGGCTTTTTAAAAATTAAGCTTTGCGTTTACACAAGTAGAAAATGCCTCCTGTGTCACTCTAATTGTTTCAATTAAAGTACTCACTTCGTATTACTTAGTTGCTGCAGTGTATGATTTTGTCACATAAAACACTGAACATGGGAGCTGAAAATCTGTTTTCTCATTAAAATCAACTGTTCTCACATAAACATCCCACAAAGTGCTTATCAATAAGCTGGTAAGACAAACATGTATTAAAGTAGATCTGACTTTATTCGCCTTTCTAAATGGCTTTACAATTAACAATCCATTCTTTGAATAAAAAAGTTACACAAAAATTACTGTAGATTTCTCAGAACACAGTAATATGGTAAATGAGGTACTCCTTTTAAAAACTAAACCCTTTCAGGAATTAAACTTCAGCAATTCCAGTTAACATTTAAAAACTAAAGAATCTAATTAAGAGACCACTCAGGAAAGGAAGATGGTTTTTAACTTCTGCACTAGCAATAAACCAAATCCCTCTCTTTGGTCTAATTTATGGCTGGAATAGAAATGAATCTTCCCCTAGTGGCAAACAACCCACAGCAGAAAAGCTGTATTGCTTCCCTTTAAGAGGCACCAAATCTAGTAGATCAAACCAAGCCTCCTGGAGACCCGTTTAGGAGTGGATGGGCCCCTCTGTATGCAGCTTCACGTATCTGAGATCACATCTGTATCTACTCCTACCCAGCAGAAAAATCACTTATTGGGCACTGAAATGTGTTAATGTCACCTTTGAATTTAACTCTGGCCATTGCCAATCAATTTCTTTGAATGAAATAATGAAACAGGACTTCAAGTCCTGACTCAAAAAAGATTAAGAAGCTCTTCAGTGACTGTGACCGCTAAGCTTCTACTTCCAGCCCAGTTTGTGTAAGAAATAGAGCCTGTAAGATGAGTGAGAATTCTGTCCTCTCCAAACTTCTCAATTAGATGTGAATGGTGCTTGGGCTTCATGGAGCATCTCAGTACCCAACCCGTCCAGGAGGAGCCGGTGGCTTTGAGGAAGGAGGATGAGGACACCATCTGGGAAGAGAGGAGAGCAAATGCTACTCCCTTGAAAAGGCGCTTTTTGTTGTTGTTTTTTAAAAAACAGTAACAATAAAGAGACACAGCAAAGTTTTGGAAGTGATGGATATGTTTATTACCTTGACTGGGTGATGGTAACACCAGCCTATACTTATATCCAAACTCACCAAATTGTATACATTAGTTATGTACAATTTTTTATATACCAGATATATCTCAATAAAGCTAGGAAGTGGGGTAGAAAGGGTGTTTGCTGGGAAAACCAAAATGGCAATCAGCTAGGAATCTGGGATGGACTGTATTTTCATCACTAATTGTACCCAATTCTGTTCAACTTTAAAATTATGCAAAACTCTCCAGTGCTTACATGAATATATTCTCATTGAAAAGCCCTCTCTGAAATTTTAATGAAGTTCAAATGGCCCCAGAGAAATCTGCTCACTGATATTCCTTTTCAAGAGATTGCTTAGGAAAAAAAAAAATCTAGAAATAAGATGCTCAGGGGAGAAAACTTGCTTCCTTTGTAATTATTTTGTAATAGCACTATGAGTTTCACATATTTTAAAGAATTTGGCTTAAAATTACACTGAAATTCCACATGTACAGCAGGGAGTAAAAATTTAATACTCCTCTTGAAAAAGTCAACAGTGAATTGAACTTTAGGTCCAGTTTTTGTTACAAAATAACTGATAGTCAATACTACAATCTTTAACCCTGCTGGAAAAAAAGGGTGATTAATTACCTGAAAGGGCAATGCAAGTTATACAGATTTTTTTTTTTTTTTTTTTTTTGAGATGGAGTCTCTCTCTGTCGCCCAGGCTGGAGCGCAGTGGCACGATCTAGGCTCACTGCAACCTCCGCCTCCTGGGTTCAAGCAATTCTCTGTCTCAGCCTCCCAAGTAGCTGAGATTACAGGCGCCCACCACCACGCCCGGCTAATTTTTTTTTTTATTTTTAGTAGAGACAGGGTTTCACTATCTTGGCCAAGTTCATCTTGAACTCCTGACCTCGTGATCCACCCCCCTCAGCCTTCCAAAGTGCTGGGATTACAGGCGTGAGCCACCGTGCCCGGCCATACAGATTCTTCTTAATCAACAGGACACAGAAGAAAAAGAAGTCTCTCTTCATAACTGACTTTCCATCCTACAGAGCTACATGCATTGAGACTGGCACACATTCCACAATGCACCACGCTTTGGTATATCTGAGACAGTCAAAGGAAATATTAAAATGAATGAACAAATTAACAGTTCAAAACCAAAGCCCAAATCTTAGTTTGGGAATCAACATCTTCCCAATATTATTAATTTTTTATGGCGTTGTGGCACCTTATTGTTAGTTTGATTTTACAGTATCACAGTAAGTAACACTGAAAAGAAAATCACTACTTACTGATTATAAGCCTGGGGAAAATGAACCACAGTTCCTCATGGAAACAGTAAAACCTTTCGACATAAAATACAGCAAGTCTGGAGAATGAACAGTAGGTCTTGGGGCAGAAATAGCAAAAAGTGAGCAGTGAAAGTACCTTTTCCCCTTTCTCTGAGCTAAATGCCTACAACCTAAGTTCTTCCCACAGAAAATGCAATCTGAAGACAGATGTTGAACCTTGTCTTATTAGTGAAAGACACAGATAATGTAGATACACATATTAAAATCTTATTCTCTTCCAAAATATATTTATACAACTAAAGATAAAATTAGCCTTTCAAAAGCTTTCATGCATTACAAAATATTCTTGAATAATTTTTTACTATGTTTTTCCATAGCCTTACATCTTTCAAAATTTTATATTAAGTCCAGATTTCTTTGAGACAGGGTCTTGCTCTGTTGCCCAGGCCGGAATGCAGTGGTACAATCTCAGCTCTGCAGCATCAACCTCCTTGGCTCAAGCAATCCTCCCATCTCAGCCTCCTAAGCAGCTGGGACTATAGGCACACAGCACCACACGTGGCTACCTTTTAAATTTTCTTTGTAGAGATGGAGGTCTCACTATGTTGCCCAGGCTGGTCTCGAACTCCTGGCCATAAGAGATCTTCTCACCTCGGCCTCACAAAGTGCTGGGATTACAGGCATAAGCCACTGCATCTGGCCCCAAATTTTTAAAAATCCTCTTTAGGATGAAAAATGATCCCCTCTGAAATAAGTTTCCTATTTAGCTAATGAATGTTGAGTGCTATTCCAGATAAAAGCATGGAGAAAAACAGTTTCCATAAGGTAGTAAACACTAACGGTCCCTACGGCCTCGAGGGAGGGGGAGTACGCTACGAACATTCATAGAAATATGTTTCTTTAATAGATCTCAAACAACACTTTCAGGGTGGTCCATCTAAACATAGGTTGTGTTTAATATAAAATGACTGCAAGCAGAGCCTGTCAATGCAAGACACATTGCTACATCTGTCACATAAAATAGAAAAACAAGCTGTACAGCAGAGGACCTGTCCATGGACCTCCCAGGCTCAAGCGATCCTCCCGGCTTAGCCTCCTGAGTAGCTGGGACTACAGGCACATACCACCGTGCCTGGTTAATTTTTTAAGTTTTGTTGTTGTTGTTGTTGCTGTTGTTTAGACAGAGTCTCAATCTGTCGCCCAGGCTGTTGTGCAGTGGCGCAATCTCGGCTCACTGCAACCTCCACCTCCTGGGTTCAAGCGATTCTCCTGCCTCAGCCTCCCAAGTAGCTGAGATCACAGGCATGCACCACCACGCTCAGCTAATTTTTGTATTTTTAGTAGAGATGGGGTTTCACCATGTTGACCAGGCTGGTCTCGAACCCCTGATGACCTCAGGTGATCCACCCACCTCAGCCTCCCAAAATGCTAGGATTACAGGCGTGAGCCACCACACCTGGCCAGTTTTTAAAGTTTTTTGTAGAGACGACATCTCACTATATTGCCCAGGCTGGTCTTGAGCTCCTGGCCTCAAGAGATCCTGCTGCCTGGGCCTCCCAAAGTGCTGGGATTACAGGCATGAGCCACCATGCCTGGCCCCATTTTTCTAAAAAGAGAAGCTTGCATTCTAGTCCAGATGTGCAGGACACGACCCTGCAGAGAGGTGGTCTCTTCCATGTGCCTGTTGTGGAGTCCACCCCATCGTGTGCAACATGCCGTATTTAAGGGCCTTGCCCATCAAAATGCCCCACACTCCCCTGGAGGTGCTTCTCAAAAGCTTCTGGGCCCCCAGCACATGCCGTCCACCTCCCCAGAAGCTCTCAGGCTCGTCCTGCCAGCAGCACCCCAAGGACCCTAGAACTCTGCCCGCCACACCCACAGCCTTCTTGAAAACTCCACTTAGACCTCACCTCTGGCAGAAACCACCTCATTCCTGACTCTTCCCAGGGCCAGTTTTTGCATTCCTTGGCACTTAAGAATTTCGTTCACCCCATACGACAGTCCCTTAAGTTTGCCCACTGTCTACACTCTCTTCTTCGACTGCCATGTGCGCGTGCTGGATTCGAATCTTCGCTAGGGCGGGGATTCTGCCTTCTGCCTTCCTTCTCCTGAGTCACCCACCAGAGTCCTGCTGTGCATCTCAAACAGCAGCTTCAGATCTTGTAACTCCTAGGAAGTCCAGGGCAAAGCTCAATGCCGGATCGTAAAGGAATGCCAGGTTTCCGGGTTCTACTAAAGCCTCTTGGTTCTGTCCTTCCCCGAAAGCCCTTCCCTGAGGCCTTCCCATCCTAAGATGTTCACGATGAAAACGCACTAGAACACGACACAAAACCAACCCACTCTCTCAGGTGTTATTTGTCAGTATGGTGATCTCGTGTTGAAATCACTGAAATTCTCATCCTCTCCCGACCAGTGAGATGACGTCCGCAGGCGGACCACCTCTCTAGACTCCAGTCTTGCTGGTCAGATGATTTCTTTTCCTTTTCATCTCAGCTCTAATGTTTTCTTTTTCTACCCAAAGCCCCAGACCATCCACCAACAAAGTATCTGGTACAGTTTCTCATAATGCTGTCAACTTGTCATAGAATGCAACCATCCTTCTCTGTTTGCCTGCCCCCAGTGCCCTGCACCTCCCTTCTTCTCTCAGAACAGCTGCCAGCAGGGAACAAAGTCAGGTTTCAATAAACTGGGAGCATCGCCGCATCCTCCCTTCCTGCCTGGGAAGGCCACTCCAACCGTCACCATCACCACGCAGGCAAGACTCCCACCAAGGCCAAAGCAGCTTGAGTTTCAAGGCCAGCACTCGCTGACCCCTCCAAGGCCTCAGATCTAATCATTCATTCGTCATCGCGTGTTCCTTTTCCAAAAGTCCCAAAAAACGTGCGTCTACCCTGAATCGGTTGTGCTAATAACTCATGCTTTAAGCAGCACAAGGCCCCAGCCACTGGCCACAGGCGTCCCTGGCCAAGGGTGACCCCGTGCAAGGGTAGAAGAGATGATCAAGGCCCCTCCAGTCCACAGGGCTAAAGGAAAGGGAGCTAAAGCCACCTCCCCTCCTGCCTCCTTCCCTCCTTGTGGAGGGATCACCACGGATATCACCTGCTCACTTCACTCTCGCTCTCTGGAGAAGAGAGGTAGCCGTCTTCCTGATGAAGTTACCTGCCCAGGTGTCTTTGGGCCCCTCCTCCTTCACCTGCTGGGAGGCAAACAATAGCAGCCCTTTCTCTCTCCTCTAGCACAGTCTGGACCAGCAGCCCCACCAGCAAGTCCAGGTGGGGCTCCCCGCTTGGAGCCAGAGAGTCACCTGCTCCCCAGAAGTCTCACCTGAGCACCCCCTCCCCGCTCATCTCCTCCGGGAGCAGCCCTTCAATAACCAATGCCACCCGCCACTCAGTGGCCCAGCCAGAAACCCAAGGGACCACCTCTCCCCACTGCCCCCAGGCCACTTGGTGCCTGCCATCCCTGCCTGAGGCCTGCTGGAGTCTCTAACAGCACTGCCTAATCCGGACCTCAGCCCCACTCATGCTGGAGATCAGTTCTTCAGCTCCAGCCATGTCTCCTCCCCCTCCACCCCTCACACCACTTAAAATGATTCCACAGTGTAGAAATCGTATGAAACAGCTAAAAATGCTGGATAAAATATAAACAACATCTTTGTCAACGCACTGCTGATCAAGCAAAACAGTAAGGAAACTCAGGCCCAAAGAGCTCCAATTGCAAGCACGCAATAAAGGGGCAGTGGAGCCAGTGTTTGCCCTGAGGGCCTTGGCTGAACCTGGATGTGGGCTCCAGTTTTTATGATGGGATGAGGGAGAGAAAACACAACCAGGGTCGGTCCAGGGTAGAGAACCTAATAGGAGACAGCTGCGTAAACCGGCACTTGTTCCCTTGGGGCTCCTTTCTCCATAGGGTAAGTATCTTAAGTGTTCAATATACTGAATGCTGGTGTTATTTCCCCACAACTGCAGTAAATCTTCAAAAATATGCTGAAAGTAGTCTGTAGATACATTAACCCATAAGGAAGTCCAATTCCCTGTGAGTTTTAACAGGTAAGACCCCATCCATACCACTAATCAGACTTTCCCAGGCAGGAAGTTGGGTTTTTCTCTAAAACAACAAAGGTAACGCATGCTAAGTGGGTTAGTTATTTTGCTACCTCAAGTACAGCTGGCCCTTGAACAATGTGGGGGTTGGCGCACAGACCCCCTCCACAGTCAAAAATCTGAGTAGAACTTTTGACTCCCCCAAAAATTAACTACTCATAGCCTATTGTTGACCTTATCAGTAACATAGCCAGTCAATGATATGGTTTGGCTGTGTCCCCACCCAAATCTCATCTCGAATTGTAGTTCCCATACTTCCCACATGTCCTGGGAAGGACTTGGTGGGAGGTAACTGAATCATGGGGGCAGGTCTTTCCTATGCTGTTCTCATGACAGTGAATAAGTCTCAGGAGATCAGATAGTTTTATAAAGGGGAGTTTCCCTGCACACTCTCTCTTTGCCTGCCACCACGTAAGACATGCCTTTCTCCTCCTTTGCCTTCTGCCATGATTGTGAGGCCTCCCCACCCATGTGGAACTGCGAGTCCAATAACCCTCTTTTTTTAATAAATTACCCAGTCTCAGATATGTCTTTATTAGCACCATGAGAACGGAATACAGTCGATTAACACATAATTTGTATGTGTATTATTACTGTATTCTTACAAAAAAGCTACAGACAAGAAAATGTTATTAAGAAAATCTGTTTACTAAGTGGAAGTGGATCATCATAAGGGTTCATCCTCAACAGCGTCACCTCAAGTGGGCTGAGGAGGAAGAGGAGGGGTTGGTCTTGCTGTCTCAAGGGCAGCAGAGACATCTGCATGAAAACCTGTTTCGCAGATATGCTTTCTCCTCTATGATTTTCCTGATGGCATCTGGGAACTCATCTACTGCCTCTTAGTCGGGAGAAGCTGCTTCTCCTGTCATCTTAACATTTTTTAAGTCAAACCTTTTTCTAAAATTATCAAACCATGCTTTTGCTGGCATGACATTCTCCAGCTTTAGATCCTTCACCTTCCTTTTGCCTTAAGTTTTCACTTTCCCCAAATCATATTATTAGAGTCTATAGGTATGACTTTCTTAGAGCAAGCCTGCACTCACATAAAAGCTGCATTTTCAATACAAGATAAAACAGCATTTCGCAAAAAGCACAAGGTTTTCAGACCTGCTGATGTAGCCATAGCGACCACTTGACTAATTTTTCTTTCTTTCTTTAAAAAAAAAATGGTCCTTATGCTAGATTCATTTATCTTGAAATGGTGGGCAACTGAAGCTGCAGTCCTCAATCTATGCTACATATCAAGCAATTCAACTTTTTCTTGTAATGACATGACTTTTCTCTGCTTCCTGAGAGCACTTCCAGAATCAATGGTGCCACTTCATACGGGTCCCATAGTGTCATTCAAAGTTTACAGTATTGCACTAAATGTGATGAAAAAATACGCAAGAACCACGAGTGATCACTTTTTACTGAGATAAGCAATTTAGTGGAGATGAACCGCTCATGACGGAGATGATCCACATTTGAAGCAGATACTAAAAACACTTGAGTTCACTGCAACAGCAACAGGAAGTGGCTATGAGACTGGGACAGTAGTATAGTGTTACTACAGTTAATTTCATGCAGTCATGATTTAATGCTGCATCTTTACATTTGTTTACATTTCTCTCAACTGCAATCGGTGCCACATACAGTCCGTCAGCGTTTGTGTAAGTTTTGATAAATTTTAACTTTTTTTTTTTTTTGAGACGGAGTTTCGATCTTGTTGCCCAGGCTGGAGTACAATGGCGTGATCTCAGCTCACTCCAACCTCCGCATCCCAGGTTCAAGCGATTCTCCTGCCTCAGCCTCCCGAGTACCTGGGATTATAGGCACCCACCACCATGCCCGGCAAATTTTGTATTTTTAGTAGAGATGGGTTTTCGCCATGTTGGTCAGGCTGGTCTTGAACTCCTGACTTCAAGTGATCCACCTGCCTCAGCCTCCCAAAATGCTGGGATTACAGACATGAGCCACACGCGCCCGGCCTAAATTTTAACGTTTTCTTTTTTTCCCCCTGAGACAGAGTCTTGCTCTGTTGCCCAGGCTGGAGTGCAATGGCGCAGTCTTGGCTCATGGCAGCCTCCACCTCCTGGGTTTAAGTGATTCTTCTGCCTCAGCCTCCGGAGTAGCTGGGATTACAGGCGTGTGCCACCACGCCTGGCGAATTTATTTTTGTATTTTTAGTAGAGATGGGGTTTCACCAAGTTGGCCAGGCTGGTCTCAAACTCCTGACCTCGTGACCCACCTGCCTTGGCTTCCCAAAGTACTAACATTACAGGCGTGAGCCACCACGCCTGGCAAATTTTAACTTTCTGTAATAGATCTGTGTTCATTTTATGGTAGTAAATGATAAAATAGACTACCAACATATATTTTATATATTCATGACATATCTCACTTTCTTAATTTTTTTATTTCTTGGCTATGAGGTTCATCTGTTTTTTTCAAATTGTCACATACCTCCAAAAAATTTTCCAATATATTTATTTTTAAAACTCTGCATAACATTGGACTTGAGAAGTTCAAACCTGTGTTGTTCAATGGCCAACTGTATTATTTTAGAAATGCACGTAGGAGATGTTGGCAACGTCTATGCATTTTCCGTGCAAGCTAAGGAAGGCTCTGAGCAGGTATCATATTACTAGATTTATGGCCTTACATGGTTTTAATTAAATCGTGTTTGGAAGCATAGTTCTTTTTCGTAAGTTTTCATACAGGTGCTGCTTAGATGGAGAGCTCCATATCTTCACAAAATCACTTTTTCCCGGCTACAAATCAAGGTTTTTGAAGAAGAAAAAATGCCATGTGATGAGGGTTATTTATGGTAAAGCAAAGGTTCATCCCTCTTTGTTCTAAAAACGGGCCTAGAAAAGAAGCCAGTCACAAAAGGCCACATATAGGATGATTCCAATTATATGAGTTTCGGAAGGCCGAGGCGGGCAGATCACCTGAGGTCGGGAGTTCGAGACCAGCCTGACAAACATGGAGAAACCCCTTTTCTACTAAAAATACAAAAATTAGTTGTGTGTAGTGGGACATGCCTGTAATCCCAGCTACTCTGGAGGCTGAGGCAGGGGAATTGCTTTAACCCAGGAGGCGGAGGTTGCCGTGAGCCGAGATCACACCATTACATTCCAGCCTGGGCAACAAGAGCGAAACTCTGTCTCAGGGAAAAAAAAAAAAAAAGACAGAGGTGAATTGTACGGTTTATGAATGATACGGAATAAACCAGTGTATAAAATGAGCCTAGATGGTTGGCAGGGGCTGGGGGACGGGGAAATGGGGGCTGTTTAATGTATCTAGAGTTTCAGTTTTAAAAAGGAAAGAGCTCTGGAGCTCTGATGCATAGCAACGTGAATATACTTATTAACACTAGTGAAACGTGTACTTAAAAATGATTAAGATGGTGAGCTTTATGACATCCCACCCACTCTAAGCTATCGGTCAAATGTTCCATTCCTACCTAGAGTATCCCACACCCGGGCATCACTCCGCTGTGGAGAGAGGGAGTTTCCCCCTCTGTCTCCGATACCTGTGTAGCTCCTTTTATCACCTCCCCAGGAGATTTCTTTATATTTGAAACATCAGGCATAATGGAATTCTAGGCATGATATCAGACATAAATCACTTTAGAATTTCTTCTCAGTGCCTTCAAGTCACTTGTGGCTTTTTTGAGACTTTTGATTTGTGTTAGAATATTACCCTCGATTCCCTGGGGCCCACAGCCTTGGGCACTGTGATGAAACTTATGTGGCTCTGGGGGTATTGCCTGGGGAGGACCACACTAAGTTCTCTGTAAAACTGATGAAGGTGTTCAGGGGTGTAAAAATGCCAAGCAGCTCCACCACAGCCATCAAAGAAGCCAGAAGGTGGGGTACACACAAGGACTCAGACATAAAAATCTCGCCAGCACTGTCACTGCCATCAAGGTCAGGAGAGACCCAAACTACCTACTTTTTATTACTCAATGAGGGATATGGGAAGAAATCTAGTTAGCTCTGTTTATCCTCTAAAGAAAATTTATTTTGATTGATATCACTGGAATTAAAAGATGTTACTAACCCCTGGCTTAAAAGGCATTATTACAAATCCAGTGTTTCTAAGAGAATATTAAAAATGGAGAAGTTGGGAGTGTTTCAGAGTCTTTCGGTCCTATGTGGAAAGATGGGCTTGGCGGCACCTGTCAGCTCAATTTGCTTTCTCAGAATGGAGGCTGTTGTGTCATATTTAGATAGACAGCCAAAGAAATACTACAGAATCTCTGAGCTTCCTCTTCAGCTGCTTGTCCATACATTCATTTATTTCTCTTTTTGTTTCCTGCTTGTCAATACTTCTAACTTAAGAGCAAGCAAACATATTTCAGGTTTAATTTTATGGAACAAACACTCTGCTTGTGAATTGTCCACAATATTTCCATAATAACTAACACACTATCACTCCATCAGGTTTCACTACACAAAGTATTGTGAAACGGAGGTGGAAATTTTTTCCAGGTGTTTAGACAAGTATTTAATGAAGCTGAAGCAATATGTTCTTTGAGCATTTAAAAATATTTGAGATTAATTTCACCAGATGATTTCTTAATCAGTAAACTGGCTTAGATAAGAAAAAGTCAGAATATTATTAATGAACCTAATGCTCTCTCATGTTTGAGATCAGCCAACAGGCCACTTACTTATACCCTACTTGCCTTAAGGAGTATGAAAGAAGTCCAGCTTTCTTAGTCTAACTGGTAGTTTCCAACAACTGAACCTCCCATCCATCTAAGAACAAGGAACAAGAATGAAGGTGAGGTGAGAGGAAGCCCCTGGGTAACATCCAGACACTCTGAGGATGCCAGCAAGCCAGGGCCAGAGTCCTTGAAGAAAACGCTGACCTGCACAGTGGGTAAAACTGCAGGACTCGGCCAGAATGCTGACGCTCAGTCAGTCCTGATGAAATAAAATGAAAGCTTAGAAGCGTACTGACTTGGTGGCAAATGTCAACTTTTTCCTGATTGGAGAAGAAACCCTCAGAGTTGGAGGCAGACGCATTCATACACATCAAGAAAAGATGTGGGATGGTAATTTCCTCTTTTTCCATTTCTGACTTGTAAAGGAAATACATGAAGCGAGTCCTTGCGGAATGGACCCGACAGCCTGAACCTTTCTGAGATGAGCAGGGCGCTCTTTCAGGGGAAAATCCGAGCCTCCTGCACTGGCAGAAGTCACCAAATCAGTTAGCATGGGTCATAAAAAGTCAGAATCCCATGTCATTCCTTGGACCACAATTTTTTAAGTTTGAAAGGAAGTGAAAATGCTCCTTAGGAACTCACACCTTCTGAATTGAATTGAGCAGTACGTGATTTCCAGAGCTTTTCAGTTTCCCCCTGAGAATTCAAATTTCTTCACATGCATAGAAGCTTGGAGGACTTGTAATAACATTTAAACACAATTTCCTCTTCATGGTACCCGTGGACAAGTTTCAGCTGGGGAACCCTCCTGGCCCCACCCTGGGGCTTGTCTATCTAATGAGTGTATTTGGGGGAAGGAGCTGGGACTCCTTGGCTGAGTTCTTTCCCCTCTCCTGTAACTTCTACCTGCTCACCGAGAGCACACATTCTGGAGAGTTCTCACGTGGGGGAGCCTGTGGCTTCCCAGTCTGCACACCAGTGACTGAGTGTCTAATTCAGGGCATAGTTAACCAGCCTGGCTGACAGGCATCAAGGTCCAGCATTCATCAGTAACAGGGTGGACACTGTGACTAGCCATGGATATCATGCCTCTTTCTTAATTAGTTCTGAACTCAGGAGAGGAAGATGTTATTTATTAACACCACTCCCTCTTAACATTAGACAACACCTTTGTTTTAACAGAGAATTCTATACAAATGGAAAAAGTGAGATGGTCTGGATGAGATGCTCTGCCAAGCTGTCAACCATCCATGCCTTGGAAAAACCTACCCACTGAGCTGGATAGTTACCCCCAGGCAAGTGCTCGCTTACAGCCTCAAAGCCTGAGGGCCTGGGGCCCAGAAGAACACACCAGCCTGCAGACAAAGGCCCTTGAACTTCTGAGCCTCCTAAATGACAACAGATACCATGAAAGGCCTTCACAGGGTCCTCACTTGATCTTCTGTCAATAGGGAAACCATTAGAGATTGATTTCTGGGAAAAATCAGACAGTAGTATTGAAATCATCATTCACTCAATATGAAGTTTCAAACCGCAGCTTTCTCAGAACAGATATCTAGGCATACCTTGGAGATACTATGAGTTTGGTTCCAGACCACCGCAATAAAGCAAATATTTCAATAAAATGAGTCACACAAATTTTTTGGTTTCCCAGTGCATAAAAAAAATGTTTACACCATACTGTAGTCTAGTAAGTGTGCAACAGCATGTCTTTAAAAACAGTGTGCATACCTTAAAAATACTTTATTGCTAAAAAATGCTAACACAGAGACATGAAATAAGCACATGCTGTTGGAAAAATGGGGCCAATAGACATGCGAAATGCAGAATTGCCACCAACCTTCAACTTGTAAAAAACGCAATATCTGCAAAGGCAAATAAAGCAAAGAGCAATAAGATGAGGCATGCCTGGAATCTGTAAGGAGATGATCTTTGCATACATTATTAACTAGGCACATTGGTGCCCATTTATGAAATCTACACTCCTAGCATGAAAATCTGAAAACTACTTCTGACAGAAATCTTTTCCTATAAATACCAGCAGTTCTCCTTCAAAACAAAAGTAAATAAAATCTGAAGTGACTGTATACCAAACTGTAGTTTACATGGTGGTAAAGTGAGACTAAGTGAATTAAAAACAACAGGCCCCTAAAGATTCATTAGTTAAGCAAAAAAAAAAAAAAAAAAAAACCAACCAAACAAAAAAAGCCGGGCACGGTGGCTCATGCCTGTAATCCCAGCACTTTGGGAGGCCAAAGTGGGCAGATCGCCTGAGGTCAGAAGTTCAAGACCAGCCTGGCTAACATGGCGAAACCCCATCTTTACTAAAAATACAAAGAAATTAGCTGGGCGTGGTGACGAGTACCTGTAATCCCAGCTACTTGGGAGGCTGAGGCAGGAAAATCACTTGAACCTGGGAGGCAGAGGTTGCAGTAAGCCAAGATTGTGCCATTGCACTCAAGCCTGGGCCACAAGAGCAAAACTCCATCTCAAAAAAATTAAATAAAAATAAAGCAAAAGGGCAAATTTTAAAGAGGATATTTTATTCTCTATGAGGAAAAAAAGTACTCTAGTCCCTTTGTAAATCTGAACTCCAAAACAGAAATGAGGCCGGGTGTGGTGGCTCACCAACACTTTCGGAGGCCAAGGCAGACAGATCACCTTAAGTCAGGAGTTTGAGACCAGCCTGGCCAACATGGTGGAACCCTGTCTCTACTAAAAATACAAAAAATTAGCCGGGCATGGCGGCAGGCACCAGTAATGCCAGCTACTTGGGAAGCTGAGGCAGGAGAATCACTTGGTCCCAGAAGGCGGAGGTTGCAGTGAGCCAAGATTATGCCACTGCACTCCAGCTTGGGCAGTAGAGCGAGCCTCTGTCTCAAATAAAATAAAATAAAATAAAATAAGAAATAGAAAATAGAAATGAATGACAACATAGCATCTACATGGAAAGCGTGCACTGCCCTGTAAAACTGCTTGACTGCTTCTGCTTTCCTTGACTGCCACTAAGCTTGTCCAGAGTATTTTTTTTTTACATCCTCTGTTCTCCCTAGCTCCAGAGCTTAAGAATTTATTTTCTGTGTCCTCCGTCCAAATATCAGCTTGGCCGAAGCAGTATCTTGGGGTTATCCTTGCACCCAGGCTTGTCATTGTGAACTGCTAAACCATTCCCTGCTGATATGATTTGGCTGTGTCCCCACCCAAATCTCACCTTGAACTGTAATAATCCCCATGTATCAAGGACAGGGCTAGGTGGAGATAACTGAATTATGGGGGGGGCAGTTCCCCCCTTACTGTTCTCGTGGTAGTGAATAAGTCTCACGAGATCTGATGGTTTTATAAAGGGCAACTCCCCCGTACACTTTCTCTTGTCTGCCGCCATGTAAGATGTGCCTTTGCTCCTCCTTCACCTTCTGCCATGAGTGTGAGGCCTTCCCAACCTGTGAGTCCATTAAACCTCTTTCCTTTATAAATTACCCAGTCTCTGGTATATCTTTATTATCAGCATGAGAACAGACTAATACACCTGCTAACTGCATGGCTTACTGACAAATTAGAGGCTGTTTCTGCATGCATCTCCTTTACCCGTAGATCCTTCCTCTTTGAGACTCGTTATGCCCATCACAGCAGTGTTTCCCAAGGCACAGAAAGTGAGGAACACGCACCATGTATAATATATTCTGGTTTTATTAAAAAAAAGCAGAAAAAAGACAAATGGGGTGACTGCCTAGGTCACAGTAATTCATGTCCACACTCTTTGACCATGGTGAGCTGCCCAGGGACCTCACAACAAGCCCACTTCTCTGCTGACATTAACCAGAGTCACTTACTGTTGCTTACAATGCAAAGGTTCTTAATTGAGAACATAGATAAAAGAAAACAACTGCAAAGACATAATCTAAATCATCAATGCTTTTGTTTGGTTGACTGATGGAAGCTTTTATTTCTTTAACCATTTATGCATTTTCTCAATTTGCTACAATAAACATAGATTGCACTGGGGTGAATACTAAGGAACTCGGAGGGTTAGGGTTAATTTCTGTGAAAGACCAAATATGTTTCTCTGGTTCTCACTAAAGCCTATAATGTGTTCAAAGATGCCAAAACCTCTTATACTCAAAGTTGTAATGTTAACATGTAATTATTAAAATTACCTATAACAGGCTCACAGACAATGACAAATTTTTTTCAATAATGCCCAAATAAGTCTCTCTTGGGTGAGGGGAGGGGAGTGCCCACTTCTCTAAAGCAAGTAAGAGGCAATGTCTCATTTATCCTACGGTACTAGGCACGACCAGTGACCATCAGGCTGCCTGCTAGGAAATGTCGTTTATACCATCACAACTTGATTTTAAACAACACTTGCTTTCTGAGTATTTCTTCAACACTCATACAATAAATCTGTGTATTGTCTACCTTTTATTTTTATTTCATATTCTTAACCCATAACAGCCAATACAGTAGAGAGAGGCGTAGTAACTCAAGTGAGATACTGCAAGCCCCATGGCTTTCCACCAGGGTTGCTGACATGACCTTTGTAGTTTTTATTATATGCTATGCTGTGTAACCCTTATCCACTAAAAACAAAAAAAAGAACTGAAGCTTGGGAAACAAAGCAAGATGCCATCTTTATTAAAAAAAAAAAAAAAAGAAATAAAGTATATAATAATCATCTAAAAATTCGCTGGTGGAGAGTGGTCCCAGCTAAACAGGAGGCTGGGGTGGGAGGACCGCTTGAGCCCAGGTGGTTGAGGCTGCAGTGAGCCATGACGGCACCACTGCACTTGCTCTAGCCTGGGCAACAGAGAGACCCTGTCTCCAAAAAAAAAAAAGAAATCTGAGATTATGTTATTAATGTATATATGTCCTGTCCCTGTTATAAAAGTTAATAATATTTTACATTGTTACTCAGAGGCCTCATGTTGTAAATAAAATATAAATAGAAAAGGTTTCATAATGGGGAAATTTACCCAAATGCTACCCTTTTATTAAAACATAACTTTTAAATTTCTTGCAAAAAAATCCCACACTGCAAGTTTCCAAATGCTACAACACAACAGCACAAACACCATTCTTGATGTGTTCTATCTTCATCTTCACTGCTAGCTGAATCTTTGCAAAGAAATGTGGGGAAATGTGGGTAGAAGGGTAAATAGAAAATGTGTCACTAGCGAGGAATTAACTAGAGCAAGGTCCACATGCTATGTCTTGGCAGCTCTCTGCTTGGAATGTCATATGTTATTCAAAAAACAATATTTAATTGCAGGATCTGCATGTCTAGAGCAGCAGGGAGATGCTACTTGGCTTGCTTGCTCAAAGATAAGTTTTATACAAATATTAAAAGATTCTGTAATCTTGTATTTGTTAAAAAGAATAACAAATTCCTATTTCTGAGGTTATGAGAATCTTATTACTCAACTGGTCAGTGCATATAGCAACTACTAGAAAATAAAGAACATCTAATCCCTTTAGTAACTTCAGTATCATTTTAACATTCTATATCTTTGCAATGTGTTTTCAATCATCGGATAGCCTAGAAACCAAGCAAATCATGCAAGAAGAGGTGAACCAATCCTTAGAATTAGGTAATCTGCAGAAGATCCCGTAAGTGGATCAATGAACAGAAAAAAAAAGTTCCATTAACTTTTTACTCCTGGTATGTGCAAGAAACACTCTGGCAACCGGGGAAATCCCAGAGAAGCCAGTCACAGC
This sequence comes from Homo sapiens, assembly GCF_000001405.40. NCBI lineage: Eukaryota > Metazoa > Chordata > Mammalia > Primates > Hominidae > Homo > Homo sapiens. The sequence continues at coordinate 98,228,623 of NC_000013.11, read as the reverse complement.
CTTAAAGGGTCTGATGGATCTGTAAGGCGAGATCCATAAAATGGTAACTAACGATATACTATACAAACAATAGATAACCGCCAAATGATGCGATGAATGGTAGGGAAACTTGAATTTTAAACTTCAATCAGCTGGGGCTAATTTAACTAGTTTCCAAATCACATTGCTGCTCTGTGGCATTTTTTTTTTTAATTGTGATTTAAAAAAACAGGTAACATGGGGTTTACCATTTTAGCCATTTTTCCTTTTTCTTTTTATTTTTTGAGACTGATTTTCACTCTTGTTGCCCAGGCTGAAGTGCAATGGCACGATCTTGGCTCACGGCAGCCTCCGCCTCCTGGGTTCAAGCAATTCTCCTGACTCAGCCTCCCCAGTAGCTGGGATTACAGGCGCCCGCCACCATGCCCAGCTAATTCTTTGTATTTTTAGTAGAGACAGGGTTTCACCATGTTGGTCAGACTAGTCTCAAACTCCTGACTTCAGGTGATCCACCCGCCCTGGCCTCCCAAAGTGCTGGGATTACAGGCATGAGCCACCACGCCCGGCCCATTTTAGCCATTTTTAAGTGCACATTCAGTAGTGCTAGGTATATTCGCATTGTTGTGAAAAAGATCTCCCAATGTTTTCATCTGGCAAAACAAACTCTGTACCCATTAGACAGCTCCCATTTCTGCCTTCCCACAGCAACCACCATTCTACTGTTTCTATTTATGTACCCCATATTAGTAGAATCATATAGTATTTTTCTTTTTGTAACTGGCTTATTTCACTTAGCATAATGTTCTCAAGGTTCATCTATGTTGTGGCATATGGCAGGATTTCCTTCCTTTTTAAGACTGAATAGTACACCATTTTGCACGTATATAACACACTTTGCTTCTCCATTTATCCAAGGATGGATGTTTGGGATCCTTCTACCTCCTGGCTAGCGTGAACAGTACTGCTATGAACATGGGTGTTCAATTATCTCGACGAGATCCTGCTTTCAATCTGGGCATGCCCCCAAAGGAGGATTGCTGGATCATACAGCAACTCTATTTTACATTTCTTTAGAACTGCCATAATATTTTCTACAGCAGCTGCACCATCTTACATTCTCACCAACAGTGCACAGAGTACCAATTTCTCCATATCCTCATCAGTACTCGTTTTTTTCTGTTTTTTTTTTTTTTAATAGTAGCCATCCTAGTAAGTGTGAGCTGGTATCTCACTGTGATTTTGATTTGCATTTCTTAAATGATTAGTGATGTTCCCCAACATAGCTTCTGGAAGCCTGAGTGAATGCTAGGATAATGGTGAAGACATTTTTTCAACGTGGACTAATCCATCTAAAGAACAGACATTTGCCGGAATGAACATGAACGTTAGAAATGCAACAGGAGGCCAGGGCGCGGTGGCTCACGCCTGCTATCCCAGCACTTTGGGAGGCCAAGGCGGGCGGATCATGAGGTCAGGAGATCGAGACCATCCTGACTAACACAGTGAAACCCCGTCTCTACTAAAAATACAAAAGAACTTAGCCGGGCATGGTGGCGGGCGCCTGTAGTCCCAGCTACTCAGGAGGCTGAGGCTAGAGAATGACGTGAACCCGGGAGGCGTAGCTTGCAGTGAGCCGAGATCGTGCCACTGCACTCCAATCTGGACAACAGAGCAAGACTCCATCTCAAAAAAAAAAAGAAAGAAAGAAAGAAATGCAACATGATTGGTTGAGAGGTGCTCCTGGTAGCTTTCAAACTCGCACTCTCCCACTACTGATCCACCGGGAAATGGTGGTGGGAGAGTGATGGTGAAGAAAAATAACTCAAAAACAACAACAAAAAAAACCAATCGCTCTTACAGTTCACTTGATTAATACAGCTGGGATTTCTCATCTCATATGGCCACCCGTACTTCAGTTCTAATTCCAAGTACACATACATGTGATTTAAGAGTTCTGGTCTCCTCCACTTACTGGGAAAATGTCCCAGACTACATTATGCTCCAAAAGAACAAGAGCAGAAAACTGGGGAAATGAGTTACACAGCTAGAAGTCACAGCAGCAGTCAACAGCACAGCCATTTTTCAAACGGTTTGTTAAAATAAAACAATGGGAGTTGTTATACAGTTGTGTTAAACTACATCTCCCCTCCTCCACAAAAAAAAAAAAAGATGAAGTCCTAATCCCTGGTACCTGTGAGTATGAACTTATTTGGAAATCAGGTCTTTGAAAATGATCAAGTTGCAATGAAGTCAGTAGGGCGGGCCCTAATCTAATATGACCATGTCCTTACGAAAGGGGAAAATACAGAAACACTTGCGCAGCAAGAAAATCACGTGAAGATGACCGCAGAGACAGAGGCAATGTATCTATAAACCAAGGAATGCCACAGATTACCAGCAAACCTCCAGGAGCCAGGAGAGAAGCACAGGACCAGCTTTTCCTCACAACCCTTGGAAGGAACCAACCCTGAAGACACCTTGATCTCAGACAGCTGGTCTCCAGAGCTGAGACCATACACTGAGATTCTTCAAGCCACCCAGTTTGTGGTACTTTGTTATAGCAGTGCTAGCGAACTCGTACTCCATAATTCAACAAATGTCAACTTAAGTCATTAAGGAATGGATTAGCCTGGAAAAACGGACAACTAAAGTGCTCCCCCAATGCTATGGCAGAGACGGTGCCAGCAGGGACTTCCAACCATCACTGACCTCCCCAAGAGTGCATGTGGGTAAAAGGGATGTACAAAAACGCCCTTGTTTTCAGTCAGTACCTTGTGTGCCACTAAACAATAACCAGAGACAAAACCAACTCTCCAGGCCCCTGGATCCAGCATTTTAGGAGCCAGACAAGAGGGCAAAAATAAGTTTGGAAGCTAAGCAAGGCAACTTGTACCTACCCACATAAAGACTCTAACAGCCCGGTTGGCAGGACGCCGGAGGGCTGTTGGCAGTGTCTTGGTTTCTGCTGAACCAGTTTTCTGGAGAAAATCAGAACTTTATTTTTCTAAGATGGCCACGGGCCTTTCAGGAGCTTCAAAAGAGACACAAGGCAGGGGAGGGTCCTGACGGGAAAGTCTGCCTTAGAGAAATGGTCCTTAAAATGGAAAGGAAGGGAAACGAAGAAGAAACACTCTTGGTTTCATGAGGGAGTGCAGAGTCCACAGTTAGCAAACACTCGTACTGTTGTACTTGGAGCGAGAGTTCTCCTCGTGTGATGGGAATAATGGGTGAGATCGTAATAAACCCCAGGGCATGATCAGAGGAATGGTGCGAGTCCAAGCAGCTCAGTCCTGTGGGCGACACACAGGAGGTCTGATCATCGTGGAGAAATCTACTTGGGTGCAATGAGCTGTGAAATGCAACTGAAATCAAGTCAATAAAAGGAAAAGAGTTGTTCTCGGCACTGGATCACGAAACCAGACGTCCCGTTTAACAGCTCTAATAAAATATGTCATCTTCGTCCTTACAAAAATGATCAGGCTAAGAGATAAGATGGTTAATAGTAACATCTGAGGTTTTTTCAGCTCTTATATTCAACTTATGCTGTGACTACTACACAAAGCAGTCTCTTTCTTCATCATTTGAATTCTACTGCTAAGACCGTCTAGAAATTCAGAGCATGTCTGTGAATCCCAGGACTGAAGTGTGAATGAAAGGTATTCTTATTGATGCCTGCCATGTGAAGCCATGTCCTGTAGGTGAAGGGATGAAGGATCAGTCGGGAGGTAAAAAGGATCCCGTGGCCAGAGAATGCAGGAATGGAAGCCAAGGCAGAGGAAGAGAGCCTGAGGTTAGCGAGGCAGGGGTGGAAGCAGCCCACGCCTCACAGCCTTCATGTTCTCTGTGAGGCAGAAGTCATGGTCGCCTCCAACCACAGAGGGTGCCCTGGCTCTTCTCTCACTGCCTGCCTGCAGGCCCAGCTCCACAAACTGCTCACCTCAGCTCTCTTACTCTGGGGCTTCTGGTTGGGGTCAGCAAATGGGAGTCCCTGGCAAGGGATGGGTAGTCAAGAAGATAGGGACTCAGCTCTGTTTCACCTGCCCCTCCAGCACTGTAAGATAGTAACTACCTATTGTTTTGTGTTTTCTTTTTTTTTTTCTTTTTTTTTTTTTTTTTTTGAGACAGAGTCTCACTCTGTCGCCCAGGCTGGAGTGCAGTGGCACGATCTTGGCTCACTGCAAGCTCCGCCTCTGGGGTTCACGCCATTCTCCTGCCTCAGCCTCCCGAGTAGCTGGGACTACAGGCACTCGCCACCACGCCCAGCTAATTTTTTGTATTTTTAGTAGAGACGGGGTTTCACCATGTTAGCCAGGATGGTCTTGATCTCCTGACCTCGTGATCCACCTGCCTCGGCCTCCCAAAGTGCTGGGATTACAGGCATGAGCCACCACGCCTGGCCGTAACTGCCTATTTTTTAAGCCACGGGTTTGTAGTACTTTGTTATGGCTGCCCTGGGAAAGTAATTCAGCTTTCAAACATGAAAAAAGGTATTGTTGTGATAACCTAACAACTCCACAAATGCCCTCTGGTCTTGCTCTGCAATGCTTTACACACTCAGTCTTATGCCTAGATCAAAGGAAATGGAGCACCTGAGTTCTGTTTGCTGGCAGAAATACTCACTGACAAATGGCCACTGGAAGATGGGATAATAGCCAATTGCATTTTATAGTTCATGTCACAGGCAAATTACATCAAAACTAAACAATGAGCTGAAGAAAGCAACTGACCTGCTCCTTTCTAATGCTTTTGAACAGAGTCCTTTGAAAACACTGGATCTAAATGCTTTTCCAGCTTGGTGGGCACCCAGGTGTGGCAAGCTTAACAGAGTAGCTTCTGGGGAGATGAGGAAATTGGAATGCAAGAAGTAAAAATAACTTTCCTAACATAAATTGAAACCAAGCAATCAACTTCCATTTGTTACTTCCAGTTTGTACCATTTACATAATCACTAAGAATCCTGGAAGTTAATTTCCAGAGCCACAGATTCTTTGTGATAAAAAACAAAGCAATGTCTTCTATGGCCAGGCGCTGTGGCTCACACCTGTAATTCCAGGACTTTGGGAGGCCGAGGCGGGTGGATCACCTGAGATCAGGAGTTCGAGACCAGCCTGGACAATATGGTGAAACTCCATCTCTCCTAAAAAATACAAAAATTAGCCGGGCATGGTGGCGGGTGCCCGTAGTCCCAGCTGTCGGGGGACTGAGGCAAGAGAATCACTTGAACCCCGGAGGCGGAGGTTGCAGTGAGCCAATATCGTGCCACTGCACTCCAGCCTGGTGACAGAGCAAGACTCTGTCTCAAACAAACAAACAAACAAAAAGAAATGCCTTCTTTTGGCAACACTACCAATGTTCCTTTCATGTCAACTGAAGGAAGACATTATTTCAAGTAAAACATTTGTCACAGAGTTGACTTCTCAGCCCTTGGTGACAGCACTGAGCCATCCAGGCTGTAAAACTGATGACTGCAGGTGCTCTCCCACTCCTGGGGGGCTCCCTGCTTCTGTCCCATCAGCTGCCACGCCCTGTCAGGTCTACGTCCTGGGTTTCTCCTGTATCTGTCAGTCCCCTGACATTGCTTCTGCAGGGCCCTGGCCCTTATCAGTAACTACCATGTGGAGATGATATTGCCAAAACCCTGGTCACTGGGCTTTCCTTCTGCAGACTCCGCCCTCTTCAACCCATCCTGCCCACTTAAGAGCACCTTCCGGCCAGGCACGGTGGCTCATGTCTGTAATCTCAGCACTTTAGGAGGCCAAGGCAGCCGGGTTGCGAGGTCAAGAGACCAAGACCATCCTGGCCAACATGGTGAAACCCCATGTCTACTTAAAAAAAAAAAAAAAAAAAAAATTAGCTGGGCATGGTGGTGCACGCCTGCAGTCCTAGTCCTACCTACTGGGGAGGCTGAGGCAGGAGAATCACTTGAACCCGGGAGGCGGAGGTTGCAGTGAGCGGAGATCATTCCACTGCACTCCAGCCTAGCAACAGAGCAAGACTCCGTCTCAAAAAACAAAAAAAAAAAGCACCCTCCACTGGCACCTGTCACAGGCACTAGCACAGCCAACATGTTGTATTATCCTAACGGCTCTTTATGGCCCCAGACCATTAACAAAGTGAGTGACACACAGGCTTAGGTGTATGTGGTCCTGGGCTGGGACTCCAGCTCCTTCTCTCCAGCACTCTGACCCGCGCCAAGTCACTTATGCCCTGTGAGACTAATCGGTGTTATTCTCACCTGCCTCACAGGTTCACTTAGCAACAAATGAGATAATGTACGGGCAGACTTGGCACAATGTCTGGCACACAGCAAGGGATTTTTCAGAGGGTAGTTATTGTTTTTATTCATTTTCTTATCACCAGTAGCACCTTGCCTTCCATGTTGATACACATTTGTGAAACCCGTATCATGTTTCCAAGACCACATTCCATAAAATAAAACCAGAGCCACAGAATTCCACTGTGGGTATCTGGTCCAACTTCCTGTTTGTATAAATGAGGAAACAGAGACCTATGAGGCTCTCCTTCAAAGTTACAAAGTGCTAACAGCTTTGAGAACTGCTCTTTTACATGATCATTCTATCTACAGAAGAGAAATCCCAAACTAAGTCATTCTGTGTCTGTCTTATGAGTTAAAATCATTACCTCCAGCTCAAATGCTCAAAGTGATAGAAGACAGCAAATAATTGAACATTCAAACATGGCAGATAGTTTTTTAAAATCAGTCCATTTAATATGTGCAATGTTTTTATATTTACATTCTAACACAAGAGCATCCAGCTGACTGAGCACTTCCTTCAAATGAACCCACAGAGCCCATATTGAGAAGACCTACCCTAGAGGATCTTGAAATCCTATGTCTACCTTAAAACCATTCATCCAGTCCATGGTAGAGGGACACATGATTCACCCAGGAACATCCTGACTCTAGGAAAATGGAAAAGTTTTGAAGCTAAGAAAATAGAGGAGATCAAGAAATCAGGAAAGCAAAAATGCACGTAAAATTTCTGAGCGCAAAGTGCAACCCCCTCAATTTTCAAGTTGATTAAACTGAAGCTCACAGAAGCTGCACGTAAGTCCACAAAAACGCAGTAAACGAGCTTGGCAGAAATGGAGGTTTCACGGCAATTGTCCAAGTGGTGCTTGGTTCTTATAGACCTTCCAAAAGGCCCCTTGGGACACAGCTTTGGCTTAGGTAATGATTCCCCTCCAAAGAAAGCCCCAGTTTGATGTGAGACTACACAGGCAGCTGTGGTCTAAGAGGAATGACTCCATCTGACAGAAGCACATGATTTTTTATTCTTAAGTGCTTTCATTCGCTTTCTTTTCTCCCATTGATCCAGCCAACAGCTCTACATTGAAAGCAGAGCCTCAATTCCGTGAAAGAACAAGAAGGAAACTAAAGTTCAGGGTGAAAGGAAGGAAGACAACCTACTTTCATGAGAACCAAATCTGTGTTCTCTGCAAGGTGTTTTTGCAGAAGATCTCATTAGAGCCTCACCTGGGCCTCAAGTGGTCGGTATTCTCCATGTGTAGAGATGAGAATGGGCAGCCACTCATGCAGCGCCACATAGGTAGGAAGCGAGGCGGCCCAGACCCAGGGCCTGCACTTCCCCTTTAACCCCTCCGTTTCTTATCATTGAGAATATTGTTTCCACTTAAAAGAGAAAAAAAGCAGCTTTTCAAACTTCCTCCATTTTCTCAGATCATGGCCCATTTTAAAGTCAGATTCAGACATTCTCAATTAGTTTATTCTTTTAATTAGGTTATACTGGTTTTTTTTTTCAGGGATAAAATAGCAAACAGCTGTTAAAGAATTACTGCAAGCATATCAGAGCTAGAGAACTGACTTTGATCACAAGGGTCTTAACTACAGCTGAAAGGGGTGCACACAAACATTTCAAGCCAGCTCTTAAATTCTACTCTTTGCTCCTGAGACGCCAGAAAGGAAAGCTAACAGTATTTAGCTAAAATGATTTATGAAAAAAATTTTTTTCCTCTATTAAAATAGCCAAAATAGCCTTTAAATTTAATCTCATGGGGCTACACTCAGACAAGCACCATTTATCAAAGTTAAATAAAACACAGAAATGACCATGCCAAGCAAAGTAGCCTTAAATTCTGTTTCAGAAACTTTGCAAATAAAAGGAGCCAAAAGAAACAGTGATAAGAAAAAAGAAACGCTGACTTATTTTTTAAAGCTGGGTGAACATGCTAAGTTCCCTCTGCTTGCTCTAGTTCAAAGCCCAGCTGCTTAAGCGGCGGCAAAAGCAGTTCTGGGCACACACACCTCCCTGCAGGTCTGAAAGGGCCAATTAAATTTTATTTGGGTCTATCCTCCTCCTCCTCCACCACCTCCACCTCTTATGTGTGAAGCATTTGGGGCAAAAGAAGAAAATTAAGTAGTCCTGGGATCTAAACACCTTCCTTCCATTATCAGTACAATCAGACCACTGGAGGGACAACCCCACTGTCAGGGAGGGACTCCATTCCAGGAGAGTCGGAACCGCTACACTTACAGAAGAGATAGACCCCGCCCCCTCAAGACCTTTAGTTAAATGTGTATTTCACCTCTTTGCGGGGAGAAAAAGAAAAAGAAAAAAAAAAAATACTTTCTTCAGCTTACCAAAAAGGGCACATTCCCTAAGATGGCTGAAAGAGAAATTAAGAAGGAAAACAGGCTGGGCACAGTAGCTCATGCCTGCAATCACAGCGCTTTAGGAGGCCAATGCAGGAGGATCACTTCAGTCCAGGAGTTTGAGACCAGCCTGGGCAACATAGCGAGACCCCTGTCTCTACAAAAAGTAAAAAAAAAATAGCTAGGTGTGGTGATGCGTGCCTGTAGTCTCAGCAACTAGGGGGGACTGTGGTGGGAGGCCCGCTGAGCCCAGAAGGTCAAGGCGGCAGTGAGCCAAGATTGCTCCACTGCACTCCAGCCTGGGTGACAGAGAAGACTCTGTCTCAAAAAATGAAAATAAATTGGGAAACAAAATTCATTAGAAATAAAAAATATGTGGCTGGGTGCAGTGGCTCATGCCCGTCATCCCAATACTTTGGGAGGCCAAACGGGAGGACTGCTTGACCAGGAGTTCCAGACTGGACAACATAGCAAGACCTCATCTCTACAAATAAAAATAAAAATAAATTAGCCCGGTGTGGTGGCATGCACCTGTAGTCCCAGCTACTAGGGAGGCTAAGGCAGGAGTTTGAGGCTGCAGTGAGCTATGATCATGCCACTGCACTCCAACCTGGGTGACAGAGCAAGATCTTGTCTCAAAAAAAAAAAAGACTTTTTAATAAATAAATATAGACAAAGACAGAGAAAATGAACACACTTCCATAAAGGCACAGTTGCTACCAATGAGCACAAGCCCAGCTCCTGATGTCAACTGCAGGGCCACAAAGAGGAAACCCTGAGCTTTCTGAAAAGACAAACTTCGGCTCCGTCCCTTTTTCTGAGATGGAGCTTATGGAGCCAGCTCTAGAATCTGTCACCAGTGGACACCTTACTCTGAACCAGAGCTCTCAGAGAATAAGCTCCCTATTGATCTCAAACCTAGGTTTCAGTGAAAATTAAAGGAATGAAAGAACTGTTACATTTCAAAAGGTATAATAATGAAATGAAATCAATGTTTAATCATGTATGGGACTGAATTTGTAACACTCCTAATTAGGTCTCCAAGATAGCACAGGCGATTCTGACACCAGAAAAGAACCTACGTGGTCTTTTATGACATACAAACTCATTACTTTTCTCAAAAACTTTAGGTCTTCTCTGATTTCAACTTAAACTTGAATTTTCTACTAATAATGTATTATCAAGAAAATATTTCTTTCCGTCTTCCATTTCCCATGGTCAAACAGCATAGAGTTCAGCCTGGAGTGCAGCATGGAGTGCAGTGAGTTTTATGAAAACAGCCACCCCACACGCACATAAGGCCAATCACAACATTTCCTGCGGCCCGCAACTGGCATGGGACATATAAATCGTGGCATGCTTCTTCACTCTCATCACATAGCTTTCTTTAACAGTAGACACACGGTACCCACTGTGTCTAATCAGGCTTTGGGGGCCTCAAGGTTTGCTCTAAGATTAAAAACCTCTTTCCTCAAAGATTTTACCATCTGTCTGGAGAATTCACAAATACAGTCACAAAAAGTTAATTTGTCAAGGAGCATGTCAACACAGGGTCCTCACTTCCAAAGAAGGAAAGGGGTTGGGGGTAGCCTTTAACATCATCAGGCCCCAGTGCCTAATTTTGCAGATTAAAAAACTGAGTCACTGCACCAGGAATAATGAGTGCGAGGGGCAAGATTAGAGACCATGATTCAAGGTCTGATTGGAGGTGAGCTATCAGCACTGTCAGGAGAGAAGGCTGGCCTGGAGCACAAGCCTGGGAGAGGCCTGGCAGTTGGTGGGATTTTGATCAATGTGTTCGGGGTGAGGATGGCGTGGGTGTTTAGAAAGAGGTAAGAACAGGGCAGCATGGGGTGAGGATGTGGGGCGAGGATGTGGGGTGGGGGAGGGCCGGGCCAAGCTGAACAGGGACCACCTCTGTGGGAGTAGGAGGCAGAGGAAGTCCGCGAATCTCACAAAGGAGGCGGCTCTTAGTGCCCAGAAGATGGGTAAGTTGAGGGTCTGGCGGGCCGGACTCCAATCCCAGCCCCACCTTCACGCTGTGAAAACACGAGGAAGGGACTCAGAAGCTCTTCCCACTTGCTCTTTCCCTTGTTATGCTAGGACAGCACCAACTCTCGTATAGTTAAACGACCGAGCAGAACTGTCACCAGTCAGTTTCATGCACAGGCACCGCTGCGGCGTAGGATATGATGACGAACAAGAACAAGAGGCCTTGCCCTCCAAGGAGTGGCCACTCTACCTGCAAGAGGCCAACACTAAGCAGGTAAACAAATAAGAGGGTGTTCTGGCATGAGAAGCTAATGCAGAAAACAAACCGCCGAGGACTGTGGTTGAGATGAGCCATGGGAGTTGCCCAGGCACCTCCCGGTGTACAGGGCCCCTCCATGGAGGCTCATTGCTCTCTCCCAGGCTCCCCGAGCTACGAAGCCCACACTTGATCCTCAGGCAAAGGATGAATGCTACTTAAGTCTCAGGAGCTACAAAAGCTCGAGTACAGCAGTGACAAGACAGCAACACGAGAAAGTTACAAGGATCATTTCCTGCGACGACGGTCGTAGACGCCGAGTTCCCTCTGCAGCAACTAACTCCTGCCCCTGCTCTCCTGGGGGGCTTCTGGGCTTCTGCCATCGTCCACCCGCCTGCAACTGGCCACCACTCCTTCTAACCCTTCGACAGGCACTAGGTGTCTTTTTTGTCACCTGTGAGCATCTTCCCCAAGCATTTTTTTTTACCAGGGCTGCTCAAAAGAAGCAAAAAATAAAAATAAAAATAAAAAATAAAAATGGCTGTGTCTTATTTCCTCTGCTCTTCCTATAGAAACACTGCTAATGAAAATACATAAACTGAATAAACACTTGGAGAGGAAACCATCTGCTTCATCCTACTAATGTCAGTGGGAACTGTGTTTGTTTACCCGCCGGGTCACGAGGAGGGGACACAGAAAACCTTCCCAGGAACCATCAGGGAAATGGCCTGGGCGGGCATAGGGGCACCTTATTAACCCTTTCAGATGCCCAAGAGTCACTCTGTTTCATAACCTCTGGTTGGAAGAGAAAGCTGCATATATCATAAACCACAGGCTGAAGCTTATTTGCACGGTGTTTTCCACATAAAGATGAAAAAACACCATGCAAGAATTTACTATAAATACTGCGCTTGAACTTTCCACTCTGCAGAGGAAATACCTAAAAAGACAGTCCAAGTTCAACCACAGAGGTGCTTGTGGAAACAGCTACAGAATGGAAAAGATCGTGGAGCTAACTGCCAAAGCCTCCCAAAAGGTAGATCTCTTTAATAATAATTTTTTTAGGGTACAAAGAAGGACGGAGACACCATGGAGAAGATGGTGTGGTTCTTTGTTCCAGGAAGTGTTTAGGGGATTTGCATTTTAAATGACTGCTTTGCCTATAATTCCGTATTTTAAAATAAAATTAATAAGCAAAGGCCCAGGAAATTCAACCCCCAGGGAAAGACACCAGTCATCCCCAAAGGAAACTGCAGGGACTTCTGGCCACGTGCCCAGCTCAGCTGCGTGGCAAATGTGACTGAGCCATGAGAAGTCATTCACTTGGGGCACTCCATCAAAGGACGTTTCCAGGGTCAGACACTTGGCCTTGAATTCCCAGCAAAAAGTTTCACAGCAAGGTTTTAAAGCAAGACTGGGGAGCTGAGTCTCTCACAACCCTGTAGTCACCTTCCTCCCAATCCCTGATGACTGGGCCATCACAGCCAGCCCCCATGCCTTTCAGCTGCTGCTGGCCTGGCCGTGGCTGCTCTTAAACAGCATGAGGTACTGACTCAGAATCAGCTCCACCAATAAAAATGCTGATATGTGACTTTCTACAGCCAGTTAAGGAATACATCTGTTTCCCAGAGGTTAAGAGAAAGATTCTGACCAAACTAGAAAAATTAAAATATGGCCAGGTGTGATGGCTCCCACCTGTAATCCCAGCACTTTGGGAGGCCAAGGCGGACGGATCACGAGGTCAGGAGATCAAGACCATCCTGGTCAACATGGTAAAAGCCCGTCTCTACTAAAAACACAAAAATTGGCTGGGTGTGGTGGCAGGCACCTATCGTACCAGCTACTTGGGAGGCTGAGGCAGAAGAATCGCTTAAACCCAGGTGGAGGAGTTTGCAATGAGCTGAGATCGCACCACTGCACTTCAGCCTAGAGACACAGCAAGACTCCGTCTCAAAAAAAAAAAAGAGAAAAAGAAAAATATGAATGGAGGAGACATGTGAAAACGAACAATGGCATTAATTCTACTTGTAAAATAAACTCACACTCACTCTAACAGTCAGCAAACATTTAATTAGCAGCTACTATATGCCAGGTGCCATGCTAGATGCTGGGGATATAGACAGAACAGGCAGGCAGTTGGACGTGCATGTCATTACTACTATTTAGTTAAGCTCTTACTACATGTCAAGAATTGCTCCAAACACTTTGTGTCACCTCTTTTTTTATTCTCATATAGTATAAAGTCGAGTTTATTATTAGCCTCATTTTATCGATACAGACAGGTTAAATAACTTGTTCACGCTGCACAACTCTCAGTAGGAGATGCTGGGATTTGAACCCAGGCTCCCTTGTGCATCTGACAGGTATATGAGTAAAGTGGTCTGCAGGAAGGAAGAAAAAGCCCTGCTTGAGAGAGTAGGCATCCAGGTAAAACTGATAGGGCTTTTAAGAATGCACAGGAGTTTATTAGAGAGCATGAGAAAGGTTCCTTCCAGACAAAGGGCTTATAAATGCAAAGCATAAGCCATCAGAAATTATGAAGAAAAATCATTTTAAAAGATAAAAACACATTTCTATTACTACTTCTTGGGCAGGGAGTTCCTGGATAGCTGCTAAATAGTAGCTAGGAATGGGGTCTTGACTTTCTTTGGTTTCAAGAAGAACTGCAGGTGAGCACAGTCCAACGATCCCTGGAGTGAGTGCACACAAGAGCAGCATTTGCCAGTTCCACAGTCCAACCCACTCAGAAACACCGTGTAATAGAATGTGTGTGCTAGAAACCTGGGCTCAGAAGTCCTTCACAGTGCTCAACAGGAAACACTGAAACGAAACACCTCACTGAACCAGTCTGGCAACAAAGACAAAAAAGTGGGTGAGGTGGCGCACATACGGACCACGTGTGCCAGGAGGCCCAATTCTAACTGCATGGCAGGGGCTCTCCTCAACAGTCTATGATTTTAGCAGATGAGCAATAGCTTTGTTCACCAAAATACAAAGCTGTCCCAAGTCCTTGAAAGATACAAATTCCACAAGAAAATCAGAAAACACAAAGGTTGTTTGCAGTGCGCAATAAATTGGTGGTTTTAAGCATAGCTGTTCTGAGTTTATCTTTTCCTGAGACATTTAATGTTAGTTCATGTGCTCTGAGCAATGTTCTTTGAAATAAATATAATTCGCTGACTCATATCCCATAAGTGATTAAATGATGGGTTACCAACGTTAATGCCGACTACTAAATTCCAGCCCCTCTAGCCAACAGGAATGACACACAGATCATCTCTATGTTAAAAACAGGTGTGCTCCCAGAGTTTGTTTGTAAGTTGGCTGCTTGGAATTCAAGAGTTATCTTCCTCCTCCACAAACAATATTAGACATGGTATTTGATACTCCAGACAGAAAACCCAAAATACTAGATCCGAGGAGTGTTAAGAGTTCTCTGGACTGAGCCGATGAGAGGGAGTGGGCCTGCTGCTTAGCCAGCCAGACACTCCCACTTCCTCTCCTGCCGGGAATAAGATGTGCACCAGCTGCACGAAGCAGGCGGCAGCTTCTCATCCTCCCGCAGGAGCGATCTGAGGAGGAGGCTGGGAGAGGCCAGGCAGGGGCTCGGAGAAGAACAGCAGAAGTGAGGAGCACCAGAGGTTCCAGCGGCTCCAACGGCTCCAGCTGCTGAGGGGCCCAGGCTGCCGGCTCCTCCTGTGACACCTCCGGCCCCCAGGCTGCTCTGTCCAGGGCCCTGCGGTGGCAGGGCCTCCCCATCTCTAGGGCTGCCATATGGCAGGCTCGGAAGGAGGCTTTTCGATACTCCCACACCTGCCCTGTGGGGTTGCATGCACAGGCTCTCCTGATTCCCTCACATGAAAACACACGTGGCTCTTTAATGATGCTCTCGGGACTGTTCTTGCCAGTAACCGGGACTTGAGTTCGACAGCCCCCCTGCCACAAACACACACGCACAAGCACCAATGTGAGAGAGGAATTGTCTATGACCAGTAAATTAAACTGGGATCCAGCCACAAGACCACTCTTCCCTCCAGTTACATATATATACATAACATATACATATGCACTTAGATTACATATATATATTTGAATGAAAGTTCATAGTAAAATTCAAGTGCCGAGGCCACTGACATCACTATGTGGGTGGTTCAAGCATAAATCTAGACACTGGAGAGCTCGAAACCAGAACGGGTCAGCGGGGCCATTGGGGGGCGGGGAGGGAGGTGCTGAACATGCAGGACCTCCAGCCGCCTCATGTCACTGGCCATGGGAATGAGCCGAACCTCCTCACACCAAAGGCTGTCCCCTACCACACTCCTGGGTTACAGATAAGCCCCCAACTTACTGGAACTTCAAATGCCTCCTGGGTGTCATCCAGCATCTGGATTTTGATGGACACGAGTTTTCCTGAAGGTGTTGGGGGCGGCTTCTGTCCACGTTCCAAGGTACTGATCCCCGAATTTTCCGGGGCCCCCAGTCGTGATCCTGGGGTCGGCCTCTGCTCTATTTCTCCCATGATGAAAGCGGCTTAGAGAATATCTGCAGGAAGCAGTGAGAAAGAAAAACACATCAGAATAGGAGACTACCACCCAAGCTGTGTGCCACCTTGAACCCCACCCAGGTGGGCAGGGGGCTCCATCCCCTGCACAGGAATCACATATAGGGAGGCATCGGTTCACTCACAAAGTCACCTTTAAGCACTCAAGGCATGCAAATACTTTTTGCATACTTTATTCTTTTGAATAATTTTGCATATTGTTGCATATTTTATTCCTTTCTCGTTTTACAGTCTGTTCTTAATTATTCAGTGTCTACAATGAGCTAGGCTAGGCACTACTTTTTACACATTGAAGTCTGGTGGGAAGATGATAAACAGTGCCTAAACCATATCATTAGCATCCATTAATTACCTTTATGGACATAGTTACATGCTAAGTACTGTGGGTATTCTAAAGATAAACAGGTAAAACGCGCACTGCAGAGCTCGGGCTAATAATCTGGTTGAGGAAATAGACATACACTCGCAGACATACACTCATACAGAGGCAACAGAGAGTAGGGTCATTTTTCTTGGTTTCTAGTGTCTATTTCTATTACAATAACCACCTAATAATTCATTTCTTTCCAGCCACCCACCCCCCCAACTATTTCCCCTTTCCCAAGAAGCCATTCTACACACTATACTATACTATCAACAGTTATTTTCCTAAAAACAATCATCTTTCCTCCCCAGATAGTCTACTCTTGTCTAATGACACCCTCAGCTTCTCCCTCCCCTCTCGCTGCCTCTGTCTGGCTCCAGGTCTCCACATGCGTGGCTTGCTGTGGCTGAGTGCTTTGCCCTCTTTCTTCACCTGGAAACTTCTACCACTGCTTTAAAATTCAGTTCAAATGTCACATCCCAGCCAGGCACGGTGGCTCACGCCTGTAATCCCAGCACTTTCGGAGGCCAAGGTGGGTGAATCACCTGAGGTCAGGAGTTCGAGACCAGCCTGGCCAACATAGTGAAACCCCACCTCTACTAAAAACACAAAAATTAGCCAGGTGTGGTGGCATGTACCTGTAGTCCTGGCTACTTGGGAGGCTGAGGCAGGAGAATCGCTTGAAGCCAGGAGGTGGAGGTTGCAGTGAGCCAACATTGCACCACTGCACTCCAGCCTGGGGGACAAGCGTGAAACTCCATCTCAAAAACGAAAACAAATGTCACATCCTGGCATCTGGTGCAGAGCACATGTGTTATCCCCTCTGTGCTCGTGGCTGTCAAAGCCACATCATGGTGGTTGAGCCCACGTGTGTGGAGAAGGCACTGTGATGCCCTTAAAGCAGGAACCCAATCTCGAATGTCCTTTGCAGCTCAGCGCCTACCTAGGCACAATGCCTCACACGGAGTGGAGGTCAATACTGGCTGCTTAACGACTGGACCACTCAGCCAGTATATTTATATGTGGCTGCATATTTAGTGTCAGAAGGACATAAGGGAACGAGATTTCCAGGTGAGATGAAGTGGTTAAAAGAGAGGGAAGCCTTCCATCATGGAGAAGGTGAGAATTGAACTCAAGTTGGTCTCAAATGTTGGAAAATACTTGGAAAGAGACAGGAGACAGACAAGGAAAAGGCACTCCTGGGAAGTGGAATGGCATCCACAGAGTTACGGGACAGAAACACGATGGCACAGGCAAAAAAGAGTGAGAATCAGAGCCAGAGAGTTCAAGATGTATTTTAGAAATGATTTGAAGTCAGGTGCTAGAGCAGCGGTCCCCAACCTTTGTGGCACCAGGGACTTGTTTTGTGGAAGACAGTTTTTCCACAGACAAAGTAGAGGCAATGGTTGCGGGATGAAATGGTTCCACCTCAGATCATCAGGCATTAGATTCTCATAAGGAGCGCACAATCTAGATCCCTCGCATGCGCAGTTCCCAACAGGGTCTGTGCTCCTATGAGAATCTAATGCTTGCAGCTGATCTGACAGGAGGCGGAGCTCAGGTGGTGATGCTCGCCTGCCGCTCACCTCCTGCTGTGCGGCCCAGTTCCTGAAAGGCCACGGACCACTGGTCCACGGCCCAGGATCTGGGGACCCCTCCTTTAGAGGACTTCAAATGCCTGGCTGAAAAATATGGTCTTTACCCTGCAGGCAGCAGGAGCCACTGAGGGAAGAGTAACAACACAACAACAACAATTTCAGAAAAATGAGCCTGAGGATGGTACTATATATAACTAAAGAAAGAGGGTTGGGAGGGCAGGGGCTGGGGCATCCAGTTACAAATCACCTGTAACAATTCATGCTTGAAGTGCCAATCTGGACAGCAGCAATGGAAATCAAAAGGTGATGCTATAAAATCTACTTCTGTGGAAAAACTAACCCAATGTTAAAAATGGTTAGCTACCAAGAGGAGGTAAAGGTCCAACACTGGGCTGGGTGCGGTGGCTCACGCCTGTAATCCCAGTACTTTGGGAGGCTGAGGCGGGCAGATCACGAGGTCAGGAGATGGAGACTATCCTGGCTAACATGGTGAAACCCCGTCTCTACTAAAAATACAGAAAATTAGCCAGGCGTGGTGGCGGGCGCCTGTAGTCCCAGCTACTCGGGAGGCTGAGGCAGGAGAATGGCGTGAACCCGGAAGGCGGAGGTTGCAGTGAGCCAAGATCGCGCCACCGCACTCCAGCCTGGGCGACAGAGCGAGACTCTGTCTCAAAAAAAAAGAAAAGATAGAAAAACGAAAAAGAAAGTCCAACACTGATGAGAAAGTTTGAAATCAGGGCAGAAGGGAGGAAGTAGGAGGGGGAGGTGTGAGTGTGCTTTGGAATGCTCCCTGGGGCTATAAAAGGACATCCTGTGGGTTGTCCTGTCTGGGAGCTGTCCTGTCCAGGCTGGGTCTGGGCTATGGGTTCAGGGTGAAAGCCATTAGAATCAATGAAAGGAGGTGAATGTATAACCAAAAAAGCAAAATGAACCATCAGGCCCAATGGTGAGGGTCATGGAGAAAGAAGAAATGGGAAAAAGAGACCCCCAGGGGGCACTTCTGGACAAAGGGGCCACAGAAGGGGCACCACAGAGCTATCTGGGGTGCAAGGAATGGAACTGTGAGCTGCGTCTCACTCACATTTGAGAAAAAGTCACCCTTCATTTCTTTCCAGCCACCCACCCCACCAACTATTCCCCCTTTCCCAAGAAGCCATTCTACCATTCTATACATTGTACTATAGTATCAACAAAGTTTTTTTTATTTTTTATTAATTTTATTTTACTATTATTATTATGATTATTATTATTATTTGCAATGGAATCTCAAACTCTGTTACCTAGGCTGGAGTGCAGTGGCGCAATCTCGGCTCACTGCAACCTCCACCTCCCAGGTTCAAGCAATTCTCCTGCCTCAGCCTCCCGGGTAGCTGGGATTACAGGCGTGCACCACCACCCCCGGCTTTTTCTTTTTTTTTTTTTTTTTTTTTTTTTTTTTTTTTGAGACACAGTTTTACTCTATTGCCCAGGCTGGAGTGCAATAGCAACATCTTGGCTCACTGCAACCTCTGTCTCCCAGGTTCAAGCGATTCTCCTGCCTCAGCATCCCGAGTAGCTGGGATCACAGGCGCACACCACCACACCCAGCTAATTGTTGTATTTTTAGTAGAGACAGGGTTTCACCATGTTGGCTAGGCTGGTCTTGAACTCCTGACCTCAAGTAATCCACCCGCCTCAGCCTCCCAAAGTGCTGGGATTACAGGCGTGACCCACCGTGCCCAGCCAACAAAGTTATTTTCCTTAAAAAAAAAAAAAAAAAAAAAAAATCTTTCCTCCCCAGATAGTCTGTCTCCTGATCCCTCAGCTTCTCCCTCCCCTCCCGCTGCCTCTGTCTGCCTCCAGGTCTCCACACGTGGCTCACTGTGGCTCAGCACTTTGCCCTCTTTCTTCACCTGGAAACTTCTACCACTGCTTTAAAACTCAGGAAAGTTGGCTGGGCGCGGTGGCTCACGCCTGTAATCCCAGCACTTTGGGAGGCCAAGGCGGGTGGATCACGAGGTCAGGAGATCGAGACCATCCTGGACAACACGGCGAAACCCTGTCTCTACTAAAAATACAAAAAATTAGCCGGGCATGGTGGTGGGCGCCTATAGTCCCAGCTACTCGGGAGGCTGAGGCAGGAGAATGGCGTGAACCCGGGAGGCGGAGCTTACAGTGAGCCGAGATCGTGCCACTGCACTCCAGCCTGGGTGACAGAGCAAGACTCTGTCTCAAATACAAAAACAAACAAACAAAACTCAGGAAAGTGTTAAAGCCTTCTCTTCAGGAAAACCATCCGGTTTCCAAATCTCATTTTGTAGAGTTTTCTTCCCTAACTCATTCTCAGCCTTTTCCTTAAGAGTAGGTCCCCAGAAGTTTCCTAATGAATTCCTTACTTCCTCTGCAATGAAACCTCTAATGCTGTCACCATAGACACAAGGGCTGGCCCTGAGGTCAGCAAATCAGAAACTATGGGATCACATCCACAGCGACTCAAATCACCAGGGCCTAAAAGGGCGTGTCCTTCCATCGAACATGTCTAGGAAACACCTGATCACTGTCTAGGAAACACCATTTACTCCTGACTTCTCCCACACTCACCTTCCTCACCTACGGTCCATCAAAGCCTTTTGAAGATTTTATTCACTCCTTATGTCGTCTGGTAACATAGGGGTTCTAAGACAGGCAATGCTTCTGGAGCTAACACTGTCTGTCTCAGAACCCCAGTGTTACCAGATGACATATGGAGTGAAGATCTGAGAACTGCTTTTTTTTTTTTTTTGAGATGGAGTCTTGTTCTGTCACCCAGGCTGGAGTGCAATGGCGCAATCTCGGCTCACTGCAACCTCTGCCTTCCAGGTTCAAGCGATTCTCCTGCCTCAACCTCCCCAGTAGCTGGGATTACAGATGCCCACCACCATGCCCGGCTTTTTTTTTTTTTTTTCTCCCCAGTAGAGATGGGGTTTCACCATGTTGGCTAGGCTGGTCTTGAACTCCTGACTTCAAATGATCCAAGTGCTGGGATTACAGGAGTTAGCCACCACGCTGGCCCCTTCTTTTTTGAATGCCTGATTCCACAGGTCTGTTATATAAGTGCCTTTCTCACTTCTGCCTCAAATAAGCTTTTTCTAAGCATCTGTTTCTAATCTGTTTGGTTGTGTGATCTCTGCTTTGGTTCATTCACTCATTAGCCTTGAGAGATGAGACCAGCCTGGTTAATCTAGAATCCCAGCCTAGTGCCCTTCACCGAAGTGGAAGAGAGATCCTCAATACTGGGCCAATGAATCAAAGTGTGTGTGTGTGTGTGTGTGTGTGTGTGTGTGTGTGTGTGTGTGTGTGTGTGTGTGTGTGGAGGTGGTGGTCGGGGAGCAGTATATTCATTATGAAGTCAGTTGTGTCCAAAATAATCTTCACAAGCCAGGCAAAATTACTTCTATTCCATATATGTTTTCTGTTCACTGTCTCATGGTTAAAAATAAATGCAATCTCCAGAGAAAACTATGCCATCAGTCAAGTTGGCCTTCCCCATTCCCAGCCCCTCCATGCACTTTTCGTACTTTGGTGTGGCCCCTCCCCCACCCCACCCCTTCTGCCCTGCACTTGCTCAGCAGGGACAGGCCCTGTGCACGGTAATTCACACTGGGCTATAGCTGGGCTTGTCACTCTGAGTCAAGCAGGCATGGACCTGGCTATGGTGTTGATGCCCATCCAGGGAGCCGATGACGGCAGGAAGGAAGGGCTCTACTCTCCCACCTCACCCCAGCCTAAAGGTGCTCAGACCCTCCCTGCAGATATCTTCTCCTTGTCCTACCTAAGCAAAAAGCAAGACTCCTCATCCTCTGAACTGAATCCTTTCTCTCCCTCTTGCCCAAAATCCCCAGATAAATATATATTCTAATTTTTAGCACCTTGGCATTTAAAAATTTAATTGAGTTAGTCATTAACAGATACTTGGTAGCTTAACTTCCTTTCTCTTTAGTTCTCAAATGATCTCATGTCTAGGTTATTTCTACTTCTGGATACTGATGCTTGAACAAAGTATGTCATACTTTCTCTCTGTTATCATACTTGCATGCAGACTGTTGCTGTACATGGAAAAGTCTGTTTAATTCAATCATAAATCCAGCCAAGAGTTTTGAGTTGAGCATCCTAAGAACGCTAAGGGAACATCTCAGGAACGCTGGCAAGTCATAAATGGGTAACCACAGTTGATGCTTGATAGCAAAACTGGTAAGCCCAGTAATAAAATGCCGTCTTCCAGATAAACAAATCCAACAAACCGAAAGGCCTCTAGTGTATAAATATTAACCTATGCTCTATTCTGAATTTATCTCCATTAACTTCCTGACTTCTGAAATTCTTGAGGAATAGTCAAAATATAGACTATTTCTTTCCTTGTGATACCTTATTACTAAAGTGATTATTCCAGACCTTAAAGTTAAAAGCTGCTTGCAAAACTACTTTATTAGTTAGCTCTATTTGAGAAATTACTTTAAAAAAGTAACAACAAAGAAGTAACAAGATTTTTAACCGCCAGAGAAAAGGTAAAAAACTAGAGTTGTCTTGTCTTAGTATCCTGACTTATAAGGACTTCCTCTTGCAATTCATCCAAAAGCAATAAGCAGTAAACTAAAAAACACAAATTCCATCCCTGAGGAAACTGGGAGACATCTGTAGCCCCAAACCAGAAAATGTAACAAAAATGTGCCAAGCTGCAGTGAAGGTCAGAAAGAAGGGAAGGAAAATGCTTGGAGAGGCTGCTCATGGCTACAGATCTCAGATAAAAATGGCGGAGCTTCAAATAAGCAGCAAACCAGTCATAACTTTCTTGGAATAACAGGGACAGGTGTGCAGATTCACAGTAACAGCTTCCCTGGACATAGTGAGATTGATATGAAATGAGAAACCATACAGGCAAGCCATATTTGTAGGAAGCAGTCTGTCGCTGAGGCAAGATGAAAAAGACAGACTGCATTAGACATACCACCAAGGTTGACTACCAAAGTTTCAGCAAATAAGGGAATAGCAAAGGTTGAAAGGATCACACACACACACACACACACACACACACACACACACACAACCTCAAGTCATGAAAATTCCTATTAGTATGGAACACGGCTCTGTCTGCTGGCCCACTGAGGCTCCTGCAAAGAGCTACTTCATACCTACTAACCAAAAAACAAACAAACAAAAAAACCTTTACAAAGATGCTGCAAGAAAAAAGAAAAATGACAGATGAACATCCAAAGAAAATGTTACATGCAACAGATTAAAGCTTTGTCCAAACATAGTTATAAATTAATAAAACTTCATGAAATAACTGATTCCATAGACAAAAACATAAAAGGATTTACAAGAGTTCAGGGAAGCTATGGGAAGACATTAGCAGGAAATAAAGAATAAGGGTGGCAGACCTTAGGAGGACAAAATGGAAGAATGAAAATATCACCAAAATACAGGCCAAATGGGAAGCAGCTAAAAGGAAATATGCACTGGTGAAAATATGAAGGACCTAATGGGAAAGACTGAGAAAAGCAAGCAATAGATTTAAAACACAGAGAACTGGCTGGGCACGGTGGCTCACACCTGTAATCCCAGCACTTTGGGAGGCCAAGGCAGGTGGATCACAAGGTCAGGAGATCGAGACCACCCTGGCTAACACAGTGAAACCCCGTCTCTACTAAAAATACAAAAAAATTAGCCGGGCATGGTGGTGGGCACCTGAAGTCCCAGCTACTCAGGAAGCTAAGGCAAGAGAATGGCATGAACCCGGGAGGTGGAGCTTGCAGTGAGCCGAGATCACGCCACTGTACTCCAGCCTGGGTGACAGAGTGAGACTCTGTCTAAAAAAAACACAGAGAACTGATAGATATGGAAGACAGAGAGAGATGATCCAACATACCCACAATCGGTATCCCTAAAGAAACAAAAATCAAAGAATAGAACAGGAAAAAAAAAGCTTAAGGCATAATTCAGGAAAACATTTTAGAAATTAAAGATACTTGTGCATAATAAATGAAGATATCCTATTCCAGGGATAACTACCATAAAATGATCACCACAAAGATAATTTGACAACTCATTTCCTGAGTCATAGCTGGTCTTCAAACTTTAGGAAGGAATCATTTGGGCAGCTAGGCAAAAAGTTCAAATAAAGTATGAGGGGACAAAATTTTAGAATTGTCCACAGCAACATCCAAGGCTTAAATGCCAAAAACATCCTCAAAGAATTGTAACAGAATCAAAACTTTCATCACAAGCAAATTTTCATTCAACTATAATAGCCAAATTGTTTTGCTATTTTTTTTTTAGATAGGGTCTCACTCTGTCACCTGGGCTAGAGAGCAGTGGCATGATCACAGCTCACTGTAACCTCGAGCTCCTGGGCTCAAGCGATCCTCCTGCCTCAGCCTCCCAAGTAGCTGAGACTGCAAATATGCACCACCACCACCACCAGTTAGTATGCACAAAGTCTTGCTATGTTGCCCAGGCTAGTCTTGCACTCCTAGCCTCAAGCAATCTTTCTGCCTTGGCCTCCAAAGTGCTGGGACTACAGGCATAAGCCACCACATGCAGCCAATAGCCAAACATTTTAAACAGGTGAGAATTCAGAAGAATGTTAGCCAATCCCTTCTCAAAAAAACTACTAAAGGATAAACTTCAGCAAAACAAAAGGTAAATGGTGAAAGAATGAAAAACAATTATTAGTAAACTTTACAACCATTTATACTTTAAGAGAAAGAAAAAAATAATTGTAACAGCCACAGAATATTATATAATGCCTGACAATGTAGAAATAATGCAGCTAAAAAACTGGCAGGGAAAGGAGTAGAAATGGTGAGAGGCACTGTAAGTTACCTATTACCTCATGTTTTAAAACTGATAATAGGAAGATTTTAAATCTGCAAAAACATGAAGATGGTCAAGCACATGAAAAGATGTTCAACATCATTAATCATTAGGAAATGCAAATTATACACACAATAAGATATTTCACACCCACTGTAATGGTTATAACAAAAAAGACAGACAATAACAAGTGTTATCAAGAATGTGGAGAATCTGGATGTGAGGGCCATCTGGCTGTGACATCTGTCACCCCATTGATCGTCAGGGTTCATTGGGCTAGGGGTGATTGCCAGGGTTGATCTAGCTAACCTGGCTGGCTAGGCGGGTGTTCCTTTCCTCCCTCACCACTCCATGTGTGTCCCTTCCAAAACTGTGTGCTTGGCAGAAGAGGACGACCATCCCCGATAGAGGAGGACCGGTTTTCGGTCAAGGGTATACGAGTAGCTGTGCTCCCCCCTGCTAGGACTTCCAAATAAGCTCTCAAGAATGTGAAAAATCTGAAACTCATATACTGCTGGTTGCTGGAAGGAATATAAAATGCTGCAAACACTTTAAAAAGCATTTTGGCAGTTTCTTAAAATTGTAATCATAAGTTTGGCATGAAACCCAGCAAACCCTTCTCCTGGTGACCCCGCAATTCCACTCCTAGGTATCTTCCCAGGACAAATGAAAACATATGTCTGCACAGAAGTACATGCAGATGTCCACAGCCAAAAAAGGGCCAACAAGTGGATAACCCAATAATCCAAATAGTCATCAACTGGTGAGTGAATAAACCAAATGCGATCTATCCATACCAGGGAATATTGTTCTGCCACAAAAAGATGCAAAATGCTGACACACGCCACATAGATGGACCTCGCAAACATTTTGCTGAGTGACAAGAGCCACATGCAAAAGACACCATAAACCTATGATCCTATTAAATGTAATATCCAGCCAAGGCTTTATCAGGAGGATAAATATCCAGAAAGTAGTTGCCTGGGGCTGGGATTCGGAGCTCGATCAACAGCAAAGGGCACAAAGAATTGTGGTCTTTTTGGGGAGATAGAAATGTTCTGAAACTGGACCGTGGTGATGGTCACCCAACTCTGTAAACTGACTAAAAACCTTTGAATTGTACACCTGAAACAGGTCAAAGTTACGATTTGTGATTACACCTCCATAAATCTAAAAATGTCTATGTGTCCGTGAATATTCCTGTGAACACAAAGAGCCTCTCTGGAAGGAGAGGGAGGTAACTGGAAGGAGAGCTGACTCCAGTGAGGCGGCCAGCCTGGCCTGGGACAAAAGCAAGGCAGGCTGGGGACTGGCTTTTCATCAGATGCTCTTTTGGACCTTTTTAATTTTGTACCATATACCTATATGTTTAATTAAGAAGTAATTTGGGCCAGGGGCAGTGTCTCATGCCTGTAATCCCAACATTTTGGGAGGCTGAGGCAGGAGGATCACTTGAGGCCAGTAGTTTGAGATCAGTCTAGGCAACATAGCAAAACCCCGTCTCCACAAAAAATTTAAAAACTACCCAGGCATGGTGGTAAGCACCTGCAGTCCCAGCTACTTGCAGTGCTGAGGCAAGAGGATCACTTGAGACCAGAAATTTGTGGCTGTGGTGAGCTATGATTGTACCACTGCACTCCAATCCGGGCAACAAAGCAAGACCCTATCTCTTAAAAAAGAAAAAAAAAAGTAATTAAGAAGACTATGTTTCATTAAGAAGTAATTAAACAATTTTTAATTTAATCTACTAAAAGCACACACTCCTACCAACTACTCCTGCCCCACTGAGAGCATAAATCGAGTGAGATGAAATCACAGTGAAGAGGAACTACTTTCAATCAAGCCGGGTAGATGAAGAGAAACTTTTTGCAAGAGTTTGTTTCCCCTCTTCCAGTTTTAAATACAAGCAACTGAAAAATTCCAGGTTAAGAAAAACTCACAGAAACGTGTTATTCAAAGAAGAAGTCCAAGTGGCAGAGCTGCAGGAAGCCAAAGGGCTGGGTTCTGGGTCCTCCAACCACTTCTGTGCCCCATGTTGAAAGCAAAGAAGTGTGGATGTGCCATTGAGTGAGGGCAAAAAATCAAGTGTCAGACACCCAGGAGAGCAAAGAGCAAAGGGCAAAGGGCGTGTGATCAATCTCCAACAGCTCCGTGCATCTGGCTCTGCTCTTATGAGCCGGAAGCTGCCACAAAGCCACCTTGTGCCTCTGTCCCGGGGGAGCCACACGCCAGGAGCTGGCCCCAGGGGAGGCTGGGGTGGAGATAAACTAGAAAAGCTGCCAGCCCGGCCCTCCTCAAAAGCAAAGCAGCTCAGTTTGACTTCTCACAAGGGGTTAGGTAAGGGGTTTTGAGAAAGTTCAAAAACAGCTATCTGTGTGGATGGATTTGCTTATTTCCAAAAAGTCTGTGAGCAAAAGAAACAACTGCAGATCAACTGTTTTACATCAACCAGACACTTCAAACAGAGGAGGAACTGTTCGGCCTGTTTGATCATTTGGAAAAAGGAGACCAGGCTATTAACTGTCTACGAGCAGGGTACCCCTATTTCAACAACAAAGCAAGGAAATGAGAATTAACTGCAGAGCTCAAGATTCTCGCTTCACTGTTCCTTCTTGGCAACCATATTTTTTAACAATTTTTTTAATTAAATAGGTTATCTTAAATAACCCTGACAAGTCTCTGGAAAATAAGGAAAACTCAGAGCAAAAGAGAAATTTTCTCATCTTTATCATTTTCATAGGGGTTATTTCAAATGTCCAGTTCTACCCATATCCCTTTTCTACTCAAACACCTGAGTCCAATCAAAACCGAGTTAAATGTAAAAATTCCCAGCAAGGCATTTCAACCATCTGCCATGATGTCTCTCCTTTCAACTAAACCATCTTCTAATCCAGCTGAACTCTGCTGTTCAACACTCTTGTATCTTCCTGGCACTAAGCTTTTGCCGTTCTGTTTCTTTGAGGCAGGGTCTCGCTCTGTCACCCAGGCTGCAGTGCAGTGGCGCGATCTCAGCTCACTGCTCACTGTAACCTCTAACTCCTGGGCTCAAGCGTTCCTCCCCCGTTCAGCCTCCTGAATAGCTGGGCTGCAGGCACCTGCTACCATGCCCACGTAGGTTTTTAATTTTTGTAGTGAAAGAGTCTGGTTATGTTAGCCAGGCTGGTCTTGAACTCCCAGACTTTAGGGATCTGCTCACCTTGGCCTCCCGAAGTGCTGGGAGTACAGGCATGAACCACTGTGCCCAGCCTGTTCTGTTTCTTCCTGCTAAAACACCATCTTTGAGTTGGCTAATGGGTACAAAA
Source organism: Homo sapiens (assembly GCF_000001405.40). NCBI lineage: Eukaryota > Metazoa > Chordata > Mammalia > Primates > Hominidae > Homo > Homo sapiens. Next base: position 98,201,105 of record NC_000013.11, on the reverse strand, counting down.
ATACAGCAGGGAAATTATAGTTAACAATAATGTGTTATCTATTTCAAAAGAGCTAGAAGAGAATTGGAATGTCCCCAACACAAAGAAAAGACAATGGCTATCCCAATTACCCTGACTTGATCATTACACATTGTATACATGTATCAAAATATCACATGTACCTCAAAAATATATACAACTATGAATCTCAATTTTAAAAAGATAAAAGACTGGGAGAGAAAAATAAAACACTTACATTCAAAAGAAAAAAAACACTTCTCTAGCCAGTCCCAGTGTCACCTCACCCAGAAAGACTTTCCTGATCCAATGGTTTAGGAAAAAAATACTCACTTCATCTTCCCTGGGGTGTTGTTTACATTTAGCTTCTACTTCACAGGCTTTACAGGCCTTTCTCCTCTTTTCCAAGCCTTTTCCAAGGGAGTCCCGAGGGCAGGGGTCTCCCTTACCTGGGAGCCTGACATCACTTTTCTTGCGTAAGTGCTAGAGACAGCTCTAGTCTCAACTTAGGAACTGTGAGAACATCAGGCCAGTCACTTATCCATCCCAGAAGTCATTCTCCGTACCTAAAAGATGGAGAGAAAGCCTACTCTCTACTGCAGTGCTTCTTAAAATGTGCCCACAAATCAGCATCCACATCACCTGCGAGCTCATTAGAAATACAATTCTTCATCTCAGCCCAGCTCAGCCCCACTGAATCACAAAGGGGAGGGGGGGGGGGTGAAGGTTGCATTCCAGGTGATTCTGATGCAGGCTCTGGTCTGAGAAGCACTGCTCCTGCTCCACTTCTGAGGGTCTCCGTAAAGATTAGCTAAAATGACAGTTGTAAAACCACCAGACACAAGCCAAGCACTTACTTGGTTAGGTAACTTCCCCAAGAAAAGAGGGACACTCTGCCATGTTTTGCACATGTGCCAAAGGTCGTGAGTGCCTGTTTTCAGCAGCTCCTCGCAAGAAAAAGTGGCATGCCTTTTCCAATCAATTTTTAATTTCTACTCCAACCTTGTTCTAAAAACAATCTAAGTCAATACTTTGGCTTTGCACTTTCACTGATTCGGTAGAGCACATATCCTCCATTAAACAGATATGCAAAGACAAAAATGTGTAGAATGGAAGTGGAGGTGAAAATTACCAGAAGAGAAGGCTTTTTGATCTCCAGAAAAATCAGGAAACCAGAAAAAAATCTCCAATCATTCCCATTCTAATGATGTCAATTTCTCAATGATTCTGAGAGTACAAACTTTAAACTTTAGCTCACCCCTCATTCTACCTCTAAGGAAAAGGTCAGGGTGAATTAAATGTAAGGAAGATAGCCACCAGCTTCCAGCCCCTCTGAATTCCCACACTAACAAGGTCACTGCAATGTAAACAGGCGCATTTTTTAGTCTGCAGCCAACCTCACTCGACTTAACACACATCATTCTCTTCCACTCACTAAGGAAAGTCTTCTCTAATCGACACCAGTCAGCCTCTCCAAATATTTGTAGAAAGCACCCAACCCTTGCCTGGCCCATAATGAGGATGCAGTGAATTACTGGCTTTGCTTACTCAATGCCTTTGAAAATAACAAACCCAATGTTCAAAGTATACTATCATTCAAGTGTCACCATAATCGAGATCATCACCATTAACAAACATTTATGAGGGCCTATTATGTTTCAGCAACTACATTTCACACCCTATAGGACACAAAGTAATAATGTGGCACAATATCGTTTTGTCTTTATGAGATGCATAATCTATCAGGCAAGAGAACAGGTAACTCAGAGATGACTGTTCAAGGCAACATGTTTACTTCTGACAATAGGTATTAAACGAATTTTAAAAGCCTCAGAAATAAGGATGCCACCTCACTGAGGAACTGAGACATCAACTAGTCCCTGAAAAAAGGTTCTTAAATAGCAGTGATGGCAGATGGCATGGTGTGGGTAGGACTCACGTTTGTGCATCCAGTGGTATTTACTAAGCATCCACCATGTACTGAAAGGTGTGCCAATAGCGGATCCGACTAATAGAAGTGCGAAAATAGAGAAAAGAAAATTAAATACGCAGGTGAGAGGCAGCTTTTGGTCTGCCTGAAATAGTGCACAGCTGCCTCAAATTCTTGGGCTCAGTAATCCTCCAGCCTCAGACTCCCGAGTAGCTGGGACTATAGGTGCACACCACCATACCTAAGTTTGTGGGGGGAGGGGGAAAGGGGGAGGGGGAGCGGAGCAGGGAGGGTTGAGATTGAGATGGAGTCTGGCTCTGTCACCTAGGCTGGAGTGCAGTGGTGCAATCTCAGCTCACTGCAATCTTGGCCTCCTGGGTTCAAGCAATTCTCATGCCTTGGCCTCCTTAGTACCTGGGATTACAGGCATGTGCCACCGTGCCCAGCTAATCTTTTCTATTTTTAGTAGAGACAGGGTTTCACTGTGTTGGCCAGGCTGGTTTCTAACTCCTGGCCTTAAGTGATCCGCCCTCCTCAGCCTTCCAAAATGCTGGGATTACAGGCATGGCCCACAGTGCCCAGCCATGGCTAAGTTTTTAAATTATTTCTAGAGAGGGAGGGGTCTTGCTATACAGCCTAGGCTCATCTCGAACTCCTGGGCTCAAGGGATCCTCCCACCTCAGCCTCCCAAAGTACCGGGATTACAGTATGAGCCACCGCGCCTGGCCTCCATGAATTTTGTAGCTTGCTAGCTCATGTCTTTGTATTGCTTAATAATATCCCATCTGTATGGATATACCACAGTTTATCCATTCCCCTACAGAAAAACATTGTGGTTGCTTCCAGTTTTGGGCTATGTTGAGATGCTTTTCAGGTGCAGATATAGGAGCAAGTAGATGTTACCTCTACAAAGACAGCAGGATCAACTTAAGGTTGGAAACGAGAAGCAAAGTCCTGGGGCTCACTGGCAGACACTGCTGTGAATTTCTGGCTCAGACAAGCCCCTTTATAGCCTCTGGCAGGTAATTCAGCTGATTGCTGAGGTCCTTATCAGAGAGATAACTTGCCTCCTTGAGTTCAGGAGAAAATGACAGGACTTAATAAATAAAAATGTGTCTGGAAAGCTATGTAAAAGAAATAAACACCAATGGGTATTTTCTTTAATAAACTGTAAAGAATTATTGTTTGTTTCCAAATCTAGTCAGCATATTCCCAACAGCCTCATTATTTAATAAGTAACTTTTGGCCGGGCGCGGTGGCTCATGCCTGTAATCTCAGCACTTTGGGAGGACGAGGCGAACGGATCACGAGGTCAGGAGATCGAGACCATCCTGGCTAAACAGTGAAACCCCGTCTCTACTAAAAAAGTACAAAAAATTAGCCGGGCGTGGTGGCGGGTGCCTGTAGACCCAGCTACTCGGGAGGCTGAGGCAGAAGAATGGCGTGAACCCGGGAGGCGGAGCTTGCAGTGAGCCTAGATCGCGCCACTGCACTCCAGCCTGGGTGACAGAGCGAGACTCCATCTCAAAAAAAAAAATTAAGGAAGTTTTTAGTCAAAAGTTCTCCTGCCCTCTACCATTTTCTGCTGAAGTTTTGGACATTCTGAAAATGATACTTAAGAAATACATGCCAAAATGTAAATGTTACCTGCATCCTGTGTTATCATCCACAGACATCTATTATGGAATGAATAACATCATCTTCTTTTTTTTGAGATGGAGTTTTGCTCTTGTTGCCCAGGCTGGAGTGCAATGGCGCGATCTCAGCTCACTGCAACCTCCGCCTCCCAGGTTCAAGCAATTCTCCTGCCTCAGCCTCCCGAGTAGCTGGGATTACAGGCATGCGCCACCAAGCCTGTCTAATTTTGTATTTTTAGTAGAGACGGGGTTTCTCCATGTTGGTCAGGCTGGTCTCGAACTCCCGACCTCAGGTGATCCACCCACCTCGGCCTCCCAAAGTGCTGGGATCACAGGCGTGAGCCACCACGCCTGGCCAACATCATCATCTTATACAACTTTATGAAAAAGGAAGCCATTTCCTAAAGCTTACCAAATTCAGTAAATTAGAAATGATAGGGCTTCCTTCAAGTTGGGAAAAGAAAAGCAATTTCCATTAAGCCATTAAAAAGCAGACCACACAATTTTCTAACAGTTTCAATATTCTTCAAGAAATAAACTATGCAGTATTATTATAAGCCAAAGGATACTATAAAATACAACAGATGTGTAAAGGGTACCTTATCCTGGAATACTTCAACTAGAATTAATGATTAATTACAATAGTGAAATGTCAAGGAAAAAAGTATGTAATAAAATAGTGAAATCCCTTGTGGGAAAATGAGAAAGTTTAAATGTCAGCCTGGTTGATAAGGCATTTAATTAAACAATGTCTACTAAAGAAATTAATGATTATGAACAGCACATTGTTGCTGCAGATTGCTGAAAGGGAGGGAAAATTATTTAGGCGCTATCAGGTTGACCACCAGACTGGAGTCATTCTGCAGCATGACAAAGAGAAAAATCACTAGCCAAGAGAGGCCTGGTTCTAATCCTAACTTTTGACATTTTCAGTGTATTGTAAAATTAACTTCCTCTTTCCTGGATTTTAGGTTTCTCATTCATGGAATGTGAAAACACAGTAAGTATTATTATTTTATTTAGCCAGCACTTATGTAGCACTTTCTCCATGGCAGGCACTGTTCTCAGAGCTTTATAAATTCTAACTCATTTAATCCTCACAACCGCCATTAGACTGACACTACCCTGACCCCTTTTTACAGATGAGGAAACTGAGACACAAGAGATTAACTTGCCCACAGTCACCCAGCTCGTAAGTGGCAGACATGGGACCAGATGCAGACAGGCTGGTGCCAGAGTGCTTGGTCTCAACTCCCATGCCAAGGGCCCTCTTGTACATGATGATTTCTAAAGCCGTCACCCTCTCTACCATCCAGCGACTTTATGATTCAGTCATTTTAGATGCAATCACAAAGTCTCCCCAAACCTCTCACCTGTTTGAGCACAAAAGTGCCAATCAAGCTGCTGGGCAAATCACTAAGCTACTGAGGATGCCTCAGGAGAAAACCTATCAAATTATCAAAATGTGTACTAGAATTGTTACTAGACCTATAAAGAGGTCTACTAATATGTCTTGAAGACAGTGTCTTGCTCTGTCACCCAAGCTGGAGTGCAGTGATACGATCACAGTTCACTGCAGCCTCCAACTCCCAGGCTCAAGTGATCCTCTCACCTCAGCCTCCTGAGTAGCTGGGACCACAGGCATGTACCACCACGCCCAGCGAATTTTTTAAAATTTTTGTAGAGACAGAGTTTCACTGTGTTGCCCAGGCTGGTCTCGAACTTCTGGGGCAGCAATCCTTCCATCTTGGCTTCCCAAAGTGCTGGGATTGCAAGTGTGAGTCACCACACCTGGCCGGTAGTCGTTTTATGGGTCTAAATTATGAAAGTTGTAAATGTCTTAAAACCCTTCTCCCTTCCATTAGCAAGGATTTATAGCAAACACTCTACTGACACAGCGGATCAGAGAATACACTGAGTACCCACAAAAGAAAGGCACTATGGCACCCACTGCCCTCCCTTCCTTGTGCAATCAGAAAGGCGCTCCAACAACGCTCTGGATGCCCCGCCTGAAGTCTGGGTTAGAACTAAACACACCCAGGGCACATGCAAACTCACTGCCCTTAAATAAATATAGTTTAAAACTGCAGAGCTTCCCGTAATACTGAGACACACACGCAGTAGACACTAGTGGGCAAAAACCAACCAAACAAACAAACAAACAGCCCGGGGGAATACATATATTCCCCAAAGCAAATGCTCAGTTCCCATGTAAATCACAGCTTGGTTTAAATAGGCAGATCGAGGAGCAACCTTAGGTGCATACCACAAAAGGGAAAAAGGACAGTGGAGTGGAATTGAGGGCTAAGTCCCAAGTCACTTTCCAGCCAAAAGGACAGGCCATGGTCTGAAATGCAACATCCAAGCACAGTGTCTCTATTCCTGTAACTGTTGAGAAATACAAGTTTTTCACTCAAATCATTTCACTTTCCCACAAAGTGATTTTACATAATAAGAAGGGCCAGTCTTGAAGCACTTATTTGCATCATTTAACACTCCCGATTCTACACAACGACCCTATGGCGTAGGTACCTGAAGAAGAAAGCTTTACTTGAAGCATCTGCCAAAAACAAGAAAGCTGAGAAGGGGCTGGGAAGTCCAAGCACATTCTGAATAAAAACTCTGCAGAAAATCAGACAGTGTTTAATTTTTGAAAACTTCCTCACTGTTCAGTAGATACCCGCCACTGATGGTTACATACACTAGGAACACTTTAAAATTAGGAGATGCTGATCTCTCACATTATGAATTTCTAAATCCTAGAAAGAAAGGCTTGGAGAGCTTCTGAATATAGAGAAGTTCCATTTAAGGACTAGGTCCCCCTTGTTGATGTATCAAAATATTACAGACTCTAAACTGAGACTTAATTCTCAAATGTGTTTTACTTGATCTAAAATAATCTGTCCACAAAAATAAAATTCTAAGTAATAAATTGTTATTTTCCCACCGTGGGAATCACTAACCCATTTATGCCTGAGGTTGCAATTTTTTGAACTGCAAAATCAGACCTTGGCAATGACTTTGAACAAGATATAAATAACTTCCACATGCTTAGCGTTCCAATAATGGAACACTGGGCATATAATGTGAAATGTATTCTATGAAAAGAAATTTTAAAAAATAGGAGCCAGGTACGGTGGCTCACGCCTGTAATCCCAGCACTTTGGGAGGCCGAGGCGGGTGGATCACCTGAGGTCAGAAGTTCCAGACCAGCCTGGTCAACGTGGTGAAACCCTGTCTCTACTAGTTAAATAAAAATCAGCCAGGCATGGTAGCAGGCGCCTGTAATCCCAGCTACTCGGGAGGCTGAGGCAGGAGAATCGCTTGAACCCAGGAGGCGGAGGTTGCAACAAGCCGAGATTGTGCCATTGCGCTCCAGCCTGGGCAACAAGAGCAAAACTTCGTCTCAAAAAATAATAATAATAATAAATAGAAAATAAAATAAAATGGTGTATAATAAAAATAAAATTATTCATATACAAATTTTCAGCAATACAAAAATCCATGAAGAATGCATTATAGAGCATGATAAAGCAAAAGAAAATCCATCTAGAAAATAAACAGGCAATGAACTAAAGAATCTATTAATTTTTGTGTAGTTCAAGAAATTAAAATATACTGCTAAAAGACTATGTCCAAATGGACTGTTATAAATAAAAGGACTCAGGAAATGAAGCAAGGATCACTAGAAGCTAAGATGGCTTCATTAAGACTAAATCAGGCCACAATCATCTCCTTTCTGTCTTTGACAGATGTCTAGGCTGGGAGATAAGGAGACTGTTAGAGCCATATCATAGCTGGATTTCCACAAGGCATTTGGAAGAAACAAGCATGACATGGTTGTGAATTAGACAGGAATTGGGGCTGGATGAAGGTACAGCAAAGTGGGTTGCTACTTGAAGAATGTGCCCAAAGAGTTTTGAATAATTAAAGAATGTCTCCAGAAACTTACCAGAATCTTTTATTAATTGCTTCAACGAAGGTTTTAATGACATGCAAGCCCTATTTTTGGATAAGAAAACACTAACACCAAGAAATGCCAGCAGGAAATTTGACAGGAATACACCATTGCTCTACACAAGACATCACTTCGTAGACTACGATCCCACGCACTCTGACAGGTTGCTCTAAATAAGTCAGCTGGCTGCTTCTATGAGGGGAAATAAACATATGTAAGAAGAGTCTTGGCTGGGCGTAGTGGCTCACGCCTGTAATCCCAGCACTTTGGGAGGCCGAGGCGGGTGGATCACGAGGTCAGGAGTTCAAGACCAGTCTGGCCAATATGGTGAAACCCTGTCTCTACTAAAAATACAAAAATTAGCCAGGCGTGGTGGTGCAAGCCTGTAGTCTCAGCTACTTGGGAGGCTGAGGCAGAAGAATCGCTTGAACCCGGGAGACAGATGTTGCAGTGAGCCTAGATTGCACCACTGCACTCCAGCCTGGGCAACAGAGTGAGACTCCATCTCGAAAAAAAAAAAAAAGAACAGTCTGGTTGTCTGGTAATTGGCAACCATAATTATTGGAAGACAAGGGCTGGCAGCATGGCATCTTACTTGTGAATGGTTGCTGACACACCCTGCCGGGGTTTGCGTGTGTGACACGTATACAACTTGTGGCTTAGGTGAGGGACTGAAGAAACATAGACATCTCATTAAATCTACTTCACTTGATAAAATACCAACTCAAAATTAGACGGACCAAGTTCTTTTTTATTACTTGTACAAGCAAATTTCTCTGGCTTCCTCACTTTTCTGGTCAATTTAAAACAGCTGCCTATAATCAATAATTTTTCTTAAAATGGCCCAGGAAATTTTTCTGGAGATCATCTTTTTGAAAGTAGAATAACAAGTCAGCCGGGCGCAGTGACTCACACTTGTAATCCCAGCACTTTGGGAGGCTGTGGCAGGTGGACCACCTGAAGTCAGGAGTTGGAGACCAGCCTGGCCAACATGGTGAAACCCTGTCTCTACTAAACATACAGAAAATTACCCAGGCGTCGTAGCAGATGTCTGTAATCCCAGCTACTCGAAAGGCTGAGGCAGGAGAATCCCTTGAACCTGAGAGGCAGAGGTTGCAGTGAGCTGAAATCATGCCACTGCACTCCAGTCTGGGAGACAGAGCAAGACTCCATCTCAGAAAAAAAAAAGTAACAGTCAATGTTACATTGCTGGGGTTGATGGCAATGTGATTCAACACACACAGAAATCAATGTGGACCAATACCATAAATACCCATAATTTGTCACTTATAGGAATTTGGCTTTGGGAAATCATCCCAAGGAATAAAAAGGCTATAAACACAAGCAATAAAAAGGCTATAAACGCAAAGAAAGGTTAACCAAACTGTAGCATATCTGCTGCCTAGAACAGTCTACACTCAAAAATCACAAACATGAAGACTGTGAAATGCAGAGGACTCAATTTGTTATGATGTTAAAGTTTGTTTTTTTTTTAAAGAATTTAAAAATTGCTTCTGCACAACGAGTAGGAATACACAGTGTCTGGATGTCAGATGCAAAGAATTTGACTTGCTGGGGTTTCGGGACTACAAGTCATTTTTCTCTAAAATTTATTTATTTACTTACGTATTTAATTTATTTAAGACAGAGTCTTGCTCTGTCACCCAGGCTGGAGTGCAGTGGCATGATCTTGCCTCACTGCCACCTCTGCCTCCTGGGTTCAAGTGATTCTCCTGCTTCAGCCTCCCGAGTAGCTGAGATTACAGGCATGCGCCACCACACCCAGCTAACTTTTGTATTTTTAGTAGGGACGGGGTTTTTCCATGTTGGCCAAGTTGGTCTCAAACTCCTAACCTCAGGTGATCTGCCCGCCTCGGCCTCCCAAAGTGCTGGGATTACAGGCATGAGCCACTGTACCTGGCCAAATTTATTTAACTAAGAGGTTGGTCTTATTGCTATATTACAGGAAGGAAAAAAAGAAATACTGAAAATAAAATGAAGAAGCATAGTCTCCCAGAATGCTTTCATAATTGAGATGAAATTCACGTTGGTAGTCTATACAGTATGAACAGGTTTATATTCCAAATATTTACTCTCATATTGATGAATACTTCATACCCCAAAGCATTTTCCACTATTACATGGTGGAAGAGTTCTCAAGTCAACCCTGGAAAGCCCATTTCACCACGATGAAGCTTAACAACACTATGAACAAGACCTAACTGCTATTTAGTTTCATTTCTGTTGACAAGTATATTCTGAAGCCCAGTTCAACATCCCCAGTGCTCGTTTCACCCAGTCCGAGACTCCCAAGGTTGCTCTTTGATGTTGAGAACACAGGCAGTGTTCTCAAAGGTTAGTACGGTCAAGGGTTCTACAGGTTGAAGCTCCTGGAAATAGGAAAAACAGGCACCATTATGAGGAACCTAGCAGCATCAGAGGTCACCACGACAGCTGGGGTAGGCCCGGGAGTTCCCTTAATGCCTCCAGCAGTGTCGGGCCGGAGAGGAAAGGTCCTGGCCACGTTGCGTGTCAGCTCTGCTTTTAGGAAGGATTGGGCATGGGTGGGCACAGTGCCAGAGGCAGGACCGGGGGAGATGATAAGATGCAGTGTCCATATATCCAGAACACTTGTAATTGGTATTCTGGAGTCAAGGACTACCTATGTCACTGTTTTTATTTTAAAAAAGAAAATCATGGAATGATCACTCATAGATCTACTTGAAATATCATATGAGGCTGGGCATGTTGGCTCATGCCTGTAATCTAAGCACTTTGGGAGGCCAAGCGGGGAGAATCACTTGAGGCCAGAAGTTCAAGACCCTGTCTCTCCAAAAAAAAAAAAAAAAACTTAAAAAGCTGGGCATGGTGGCATGCACCTATAGTCCTAGCTTCTCAGGATGCTGAGATGGGAGGATGGCTTGAGACCAGGAGCTGAGACTGCAGTGAGCTATGATTGTGCCACTGCACTCCAGCCTCAGTAACAGAGCGAGACCCTGTTTCTAAAAATAATAATAAATAAGTAAATGAAATGTCATCTGATGCTTATTACCCATTTCCCAGCTGGGAAGGAAAGGGATCCTGCTAATTTCCTATCAGTCAACCTTGATTTTGCTTCTAATAAGTTTGGAAGATAAGAGAGAGCACAAAATAAACATATACAGAGTTAAAGACTTTGAGGTAGGAGCTTTTTCAACACTGATTTATAATGAATGTATCTCTAGAAACAACAGCCTGAGAAAAAGGGAAGTTCTCAGAGTTTTACCATTTACCCTGGTGGTGTGGAGGTACAATGCAGGAATAGAGTTTGTTGTAAAAGGTTTGCACCATAATTGTTCCTATATTGATGCAAAAAAACCTTGTAGAAAAGGAGAAAATTGTAAAATATTTTTAAAGGAAATGACAAAGAAGTGGGGATCTCTTTAATCCCACCACCATTAAAATTTTTCAGCGGATCAACTCAAAAAGAGAAAAGTTAATATAAAGCCATTACAGACAGGGTCAAGAGAACCAACGGTGCAGGGATGAGGGGGAGGGACAGTGGCAACTGGCCAAGAACAGAAGACAAGGGCAATCTTCGGTCACTAAATACAGACATTTCTAGTAAAGGAAACACGGTATAATTTGAAGACAGAGAACTTGCATGAAAAAGGTAAAAATGTTTTAAATAAGCAGTAAAAAATAATTTTTAATTAAGTTTTTCAACAAGAATAGCCAACCCAAAAGGCTTTGGTTAATAGAAATCACAAATCTCAACTGTTGCTCCTGAAATTGTGATAATACACCATCTATAACTGAAATCTTTCCTGGGAAACTGAAAATAAAAATGCAAAACAGATTTATTACATTATGCCTCAAACTAGTTTTTAAATTGAAAATTCAACGATGCCTGACTTGAGAAGTTTTCTATAATATGCATGGCAATAATAAGTAAATATTCTCCCTCTCGAATACGTATTTAATTTGAATACATATTGGGCTGGTTAGGGAATTTCTATTCCTACAACTTACATAATCTGGTTAACTAATTTATCATATACTCAAGTTCCTTTCTGTTCTGCTCATTATAATACCAGGTTTCTTAACAGAATCTTTAATGATTCTCTCATCATCAAAAGCTGTTCTTGTCTGCCTGTTAAAATGACCAAAGTATGGCACAAAAAATGAAAAAATACCTTCTGTGAACTTGGTCTGAAACAGTCCATGGTAATTTAGGTAGACAAAGAACATTTATTTAAGAATGCATTATAAATTAAAGGCCTTAAATATATTTTAAGTGCTTTTCCTGTACTGCTTTATGATGACCAAAAAAAAAAAAAAAGTACTCATTTCTGACCACAGCCTTAAGAAATCTGCCCCAGCTGCCTGATCTACTTGAAGCCCTGCAAGGGGGCATGGGTTCATGTTCTTGGCCACTGGGCACACCTGGCTCTTCCTCCTTGTTAAGGAGTACATTCCCACAGGCCAGCACCCATCAGGCAACCCAGCCCGGGCCATTCACTGGGGACATCATGGGAAGTGACCTGCATCACAGGACAAGGAGAGGAGAAAGACACTCCTGCCCTGAGGCCCGTCTGACACCTGTGGAGCTGGCGAGCCTTCATGGGCCTTATCGGTTTGCCACCAAGCTGGACTTGTAACCTCAGAAACATCCTGGGTCCAGGGCCAAAGACTGTCCTCAGCACACATAAGGTCAATTGGTATCAATGACAGAAAGGAGCCTGGGCCCATACGGTGAGCCTCGGATGTGCAGGACATGCGTCCCCGTTTCACCCCCCGAACACTTCTGAAGGAGGACTTCGCAGGGACTTCTCTCAAGGAAGGAGGGTCCTTCAGAGTGCAGGGGGTGTGGACACCGCAGACTCCACCTCCCTTAGAGCCATAGTGAAGCCCACAGGGGACCCGCAGGTCAGCCTGGGCAACCCAGGAAGCAGTCAAGGCACAAGGGCACCGCTTTAAGCCTTCAGACATCTTAGCCTCTCCTTTCTAGCTAGAAAACTTCTTTCTCCTTTTTTTTTCTTTTGAGACGGAGTCTCACCCTGTCCCCCAGGCTGGAGTGTAATGGCATGATCTCGGCTCACTGCAACCTCCACCTCCAGGATTCAAGCGATTCTCCTGCCTCAGCCTCCCGAGTAGCTGGGATTACAGGCACACACCACCACGCCCAGCTTTATTTTTTTTCTTTGTATTTTTAGTAGAGACGGGGTTTCACCAGTGTTGGTCAGGCTGGTCTCGAACTCCTGACCTCGTGATCCGCCCGCCTCGGCCTCCCAAAGTGCTGGGATTACAGGTGTGAGCCACCGCACCCGGCCTGAAACTTCTTTAACAAATATTTATGAAGGCTTCTTTCTTACAGAAACTGTTCTGTTCAGGACACTCCTGTGAACAAGAGGCCCACGTGGGTGCTGCCGAAATGCGAGGGGTGTTCGGCCCCACCAGGAAAGTCCACTCAACCTGAACAACAAGCGGCAGCCATGTTCAAGCAGGCAGGGCTGCCAACTCACGCTCAGCAGAGCAAACTGCACCCAATCCAAGGGACCGCAGAGTTCTGAGAACATTTGCTCTCCCAGCTTAAAATAGCAAATGTGAACACTTTTCCTCAGGACTTTCATTTTCTTTGTCTCAAGTCAAAATAATTGTCTTCATGATTGACTGACTCCCCAAAGAGGGTTCAACATTTATTACATGTCATACTGAACAGCATGCTTTGCAGATTAAAATAGAACAAGACTCTGGTCACAGAAATTACATCAACAGGAGGAAAATGAAAATAAGATAACTAACTGTACATGTCCCCAACAGCCCTCTCCACTAGATTATTTCAACAGCCACACGATTTCTGCAGCTATAGTCTCCAGCTCCATATGGTAATCCAGCAACTTCTGGACTCAAATGATTTCCACTCAGCTATAACCATGTTGCTCTCCTGCTCAAAGCCTTCCACAGCTCTCATCACCTACGAAGTTGAATAAGTTATTTCGCCTGACATTCAAGGCCCTGTAAGGTGACATGAACTTACTTTCCAAGACTTTCTCTATTTCTCCCCAGGACACAGAGCCCCCTTCCTTACCACTGCCTGGATCCTCCTCCCCCACATCTCCACCTGCCAACATTCTGCTCCTTTATCAAAGATTATCTCAAATGCCATGAAACTTTTTCCATTCCCCTCTATTTGGGAGCTCAAAGCATCTTGTGTTTCTCTTCTGACACTTATCATACGGTGCCTTATGTGACAGCATCTCCACTCTTAATTGGGCTATCACATTACAGTGTAAACATTCAAATATGAGATATGTTGAAAGAACACCATCACCAAAGAGGAGGCTCACAGAAAGACATTCTACCTGCAAGGGAAGGGACATAAGTCAGTGCAATCATTTTGGAAAGATACATTAGTTTCCAGGTCAAAAAATAATGAATGAGCTGTAGAAAATGGAATGGCAATTCCTCAAAAAATTAAATATAGAATTGCCATACGATACAGTGATTCCACTTCTGGGTATAAACTCAAAAGAAATGGAAGGAGGGATTTGAACACATATATCTGTATGTGCACGTTAATGGCTTTTTTTTTTTTTTTTTTTTTTTTTTTGAGACAGAATCTCGCTCCATCTCCCAGGCTAGAGTGCAGTGGCGCGATCTTGGCTCACTGCAACCTCTAACTCCTGGGTTCAAGCAATTCTTACGCCTCAGCCTCCTGAGTAGCTGGGATTACAGGCACATGCCACCACGCCCAGCTAATTTTTGTATTTTTAGTAGAGATGGAGTTTCACCACGTTGGCCAGGCTACTCTTGAACTCCTGACCTCAACTGATCCACCCACCTCGACCTCCCAAAGTGCTGGGATTACAGGTGTGAGCCACCACGCCCGGCCCATATCATCTTTATTCACAACAGCCAAAACGTAGAAGCAACAAATAGATGGATAAACAAAACATGGGATATACATACAATGGATTATTACGCAGCCTTTAAAAAGAAGGAAATTCTGACGCATGCTACAACATGAAGCACGAAGAGATTATGCTAAGTGAAATTAGCCAGTCACAAAAGGATGACTACTGTATGATGCTCCTTACATGAGATATCCAGAACAGGGAAATTCAGACAGACAGAAAGTAGAAGAGTTACCAGGGGCAGGGGAGAGAGAGAAGAAAGATGGAAAATGTTCTGGAGCGCCAGGCGCGGTGGCTCACATCTGTAATCCCAGCACTTTGGGAGGTCGAGGTGGGTGGATCACCTGAAGTTGGGAGTTCAAGATCAGCCTGATCAACATGGAGAAACCCCATCTCTACTAAAAATACAAAAAGTTAGCCAGGCGTGGTGGCTCATGCCTGTAATCCCAGCTACTCAGGAGGCTGAGGCAGGAGAATCGCTTGAACCAGGGAGGCAGAGGTTGCGGTGAGCCAAGATCGTGCCATTGCACTCCAGCCAGCCTGGGCAACAAGAGCGAAACTCCGTTTCAAAAAAAAAGAAAAGAAAAAGAAAACGTTCTGCAGATAGATGATGGTGATGGTGGCACAATAATGTGAGTGCACTGAATACCACTGTGCTGCATGCTTGAAAATGATCAAAACAGTAAATGTGGCCGGACGCGGTGGCTCACGCCTATAATCTCAGCACTTTGGGAGGCCGAGGCAGGCGGATCACCTGAGGTCAGGAGTTCGAGACCAGCCTAGTCAACATGGAAAAACCCTGTCTCTACTAAAATTACAAAAATTAGCCGGGCATGGTGGCACGCACCTATAATCCCAGCTACTTGGGAGGCTGAGGCAGGAAAACTGCTTGAACCCAGGAGGCGGAGGTTGCAGTGAGCTGAGATCGTGCCACTGCATTCCAGCCTGGGCGACAGAGAGAGACTCCATCTCAAAAAAACAAACAAACAAACCCATCAAATTTTATGCATATTTTACCACCACAGCCAAAAAAAAAAAAAACTAATTATCAGAATCAAAATCACCTGGTATGTGTTAAAAGGTTTCTAAAGGAACCTATGCTGCTTCCCAGGAATGGTATCAAGAAAGGTAGCATCCCATTTCGAATGCCAAGAAAATTACATACTAAAGAGCAGAGCACTTGCTTATCTCCCCAAGTTTTCTATGGGTGTTCTGATCACGAGGAACCTTAAACAGAAAAGGAAGCCCCCCCAACATAAAGATCTAGGACAAAACGACACCTGAACCAACCATAGAGAGCTTTATCTTACCAATCCCAACGCCTGCATGCTTCACTTTCTTGACTTGCCCTGTTAAGCCCTTTCTAAAAATTCAAGGGCTCTTTCCAGCGGTATACTGCTTTTGTATCAACTCATGGGGACCTGCTGTTAAATTTTCAGGAATTTTTACCAGCCAGTTATTATATAAAGATATGGATTAAAATAAATTATATCAATATTTATTAAGCATAAATTTTACAGAAGTAATGAATACTCAAAAATCATCACTTCCCAATTATTTTACATTTTACTTTTATCTATCTGTGATTGTGAGGTTATTTTGCCTGCTGCATCTGGATGGTAACAATACTACATAGGAATGTGCTACCACACACTTTTTCCTAACTCTGTGTGCAATGATGTCATGTTGGTAGCCTGCAACTGGCCATGGTGGAAATATTTACACCACGGAAACTGGCAAACTCTATGAATTAGAGTTTTGTTTTTGTTTTTCAAGAGAGCTGGTTGTGAAACTGGTTCTTCCCTGTTCAAAGTATCTTGTCAATAAAATTATGTATTTTAAAATACACTTGAAGTATTTGCCAAAAACATCAGAATGAATTTATTTTAATCCACAAAAGAGAGTAGACACGGTACTAGAAACAATCTTTTTAAAAACAAGTCCCTCACAAATTCTTAGAGCATAGGATCACTGAGAAAATGTAAAGGCTGTGGAGTTGGCCACTGCTATACACCATCACCAAAGGCGGAAGCAGGATGGACATTAGGAATCCAGGCAATCGCATTTTGGTATTTTTTTCCCTTCAAATATTTTTTAATGTAGAGTCGTACTTCCTTAAGAAGCAACAACAGGTGAATCACACTCCACATACTGTTTCATAAAGCACCTTTACATGTTAATATAGTATGAACAATTTTCCAAAAATCAAATAACCTCCTACATCCTTATTAGCACAGAACTTTAAAATGACACATTAAAATGACACATTAAAAGGCAGCCGGGCGTGGTGGCTCATGCCTGTAATCCCAGCACTTTGGGAGGCAGGTGGATCACCTGAAGTCACGAGTTCGAAAGCAGCCTGGCCAACACGGTGAAACCCCATCTCTACTAAAAATACAAAAATTAGCCGGGTGGGGTGGCAGGCGCCTACAATCCCAGCTTCTTGGGAGGCTGAGGCAGGAGAATCGCTTGAACCCAGAAGGCAGAGGTTGCAGTGAGCCGAGATCTCACCACCACTCTCCGGCCTGGGCAACAAGAGTGAAAACTCCATCTCAAAAAAAAACAAACAAAAAACAATGCTTGCTGGCTTTTTGAGTCTGACACTGCTCTCCCTTCTCAAGTATTTTAAAAGTTAAAATCTAACTGGGAAGGTGGAACTGAAGGAGAAACCATGTGGATGTCATTTTTAATACCTATGACCTGGCCTGGATTAACAAGGAAAGTGAGGGTGAAGAAAGGGCCTGGGGGAACAACCGCCATGCCCACCATATGTCAAGCCTCAGAGAGCCAGGGCGCTAAGGGGACTGGCTGTGAGAGAGACACACAAGCCTCCTAAAAGCCAAAAACCGAAGGAGGATCATTCTCAAGGTAAAAGAAATAACAATTGTTTGGAGGACAGTGGAGGCAGCGAGTATGAGCAGGTTTCACAACACTCCCCACCCCTGCCTTCCAGTCCTCAGCATACCCCACACCAGTTTTTGCGGCAAACAGCTCGGCCTCATTCAAAGATGAGCGACCACTGAATAAGAACACAGGCAAAGGCAGCTAATAAGGTGCGTTTGTAAAAATAATCAACAGAAGCTGCTGCATAACAAAAATGCAGTGCCCGCTGTTCAGAAATTATTAACAATTTCAAGACAATGACGGGAGCATTCGTCCAAGCGTGGACCCTTAAGTGGATGCAGAGGTCCCATGCCCAGGAATCTGGGCCTGAAAAACGAAGGTAACAGACTAAGAGCTCAGAAAAAATAGTCCTCCATTGTCTCAAAAATATTAAAGATAAAATGGTCCTTCTAAAAATGGGGAGCTCAGAGACTAGATATGAAGTTCCAAAGAACTGACAGTCATCAATCTAAGAGATTTTAAATGGACTGATAGAGTTGAAGAAATAAATGGACTAGAAAAAAAAATATCCAGAATGGAAGCCACACAACTACAGTAAAACATAGTGTAAGCTTCTGTAAACAGAGGCAGAGAACAAACAAGGAAATCACTCAAAATTACTAAAAAGGAACAACAAGAGGGACAAAGATACACAAATGATAATAAGAATAGATGCTAGATTTAGAAGGCAAAGAAGATAAAACCTAACAACTATGGTTCCCAAAAAGTGAGCACCATTCAAAATATATGCAAAAATATTAAAGGATCTTAAAATTTTACTGATATAAAGACAGACTTGAATCAACAGATATTATGGTATAGGACATACCAGGAAAGTGACATAAAACAGCCAATGCCCAAGCAATGCTGGTAAAACTCTAAACTTCAAAAAGAATCAGAGAACCTCATGGGCACATCCAATGGAAAAAGCTAGTCATGTGCAAAAGAAAGAAACATTAACCCAGCCTCAGCTTTCTCTTCCAGAAATATCCAGTGCTAAAAAAGAATGGGAGCAATGTCTAAGAAATTCTGAGGGCAAGAACGTGTGGCCCAAGACCTTGGTACTCGGCCAAATTGTCCTTCAAATATAAAAGCAAGGAACAGCTATCCTTAAGTGTTAAGACCTCAAGGAACACAGTACCTACCAGGGCTTCTCTAAATAAAATAATGTGGCTGGATGCGGCCACACTGGGTTTACCCCTGTAATCCCAGCACTTTGGAAGGCCAAGGCAGGTAGATCACTAAAGCCCGGGAGTTTGAGACCAGCCTGGGCAATATGGCGAGACTCAGTCTCTACAAAAAATACAAAAATCAGCCAGGTGTGGGGGCGTGTGCCTGTAAGTCCCAGCTACTCAGGAGGCTGAGATAGGAGGATCACTTGAGTCCAGGAGGGTGAGGCAGCAGTGAGCCATGATGGCACCACTGCACTCCAGCCTGGGCGACAGGGCAAGATCCTGTCTCAAAAAATAAAATCGATTAAATAAATAAAACAATGAACCAACCAATGAGTCAAAATTTAAAACTCAAGCAAGGTAAAAAAAAACAGTAAAAAGACTAACAAGTTCTGAATCCATCCTAAAAGGGGACTAAGTCAAAGAGCTATGGGAATTGTGGCATTATTAGAATAGAAATGTTACAATCCTTCACACTGTAAAATTCATAATTAACTGATAAAATTTTGGAGCTTGGGAAAGAGGGGGAGCATAGGTCAGTTCTATTTTTTTTTTAGCTTTCAAAGGAGAGAGTCTCACAAACTCATAGTTTATAAGAAATTATTCTAATCTCTTAGTATTTATTATTTATCATCTTGTCATAAATTTAGTTTCTAAAAGATAGCGCTAATCTCTCTTGCAATGAAGTCAGCATTTCTATCTTGCTTTAGTTTCTTTTCCTTTGCTTTAATTCAAGTCTATTTTATTTTACATCTTTAAGTATTAAATACCATGTGTGATAAGACCCCATGACCATGGCAAGTTCTAGACAGGGCTCAAAAAATGTTACCAACATCATTGGCCAGGCACAGTGGCTCATGTCTATAATCCCAGCACTTTGGGAGGCCAAGGCAGGAGGATCGCTTGAGCCTAGGAGTTTGAGGTTACACTGAACTGTGATTGCGCCACACACCCCTGGGCAACAGTGAGACTCTCTCTCTCTCTCTCTCAAATAAATAAATAAATAAATAAATAAATAAATAAATAAATAAATAATATTATTTCTAAATGGTAAGATTTAGGGTGAGGTTTTTCATTTCTTCTTTTTACTTTTTTGTATTTTTTTTATAATGAGAATGTATCACTTCTTCCCAAACAAGTCACTTTTTAATAATAAAGAACAATCTTTTCATTACTACCTAAGAAACTGACTTTATTGGTTTTGCTCTTCTCCATCGCTGCCAGCCAGGCAAAAATCTAAACTTAAGTCTATTCACTTATTATTCTTCCTCTTATACCCCACTTTGCAGGGGATAAAACTGAAATCCAGGGCAGTTAGGTCATTTGCTGTCGGTCACAGCGCCAGGATGTAACCTCAGACAGCCAAGCTACGTTAACATGTGAGCTGACAGAATTACTGAAGTTCATTTGGTTCATCCCAATTTTTTCCTTCACTTAGTAGGCATGTGTGGACCTAAACCAGCAGGGAGAAGTGCTATCTGCAATGAAACGGCCATACTCATGCATGTCTGGTGGATGTACATACAATACAACTCTTTCAGAAAGCAACAAGAGCAAAATTCTGTCTTAAAAAAAAAAAGACTTAAAAATGCTTAAACTCTGTAATTCTGTTTGTAGGAATCAACCCTAAGAAAACAAATGTAAACACAGGGAAAGGTATATAAATGAGGAAACACATAATCTAACAACAGAGTATTAGGACAATAAGGCATCATAGACTCATACAATTGATCATTATGCAGGCATTAAAATGCACATTATGGAGAAATACTAAGGAACAGGGGAAAATACTTATCAAGTGAAGACAGCCCACTACCATTCCTCATTCAACACAGCAGACTGCACTCAGGCATTCACCCCTATTCCCTCCCAAAATCCCACTAAAATGATAAACATTACTTTACAAAGGCAGATTCCCACAAAAGGAGCCAGAAGAAAGAGACACCAGAGAAAACAAGAACATCAATAATATTTTAGAAGAAATAAAGTGAGCTGAAAAATCTCAACTAACTTGGAAGAAGGCTGAAACTGAAGGCTGTGGAGGGAGATGACAAGCAGCAGCATGCCAATTTCAAGACAAATCCCAGGAACTGCAAGAATCAAGTATCACTGGAAACAGATATGGCTCCACACAAGAAGACTGGCTGAGAATCTGAAAATTTTCTGATACGGTTTGGATGTCTGTCCCCTCCAAATCTCATGTTGAAATGTGGTTAGTGTTGGAGGTAGGGCCTGGTGGGAGGTGACTGGATCATGGGGGTGGATGCCTCATGAGTGGTTTAGCACCATTTCCTGGGTGCTCACCCAGGGATCTTGTTCTGGTTGTTTAGAAGTACGTGGCCCCTCCCCACTCTCACTCCCACTCTTGCCATGTGACACAGCCTGCTCCCCCTTTGCCTTCCACTGTGATCAACTGGAAGTTTACTGGGGCCATCACCAGAAGCAGATACCAACGCCATGCTGCTTGTACAGCCTACAGAATTACAAGTCAATTAATCCTCTCTTCTTTATAAATTACCTAGCCTCAGGCATTCCTTTATAGCAATGCAAAACTAACACAATCTCCCACCCCATGCAGCCTTTCCCTAGCCTTTCCCTAGCCTGGCTACCCTTTCCCTAGCCCGGCAGAAGCAGGAGATATCTCTTCTGTGGAGGCTGAATCTAGGAGGGCCTAAGCTCAAAGGGCCCGGGAACAACCAAAGGTGGGAATCAGATGCTTTACTAAAAATGAGGAATTAAGTCAAAAGTTTTTTGTTTTGTTTTGTTTTGTTTTTTTGAGATGGAGTCTTGCTCAGTCACCCAGGCTGGAGTGCAGTGGCTTGATCTCGGCTCACTGTAAGCTCTGCCTCCCGGGTTCACGCCATTCTCCTGCCTCAGCCTTCCGAGTAGCTGGGGCTACAGGCACCCGCCACCACGCCCAGCTAATTTTTTTTTCTATTTTTAGTAGAGATGGGGTAGACCAGGATGGTCTCGATCTCCTGACCTCGTGATCCACCTGCCTCAGCCTCCCAAAGTGCTGGGATTATAGGTGTGAGCCACCATGCCAGGCCAAGTCAAAGTTTATACCCCAAATTATAAGGCCTTCCCTTCCCAGCCCACTTCTACAGCTCTTATCACAGAATTCTGGCAGCAAAGATCACACCCCACAGCGGAATGTGAGATAAGTCTTCTCTGTAGAAACTCGAGAACCCAGCAGAAAAGACCTATGGACACTGATATGGTTTGGCTATGTCCCCACCCAAATCTTGAATGGTAGCTCCCAAAATTCTCTTGTGTTGTGGGAGAGACCCAGTTACCAGAGATAACTGAATCATGGGGGCAGTTTCCCCCATACTGTTCTTGTGGTAGTGAATAAATCCCATGAGATCTGATGGTTTTATAAGGGCAAACCCCTTTCACTTGGTTCTCATTCTGTTCTCGTCTGCTGCCATGCGAGACATGCCTTTCACCTTCTACCATGGATTGTGAGACCTCCCTAGCCACATGGAAATGTAAGTCCATTAAGCCTTTTTCTTTTGTAAATTACCCAGTCTCAGGTGTGTCTTTATCAGCAGCGTGAAAACGGACTAATATGGACACCAACATCTGGGGGTCTCCAAGAAAAAAGATGGGTTCCAACTGAATCACACAAAGGACAGTCCAGTGTACAAGCCCAACAATACCGATGGATTCCAGCCAGCTTTTAGGCACCTCACTCTGAAGTATAAACAGCTGGAGATAACCAAGTATTTTAGAAAAGCTTCCAACATGAAAGATGGGATGATAACAGTTGAAGAAAAATCTAGAATTACTATCCTAAGAGAAAACTGACAAATGATGAATTGTTCTTTACACTGTAAGCTTATTCATCACATTTCCAACAGCTGAGGATGCCTTGGTGTCTAGGAAGAGAGACCCACACAACTTCTCCCTCATCCCACAGCAGCCAGTGTTTTGGGGGCACTACAAGTGAGCTGAATCTCATCTTCCATTCTAGTAAGTAAAGAGATAGAACCTAAATTAGAAAAAGAAATTGCATGTAACACTTTATGACATGCACTGGCTAAATAAGAACTAGAATCCATTTACATTATATAAATGAATTATTTCACAACTTGAAGATAAACTCAAGAAAAAAAAGGGTTAAAAATATTTGAAGGCGGGGTGCAGTGGCTCACGCCTGTAATACCAACATTTTAGGAGGCCAAGGTGGGTGGATCACCTGAGGTCAGGAGTTCCACACCAGCCTGGCCAACATGGTGAAACCCTGTCGCTACTAAAAACACAGAAGTTAGCTGGGTGTGGTGGCACACACCTGTAATCCCAGCTACTCAGGAGGCTGAGGCAGGAGAATTGCTTGAACCCGGGAGGCAGAGGTTGCAGTGAGCCGGGATCATGTAACTGCACTCCAGCCTGGGCGACAGAGCGAGACTCTTTCTCAAAAAAAAAAAAAAAAAAAAAAAATTAAAAATGATTATCTTAGGTACCAGGAATTGGCGTGTGGAGGGGCCAGGCAGGGGACAGCCAATTTCCATTACAATAAGTGCTTGATAATATTTTTTTAAATGTTTACATGTGTTACTTTTATTTCAAAATGAAAGCCAGCTACACACCCACAGGTGCAGTGTGATATGACAGTCTTTTAATAAAGGCTATATTAAAAGAATAGACACAAAAGTGTTGACAGTGGTTATCTTTGAGGGGAGGGATTATAGGCGTCTTACTTTTTGCTTGTATCTGTTTTTGTTTTCTGCACTGCGCGTGTGTTGCTTTTAAATACGCATTTCAAGCGCCTGTGTTTTAGGATGAGCACCACCGGTTCGCTATGGCCTGGAATGATTCCACCCGTGGCCTTTTAGGAATCTGTTGAAAAATGAGTGTGCACTGAGGGAGCTGAGGAGCAAGTGAAGATGACTCTCTCAAGGAATCCATCTGAGGGCCAGGAGGCAGGTCAAGGGAGGGAAGGGCGGGAGAAGCCTTTTTTTTTGGTTTTTTTTTTTTTAATTTGAGACAGGGTCTCGCTCTGTCACCCAGGCTAGAGTACAGTGGCGTGATCTCGGCTCACTACAACCTCTGCCTCCTGGGTTCAAGCGATTCTTCTGCCTCAGCCTCCCTAGTAGCTGGGACTTCAGGCGCACGCCACCACACCCAGGTAATTTTTGTATTTTTAGTAAGGATGGAGTTTCGCTAT
The DNA here is from genome assembly GCF_000001405.40 of Homo sapiens. Classification (NCBI taxonomy): domain Eukaryota; kingdom Metazoa; phylum Chordata; class Mammalia; order Primates; family Hominidae; genus Homo; species Homo sapiens. The sequence continues at coordinate 98,177,462 of NC_000013.11, read as the reverse complement.
GTTGGCCAGGCTGGTCTTAAACTGCTGACCTCGGGTGATTCTCCCACCTCGGCCTCCCAGTGTCCCGGGATTACAAGAGTGAGTCACCGCGCCTGGCCTAGCAGAAGCTTTTCTTTCACTTGCTTTTGCTTTTTAGAACTGGGAGGGCCCACGCCCCACGTGCAGCGACGCAAGGGCGACGCAAGGGTGACGCACGCCACGGCCGTTGGGAGCCTGAGACTCAAACATGGCAGCGCCACCTTCTCCAGGAAGGACGGCCGACCAAGCAGACCAGGTATGCACCTTCCTCTTCAAAAAGCCTGGACGGAAAGGGGCTGCAGGCCTCAGAAAGCGCCCGGCCTGCGACCCCGAGCACGGAGAGAGCAGCAGCAGCGGGGACGAGGGCGACACAGTGGCTCAGCCCCCGCGGGTGGCACCGAGGCCCCGGGGCCTCCACAGCTGGCAGAAGGCGGCTCACGGCGACAGGAGGGGCGAGGAGGCGGCGCCTGAGAGCCTCGACGTGGTGTACAGGTCCACCCGCTCGGCGAAGCCTGTGGGGCCAGAGGACATGGGGGCCACCGCTGACTTCGAGCAGGACACCGAGAAGGAGCACCATACGCCGACCATCCTCAAGTGCAGCCAGCGGGTCCAGGAGGCACTGCGGGGTCGGGAGCACGACCACATCTACCGGGGAATCCACAGCTACCTGAGGTACCTGAAGCCCAAGGACACGTCCATGGGCAACTCCTCCTCGGGGATGGCGAGGAAGGGCCCCATACGTGCGCCAGGGCATCTGCGCGCCACTGTGCGCTGGGATTACCAGCCTGACATCTGCAAGGACTACAAGGAGACTGGCTTCTGTGGCTTCGGGGACAGCTGCAAATTCCTCCACGACCGTTCCGATTACAAGCTCGGGTGGGAGATTGAACGGGAGCTTGAAGAGGGTCGCTACTGTATCTGCGAGGACGAAAACCATGAAGTGGGAAGCGAGGAAGAGGAAATACCATTCAGGTGTTTCATATGTCGCCAGGCCTTCCAAAACCCAGTCGTCACCAAGTGCAGGCATTATTTCTGCGAGAGCTGCGCGCTGGAGCACTTCCGGGCCACCCCGCGCTGCTACATCTGTGACCAGCCAACCGGCGGCATCTTTAACCCCGCCAAAGAACTGATGGCGAAACTGCAAAAGCTTCAGGCTGCAGAAGGTGGGGGCAAGTCCCATTTCACAGAAGACCCCCATGAGTGTCCAATTCCCATGGCTTAGGTTTCCCATAATTCTCACATTTAAATAAATTTTTTTGTTCTTTTAGGAAAAAAGAGATAAGAAAGACTCAAGTCTGTATGTACACTGGGGAGAAGCAGCCTGTTGAGTAAGATGAGAGAGATGACAGTCTTCCTGCAATCCCATGCCTGAGTATGTAACCAAAAGAATTGAAATCCGGATCTCAAAGAGGTATGTGCACTCCCATGTTCACTGCAGAATTATTTGCAAAAGCCAAGAGGTGTAAACAACCCAAGTGTCCATGGATGGATGAATGGACAAACAAAATGCGATACACACACACAATGGAATGCTATTAAGCCTTAACGGGAAGGAAATCCTTTTAAAGATTTAAACTGATCCTTTTAAGGATCACATGCTACAACTAGAATGAACCTTGAAGACGACACTGCTAAGTGAAATAAACTAGTCACAAAATGACCAATACGCTGTATGATTTTTCACTAATATAAGGTATCTAGAGTTGTCAAAATTACATAAAAAGTCGAATGGTGGTTGTCAGGGGTTAGGAAGAGCGGGAGTGGGGAGCTGTTGTTTAATGGGTACAGAGCTTGAGTTTTGCTAAATGAAAAAGTTATAAAGCTCTGTTACACATCAATATATATATACCTAATATGAGTGAACACTTAAAAATGGTTAAGGGTACATTTTATGTTTTGTACTATAATTAATTTTTTTTTTCAAAAAAGCTAAAAAGAGATATCAGAAAAGGAAGAAATGATGGAACCAAGACCGGGAGGGAGTGGAGAGGATGGGGTTCAAGAGTTACCAAAACAGCAAATAAAGGATATCAGTTAAGAACCAAGGAGGGGAGGAGTTGACAGAAGAATATCCACGCTGAAGTTTGGATTTGATTTTGTTTGGCTGATGTTAACATCCTCTCCCTTAAAATGGCAATGTATTCCTCTCCCAAGACAAACACCAACAGATCCACGCTGAGTTCCTCACAGCTGATGAGTTCCTTACAAGGAACTGACACAGATTATGTAAATTTTCATAAGAGCCTATCTCATATATCAACTTTGGCTGTGAATTCCTTGAAGACTGAAACCATGTCTCACATACTTCCTGTTTTTTAATGGCCAACAGGTAGCTCAATAAAAAGTCAGTTAGTGAAAAGTCAGTCAAACCAAGCTACCTAGCAGTCGGCTATGCAAGCAACTGCGGCAGAGCGAACTTCGGCAAAACTTTCCACGTGATTTTGACCTTGAACCACACCCATCGACCCACCCACCACCATGGCCAGGTTGCAGACAAAAGCAGAGCCGTGGTTGAGGGCACAGACCCAGGAGCGAGATAGGATTCAAGTCATGGTTCTACCAGTTACAGCTGCGTGACCTTGGGTATGTTACTTTACCTCTCTGTGCCTCAGTTTCCTCATACATAGTAGTATCTCACAGGGTTGTTTTGAAGCAAAAATTAACATATTTAGAACAGTGCCTGACATACAGTATGTGCTATCAACATATCGATTATTGTAATTCAAGCAGGGAAAATGGCAGCTTGATAGTCGACAAGGCAGACAGTTCAAGTGCCCCATAAAAGTGAGCCATTTATTCTGGCATTTCACATAGAGCTTTCTCTAAGAATTGTCCTTGCCAAAGCTAACAACACAAAGCTTGTGTACAATGACTTACTGGGCCCTACCCCTAAGTCCGTCCGTTTTTGTCAGTTCTGTCAAAGGGCTATTTTATTCACTTTCAAGCCTTCCAAAAACATTTGGAATCTGCACAAAAGAAGAAATATGAAACTTTCAGGCACTCCGAAGCAGAAACTCTAAGCTCTGGCTCCAGGATTTTTCTCCCAAGGCTCACTCGAGTTTCTTTACAATGCTTCATGTATGTCCCTTCCTAGACACTGGACTCAGCTACGCTCGTGAACCTTGTCAACAAGTGCTCCAAGTCACCAACCTTTTGAAAACATTCCAAATATGCACTAAGATATATAGTTCTTATTCCATTTTTAAAATGACAGAATAAGGTTCATAATCAATCATTTGCAAAATTAAGCAGAAAGGCGATCACTAGTAAGCGTTGCCGAATTTGGCAATTTGGTTTACTAACATAGAGTGGGTAAACAAAATCTGCTAGCATTTTGGCCGATTTCCTTCCAGTCTTTTTTCTGTGTATTTTTCATATTAATGTATGAAATAAACATTCTGGAGTTGGAAGGAAGAAGCAAGCAGGACTGCAGGGAGTGCACACATTCCTTGGGAGCTGAGTCCTTCCCATCACCACGCTCTAAGGTCACAACGCTGGAGCGACCCCTCAGACTTTTGCTGAAACAGCTCAGAACAGGGATGAGGACAGTCCCCCATCAGCACTGCACCACCTTACACAGCACCCTGCTGGGGAAGTGAAGAGCAGTGTGGGGCCAGCTGGCTTTCAAAGTTAGCACCGTGGTTACCGGCACTTTATCCTGTCTGGACCAGGTCCCACCACATCACACCCCAACCCCTATCTTTCCGGTCAAAAGAACACATCAGCCAGGCTGCAGTTAAGCAACAACTGACTTGACCTTTTTTCTGTTCACTGAAGGCACACGTAATGGTCAATAAGTCCTTCGGAATCAACATGAGCAACATGAGAAAAATCTGGCAAAACCAAACAATGCTTTGATGTTTTCATTAATTTGCATGGACTTATGGAGGCAGCTCCATTCCCTCTCCCCATGACTGCCAGTTTCTGGTTAGGCCTTCTGAAATCCTGAAAATGCCTCACAGGCCTGCATTCCAAGGTCACAAACCCCTAGGATTCCAAAGACTCCAGGAGAGGCAAAAACCTAGAGCACATGAAAATCAAAACCTGAAAACACTGTACCCAGATTGATTAATATCCTGAAATACACAAAATTCCTTCTAAGGAGTTTTTATAAGTACCACCTAAAATTGAAGAAAACAGGGACATTTTGCTGTTGACTTTTTCTGTGTGCCAACTGCCCATAAAAATTCCTCTCCTGTTTTGCAAGGACAGAACTCTCAAGAACAAATGACCTAATTAAACCTGAGATTTCCTGGCTGAGAGCTATGTATAAAGCTGAAATGCACTGAAATGATGCTGAATTTGAAAAGAGCTCTATGCCAAACTGATTCGGTTTGCCTTTTTTATTCTACATACCCAGTGCTGGAGCTAAAAAACACGAGATTGATAGATATCCTTAACTACTATTATTTATGAAGCAACCAGAATGCGTATTTCCCCACTTATCTACTGCACATTTTTCAAAATGTGATTATACCACACTACAAATGCATCTTTTTGGCACATTTCATTGGTCTGCCTTTGCTACTGGGTTGTTGCCAGTGCAGTACAATAACGTGGATCTGCTGTCTCTCATCCTAGCTTTCAGAAACGTGTAAAGTTATCTCATACTCTCCTTGGGCTCTAGACTCCCACCCCCACTGATTTGCACAGATGTTCAAGGAGAAAGAATTCTTTCTTCCTTTAAACGAATGTCAAGGGCCTGGCAAAATCCTGTACTAAGAAATGCAGAAGTCAGCACTCTTGAAAAGCTGGTTATTAGCTCACTTCCTTCTCTCTCCAGCTTCTCCACTTCCAAAAAATAAATATGAAAACTATAACACTTGCCCAAGGTCTAAAAGAAACCAGGAAGCGGGCAGGTTAAGGGCTAACAGGTAACTTTTCTCTGCTTCTGTCTGTTGAATGTTAAGGAACTGTTCGTTTCATAGCCGAGCATTTTAAGGGTGCTATGCTAGAGGCAGCTCTGTGATTTTCATTCTTTGGCTACAACCCCTGGGGAGGTGAGGTCATGAGGAAATTCCAAGGGGGTCAAGGAGACCAGAAACCTAGCTGGTCACATAACTGCTCAGTGGCACTGCCGGAGACCAGCCCCAGCCCCCGTGCCAACCCCCATGACGCCCTATTTTCAGAGCCTTGCTGATCCTGCCAGTTTCTCCTGCCTTCCAAGCACTCTGGGCCGACAGCCACCGAGACATCCCTGAGCAGCAGAAATGAAATCAGTCACCACACCCTGGTGTCCGCAGGACTCCCACTGAGAAAAGTCTCATTCACGGCTAATCAGAACTAGAATTCTCATACTTTTCCCCACCCCGCCCAACAAACAGCAGAGCACAGATAAAGAACGGCCGGATTTCCATGGCCCTGCATTATCGGTGACATCTTCTCTTTGTTACCATCCAGAAGAGAACTGCTGCACTGACAGGAGGCAGGCAGACACCCCCAGAGCGCCACAACACCTGCAGCCAGAGACCTAATGCAAAACAAAACCAAACCTCAGGCTGAATGTGATTTTCTGTGTGATAGGGAAGAAAATGAGATAGAGAAATGTGACCGAGCGCGTGTGCAGATACGTTCAGGGGCACAAGTCTGAATGGTCAACTCAAAAATGTCATTCACACTCTCAGACGAGTTCAGAGGCTACCTCATTGGTGGGGAGGAGGACTTTAAGCAAATCATATAAATTAGACTAATCTGTGAATATCTGACTGAATCTGCACCCTTAGAAAATAAAAATTTTGCATATTTTTTAACAATGTAGCTCTGGTATGATTACTGCTATTACAGTAAATTTTTAAATCATGTTATGTTATACCTTGGTAAAATAAAATGGACTTCCAGTTGAACATGGCAGATTAACCACATGCCTGTATCAACACCAAAAATCCTACAAAAATGCCAGTAAATATACTTTAAGAGGACTATAGCAGCAGGAACAAGAGCAGATAAAACATTCTACTGACTTTTGGGTGACAGAAAGCAAGAGAGAGGTCTGTGATGATTTGTATCATAAGTGATGCTCAGAGAATTCCAACAAAATAGTCCAAAGCCCAGGAGGCTCATGCTGAATGGGAGGGGGAAGGGCGTGGGAAACAAGAGGGTGTAAGTCACTATACGAAGAGGCTAGACCTTTGCACCCAGGGACCCTCTCCCACCTACCCAAACCCCAAAGAAGTTTATTACCCAAGGACATTGAACCAGGAAAATTAGAAACTCACATACGCCAGGCACAATGACGAAGAGGGTGTGTGTAATTCAGGGCTGAAAATGAGGCACGAGGTGTTGGGAATTGAGGAAGAATCAGTCTACTTACTGTACCAGGAAACCTCCACAGTCCCCTTCTTCCATCCTGCTTCCAGAATAGCTTATCCAGGTTTATTCCAGGCAGGGCTGGTAGAATTATTCTCAGGACCATCTCAATGAGCACATATACTGATATTTGAGGATTTCCTTTGACAAAAATGACCAGTTGCTGCTTCATCATTTTAAAGAAAAATCAACAATTGACAAGCCCCATCCATGTGCACAAAAATTCCAACCTGATTTTAAGTGCCTTGGATCAGCCAAAGATCAGTACGCATTCAAGAAAAGCCTGCAAAATGAAAGTCACATCCAAAACAAAGAAGAGGAAAAAAACCTTCTAAAAACATGTAGATGGCCGGGCGCGGTGGCTCACACCTGTAATTCCAGCACTTTGGGAGGCCGAGGTGGGCAGATCACTTGAGATCAGGAGTTCGAGACCAGCCTGACCAACATGGTAAAACCCTGTCTCTACTAAAAATACAATGATTAGACCAGGTGCGGTGGCTCACACCTGTAATCCCAGCATTTTGGGAGGCTGAGGTGGGCAGATCACAAGGTCAGGAGATAGAGACCATCCTGGCTAACACGGTGAAACCCCATCTCTACTAAAAATACAAAAAATTAGCCGGGCGTGGTGGCACACACCTGTAGTCCCAGCTACTCAGGAGGTCGAGGCAGGAGAATTGCTTGAACCCGGGAGGTGGAGGCTGCAGTGAGCCGAGATCGCGCCATTGCACTCCAGCCTGGGTGACAGAGCAAGACTCTGTCTCAACAAATAAACAAACAAACAAAAATTAGCCAGGCATGGTGGCGCATGCCTGTAATCCTAGCTGCTTGGGAGGCTGAGGTGGGAAGATTGCTTGAACACGGGAGGCAGAGGTTGCAATGATCTGAGATCGCGCCACTGCACTCCAGCCTGGGTGACAGAGTAAGACTCTGTATCAAAAACAAAAAAAATGCAGACATTCTAGGGAGCAGAAGAAAATGTTTTAAAATCTAGACTATTCCCCAAGAGAATAAGAATCTCTTCCAAAATACAAGAAGAGTTGCTATGGAAAAAAGGCCAATAGCTCCCCAAAATTGATAATATGGATAATTGAAAGTTTTATTTCTATATTAGTTTATAAAGATTAATTTGAAGAGATCTCATAGAAAGTAAGGCAAAACATAACTACATGGAAAATTTTAAAGGTAGGAAAGTAGAGAATCTTCCTAAAGCCCTAATAATCAAATAATATGAAGTTTTTTTAGAAGAATTTTTTTTTGAAAACTTAGGAAATATCTCAGACTGATGGACAATGGTCTCCAGACTAAATGGAGAAAGCAAAATACCCAGCATAATTTTAAAAGGATCTACACCGAAGTACATGACAGAAGTTGTGACACTTTAAAATCTTAAGATTCTAAAATGTTCCAGGGAGAAAAAGAAAAAATTAAATCATATCCAAAATATGTTAGAAGACAACGGAGCAATGTCTTCAAAATTTCAAGGATAGTAGTTTCCATTTTTAACTCTGTATGTAGTAAAATTATCAAGGAAATCTAAGCATGCCTTAAAGTTTCTTGTTGTTGTTCTTTCAAGAGACGAGACAAGGTCTTGCCCTGTTTCCCAGGCTGGTCTTGAACTCCTGGCCTCAAGCAATCCTCCCACCTCAGCCTTCCAAGTAGCTGGAATTACAAGCATGCACCACTGCATCCAGCAAAGATATTTTCACATGTTAAAGATTCAAAAGAAATGTAGCTTCTTTACCTTTCTGAGAAAGCTACGGGTGTATGTGTTCTACCAAAACAATGCAGTAAATCATGAAATGAGATGATACGGAATCCAGAAAAGAGCGTGTCCAAGAAAGAAGAAGGGTAAAGGAAAGCCCCTGAATGATGGTTGTGAACTACGCCTAGAGTACAACCCATTCAGATAGAAGCTGAAGGATGGGGGTGCTACAGAAGGTGAAGCACCAGGAAAAAGGATGATGGGGGAACTGAATGGCTATATATGGCTTAGAGATCAGTACAAATTAGTTGAAAGAAAACTGATAGGTCGGTTCAAGTTATTAGCAATGGATACGTAGAAAAATCAAACAAATTTTAAAAAATGAATTATCTTAACAACAAAAAAAAACAGTTTTTGAAGAAAACTATCATAGGGCATTATCTGGCTCAGCAGTGAACAAGTCCACACAGTCATAATGATATACACACCAACATTGAGTTAAACAAAGACTGCACTGCAAACCACATTGGGTGAGTCCAGCGGGGGTTGAGAGCTGATCCCCCCTGCCCACAGCAGGAAGTACAGGACACCTGAACATTTCAACTACTTCTTAAACAGCCTCTCAGCTCAAGATCCTGTTTTCTGATCTTCTAACAAATCCACAAGGTCTCAAAGCATTTATCACTCCAATCACTTTGGGAAGGGCTCTACCAGAATGAAGGGGGAAAAAAAACACAGAAATCAGAAGATAAGCTCCAGGAAACAAATTTCAAGAAAGAGAAGCAAAGGGGATCATCAGGGTCATGGGGAGATCCCTGAAGCTGTCCAGGACAAAGATCCTACATCAGGTGATAGAGGCAAGGGGAACCCCCCCAGTAGATTACAGTAGGGGAGACCCCAGGACGCTGACCAGGCCAGTGAGAAACCTGGCCCAGTCTGAAGACTTCTGGACAAGGATCTCTCAAGGATGAAACAGGATATCTAATGATCTGATTAATCTGAAGAGACTAAAAGTCGATTTAGACAACAGGTGAGAGTTTCAGAATTAATTAGATACATATGTGGAAAATGAAGCAAAGGAAAAGCAAGATAACCATTGACTCCACAGGAAACAAAACTCAGCGATAAAGGAAAATTAGTTATGGTATATACATGAGCCACAAAGCTTATGATGCAGTTTAGCTGTCAATAGTGATAGTAGAGTCTATTACAACAGCATGGCACCAAAACTTTTTTATTTATTTATTTTATTTTTTTTTTTTGAGATGGAGTCTCACTCTGTCACCCAGGCTGGAGTGCAGTGGCACGATCTTGGCTCACTGCAAGCTCCACCTCCCGGGTTCACACCATTCTCCCACCTCAGCCTCCCAAGTAGCTGGGACTACAGGCACCCGCCACCACGCCTGGCTAATTTTTTCTATTTTTAGTAGAGACGGGGTTTCACCGTGTTAGCCAGGATGGTCTCGATCTCCTGACCTCGTGATCCACCCACCTCGGCCTCCCAAAGTGCTGGGATTACAGGCGTGAGCCACCGCACCCGGCCAGCATGGCACCAAATCTAATCTATTGGAAGGCTCTTTATTCGTGTATAGCTGTGCATCATTACTACTGATTATTATTAGAAAAATAAAATTAGATCCCAATATTACTTGAGTCAATGTAGACTTTTTTAAATGAATCATAAAGTTCTAGAAGACAACATAAGATTTTTTAAAACTGTTTGCGGCCAGGCGCAGTGGCTCATGCTTGTAATCCTAGCACTTTGGGAGGCTGAGGCGGGCGGATCATTTGAGGTCAGAAGTTCGCGACCAGCCTGGCCAACATGGTGAAACCCTAGCTCTACTAAAAATACAAAAATTAGCTGGGCGTGGTGGTCGACACCTATAATCTCAGCTACAAGGGAAGCTGAGGCAGGAGAATCACTTGAACCAGGGAGGCAGAGGCTGCATTGAGCTGAGATCGCGCCACTGCACTCCAGCCTGGGTGACAGAGTGAGAGTGAGACTGTTTCCAAAAAAAAAAAAAAAAAGTAAAACTGTTCTCAAATTGCAGATCTCTCTAAGCATGACCTAAATGCTACATGCCATAAGGGAAAAAAACTAAAAAAGTGCAAAGCCAAAAGCAAACTAGGAAAAAGTACTTGAATTACATATTATAAAGGGCTGATTTTCTCCATATACAAAGGAACGCCTATAAATCAATTAAGAATTCTCCATATATAAAGGAAGTCCTATAAATCAATAAGAAAAATATTTGCAACCTCCTAGAAAATTGGCCAAGGGACAGGAACAGGGAGTAGAAGGATGGTCAAGAAAATACCAATGGCTTGTCGAGTTGTCAACGTTTGAAAATGTATTCAACCACAACGAGTAGTAAGAAAAGTGCAAAATGACAATTAAGAAAAACTGGACCGGGTGTGGTGGCACATGCCTGTAATCCCAGAACTTTGGGAGGCCGAGGCAGGCAGATTGCCTGAGCCCAAAAGTTCAAGATCAGCCTGGGACACATGGCAAAACCCAATTTCTACTAAAAATACAAAAAAATTAAGTCAGGTGTGGTAGTGCACGCCTATAGTCTCAGCTTCTTAGGAGGCTGAGGTAGGACGATCCCTTGAGCCCAGGGAGGTCAAGTCTGCAGTGAACCATGATCACGACACTGCACTTCAGCCACAGTGACAGAACGAGACCCTGTTTCAAAAAAAAAAAAAAAAGAAAGAAAAACTGGCATCTCACTGATCAGATTAGGACAGGTGAAAATATTTGCCATCACTGTAGGTTTCCGGTTTGGGAAAAACAGCCTCAACACAGTGATTAAGAGCCAACAGCAGATCCAGATTGTGTGGGTTCAAATCTCTGCTCTGCTACTTGAGGTGAACCTTGGGCAAGTTACTTCATCTCTCCTGCCTCAGTTTCCTCATCAGCAAAACTGTGATAATAATAATACCTCTCCCCTACAGGTAGCTTTGGGGATTAAACAAGTTAATATTTGTAAAACATTTGATATAGTTTCTAGCACAAAGTAAGCACTATATGCAAGTTCATAAAACGAATGAACGGTTATAAGGTTGTAAGCCATGGAGGGCAATATGGCAATATCTATGTATATTAAAAACAAATACAGCCTTTGACCACTGATCCTACTAGGATTTTATACTTCAGGTATCACCCATCTTCAGTGTGGTGTCATTTAGACCAGCAAAATATTCAGAACAACCTAGATGTCTATTGACAGGGAAAATTTTACAGATTATTTAATGGTACCCTCTGTTTATATGCCGATAAAAAGAATGAGGCCAATCTGTATGTACTAATATGAAACCATCTTCGGAGTGTATTAAACTGAAGAGAACAAGCACAACACCATATTTAGGGTATGCTACTATTCATGCTAAATGTCTATGCATAAAAGACTTCTGGGCTGGGCGCAGTGGCTCACACCTGTAATCCCAGCACTTTGGGAGGCCAAGGCAGGTGGATCACCTGAGATCAGGAGGTCGAGACGAGCCTGGCCAACATGGCAAAACCCCACCTCTACTAAAAATACAAAAAAATTAGCCAGGCGTGGTGGTGTGCACCTGTAATCTCAGCTACTCTGGAGGCTGAGGCAGTAGAATTGCTTGAACCTGGGAAGCAGAGGTTTCAGTGACCCGAGATCGCACCACTGTACTCCAGCCTGCATGACAGAGTGAGACAAAAAAAAAAAAAAAAAAAAAAAAAAAAAAAAACCCCTTCTGGAAGGGTTTTTTTTTTTTTTTTAATGATGAGAGATTATCATATTAAGGTCTTACCAGGTTTGTTTTAATGGGAAAAAATTACTAATGATGCTGAAGTGTTGGGAAAAGTCTTTTTTAAATAGAGTAAACTTTCCCCTGTAAATTTTCATTATTTGTGTAACAAACTTTTTCCCACGGCCTTCTGTTAAAACAAACTTTAGACTGACAAAGGGTCAACTGTCCTGAACTCTGAATTGGTGGGGTTTAAAAATCAATGCATGTCCACCTTTGGGCACAGAGGAGCACTCACAATATCTTCAATAGTTACAATCTGCCTCAAAACACTGACATTTCTCCTCAAAAACTGTTTCATTTCTTTTAATATCAGCATAACATGCCAAGTTACAGTATGATTTTAAATTACTTAAAGGATAAAGAAGAATGAGACCAACGAAGCAATCATCACATCATTCACTTTGGACAATTTTTTTTTTTTTTTTTTTTTTTTGAGACAGAGTCTGGCTTTGTCACCCAGGCTGGAGTGCAATGGCTCAATCTCGGCTCACTGCAACCTCCACCTCCCAGGTTCAAGTGATTCTCTTGCCTCAGCCTCCAGAGTAGCTGGGATTACAGGTGTGTACCACCACACTCAGCTAATTTTTGTATTTTTAGTAAAGACAGGGTTTTGCCATGCTGCCCAGGCTGGTCTTGAACTCCCGACCTCAAGTGATCCACCCACCTCGGCTTCCCAAAGGGCTGGGATTACAGTCATGCACCAACACGCTCAGCTAATTTTTGTATTTTTAGTAGGGATGGGATTTCACCGTGTTGGCCAGGCTGGTCTCGAACTCCTGACCTCAAGTGATCCACCCGCCTCGGCCTCCCAAAGTGCTGGGTTTATAGGTGTGAGCCACTGCGGCCGACCCACTTGGGACAATTCTAACTGACAAACCTCTCAACCTGCCAGACCATGGCTCTATTTTGGAGATCTTCCCCTTTCACACATATTTACACATTAGATGGTGGAGGAGGAAGCCAGAACAACAATGAAGAATGCTATGTAATTCCTAAAACAATTAAGAATATCAGCTTGTTTTGTATTAAACAAAAATCTAAGTTCTCTGAAAGACACCTCTCATTGGGTTCACAGCAGTAGGTAAAGATGCATACAAATGAAGGCCACAGATGTGTTGCTTTGTTGTTTAATCAAATACAAATCAAAAGAATCTTAAGCCAAGGGATTCAATTAGAAAGAATTAAAAGGCTTTTGAGCATAAACCTACCAAGAGCAACCCAGACTCTCTGACTCTTTCAAACTAGAACTAAAATGTCCTAGTTTCAGACTAGAACTAAAATGTCCTTTCCCACATTCTCAAGAGTTCCTGAAATGCTGCCCTGTGGCTGTCAGGTAAACAGTCCAGATGTTCCGTCACCCGCCATATGGTGAAAACAAACGCCACGCCCCCAAAACGGACCAAGGTGGCCCGCAAATTAACAAATGGAGGCAAACTATCCATATGCCAATTTCCTGGGCCTTTCTGTCCTTCGTTTCCTGCACAATCTTACATGCTATTAGGTAAACTCTTCATTAAAAGTAAGGCATTCACAGGACTTAGTGCCAACAGGATTATTCATGGAGGTACAGTCAAGCAATCCAGCAATTAGAATTAAGCTAAAGAAGGATAATCTTGAAGTGTTTAGAAAAGGTCATGCTGGCCGGGTGCAGTGGCTCATGCCTGTAATCCCAGCACTTTGGGAGGCTGAGGCGGGCGGATAACCTGAGGTCAGGAGTTCAAGACCAGCCTGGCCAACATGGTGAAACCTCGTCTCTATTAAAAATACAAAAATTAGCTGGGCGTGGTGGCGGGTGCCTGTCATCCCAGCTACTGGGGAGGCTGAGGCAGGAGAATCACTTGAATCTAGGAGGCAGAGGTTGCAGTGAGCTGAGATCGCGCCACTGCACTCCAGCCTGGGCGACAAGAGCGAAACTCCGTCTCAAAAAAAAAAAAGAAAAGGCCATGCTAAGTTTAATTTATAAGCCACCACTGGATGATACCATACTACCAAGTAAGTATTTTTGATTGCTGGAACCTGGGAGGCAGAGGTTGCAGTGAGTCTAGATCACGCCACTGCACTCCAGCCCGGGTGACAGAGTGAGATCCCATCTCAAAAAAAAAAAACACCAACAAATAAGGATTTGATTTGATTTTCCTAAATGGCTATTTGGGATTTGAAGGGGAGGGGCAATTTTTTGTTTTTAATTTTTAACTTTTATTTTAGGTTCAGGGTACACGTGCAGGTTTGTTATATAGGTAAACTCATGTCACAGGGGTTTAACAGAAGGTACTAAGCCTAGTACCCAACAGTTACTTTTCCTGCTCCTCCCCCTCCTGCCACCCTTCTCCAAGTAGGCCCCAGTGTCTGTTGTTCCCCTCTGTGTGTCCATCAGTTCTCTTCATTTAGCGCCCACTTATAAGTGACAACATGCGGTATTTGCTTTTCTGTTCCTGCGTTAGTTTGCTAAGGACAATGGCTTCCAGTTCCATCTATGTTCCTGCAAAGATGATTTTGTTCTTTTTTATGGTTGCATAGTATTCCGTGGTATATATGTACCACATTTTATTTATTCAATCTGTCATTGATGGGAATTTAGGTTGCTTCCATGTGTTTTCTATTGTGAATGGTGCTGCAATGAACATTCACGTGCCTATGTCCTTATGGTAGAATGACTTATATTTTGGGGGGTATATATCCAGTAATGAGATTGCTCAGTTGAATGGTAGTTCTGTTTTTTGCTCTCTGAGAAATCGCCACACTGCTTTCCACAACGGTTGAACTAATTTACACTCTCACGAACAGTGCATAGGCATTCCTTATTCTCCGCAACCTCGCCAGCAACCTAAATGGGTATTTGTTTTTAAGATCTTGTAGCTCCTGACTTGCAAGGCGCCTCAGCCACTCCTAGAACATTGTTAGAGCATCTCTAACTTTACCAGAGACTAACAGGCCTGGACATGAGAGAGACAGAAACAATCTAGAAGTCAAAGGTAGATGAAGGGTAAAGTAGATAAATAGTGTCTGAAGACTAAGATCATAAATAAATGTATATCTGCCACCCATTTGTGACTATAAGTTCAAGGCTTTTACAGACCATGGGGGCCAAACAGCTGGTGAGGTCAGCCCAGGTTTGAGAGGTTCAAGGTAAGTTTATCCAGAAACCCCAAGAGGGGTTTCTTCAACAAAGATTTAATGAGCACCTACTACAGGCCATGCCCCGAGCTAGGAATAGCGGCACAAACGCAAACAAAATAAGCCAGAATTGTTGGTACACAAGGAAAAGATTCTCTTCTGCACATCGATGAGAAGGCAAACCTTGTCAGTTCTTGCCTACCCACCACCTTAGAAATCTGTCCTATGCCACTTAGAAACTCCACACTTGTACGCAGGCATGGCACACAGGAGTATTAACTGATTCATCTCACTTTAGGTGTCTCCCCTGACACTTAAGACTTTTCTGGAAACATTCCCGCTACAGTTCTATTTTCTAACCCATGAAGAACACTTTTAATAGAAAGTGAATCCCAAACCCCCTCCTCCAAGTGCCAGTGAGAAAAAAGTCAAATGATAAAAGAAAGAGACAGGAAGAGCCAGGCACAGTGGCTGGCCTGTAATCCCAGCACTTTGGGAGGCTAAGAGGAGAGGACTGCTTGAGGTCATTTTGAGACCAGCCTGGGGAAGATAGCAAGACTTCTGTCTCTACAAAAAAATTCCAAAAATTAGCCAGAAGTGGCAGACCACATCTGTAGTCCCAGCTACTTAAGAGGCTGAGGTGGGTGGATCACTTGGGCCTAGGAGGTTGAGGCTGCAGTGAGCTAAGATCACACCACTGCACTCCAGTCCTGGTGACAGAATGAGACCCTGCCTCGAAAGAAAGGGAGAAAGAAAGAAGGAAGGAACGATGGAGGGAGGGAGGGAAGGAAAGAAAGAGAGAAAAAGAGAGACAAGAAGGTAGGGACTTCATAGTCCCCAAAGCCTTCTATACACATTCTGGGAAATCGCCACACAATATAGTCAAGGGCTTGAAAGACATCTGGGAACCCCCTTCCCATCATGTGAACTCAGCCACATTCCTCAGAGAAAGGTCAACAGGAAATGACCTCAAGAGACCTTTGACCTCAATCATGTTGACTTAAAGACTACTGAAGCTGCCGAGCATGGTGGCTCATGCCTGTAATCCCAGCACTTTGGAAGGCCGAGGCGGGCGGATCTTTTGAGGTCAGGAGATCGAGACCAGCCTTGCTAACATGGTGAAACCCCGTCTCTACTAAAAATACAAAAAATTAGCCGGGCATGGTGGTGCGCGCCTGTAATCCCAGCTACTCGGGAGGCTGAGGCAGGAGAATCGCTTGAACCCAGGAGATGGAGGTTGCAGTGAGCTGAGATCACACCATTGCACTCTGGCTTGGGCAACAAGAGCAAAGCTCCATCTCAAAAAAAAAAAAAAAAATTACTGAAGCAAGATAATGGAGGGGAAAGAAATTCACAAAACGTATGTATAATATATTACCAATTTGAAAAAAATAGAGCGTTCTTAAAAATGTAAAAAGGAAACTGTGGGATGTTGATGGTAGGGAAGGTTCAGCAGGAGGGCATAGGGGAATTCTAACTTCTGTTCCATTTTGCTGAGAACCTAAAACTGCTATGAATAATAAAGTCCATCAAGAAAACAAAATAAGGCAAATATAAGCCAGGCGCGGTGGCTCACTCCTGTACTCCCGGCACTTTGGGAGGTTAAGCGGGTGGATCACCTGAGGTCAGGAGTTCGAGACCAGCCTGGCCAACATGGCAAAACCCTATCTCTACTAAAAATACAAAAAACAAAAACAAAAAAAATTAGCCAGGCATGGTAGTGTGAGCCTATAATCCCAGCTACTCAGGAGGCTGAGGCAGGAGAATCACTTGAACCGGGAAGTGGAGGTTGCAGTGAGCCGAGATGGCACCACTGCACTCTAGCCTAGGCAACAGAGCAAGACTCAGTCTCAAAAAAAAAATTTAAATTAAAAAAATTTTTAAAAATAAGGCAAATATGACAAAAGCAATCTGTGTGTGCTGGAGTGGTAGTCGTTAACAACAGGTGTCTGTGTGTATGTATTCTGCCTACTTTTCTTCACTTTCCATGTTTCTACAATGACCTTATTTTTGCAATTAACAAAAAGAAACGAGAAAAAAAGCTTTTAAAGAAACGAGGCTATTTTTAAATTTTTTTTAAAGCCTCAGTGAAACACAGCCCATTCTCATGTGAAATACATTAGGCTATCCTTACGATCTGTGTAGGATGGCTGGTCTACCCAAGTCATCCAGTAGCAATGCAAGGAAAGGGGATAGCCACTCCCCAGCACCAGGCAGCCCAGGCCCCACCATCACGCCTACAGCACACACCTGCCAGAGTGCTGGCATATCCACTCAAAGGAGGCTTCATTTCTCAGTTCCTTTATGATGTGACTTCAATTTAAAGATTTAACTTCTTCCCTCACCTCCATCACCAAGCTCCAAAGACATGGTTTCCTGGCCACAGTGACTCTCACAGGCTTTCACTGGACCTGGGCTTTGGTTTCTAAAAGGTGAAATGCTGCAAGCAACCTCTGGTACCAACAACTGTGTATCAGATAGGTCAGTATCTTCAAAGGTGAAGCTAAAGTACATCTTTAAGACCATGACTGACCTCCAAAAATGCCTTGAAGGAAAACAAAATTGTACTACAATGCCGAAAATGATGATGAAATCGTCTGGTGATTGACCAGATTTTCATCCTCCAACTTCACAACTGCTCATTACTTGGCACTAGGGTGAGGCCAGTGAGGCACTCACCTTGGGTGCAGAATTTAAGGGAGTGCCAAATACTCCATAATTAAGATAGTCATGTGTAATGAATATTTTTTAAAATCACAAGTAGGCTGGGCGCAGAGGCTTACAACTGTAATCCCAGCACTTTGGGAGGCCGAGGTGGGGGGATCATCTAAGGTTGGGAGTTCGAGACCAGCCTGACCAACATAGAGAAACCCCATCTCTACTAAAAATACAAAATTAGCCAGGCATGGTGGCACATGCCTGTAATCCCAGCTACCTGGGAAGTCGAGACAGGAGAATCGCTTGAACCTGGGAGGTGGAGGTTGCGGTGAGCTGAGATCACGCCATTGCACTCCAGCCTGGGCAACAAGAGCAAGACTCCATCTCAAAAAAAAAAAAAAAATCACAATTAAAAAAAATCCACAATGAACAAAGCAATAAAATTTTCAATAAAGATTGGGTCTGACCCTGATCTTGCAAGATACATCTCCTCTCACCCTCATCTGGCACACTCAGGGACACCTGTACTACAAGAAGACCCCTGACTTCACTTATTAGCTGTGTGACATTGGGCATAATACCGTATAGTCTAAGCCTCAGCTTCCTGTCAAACGAATACCTTCCTCATTGAATGGTCAAGTAAAAATCTATGCAACATGCTGAGCACAGTGCCTAGCATGATAATAGCACAAAACTGGCCGTGGGAATAGCACCCCATCAAGGAGCACGATTCCAAGGATGGGCCAGAAGGCGTCTCCTACATGCACTTTGCCATGCTTGTTCACACACTAGACTCAAGCAATTTTCAGGAAATGGGTTTTGGCAGATCACCGGGATTTCTCTACCTTGAAGATAGACTTTTCTTATTTTTCTGCTCAATCTTTAGGACTGATGAACCTTCCTGGCCCAAAATTATGCCAGGGAAAGCAAGGAATGGAGCTGGCTTTCCTAGCTCTCCAAGGAATGGAGGAGCCATCCCTGTCTAGCTCCTCCAGGTGAACAGGCAGGTGCGGCCACAAACAGCATGACGCAGACGGAAGACACAACCACCTCTGCATTTCTCAGAATTTTCTTTCCTAACAGTGAAGCACGCCATTTTTTAAACCACCAGACAGTCTCTTAGCCCCTACAGTCCTGGCTAAATTGCCTATAATCCTGAGAAAAGCAGCTGTTCCCTGTCCCTGGTCCCCTGCCAAAGGCTCTGAGCCTGACCTCAAACTCACACTTTAGGGTTTTTTTATGTGACTTTGGAGTTACTATTCTCAAATGGTACCTGGAGCCTGAGTTCATGCTTATGCTATTCTACCTCCAAAACCAAAGCATCCCACTGACCTGGACAACCTTGATCTGACAACCCTGAACTTCTGAACTACAAATAAACTCCTTGGAATAACCATCTCCCCAAGAAGACCATGTCTCACTCAAGTATCATGTGCACCTCCCTTACTTTGTTATGTGCCTTTGACACACTGGAATAAGAAAATGACCTTTGAGTAGGTGGTTTCAATAGTAGAGTAGGGACAGATTTGCAATGCATGTTCTGTAGCCAAAGTATGTCTTACATGACTTTTTATATGTGTAGCAGGCTTAGCTTAATCCACAGGGGAAAAAAATTTAAGGTTTTCCTTTTCATGCACTCCGAAAAAAATAGTTTTCTCTTCTCATTGTAAATAACATGGTTTGGTAATTACAAAAGCAATAAAAATTTGTGGGAACTTTAGAAAATACAGAGAAGTTCAAAGCAGAAAATAAAAACCACTTGGATTAATCTCATGCAAAGAAAACCGTAACATCCTTTTCTCAATGCATATATGTCATGCATAGAATTTTAAGCAAACATGCTCATCTTTTAAGCAGCAAACTAACAGTATAATCACAAAAGAAGTGGTAAGTGACCTCCCAGCCACAGGAGGATCAAGGAAGAGCAGTAACTCAGAACCTCATCCTGCAGAAGGCCAAGGGAGGCTACATTTTACAAAGAAATGTACAGAAATAATTTGTGACGATGTTTACCACTTAAGAGAGTTCATCTTAAATATTTATTGAGCACCTACTATGTTCCTGGCACTCTGCCAGGCATTAGGAATGCAGATGTGTAAAATACTTAAGTAGAAGTTGCTCTAAGTGAGGAAAAACTTCCTGAGCTTCTATCTCTGCTCTGCCAATTATAAGCTGTGTGACCTTAGGCACACTTAACCTCTCTGAACCTCCATTACCCTCTTAAGTAAAATGAGGATAAAAATCAGGGTGGTTGGGCTGTTAGAACTCAGCCTAGGACTTCAAATGTTCAGTAAATGTTAGTGCTCAAATAACCAAAATGAGTGGAGAGGAGAGTAAACACGCCAGTACAAGCACGGAGGGTCCACGCTGGCACCCGGGAGGAGACGTTAGCCTTAGGGAAGGCTTCTGGAAGGAGGTAGGCAGGGACTGGATGAATGTCAGAGCAGAGAAGGACTTGGTGGAAGGCCGGGGCAGTGGCAGATGGGAAGATGTGACAGAGGAAGGCTCTGTGGCTTGTAGGAAGTTCACCTAGACTAGCATGGGGGAGGGGGACTGATCAGGGGGAAGAGGGAAGTACAGGAGGCTGGGAAATAAAATGGGGCAAAAACACCAGGTTTCTTCCAGCCAGGCTCGTTATCAATTCCAGCAAAACAGTAACATGATCTCACACAATGATCACTTTAAAACCAAAACTTTTCTTGACTACTCCAGTCAACTCAAAGGGCACTGATTCATGCTTTCTAAAACTACTTTTACAAGTGAGCATTTTCTAAAATCTCTATAAAGAGGCGGTGATGCAGTGAGGTGATCCTTCACGTCCACTCTGCAGACATGCTAAACTCATCAATAATGTCTCTCAGCGTCCTTCCTGCATGACCCAGCAGACCTCAGATTAGGTATTTCTTATTTGGGGGTATTAATGAAGACTAGATGAGGAATTTGGTTTTTGCTATTTCAGTGACTGGCTTACCCCTTTCAGGAAAGGAAAACATAAATAAAAACATGTATACATTCTAGGCCAGGTGCAGTGGCTCATGCCTGTAATCCCAGCACTTTGGGATGCCAAGGCAGGAGGATTGCTTGAGCCCAGTTCCAGACCAGCCTGGGCAACACAGCAAAACACTGTCTCTTTAAAAAAATAAAAATTTAAATTTAAAAAACCCAGATTATAATGGGGGCCAGGTACAGTGGCTCATCCTATAACTTTGGGAGGCTGAGGCAGGAGGATCGCTTGATGCCAGGAGTTCAAGACCAGCCTGGGCAACAAAGCAAAGTCCCATTTCTACACAAAATTTAAAAATCAGCCAAGCACACTGGCTCATGCCTGTAATCCCACCACTTTGGAAAGCTGGAGTGGGAGGATCATATGAGCCAGGAGTTCAAGGCTGCAATGAGCTATGATTGTGCCACTGCACTCCAGCCTGGGTGACAGTACAAGATCTTACCTATAAAAATCAATAAATAAAGTGAAAGAAGCTGTGTGACTAAGACTTTTGCTAAAAAGAACGTTATTATAACTTAATATGTTTATCTTTGTTTTTATGCTTACACACAGTTCAGATTCAAAGCTTCATGGTTTAATAATACAAATAACAGCTACCATGTCTTAAGTCTTTTATAAATTGCCAGAGAGTATGTTTTTATACGTTATCTGTCATTCTCAAAACAAATTCCAAATGGCCAAAATTCCAAATCTTAAAAAACACTGATCACAAGGACTTTTATAATTAGTTATTTAGAATCCATGATTTGTATCATAATGGGCATTATTCAAAAGGTATTATTTTTATTTTTAAAATATGGGAGGAAACGGGGATTGAAATGAAATGACTTGCTCCAGACGACCTAACTTTTGAGTAGTAGAGCAGGGATCTGAACACAGCTACCTCAGGGTCCTGTGGCAGCCAGCTTCCAAGACAGCACTCAATGATTCTTGCCTCCTGGCAGCCACACTTTTGTGTAACTGCCTCCCCTTAAGTCATAGCTGGCAGTAGGCCCAAGAATACTGTGGAAGTGACAGTGTATAACTTCCATGGCTGGCAAGCAGCCACAGCAGGGCCAGGCGCAGTGGCTCACCCCCATAATCCCAGCACTTTGGGAGGCCGAAGCAGATGACCACTTGAGCTCAGGAGTTCAAGACCAGCCTGGGCAACACTGTGAGACTCCCGTCTCTACAAAAAATACAAAAATTAGTGAGGTGTGGTGGTGCACACCTGTAGTCTCAGCTACTTGGGAGGCTGAAGTGGAAGGCTTACTTGAGCCTGGGAGGCAGAGATTGCAATGAGCTGAGATCACACCACACTCAAGCCTGGGTGACAGAGTGAGACCCTGTCTCAAAAATAAATAAGTAAAATTAAAACTTAAAAAAACCACAGCAGTTTTGCCTTGGTTTCCTCATGGTTCACTCACTCTGGGAGAAGCTAGCCACCATGTTGTAAGGTATTCAAGCACCCCGCCTAAGGAGCTTATCGGGCTCCTTGGTAGCAGACCCCACAGTCCCAGTTGACTTTTTTTTTTTTTTTTTTTTTTTTGAGACAGAGTTTCGCTCGTTACCCAGGCTGGAGTACGATGGTGCGATCTCAGCTCACCACAACCTCTGCCTCCCGGTTCAAGCCATTCTCCTGCATCAGCCTCCCAAGTAGCTGGGATTACAGGCATGTGCCAGCACTCCCAGATAATTTTGTATTTTTAGTAGAGATGGTGTTTCTCCATGTTGGTCAGGCTGGTCTCGAACTCCCAACCTCAGGTGATCTGCCCACCTTGGCCTCCCAAAGTGCTGGGATTACAGGCGTGAGCCACCACGCCCGGCCCCAGTTGACTTTTTCAAAAAATAGAGATGGGGTCTTGCTATGCTGCTGAGGCTGGGAACTCCTGGGCTCAAGCGATCCTCTACCTTCAGCCTCCTAAGTAGCTGAGACTACAGGTATGTGCCACCATGCCCAGCTCCTAGCTGACATCTTCATCACAAACCTCCATGCCAGAATTGTTCATTGAAGCCATTTCCAAAGTCCTCACCCACAGAAACTGCAAAAGATAATCAATGTTTACCGTTGTTTCAAGCCACTCAGCTTTGGGGGTAATGTGTCATGCGGCCATAGATAATGAAGGCATGCCCTAATGCCTGCATTCTTTTCTCCACCTCCACAGGGCCTTGCAGTTGCTTCGGTAATTTTATTTTTGAATGATTATCCCTGTATATTCACATAGAGAATTAACAAAATAGTTACTGGAATTAAACCTACATGCCCCATCAGGTCTTTGAGATAATCACCTACAGGACTGACATCTTATTTATTCCCGCTGGCGCTGTTCCATTCTGGGCCTCGAGATTTTACACACAAATTGCTCTTTCCAATCCACTCCTTCAAAACGCAGGCAGCCAACAAAGCTCCTCCAGTCTTTCTCTGCCAGAGAGTCCAAGAAATTATTTAGTCACATCTTCAGGTAAGCCCTTCTTAAAGATGTTTTTCTCTATATTTTTTTGGTTAAAAAAATATATAACCATGATGAGATACCACTACACACCTGTTAAAATGGCTAAAATAAAAAATACGATACCAAGTGCTGACAAGGATTTCACTTCTAGCTATTTGTCCATGAGAAATCAAACTTCATCCATATCAAAATCTGTATGTGAGAGTTTATAGCAGCTCTATTCATAATTGCTCCAAACTGGACACAAGTCAACTGTTCTTCAATAAGTAAATGGATAAACACACTGTGGTACATCCATATGATGGAATACTAACTAGATAGCAAAAGTGAGTGAGCTGTTGGAATCACAAAGACATTAGGCTGAATGAAAGAGGCCAGTCTCAAAAGGTTACAAATGCTAAGATTCCATTTATATGACATACTGGAAAAGACCAGACTATAGTTAGTGACAGAGCAAAGACAGGTGGTTAACAGGGACTGGGGGTGCAGCACAAGGGAATGTTCTAAATTGACAGAAATGTCCCATATCCTGACTGTGGAGTTGGTTACACAAATCTATGCATTAAAACTCAAAAAAGGACAGGCATGGTGGCTCGCATCTGTAATCCCAGCACTTTGGGAGGCTGAGGCAGGCGGATCACCTAAGGTCAGGAGTTGAAACCAGCCTGGCCAACATGATGAAAGCCCGTCTCTACTAAAAATACAAAAATTCACCAGGTGTGGTGACAGGCACCTGTAATCCCAGCTACTCGAGAGGCTGAGGCAGGAGAATCACTTGAACCCGGGAGTCGGAGGTTGCAGCAAGCCAAGGTTGCACCACTGCACTCCAGCCTGAGCAACAAAGCAAGAGTCTATCTCGAAATATATATATAATATATATAAATATATATTTATACATATTTATATATAATATATATATAAATATATATTTATACATATTTTTATATAATGTATTATATATTATACATATTTATATATAATGTATTATATATTATACATATTTATATATAATGTGTTACATATTATACATATTTATATATAATGTATTATTTATTATATATTTATATATAACATATTTTATATATTTTTATATATATTATTTTATATATTATATTATTTATATATTTTATATATAAATATATTTATATATATTTTATATATATATAAAGGTTATTATTACATCACTTAACTTTTCTTCACAGATTCACTAACATGTTTGTCTCATTTAGAAAATCGCTGGTTTCCCCATATCCTGATATTTCCAAACAGCTCACTCCACTTGGATCCATCTTGGCCCCTGCTAGCACCTGATGTTAGAGAACCAAACACTCCAGTTAAGATTACAAAGGAAGATCACAAACCCCTGATTAATAAGTTCCTCACAAAGTTCCTAACAATATTAAATGTGCAGATAGATGATATTCTAGGTTGACAGAAATGGCTGGCATTTCCATCATTTTTTTCTTGAAGAAATGAAGCAATACTCTCAAGTATGTTCTGTAACCCAAACTGCCAGATGGTAGATTCCAAGCAGATGCCCTGCAAGGCCAGCTTAAAAGGACGCGAAATTCATGTAGACTCAGTTGCACGACTTGCACACATTATCAAACATCTAAAGTCCTTATAAAGAGATCATCTCTAACAGTGATTTGATATGACTTTAAGTCACTTTCCACATAATTAACAGGTAGAAATCAGTTTTCTCATAGATAATATTAAATAGCAGATGAAAGATAAAATCTCCCAATTAATATATCAGTCATGATGCTTTAGATGGCAATAACCGAAAACCCCAACTCAAGTACGACGAGAAAGTGAATTCACATATTATCTGGTATCCTAGAACAGATTAGTATTTGGCATGCTAAGCTCCAGGTGCGCAAGATCTAAATGACTCAATGATGCATTTATGGACTCTGGTTCCACTTTCAGCTCTGTCACCCTCTTGCCTGCTTCAGGTCTAGTAAAAACATGGCTGCTGTGATTCCAGGCATCACATCTAGTCTTTGGGTCTCCTTTTAAGTGCACACAAACATTCCCCAGAATCCTCTTCAAAGACCTCCCAGATGCTGGAGCCTTCTGGGAAAATTTTTGCTAAATGAGAAGCCTGTGCTGCTAGGGACCTAGTAACAACAAATGTGTGAGAGTATGAAGCTTGGAGCTGCAACTGCCATTAGGCATAATGACTAATTAGGCTGCAGCAGTCTAATTAACCATGGCCAACAAGCCCAAGTGCAAAAATCAACATGCCGAGGGGCAGCAGAGAAGGACAGAATGCATCTGTGTCCTTGATGATATTTTGGGCTGAGACATGAACTGGGAGCCCCTTTATTACTTGAAGCAACTCAGTATTTGATGGCTGAAACTGCTATTAGTCAGACATTCTGCCACTTGCAGATACATGTACTCTTAAATGTCCCCTTGAGGTTTTCGGGAAAGAGCATTGATAACTTGTCCAATGTCAAAGATGGAAGATATGGCCAGGCGTGGTGGCTCACACCTGTAATCCCAGCACTTTGGGAGGCCGAGGTGGACAGATCACCTGAAGTCAGGAGTTTGAGACTAACCTAGCCAACATGATGAAACCCCCTCTCTACTAAAAATACAAAAATTAGCCGGGCGTGGTGGCGTGCACCTGTAATCTCAGCTACTTGGGATGCTGAGGCAGGAGAATTGCTTGAACCCGGGAGGCGGAGGTTGCAGTGAACCAAGATCATGCCACTGCACTCCAGCCTGGGTGACACAGCAAGACTCCGTCTCAAAAAAAAAAAAAAAAAAAGATGGAAGATATATAAGGGCAGGTTTGTCTCGCTTCAACAACTATACTCCAAATTGTCACCTTTGATATCCTGTGCCTTCCTTACTCTAAAATGTCATAGAGAGTGTATATTTCACAAATTTCAGTTCAAATCAACCAATGTTTATCATTGATCTTCTGTGGGCAAGAAAACCAAAAATTAGAGAAACATCCTTCTTGACCTTACAATACTTGCTCTTTGGCCCAGAAACTAAGGAGAATACACCGATAAAAAGATACAATTACTACCAAAACAGAGAAACTAATGTCCCCCTCTCCAGATGGTTTACATTCCAAGACCCCCAGTGGATGCCTAAAAACCGCAGATGGCGCTGAACCCTACATACACTCTGTGTTCTCCTGTACTTACATACCTGTGGTAAACTTGAATGTATGCATTAGGCACAGTGAGATTAACAATAACCAGTAATAAAACGGAGGGACAATACACTGTAATAAAAGTTATGTGAATGTGATCTCTCAAAATATCTTAATGCACTGTACTCACCTTCTCATAATGAAGAAGGGACAGAGTGGGACGCTAAGAGATTTCATCAAGCTACTCGTAACAGCACACCGTTTAAGACCTGTGAATTGTTTATTCAGACTGTGGTTGACCGTGGGTAACTGAAACTGCAGAAAGCAAGACTGCAGAGCTGTGTATCTGCCACACTAACCTCTTTTTAGAATGTTACAACTTGCTTTTGCCCAAGGCACCCATTTTTCATTCATTTCAAAAACATTTTTTCCCATAATCCTTCTGTGTGCCAAAGAACAAACACAACTCAGTTTGGGACTTTAAATCTATTTATTTGATCATAATCTTAAACACTTTTTTGCTTATATTTTCAAATTAAGCAGGCAATTTTTTTCTTCCTCTATAGGTTTTTTCCAACTCAGTTTTAGTTAGGTAAGAACAAAAGTGTTCCATCGCCATCCAGTAAATGGAGCCTGATCTCTTGAAAGGAGCAATATGCTCCTTTTCTCTTGCCTTACAGACAAGAAATGTGCTATTCTTCCAACACTGAATATATTTCCTGACGTTAAATAAGTTCAATAACTAGACCATGTAAAATGTTTTCCTAATAACTTTTGCCTTTCAAAAGATACTTAAAAAATGAAAAGGCAAAAATAGGTTGGGTGAAAATATTCATACTATGTAGATCTTTACAAAGGATTTATACACAAAATATATAAAGAACTCCTACAACTATAAGATGACATTAAGAATGTGCAGTTTACTGTATATCAAGTATCCTAAATAAAGCTATATAAAACAATCTGAACAAAAAAATTAAAAACAGTAAAGATCTGCCGGACGCAGTGACTCAAGCCTGTAATCCCAGCACTTTGGGAAGCCGAGGCAGGTGGATCAGTTGAGGTCAGGAGTTTGAGACCAGCTTGGCCAACATGGTGAAACCCCATCTCTACCAAAAATACAAAAAATAGCATGGCGCATGCCTGTAATCTCAGCTACTCGGGAGGCTGAGGCAGAAGAATCACTTGAACCTGGGAGGCAGAGGTTGCAGTGCGCCAAGATTGTGTCACTGCAACTCCAGTCTGGGTGACAGAGTGAGACTCCGTCTCAAAAAAAAAGTAAATATTTGGCCGGGCGCGGTGGCTCAAGACTGTAATCCCAGCACTTTGGGAGGCCTAGGCAGGCGGATCACAAGGTCAGGAGATCGAGACCATCCTGGCTAACATGGTGAAACCCTGTCTCTACTAAAAATACAAAAAATTAGCCGGGCATGGTGGCGGGTGCCTGTAGACCCAGCTACTCGGGAGGCTGAGGCAGGAGAATGGTGTGAACCTGGGAGGCACAGCTTGCAGTGAGCCAAGATTGCGCCACTGCACTCCAGCCTGGGCAACAGAGTAAGACTCCGTCTCAAAAAAAAAAAAAAAAAAAAAAAAAAGTAAATATCTAACAGACACTCACAAAAGAAGATATATAAATGGTCAATAAGTACATGAAAATGTTTCATTAGTTATCAGGAAAAACAAAACCACAGTGAGATATCACTACATAGCCACTGGAATGGCTAAAAGGAAAGACTGTTTCAAGTGTTGATCAAGATTGGAGTAACTAGAAGTCTCATACATCACTGATGGTAACATAAAATGGTGCCAACGCTTTCTTACAAATAGCTTATTATAAAGTTAGGCACACACTTAAAGACCCAGGAGGAAAAATAAAAACCTATCTCTACACAAAGATTTGTTCACAAATGTTCACAGCAGCTGTATTCATGATAGCCAACACTGAAAACAACTTGAATGGCCAAAGGGGAGTGGATACGCAAGTCATAGCATATCCAGCCACGGAAATACTGCTGAGCAACAGAAAATAAACTAATAAAGAGGATGGGAAAGACAGTAGCAAGGGAGCAGGGAAGAGGAACAGAAGAGAGGGAGAGGAGAAGAGGGAAGAAGAGAGAGAGGAATAAAACTAAAGGAGAGCCAGGCATGGCAGTTCATGCCAGTAATCCCAGCACTTTGGGAGGCCGAGGCAGGAGGATCACTTGAGCCCAGCAGTTCAAGACTAGCCTGGGCAACATGGCAAAACCCCATCTCTAGTAAAAATACAAAAAATGAGCCAAGTGTGGTGGTGCTTGCCTGTAGTTCCAGCTACTTGGGAGGCCGACGTGAGAGGATCACTTGAGCCCAGGAAGTTGAGGCTGCAGTGAGCCGAGATCATGCCACCGCACTCCAGCCTGGGCAATGGGAGTGAGAACCTGACTCAAAAAAAAAAAAGTAAAAGAGAGAAGAAATACCTAGACATGTCATAGCCAGACTGCAGAACACCAAAGCATCTTAAAAGTAGCCAGAGAGAAAAGGCAGACTAGTTACAAATAATTAGACAGCAACAGCAATGGGACCAGAACACAGCTGATTAATACAGGAACAATACAGAATTGCACACCCAGATAAACTTACCATTCAAGAACAAAGGTATCTAAGACATGCAGAAACTGAAGTTACCACCAACAGATGCTAACAGAATTTCTAGAAGATGTGTCTCAGGAAGAAGGAAAATGTATCCCAGAAGCAAGCTTCAAAGTACAAAAAGGAATGGTGAGCACATTAAATTTACAGACAAGTACCATATAAAACAATTAGAATGTCAAATTTGGCGCAGGTTAAGAAATGAGAAGGCTATATAAAAGAACAGATCCCAAAATGCTAAGGTAGGAGTCAGTAACAGGTGGCAGGATTTCAAGTTTGTTTTATTTTCTTCTTCATGCTTTTATTGTCTTGTGTTTTCTTGAAACGGAGTTTCACTTTTGTTGCCCAGGCTGGAGTACAATGGCGTAATCTCAGCTCACCACAACCTCCGCCTCCCGGGTTCCAGCGATTCTCCTGCCTCAGCCTCCCGAGTAGCTGGGATTACAGTCACGCGCCACCACGCCTGGCTAATTTTGTATTTTTAGTAGAGACGGGGTTTCTCCATGTTGGTCAGGCTGGTCTTGAACTCCTGACCTCAGATGATTCGCCCGCCTTGGCCTCCCTAAGTGCTGGGGTTACAGGCGTGAGCCACCGCACCTTATTGTCTTTTTTTTTGAAAAGGAACCTCTGTCTTTTTACAATCTGACTTAGCTTTAAGGATTCAATTGCTAAATTAGAATGAAATGAAAACAAAATCAAATATCAAACTGCCAGAACTGCAATCTATCAATTCTAATAACAAGTTTCCTTTAAAAACCCTAAAGACTAATTTGAAGGGATGGTAAAAACTGGATTTATTATTCATTCAACAAGGATTTACCAGACTGGGCAACATAGCGGTGAGACTCTCTAAGAAAAATTTTTTTAAAGAAAAAATTAGCTGGGCGTGATGGCATGTGTCTGTAGTCACAGCTACTCGGGAGACTGAGATGAAAGGATTGCTTGAGCCCAAGAGGTCAAGGCTGCAATGAGCCATGATCACCACTGCACTCCAGCCTCGAGTTTTTTTCAAAAAGAAAACAGAACACAATAATTTACCAAGGGTTTGCTATATTCAGATACTATACTAGATCCTGAATGAACAAGAACAAAAACTGAAAGTCATCATAATACTGGATTTTTAAGTCTTCTAATTGATAATAAATTTATGCAAAGCATTTCGTCAAAAGTCTGCACATAAAGTGAAGTTACTCTTGTGGTCAGAGGTTATTATCATAATTGAGAGTTAAAGGCAGTCTAGTGTGGCCTGAGGCTCTTCTTTTTTTTAATGTGTGAACAAATATGACAGTTTTACATATGAAATTCATTCAGTGTAAATGATGAATTCCCACATTAATTGCAAGTCTTGAAGTTCATAATTTCCATCCCACATTAAACTAAGAAAACTTAAAATCTGAGTTAACAGTTTGCAGGCAGCACTGAGCATGCCTCAGTTTCAGTCTCGCCGGATTAGTATCAAAAGCTTCGAGCATGATATTTTAGTAATGTATCCATTATCCACTTTTGCTCAAAGTATCCACTTGGCCAAACATTTTTAACTAATTCAAACCAGGGCAAGGGCATCCTATAAAAAGTTTTGCCAGTTTTAAATACACGTTTTCTGGGGGCTTCTTGATTGAAAACAAAGGCTGCATTTGGCAGAACAGGACTGGAGAAATCAGTATTTCAAGTAATTTGAATGAAAACCGTTTGGCTCTGATCTTCCTGGCCATGTGGAAGTGGTTAAGGAGGTAACAGCCTACCTAAGTTGCCATGGGTGAAACAGAGAGAAAGGACTGTGACCCAGTACCACCACAGAATAAACTCTGACACTAAAAGACAAGAAAAGAAGTTGATCCGCTGCTTCCCATTCAATAGCCAGGCTTGGAGAGGCTCCTTTCAATCAAAAGCACCAAACAACAGGAGAGAGACTGCCACGAGAGCCTAAAACCCCACAGCCTCCCTTCCCAGGCAAACGGTAACCAATACAGGGAATGCCTGTCCTTCCAAAGTAGAAAGACTTTAGCACCTGCATTACAGGACTATACCTGCCCCTCTTATCTGTAGCACCTTCAGCTGGTGAGGAAAGTGCATTTCTCAAAAACACTAAGCAGTTATCTGCAATAAGCAAGGCCAGTTACAAAGGGCTTCTTTAAAATGTCCAGTCCACCATGCTATCAAAACATCAGGCAAGGCCAGGCTCTGTGACTCACGCCTGTAATCCCAGCACTTTGAGAGGCCGAAGCGGGCAAATCACCTGAGGTCAGGAGTTCAAGACCAGCCTGACCAACATGGAGAAACCCCGTCTCTACTAAAAACAGAAAATTAGTTGGGCATGGCGGCAAATGCCTGTAATCCCAGCTACTGGGGAGGCTGAGGCAGGAGAATCGCTTGAACCTGGGAGGCAGAGGTTTCAGTGAGCCGAGATTGCGCCATTGCACTCCAGCCTGGGAAACAAGAGCAAAACTCCATCTCAAAAAAAAAAATCAGGCAAGTACAGTACTTACAAATCCACAGAATTTCTCTTATCCTCTGGGAAAATCACAATGCCATTTTTCCTAAGCATATTCTGCCTGCAGAAACCAGCCTTTTATCCTTTCTCTAGTATTCTCTAATCCCGTCCAGGATGAAAAGAGTTGTTTTTTTCTGATGTTTATCACAAGCATCCTCCTCATAAATATATACAATTTTCCAAATGAATTAAGCTCTTAGGTGTTCAATAAATTAAATGAGTATAAGCTTCACTGTTTAAAAAAAACTAACCCTTTCAATGCTATCTTATTTGTATCTTTAACCAAAAAACAAAACAAAACAATTTCCTTGGGCAGTTCCTTTTTTCTCTTTTTTTTTTTTTTTTTTGAGACAGAGTCTCACTCTGTTGCCCAGGCTGGAGTGCAGTGGCCCAATCTCAACTCACTACAACCTCCGCCTCCTGGGTTCAGGCGATTCTCCTGGCTTAGCCTCTGAGCAGCTGGGATTACAGGCACCTGCTACCACCCCTGGCTAATTTTTGTATTTTTAGTAGAGACAGGGTTTCACCATATTAGCCAGGCTGGGAAATCCTGATCTCAAGTGATCCGCCTCGGTCTCCCAAAGTGCTGGGATTACAGGTGTGAGCCACCATGCCCAGCCCCCTTGGACAGTTTCTTTAACGAAAAGTGAAACAAAAACGTTCCTCCAGGTTCCTTGTAAACTCTGGATAATTCTGAGGTGAATGCAATAACCCAGTAAGAAACTTGTCCAGGATAATTATTTTAAGATCTTCTTTGATAAGTCTGGCTACAGAGTAAAGTTAACATTCTATTATGAAGCAAGGAATAAATCCATCCCTGTATCAATTAAAGGAAGAGAATATCAATGTGAAAGGGGGCATTAGAAACCACGCTTCAAAAGGATTCCCACAGTGACAGAACTTCTCAATGAAACACCACACCCCAAGTAACGGGGGCGGGGTGGTGCACCATAGAATCTGCCCCTAGGAGGCACAGCCACCTCCACACCGAGGGTTTCCAGTTTCCCATTCACATAAAAGAAACAAGTAAGAGATTCTGGGAGGCGCTGGGCTAGGAAGGCATCTACTCACTGTCTCCACCAACAATTCCCTCAGTAAAGCAGCCATTGCCCAATAATGCTTCTATTTATTTTACCCAGAAGCAGATCTATTAGCCAGACATTCTAAAAACACAAACGCTTCGTTGTGCTTGGAGTAACTCCAATATTGATGCCTTGCTGCAGAACGATGCTGCAGGAATATAAAGTGAGCCATGTGCTAGCTGTACCCACTTATGAAGCACACTGTCAGAAACTGTCACATCCTGGAGACCAACCCATCCGAAAGACTGAGAATAAACCCCCTACGAGAACACTGTGGAAGGAGGGAGAAAGCCAAAGATAGGATGAAGCAGGGCCCTCCTAAAGTCTCCGGAACAACGAAGCCAATTTTTAAGGCAACTCTCCCTAAAGCTTTCAGGACCAGAAAGATGTTTCTTTCTCCTCTCCTTGTTCAGACTGAATAAGAAAAGCAAGACAATGCTGGAGGATGTTCTGAAATGGGCTCCGCAAGTCACCACGTGCAAAGCACATTAAACAGAAGCCAGTGCTAGGCCAGGGTTTGGCTCTGAAGATGTTGCCTACTGGAAGGAGAGGGGCCCCCGGGGGTTTCCACGCAGAGACCAGGGCTGGGCGGTCAAACCTGGTAAACTGACAAGGAGAAGAGCCTTAACAACAATATAATGAAACGGCCAGAGGCCACCGGTACTCCCCAGGGCTGGGAGAGACAGGGAGGCCGAGGCTGCTAAACTGTTCCAGATGACAAGCAGGCTCTCCCACGTCTCCACGAACTGATCAGATACCAGGGCCTCGCTTCTTTGTGAGCCTCAGCTCCCTCCTTTCTGGGGAACCCTACTCGATCCCCAACAGCCGCTGGCCTCCAGCTGCCACAAACGAGATCCAGACTCATTACAGGGAATTCGTATTTCCCCCCCTCAAATAAAACACACACACACACACACACACACAGAGTCTCCGGGGTCCAGCCGGATCACACAGCTAAAGTTTCCGGAACTTGAATCGTAAAACCACAATCAGAAGTTGTTTGGAAATACTCGCCGCAAAGCAATCTGTCCTTTGCTTTAAAAAATAAAAAATAAAAAAAACTTTGCCCTGCATAAAGGCAGACAGTAAAGAGAGACACAAATCTAACTTGGGCAGAGGGTGTGTTCCTCTTTGTCACCCGCCGGGAACCCTCGCGCCGCGCGTGGGCGAGCGGCGGGCACCCGGCGGCATCCGCGCCAGCGGCCACCTCCCCGGCCCGCAACCGGCCTCAGGGGCCGAGATTGCGGCCCGAGGTCCGGAAGCGGCGTCCAGCGCTGTCAGCGGGCGGGTAGGACGGAAGGAAACGGGGGAAGGGCGCCGGGGTCGGGGGAGGCGAGCGGGGACCGGCGCGGAGCCCCGCAGCCCGACGTCGGCGGAGGTGAGGGGAGAGGGGCGCAGGGGGCAGCCCGGAGCCCCGAGGCCCCCGAGCTCCTGCGATGGTGGCCGGGGCTGCCCGGGCCCGACCCGCCGCCCGACTGCGCAGGGCAGGACCTCGGGGACCACGCGCCCACCTTCGCCCGCAGCCGCGGCCGTGCGCTGCGGGAGCCTGGACTCGCACAAGTTGCCGCCCGCGGCCCGGACCCCGCCGGCCCCCGCCCTCCCGCCGCGGTCATTGTTCACCGCGCGCCTCCTACCTCCACAGCGCCGGCGGCTGCGGCGGCTCCCTCTCCCGGCTCGGGCTCCGGGATCGGCGGCTCCCAAGCCCCCGGCGGCCGAGGGCGCGGCGGCGCCGGCTATTAATACCCGCGGGCGGCGGCGGCGCGGGCGCGCGAGCAGGGCTGGCGGTGGCCGGCTGAGGTCCGAGCCATCAAAGGTGGCGCGGGGCGGAGGGGAGGGCGGAGCAGGCGGGGTGGGTGGGGAGCGGGCTCCGGGTCGCCATGGCCGCCTCGACGCCGGGGCCAGCGCTACTCGCGCAGGGAGGAGCGGCGCAAAGCGGGCAGCGGCCGCGTCCCCGCCCCGCGCCCCAGCCGAGCGCCCGCACCGCTGCGCCCGCGCCGGACCCGCCGCCTCTGAGGCCGGCGAGCGGGAAGTGCAGTGGCCACCGCCCCTCCCCGGGTCTGGGCCGGCCCCTCGGCGGGGGGAGGCGGGCGCCGCGCAGCCCGAGCAGCGGGGACGCGGGAGAGCCACAGCCCCCTCCAGCGTCCGGGCCCGCGCCCTGCGCCCGCCCCGCCCCGCTCCGCTCCGCCCGGGCAGGTGCGCCCAGGGGCCTCCCGAGCCCAGCGCGCCGCCGGGGATCTGCGCCTCTCTTGGGCTTCCGGCCAGGGCCGGGCTCCGCGCGGCGCTACCTAATGCAGCGCGGGGAGCGCCACTGGCGAGACGCGAATCCAGCAGCTGTGGCGAAAAACGAACCGGGGAGAGCGGGAGACGTGTGCACGGCGAAGCCGGGAGCGGCAGGCGGGCGGTCAGGGGCTCGGACTCTGCAGGTCGCTTTTTGAGGTCCTGCCTGGGGCTGCTTCGCCTGCGACGTCGCGCGGGGAGGACAGTCTTCAGGGACCCACCGAGCCCTCCCCTCCCCCGGAGCCACAGGCACGGGCTTCCGGCACCACCCCGGGCTGCGCGGGACTTAAGCTTGGGGGAGCGGCGGCCACCCCGCGCCCGCCCACGTCCTGGCCCAGCGCCCTCCGCCCGAGCGAATCCCATGACAGTTCCCGCCCGCCCAGCCTCGGGGGACAGTGCCCTTGGGGAATGGCGTGGGGGAGGTTAGGAGTGGCTTGCGGTGCTTGAGAGCCTTCGGGGTTTCGGGAACTCTACGGAGCGGGGAGCAAGATTCAGGACCCAGGAGGCAGCGATCTAGGGGCACAGTCACCGTCCCCACCCAGCAGCTGCCGCGTTACCTTCTCTTCCCCCTTCTGAGCCTCCAGTCCCTCTCTCTAAGCGTGGCGGGAAGAGGCCTAGGGCGCAGCAAGTGACGTTCTGCCAGACCCGGGGCTAGCGGATTCCGGCCTTCGGAGGCCACTGGCTCAGAACCGTGGGCCTTTTGCGTCTTACAGGAGTTCCCTGACCTCAGACCGAGAGGGCAGATTTCACGGGAGAGGCCTCAAGTGAACTCACAGCTGGACAGGAGCTGGGCAGAAGTGGAGTGTAGGGACCCTGATAGAAGGGCGGGTTGAGACAAGAACAGGGGTCTTGGAAGTAGGGGGTGCTTGTGGGCAGCTCCTGGGGAGGAGCAGAGATGTAATACTTGCAGATTTGGTGGTCTGTGGTTGAAGAGAAGAAATGGTGGGTTTGAGGCTTTGCTCTGTCAGCCCAACCAGCTGTGTGTCACAGATCAGATTTTTTTCTGCTCGTGATTCTCTAAGTGTGGTTCTCAGACCACGACCACCACCAGCAGCCCCTGGAAACGTCAAGAAATGAACATTCTTGGGCCGCATCCCCGACCTACCTAATGAAACCTTAGCAAGCATCTGAATCGCCTGCAGGGATAAAGGACTGTCAGGCTCCATCCCCAGAGCTGCCGATTCAGTAGGTTTGGGGTGGGGCCTGAGAGTTTGCATTTCTAACAAATTCCCAGATAGTGATGTTGCTCTGGTCCTGGGATCACACTTGGAGGATCACAGTGTTAGGACAGTGGGTCTCAAACTCATGGAATCATCTGCGATTAAAAAACAACACCCTGGTTGCACCCCAGCCAAATATATAAAGATTCTAACCCAGGCATCAGTAAAGTTCCGCAGGTGATTCCAGTGTGTAGCCAGGTTTGAGAACAGTTGCTGTAGGCGGCTTTTTAAACTCTAGTGTATACCTGAATCACCAGGGAATCTTGTTGGAATGCAGATTCTGATTCAGTAAGTCTGAGACTGTTTCTAACAAGCTCTCAGGTGTTACTTGCTGGTCCAAGGACTACACGTAGTAGCAAAGTGCTATGTCATACCTCCCAACTAAAAGGAAAAAATTAGGCCGGGCGCGGTGGCTCACTCCTGTAATCCCAATACTTTGGGAGGCTGAGGCAGGTGGATCACCTGAGGTCAGGAACTTGTAAACCAGCCTGGCCAGCATGGGGAAACCTCGTCTCTACTGAAAATACAAAAATTAGCTGGGCGTGGTGGTGCGCGCCTGCAATCCCAGCTACTCGGGAGGCTGAGGCATGAGAATTGCTTGAACCCGGGAGGCAGAGGTTGCAGTGAGCCGAGATCGTGCCATTGCACTCCAGCCTGGGCAACAAAGTGAGACTCCATCTCAAAAAAAAAATCATAAAAATAATAAAAGCAAAAAATCATAGAAAGCGCAGAAAATTAGAAAAGTGACATTTTCCCAGTCACTCTCTTTGCAAGACCGACATTTTCTACATGTTACAGCATTTCTTTCATAGTCTTTGTATGTCTAGAATTAGATTTAGTTGTGATCTTAAAACTATTTATGATCATAACACATAATATATTGATCATATTAATCAATATGATAATACATAATATCCCATGTTGCCTTATCTCAACATTATCAACATTTGTGAAGGTGACTTTTAAAGGAGCCGTTCTGAGGTTTGCAGGCTGAGGGCAGGAGCCCATGGGGAGAGAGTTAATGGGGGAAAAGAGAGGGGAGAAGGGGCAGTTCTGGGAATCTAGTTAGAGAGGCTGTAAAGCGGTGGGGTCACACTAGAGAACTTCCTACGTTTCCTCCCAGCTCTCACCAACATTCCGCGGTTGGTACCTAACCTGATAGAAAGTACTGTTTCTTTTAAGAGAGGGTCTTGGCTGGGCGCTGTGGCTCAAGCCTGTAATCCCAGCACTTTGGGAGGCCAAGGCAGGCAGATCACGAGGTCAGGAGATCAAGACCATCCTGGCTAACACGGTGAAACCCCGTCTCTACTAAAAATACAAAAAATTAGCCAGGCATGGTGGCCGGCGCCTGTAGTCCTATCTACTTGGGAGGCTGAGGCAGGAGAATGGCGTGAACCCGGGAGGCAGAGCGTGCAGTGAGCCGAGACCACACCACTGCATTCCAACCCGGGCGACAGAGCGAGACTCCGTCTCAAGAAAGAAAAAAAAAGGAGTCTCGCTCTGTTGCCCAGGCTGGAGTGCAGTGGCACAAACATAGCTCACTGCAGCCTCGAACTCCTAGGCTCAAGTGATCCCCCTGCCTTGGCCTTCCAAAGTTCTGGGATTACAGGCATAAGGCCATCGTGCCTGGCCAGAAAGCACTTTTTAAATTCCTCTCCCTGAAAAGCCAGGGGTACCTGGCCTCGAAAATCCTGAACCTGGAAAATCAACTTCTGAAAAACTTAGGCGTTTCCTTGTCATTGTGTGTCATTTATGCTTAACTTTCAGAATATAAAAATGTATAATCCCCCTAGATCCCCCTTTTATCCCAAGCTGTGGCATGGGTTATTTAGAAATCTTTCTGGATTAAGGAATCACCCTGTGCTTAACAATTCCTCTTATTAATTTTAACTGTTTTACTGTAAAACGTGTGTACATGTCAAGATAAAATTAAGCAGTATAGAAGAGTATGAAGTGAAACCTAGAAGGAACCCTTCCTGCATCCCTAATCTCGCTTCTTAGAAATAATTTTCCCAACAGTTTTTACAGTCTTTCAGGAATTTTCTGCTCATATACAAAAGTGTGTGGGGGCAAGCAAATCTTTCATATTAAGAGATCACACGTCACAGTGAAACACAACTTTTTATTCCATAGTTCCCTCCCCTTCAACACATCACCTTTCGGAGAACCTGGGTTTAGGGTGATGATGCTCTCTGGACGTGACAGTATGCACTGACAGTAACTGAGGCAGCCTGTATTAAAACCCAAGGCGGAAAGAGATCTGCTTGTAGCATTTGTGGTGGGCTCATTCTGTGTAATCCCCCTGCCTTGAGTGTGACCTAGTGACTCGCTGCTAATGGATAGAATACAGAAAAGGAAGGCAGTGTCACTTCTGTGATTAGGTCACAGAGCACTGTAACTTTTTTTTTTTTTAGACGGAGTCTCACTCTGTCGTCCAGGCTGGAGTGCAGTGGTGCAATCTCGGCTCACTGCAACCTCTGCCTCCTGGATTTAAGCAATTCTCTGCCTCAGCCTCCTGAGTAGCTGGGATTACAGGCGCGTGCCACCACACCCGGCTAATTTTTGTATTTTTAGTAGAGACGGGGTTTCACCATCTTGGCCAGGCTGGTCTTGAACTCCTGACCTCGTGATCCACCCGCCTCAGCCTCCCAAAGTGCTGGGATTACAGGCGTGAGCCACCGCGCCAGGCCCATAACTTCTTACTGATACGGTCTTGCCCTCTCATTTGCTCACTTTGATGAAGCCAGCTGCCATGTTGTAAGATGTCCTATGGAGGACCCACAGTGGCAAGGAACAGAGGGAAGCCTTACTCCAACAGCCCTGGAGGCACTGAATTCTGCCAACAACCATGTGATACACAAGTCCTTTCCAGCTGAGACTTGAAGTGATGTCAGTGTCATGAGGAACCCAAAGCCAGAGGACCCAACTAAGCAATTTCTAGAGTCTTAACCCATAGGAAGTATGAGATGATAAGTGTTCTTCTAAGCCACATTTTGGAATAACCTGTTTTGCAGCAATAGATAACACAGCATAATGTGGTAGGAGGAAGAATATTAGGATGAGCAGTTTCAAAGTCGTGTCAACAGGAAGAATATGAATCTCCTTGTGTAGCTGGTGGGAAATCTTGGGATTTTGAGCTCAGTTTCAGCAGCCCTTAATGGAACCAGCAGAAACTGAGCTACAGAGAAAGCAACTGACATGAAGTAGACATCTGAGGTTGGAGAACTTATGAGGTATTAGTTGGGATCTGGAGGTAAGACCTTATTCTTCTGCAAAGAATCAAGACCTTGGAGGGGAAGGGGCAGCACTGGTGGTGACAGAAGCCAGATGGAGAACAGCTTAAGGAGAGAGTGGGGGAGGTAGAGGATAGGATTCCGGGGACTATCTGTGTGGGATGCCTTTGGTTCAAAAGATAGTTGCATATTAAAATTTGGTAGATATTGCAAAATTGTACTTCAAAGACACTGCAAAAATTTATTCTTCCACTGTAGAGATTTTAAAACATGGCCACAAATTATCGTACACTCCTCCCACTGAGAGTTCAGATCTATGTCTATGCCCTTTGAATCTAGACAGGCTCATAACTGTTACGGTCAATAGAATACAGTGGACGTGATGTGACTTTCATAGCTAGGTCAGAATAAGCCATGCTGCTTTTAACTTGTTCTTTGCATACACTTGTTCTTGGAGATCTGAGTGGCCATGTAAGAAGTCCCAACAATCCTGAGACTGTCATACTCAAGAGGCTCATTTGGAGATGTTCCAGTTGACAGTCCCAGATGAGCTGGTCTTTCAATCATCCCATCCCTCGTGTCAGAACGTGAGTGAAGAAGCCACCTCAGAATGAGTTCTCCAGCTCCCACTGTCCCTGTTCCCAGCCATCCCAACCACCCCAGACTTTTGGGTCATACCACCTAAGGACACCATGGACAGAGAAGAACCCTGTGTTCTTTCCAAATTCCCAATCCCATAAACTGGTAATTTCATGCCATTAAGCTTTGCATGACTTACTATGGAACAATAAATGAACCCACTAACCATGCTTGAGAATGATCATTCTTTAGCCCACTTTGGATATTGGCAAACTTAATATTTGTCAGTCTTTTTTTTTTTTTTTTTTTTTTTTGAGATGGAGTCTCACTCTGTCACCCAGGCTGGAGTGCAGTGGTGCGATGTAGGCTCACTGCAATATCTGCCTCCTCGGTTCAAGCGATTCTCCTGCCTCAGCCTCCCAAATAGATGGGATTACACGCATGCACCACCACACCCAGCCAATTTTTTTATTTTTAGTAGAAACAGGGTTTCATCATGTTGGCCAGGATGGTCTCAATCTCCTGACCTCGTGATCTGCCCACCTCGGCCTCCCAAAGTGCTGGGATTACAGGCGTGAGCTACCGCTCCCAGGCATATTTGTCAGTCTTACAGGCAAAAACAAAATCTCATTATTTTAAAAATTATTCATTGGCATTTATCCATTAACTGCCCTTCATGTGCTTTGCTCATTTTGCCATTGAGTTATCTTTTTTTGTTAACTCTTAATATGTTTTATATGTTAAGGAAATTAGCCCTTTGCTATCATGTAATGAATATTTTTTACGTTTTTTAATATGGTACTCTTTTTCACAACAAGTTCTTAATTTTTATGTTGTCAGATTTGTCAGTGTTTACTTTTATGCTTTCACATTTTTGTGTCATGCTTGGAAATGTCTTCTCTATGCAAGATGTTTTAAAAAATCATCATGTTTCTATACTTTAATGGTTTTATTTTTATATTTTATCATTGATCTATATCTTATTTTGGCATAAGAAATGACACATGCCTCCAACATCTTTTTTCCAAATGGCTGAGCAGATACGATTTGAAAACCCATCTTACTTTCATCTTCCATACCTGTTTAAAATGCCAACTTTGTCCTACCTTAGGATCCGCTTTTCTATGAATATTCTTTTCTACTTATCTGCCTATCCCTGTGCCAGTTACCAAAATGTTTGTGTTTATGGCTTCATAATGTATTTTACTATCTGATACTGCTTGGACCCCATAATTATTGTTAATTTCAAAAGTTTTCCCAGCTAGTCTTACATGTTTGTTTTTCCACATGAATTTTGGTATCATTTTGTTAAGCTCTGAAAATAATCATATTACAATTTTGATTAGAATTGCTGACATTTTGGGCCAGGCATGGTGGCTCAATTGCTTGAACCCGGGAGGCAGAGGTTGCAGTGAGCCGAGATCACGCCACTACATTGCAGCCTGGATGACAGAGCCAGACTCTGTCTCAAAAAAAAAAAAAGAGTGCTGACATTTTGACCTTCAACTTCAACTTTTTGGACTTGTATTATTATTTCCATTTTACAAAGGAGAAACTGAGACACAGAGAGGCTAAGTAATTTACTCAAGGTCACACACAGTACACAGCCAAGAAAGAGATTCAGACTCAGTCAAGCTTCAGAGGCCACCCTCTTAGCCATGATCCTGTGTTGTGCCTCCATATTCAAAAATCTAGGACAACTGGAGAAAGCATTCAAAATGCACTTTTTTAGGATAGAAAATAGGATAGGATAAAAAGTGAAGACTTCAGGTCATTTATTTTTCACTTCACTTTCAAAAGGAGAACTTCAGAAGGGAAGCAAAAGAAGGTCATAGACTGAAATCATTTTCAGTCTGGCCTACGATCTTGCCCTTTGATTCTCATCTCAGAGAAAGAAATGATACATAAAGGGAAGGTATGTCATTGTTGATGACTACCTGAAGTATTTTTGTTGTCCAGAAATGCATTGAGTACCACACACCCAATAAGAAAGCTAAAATTTGGCTGGGCTCAGTGGCTTACACCTGAAATCCCAGCACTTTGGGAAGCCAAGGTGGGTGGATCACCTGAGGTCAGAAGTTTGAGACCAGCCTGGCCAACATGGTGAAACCCCATCTCTACTAAAAATACAAAAAATTAGCCGGGCGTGGTGGCAGGCGCCTGTAATCCTAGCTACTCGGAAGGCTGAGGCAGGAGAATCACTTGAACCTGGGAGGTGGAGGTTGCAGTGAGCCGAGATCACGCCACTGCACTCCAGCCTGGGCAACAGAGCAAGACTCGATCTCAAAAATAAAATAAAAAGGCTGATTGACAGATATGTGACAAAAGAAGTAGATTAAAATTTTAATAGAATTGTAGTGGTGACTAGAGGGACATTCACTGTAAAATTCAACTTTGTTGTATGTTTGAACGTTTTATAATAAAATGATGAATTCTACTCCTAGGTATATATTCAAGAGAAATGAAAACATGTCCACAAATTCATATGAGCATTATTCAAAGTAGCCAGAAAGCAGAAACAACCTGGAAGTCCATTAAATAATGAATGGACAAACAAAATATGGTGTATCTATTCAATGGAATATTATTTGGCAATAAAAAGAAAGTACTGACGCATGCTACAACATGGATAAACCCTGAAAACATCATAAGTGAAAGAAGCCAGACACAGAAGACCTTATAGTATATAATTCTATTTCTAGAAAAGATCAAGAGTCAGCAAATCTGTAGAGACAGAGTAGATTAGAGATTGCCAGAGGCTGGGGAGTTGGAGGAGAATGGGAAGTGAATGCTAGTGGGTACAAGGATTCTTTTTTGAGTGATGAAAATGTTCTAAAATTGTGGAGTTGATTGTGAAACTCTAAATATACTAAAAGCCACTGAATTTTACACCTTTTTTTTTTTTTGAGATGGAGTCTTGTTTGGTAACCCAGGCTGGAGTGCAGTGGCGTGATCTTGGCTCACTGCAACCTCCACCTCCCAGGTTCAAGTGACTCTTGTGCCTCAGCCTCCCGAGTAGCTGGGATCACAGGTGCACACCACCATGTGCGGCTAATTTTTGTATTTTTAGTAGAGATGGGGCTCACCATGTTGGCCAGGCTGGTCTTGAACTCCTGACCTCAAGTGATCCACCAGCCTCGGCCTCCCAAAGTGCTGGTATTAGTGTGAGCCACCATGCCAAGCTGGATTGTACACTTAAAATGGGTAAATTGTGTGGTGGGTAAATTTTATGGTATGTAAATTATATCTCAATACAGGTGTTAAAAATAAAATGTCAGAAAAAATATTACCTTCAGCCCTATTATCACCTGATTAATTGCTGTATCAACTACAAATTTCTTGCTGTAAATGAAGAAAAAGATCATCATCATAAATTCGAATATATTCTGTATATATTAACACTAATTTCTTAAGGAATTTCTAAATTCAATTCATGGTATTAATCTTTGATTCATCAAACTGGTTCTAACTGGAGGACTCTAATATTCTTTCAAGTGTCTTCTTTTTTTTTTTTTTTTTAACAATTGCTAGTTACAGATAGCTCAGGATAGACTCACATGGTATTTAAGGCTACTAAAGTCAGAGGCTACTAAGGCTACTAAAGTTTAAATGCTTAAACACTGCCCTGCTCGTCACTTTAGATCCCTGGGAAGTCCCAGAGGCAGAAAGAAAGAGACAGAGCATGACA
The DNA here is from genome assembly GCF_000001405.40 of Homo sapiens. Classification (NCBI taxonomy): domain Eukaryota; kingdom Metazoa; phylum Chordata; class Mammalia; order Primates; family Hominidae; genus Homo; species Homo sapiens. Next base: position 98,134,129 of record NC_000013.11, on the reverse strand, counting down.
GTGCATGTGAAATGAGGAAGTTATTCTTTAAACAAGCCACTGGTTCTCAAACTTGAGTGCATACTGGAATGGCCTGGGGACCTTTGATAATGCACTGATGCCTAGGTGCTCCTCCCCTTCCAGAGATCTTGATGTCGCTGGTCTGGGGTGCAGCCTGGGCATTAGGATCTTTTAAAGCTCGCTAGGAGATTCTAGCATACGGCCAGATTGAGAATTATTGGCCCAGGACAATCACCCTAGCTCTGGGAGGGCCAGGCTGGAGCAGAGGCTTAGCTCAGAACCTAAATCCAAATGGTGCGGGGATTCACCCTTCTCCGCATGACCCCAAGCTGCACGAAACTCAGGCAAGAGTGAGTGAGCACAGATGGAGAGCGCAAACATGGCGCCTTAACGTCATCCTCATCCTCTAATTCTAAAGATAGAATTCCAATCAAACTCTATTAAAAGATAGTTCATGAAAAGCTTTCCTCTTACCCTGTTCACCTGTTGCTGCTATCTGCCCTACCTCCAAACAGGTCACCTCTTTATCTTTACAGCTGCTTCTTTATCTTTCCAGAAAAAGACATGTTTATCTTTTAGCTTCTTCTTTATCTCTCTAGAGAATTCAAGCCAACCCAGATATATGTTGTTTTTTTAACAGCAAATATAGAATTTCATGCTATTTTTTTCCCAGGAAAATGTCGGAAATAATTTCATATCGATGCTTAAATAATTTCATATCAATTTCTCTCTCTTTTTTTTACATCTACATAGTATTCCATTATATAGGCACACCATAATTTACTTTAAGAATTACTTATTGATGGGCATTTAAATTGTTTCCTAGTTGATATTATATCCAAATGCTTCCATGGATAACCCTGTTCATGTCATTTTGCACAGATACTAATATAACTGCAGGATAAATTCCTACAAGCAGAATCCCAGGGTCAAAATGTTGTACATTTGTAATTTGATAAACATCACAAAATTGTCCTCCATGGGGTGATTGCGATTGATACTTATACCAGCAACATGAGATTCTTCTTCGCTCCCGGTATCCCACCCCCAACCACCTCACCAGAGTAGGCTGTCACACTTCTAAGTTGTTTGCCAGTCTGATAGGTTAAAAAATGATGTCTCAGCTGGGCTCTGTGGTTCACACCTGTAATCCCAGCACTTTGGGAGGCAGAGGCAGGCGGATCTTGAGGTCAGGAGATCAAGACCTTCCTAGGCGGGGTGTGGTAAGATCAGCCTGGCTAAGATGGTGAAACCCCGGCTCTACTAAAAGTACAAAAAAATTAGCCAGGCGTGGTGGTGGGTGCCTGTAGTCCCAGCTACTCAGGAGGCTGAGGCAGAAAATTGCTTAAACCCGGGAGGTGGAAGATGCAGTGAGCTGAGATCACACCACTGCACTCCAGCTTTGGCGACAGAGCAAAACTCCGTCTCAAAAAAAAAAAAAAAAAAAAAAACCGTCCTGGCCAACATGGTGAAACCTAGTCTCTCGTCTCTACTAAAAAAACAAAACTTAGCCAGGCATGGCAGTGCACACCTGTAATCACAGCTACTTGGGAGGCTGAGGCAGGAGAATCACTTTAACCCGGGAGGCAGAGGCTGCAGTGAGCCAAGATCACGCCACTGCACTCCAGCCTGGGTGACAGAGCAAGACTCCGTCTCAAAAAAAAAAGATGTCTTAGTATACTGGAGTTTGCTTTTCTCTCCCATTTGTGAACTTGTGCGTTTTCCCATGTTTAAGACCCTTTTGTAGTTCCTCTTCTATCAATGTTCATTTGTAGCCCACAGGTGAACTGTGCTCCACAATATTCAGCTGTGGCCCAATGTTCTGTTTTGGCCCACTAGCTGCATAGATGATATAAGCACGCCCCGCAAGTTAGCAATTTTTCTGAGGAAGAATAAGGAGGTGGGTGAACAGGTGGACAGACCAAGAGGTGAAAGCCCTTCTTCATCCTTGACAAAAGGGACTCAGGCTGTTCACTCGCCCCAAGAGGTGATACACCATATCTTAGTCATTCTGCTAATACTAATTGAATGCCTATGATATGTAAAACATGTCTAATAGATGAAAGAATGAAAGCACCAGGATATACATTTCAAAATTACATTATAATAGAAGTCTTTCTACCAACATTCCTATGTACTTCTTTTTTATGGATATTGATGTGCAATTGCGCCATCATTGGTAGTAATTAAACTGTCATTTCATACTTTTTGCATTTTCCTTGCATTAAGCTTCTCCAAACTGCTAATTTTCTTTTTTCTTCTTCTTTTTTTTTTTTTTTTGAGATGGAATTTCGCTCTTGTTGCCCAGGCTGAAGTGCAATGGCACGATCTCAGCTCACCGCATCCTCCGCCTCCCAGGTTCAAGCAATTCTCCTGCCTCAGCCTCCCGAGTAGCTGGGATTACAGGCATGTGCCACCATGCCCGGCTAATTTTGTATTTTTAGTAGAGATGGGGTTTCTCCATGTTAGTCAGGCTGGTCTCAAACTCCCGACCTCAGGTAATCCGCCCGCCTCAGCCTCCCAAAGTCCTGGAATTACAGGCATGAGCCACCGCGCCTGGCCCCAAACTGATAATTTTCTAACATATTCTTTGAATCTATGCTCCTATATATGTAATCTTAGTACTTTTGGCATTTTTTCCACCACCTGAAGAAAAAAAAAACAAACCATGATCCCCTCTTTATGATTCTTCCAAAGCCTTTTCTGACTTGAGAGCTTCTTTGTGTGTGCCTGTTCTCTTATTGAGTTTGGTTTCTTTCTGTGTAAATTAGAAGCCCTAATAAGGACTTTCCAATGGCATCTAGTCGATTCCTGAGGCGCCTTGCTGGACAGAGGTATCAATCTTTTGTGTTTTAAAGCATTTCTGAAGAAAGACCTTTCATTTTCTCAATAATCTTCCCATTCCAGTATTTATGATCTAGTCATGGAAATAACTTTCTACCACCTATCTCCCCGGATGATCTCATTGACCATCTTAATGTAATTTGATGCTGATTACTTCTACATTTTTCTTCAGTTCTCACAAATTAGTCATCAAAACAGATTCACACTGTAATTAACTTGTGACTTTGATTTTTTTTTTCGTGGTAGAATTAAGAACTTTGATGTTTTTCCCATGGTGAAAGCACTCTATATTTGTTTCCCATTTAAATAACTACATTTCCAAATTCAGGCATGCAAAGAATATCACTTAAATTAATTTATATTCCAAACTTCTTTCCACCAGGCAGGAAAAAACTCAGCCCCAGCCATTGCGGGGCTTACTGCACCCCCTTCGCTGGACGTCTTGCTGGACAGTAGAGTTCCAGCAACTCAGGTAGCATCAGGGTGTCAGGAGACCCTCTGAGGACCACAGTCCCAGCTGCATGTCAGGTCCGTGCACCTGCGCCGCAACTTCCAGGCCCTGCTTAGGGCAAGCGAACTGCCAGCAAGGCTGGGAACCGCAGATGAGGGGGGGTCCCTGCTGTCTGCAAGACCACAGACCCCTCCTTCCGTTTTAGCTTGAAGGGAATCCCTTCTCTTTTCTCTTTTCCTTCAGAGGCACGACTTCTGGCTCCTCTATTCCCACAGAACACTGAACATACTTAGGGTTTTGGCTTTTGAAAACCTGAATATCTCAAAAAAAATACCCATCATCCATTTCATGTTGAAAAGACATCAAGGTCTGTGTTAGGAGGCCCCCGTCCATGAGCGTTGACGGTGCAGCCGGGATGACAGGTGAATTAACAGGAGGCACCACATCACAAGTGCACCAAGCCCACCCATGTGGATATGACAAAAGAAGCCTTATTCACTTCTAGGGGGAAGGCACACTAAGCCAGGACCTGAAGAGGTAAGAAACAGGTGGAGGGCTCAGCAGGCAGTGGAAAAGATGGTCCCACAAGGTTTTACTCCACAATTGTTCTTTTCAACACTCTTTGCTCAAATATTTGTGCATTTTATGCAGCTTCTCTTTTTTAGTGCTTTCATGATGGGTAAACTGAGTCTTCTCTATTGTCCTAAATGATAAGGAATTACAAAAGGTTGACTTGTAAATGACACAATTTATTGTCAATTAACCCAACAAGTTTTATAATGTAACTGTGGAGAGAGCATTGGGAGGAGGAGGGGCAAATGCTGTCTTAGCAAAATAAATCCAGAGTATTTTTAGCAAAACTAGAATCAAAGTTATGTTAATACAGAGAATATGAATCTCCCTAGTAGATCAGACCAGGGTAGGGGTGAGGGTGGGTTGGGAAGGAACTGCAAAGGAAATGATTCCTGCTTGGGAGAAGGGAGGGAGATTTCGACTGGGACCTAAAGCTTGGTACAGTCACACCTGGCATCCCAGCTTCTTCCCCAGCCCTCATCCTCAGGAGCAAGCTCACCTTTCTCCTAACATGGAAGGGTTAAACATACTATATCAAAACCCACTCCTTCTACTTTGGGGTCTCTGTAATTGGCCAAAGAGAAAAGCCACTGAATGATGTCTGAGGCTGCAAAATGTGCAGGACACAAGAAAAGACTCAGAGTTCTGGAATTTAATGACAGTCATGATTTGCTTAATGACGGGGATACATTCTGAGAAATGCATCAGTAGGCGATTTCATCATTGTGTGAACATCACAGAATGTACTTACACCCACCTAGATGGTGTAGCCTTCTATGTACCTAGGCTATATGGTACAGCCTGTTGCTCCTAGGCCATCAACTGGAACAGCATGTTACTGTACTGAAAACTGTAGGTAATCATAACAAATAGTAAGTATATGTATATCTAGACATATCTAAGCATAGAAAAAGTACAGTAAAAGTATGGTATAAAAGATTAAAACATGGTGTACCTGCAGAGGGCACTTACCATGAATGGAGCTTGCAGGACTGGAAGCTGCTCTGGGTGACTCACTCAGTGAGTGAGTGGTGAATGAGTTGAAGGTCTAGAACATAGCTATATGCGACTCCATTTTTATGCTGCTAATAAAGACATACCCAAGACTGGGCAGTTTACAAAAGGAAGAGGTTTTATTTATTTATTTTTTTTGAGACAGAGTCTCCCTCTGTCGCCCAGGCTGGAGTGCAATGGCACGATCTCGGCTCACCGCAACCTCCGCCTCTTGGGTTCAAGCAATTCTACTGCCTCAGCCTCCTGAGTAGCTGGGATTATAGGCGTGCGCCACCATGCCCAGCTAATTTTGGTATTTAGGACAGGGTTTCACCATGTTGGTCAGGCTGGTCTCGAACTCCTGACGTCATGATCTGCCCGCCTCGTCCTCCCAAAGTGCTGGGATTACAGGCAAGAGCCACTGCGCCCGGCCAAAAGGAAGAGGTTTAATTGGACTTACAGTTCCACACAGCTGGGGAAGCCTCACAATCATGGCAGAAGGCAAGGAGGAGCAAGTCATGTCTCACATGGATGGCAGCAGGCAAGAGAGAGAAATGAAAGCCAAAAGAAACGGGTTTCCCCTTATCAAACCATCAGATCTCATGAGACTTATTCACTACCAAGAGAACAGTATGGGGAAATCCACCCCCAAGATTCAATTATCTCCCACTGGGTCCCTCCCACAACACATAGGAATTATGGGAGCTACAAGATGAGATTTGGGTGGGGACACAGAGACAAAGCATATCAACTGTAGACTACATAAACACTGTACACTTAGGCTACTACATTGTATTAGCCCATTTTCACACTGCTAAAAAGAAATACCTGAGACTGGGTAATTTATAAAGGAAAGAGGTTTCATTGACTCCCAGTTCCTCATGGCTGGGCAGGCCTCAGGAAACTTACAATCATGGTGGAAGGGGAAGCAGGCACAGCTTACATGGCAGCAGATGAGAGAGAGAACCCCAGGGTAAACTGCCATTTATAAAACCATCAGATCTCATAGGAGCTCCCTCACTATCATGAGAACAGCCTGGTGGAAACTGCTCCCATAATCCAATCACCTCTCACCAGGACTCTCCCTCAACATCTGGGGGTTATAATTCAAGATGAGATTTGAGTGGGGATACAAAGCCTAATCATAATATACATTTATTAAAAATATTATTCTGGCCGGGCGTAGTGGCTCACACCTGTAATCCCAGCACTTTGGGCAGCTGAGGCGGGTGGATCACAAGGTCGGGAGTTCGAGACCAGCCTGGCCAACATGGTGAAACCTCGTCTCT